>NC_000001.11:29553835-30178835 GCF_000001405.40 Homo sapiens | reverse complement strand
GTGGCTCATGCCTGTAATCCCAGCACTTTGGGAGGCCAAGGCAGCTGGATCACGAGGTCAGGAGTTCGAGACCAGCCTGGCCAAGGTGGTGAAACCCCGTCTCTACTAAAAATACAAAAATTAGCTGGGTGTGGTGCCAGGCACCTGTAATCCCAGCTACTTGGGAGGCTGAGGCAGGAGAATCGCTTGAACCCGGGAGGTGGAGGTTGCAGTGAGCTGAAATCACTCCATTGCACTCTAGCCTGGGTGACAGAGCAAGACTCCATCTCAAGAAAAAAAAAAAAAAATTGTCAGCATACATTTTTGCCTGGATTTAGAGGTCAGACCGTTTTATCTTTGTCTCTAAGGTGTTTCCAAGGCTTTAAGATGTCAGGGTTTGATCCAAAGGTTATAAAACTACAAACTCAGCCTAAAATAGAATAATCTTTCTTTGTGCAATTCTTTGAAGAGTAACATTAATGTAATATTATTAGTTTAATGAAAACAGCTGTAGCTTCTAAATTATCAGCAAGATATTTATATATTTAATTTTAAGAGTCCTACTTAGGTAACACCTGTTAGTCACAGGATGTAAAAATGGTTACCAGGGAAATAGCTTGAAATGATGACTGTCTTTGTCTAATATCTCAGTTTTAATAAATACTCCAAGTGTAACTGTTAAAAATAAATAAATTATGTAAATGTAAATGGGATGTTTATAAATGAAATTTTTGTGTAATTAAAAACCTTAAAGTTACTTTATTTTAAATTAAAGAATAAATATTCATTAAGTGTCTGGGTCATTTCCAAATAAGAAAAGAACTGAAATAAAATGCTGAGCATAAATATGTCTTTGTTTTGGCTTCACAAATTGTATAACAAAAGTAAATACATTTGGGTCTATTAATGTACATTACAATTATGTTACAGGAAAACATTTTTTAAAGAATAAAGTGGTTATTGTTACAGACAATTCAAAACCTTTAGCTTTGTAGGTTTTCACTGAAAATTAAGGTTACTATGAGTTACATTTCTGAATCATGTATGTAATTCTGTATACAAAATGTATCAAAAGATGTTTTTAATTTGAAAATTATAAAAATGCATTAAAATGTGTTCTTTATTTTGAAAAAACAATAATTTTGTCTAATTCAAGGGTTATTTAGTTTGTTTCAAAATATGGATTTTAGGAATTAAATGGAAACAAGAATAGAAAGGAACCAGTAAGTAGGAGGGAGAGGTAAAGAAAGTTATGCATATGAAGATGTATTTTTGGTCAGGAGGGTCAAAAAGAAAAGAGAATAATTTTGTATAAGAAAGAATATTGTGTGGTAAATTCTTTTCCTAAAGTAAAATGACTGGTTATTTTAAAAAGGGGATGTATAGGACAAAGCAGAAAGTTTAAGCATGTAATCAATTGTCTGTGTAAGTTATAATAAGGTTCATGAAGGATGAATTTACAAGAGGAATTTAGCGTATAATCAGGTTGGCAATAATTAGAGGGAAATTATTTATGAGCCTTTCTAAAGATTGAGCTTTGATATTAAAAATATGCCAATACAAACCTAAAAATTTGACTCCCTGTATTAGAACAACAAGGTTTTCTTGAAATATTTGTCTGCTTTTAACAAAAATTGCAAGAGGTTTTACATTTTTAATTCTGAAATCTATTCCTTTAACACTCAACTTCCAAATTGTGGCTTTCTTCTATTTTAGTTTCCATATAATTTCTCTAGTTTTAGGTTACAAATGCTGTCTTTTCTTTCAAAATAGTAATTTCATTTCTTGAGATAAAGTTTTTCTTTTAAGTCTACTGAGATTCATATCTCAGAAGCTCAACTTTTGCTCTATCTCATAGCCCCTGATTTGTAGGTCACGAATCATTACCATCAGCTCTTTCTCCCTTAAGACGGTTTAGGGTGATAACTTTCTCCAACTTTTTAATCAGCTACTGTAACTTTTTTCTCTGGTTCCAACTTTGCTGTTATGACTTGACCCTGAAACTTTGTGTCTTGAAACACCTAGAAAAGCAATGTTTTCCTCTGATATAACTTGATTCTGTACTCTTGGTTTTTTTTTAATATGTCTGAATTTTTCCATGTAACCAGGAAACTTCACATGCTCTTACCTTTACTAAGAGCCATGTATTCCCCTGCTTGGGTGAGTAGTTTTCTTGTTTACATTCCTTTATAGTACTGTGTACACTTATAACCTTGGGCACACATTCTTCATGTGTCTGATTAAATTCAAGTACTTAAAAAAAAATCAGATTCAACATCCAGGATATTTAAATGGGCTTTCCATAAGGAGAAACGATCACACTGGAAGAGGTCTTTTTAAACTCTTTTAAATAACTTGCCCCTAAGATAAAAGGAATTTGTGTTTTATCAATATATAACTGAGGTTTGAAAGTGTTAAGGTTTTTTAAGTCTATGCAACTTCCTGAATAGATTCTAAAGCTTTTTGATTAACACTCTGGTTTAATGAATGATTATTATTTCACAGTGACTTGTGATCCTATTTTTATCAAGTGTTTTGTATCTTTTGACACCTTTGGTAGGCTTCCCCAAGATCAAAATTCTAAATTAAGATTTTTTGACCTAGAATTAACTTTTGGATTTTCTAGCTGGCCTCCTAAAGTGCCTCAAAGAATGCCTCTCTTATCTTTTAGAGGTATTGAATTTTTAGGATTATTTGGTAAATTGTATGGGAAACTTGTCAAATAAGTGACTCTAGATCTTCTTTCAGTTACATTTATGGGTGTGTTTTTGATATGAATGTTCCAAAATTGTTTAAAACTCTTAGAAATATATCATTGGTTATAATTCTGGGTATTATGTTGTATGCCACAAAAGTAACTACATTTCTTTGTCAATTGCTGACTGTAATGAGCTTTCATCATAACTTAATCATGGGCATCCTAAGTTTTTGTCATCCATAGTTATTGTTTTGATTTTTCTTGAAAAGTACTTGCAATCAGCTATTATCCAAAATTGCTTTTCGTGGAAAAGCCTCTAGCAAGTACTCTTAAATATAGTTTTTTGATAACTTTAAGATTAATGGACTAAATAAGATTTTTTCAAAACTCTAATGAAGTAACTTATGGGTTCATGAAATGACTAATCAAGATCAAGCTGAGCAAAAGTTAATTACAAGAGATTAAGCAACCGATAAATATGTTTTTATGACTTTTATTTAAAACATTGTTCGTTATTTACTTAAATGTTTTATTTTCCACTTTTATGAAAATTTTCTCTCTGAAACGACAATTTACAACAACTTGGTAAAAAGCATACTTTTGTGAACAAAAATGAAAGCATTTGCTTTTTCTATCTACTTGAGTTCATCAAAATTTGGAAACTATTGATGAGTATTCTTATAGCAATATGTTTTTCCCATAAGTCTAAAAAAACTCTCTTTTTATAACAATATACAATTGGAAACATTTGCTTTATTATTTTAAGGCTTTGACTGGAATATCACATTTGGGAATATGTGTAGAATACCTGGCTTCAGGCTGGGCGCGGCGGCTCACGCCTGTAATCCCAGCACTTTGGGAGGCCAAGCCAGGACGGGCGGATCACGAGGTCAGGAGATCGAGACCATCCTGGCTGACATGGTGAAACTCCATCTCTACTAAAAATACAAAAAATTAGCTGGGCGTCGTGGCGGGTGCCTGTAGTCCCAGCTGCTTGGGAGACTGAGGCAGGAGAATGGCGTGAACCCAGGAGGCGGAGCTTGCAGTGAGCCGAGATCACGCCACTGCGCTCCAGCCTGGGCGATAGAGCGACGGGGCTCCGTCTCAAAAAAAAAAAAAAAAAAAAAATACCTGGCTTCAAGGGTTCCTAGTCTTATAGTGAGTGTAAAAACTTGTCACTTCCTGGCAGATCCAAAAACCTAAAGACTTTTCCCTTTAAAAATATTTGTCTTCCTTTACCTCCCTGAATACATAAACTGTTTACTATGGCAAATATATTTCAATTGCAATGCCCTATTCCTGAGTAAATATTATTTTCTTTTAGAGATCCTCTGTCTATTTGCTATTTAAGTTGACATTTTCTACATCTCCTTCCATTGTCTCCTCTGGCCCTCCTGCCTCCCTCTTGTAAGGCATCTTGTGATTACATTGAGCCTTCTCAGATAATCCAGAATAATCTCCTATCTCAAGAACCTTGACTTAGTCACATCTGCAAAGTTCCTTTTGCCACGTAAGATAACATATTGAGAAGTTCCAGGGAGTAGGATGTGAGCCTCTTTGGGAGGCCATTATTGAATCTATCATACGAGGCACAAAGATGGTTAAGATGTATGTCTCAAGATTTGGACCTAAAATTAGGATACAGAATGCTTGGTCTTAATCATTGTCCCCCATTTCTTCCCTCCTCATCTACAGGAAAATTCTGATCTGCCTGATGAACCACAGCCTCATTTCAGACTCAGACAGTAGATCCAAGTGTTAGGGTCTTCCAGAGCACCTAGCCAGTGGGGCAGGGCTGACAAATGTTGCAACAACTATTGTATTTGAAGTGCATGATCTTGCCAAGCTGGGATGTTCCTGACTTAGAGAACTGGCTGATGAGGTGCCACTCCTCCTGTGTGACAGGTTGGAGAGTTGACACCCCACCATGCCAGGAGACACTTCCCAGAGCCACAGGGACCAGCTAGATATCAGAAGCACCAAAAGGATTCTCCATAGATCCAGCCTCCATTGGGAGTGGCCCTAAGAACAGGAAAGAATAGGAAAAATATTCCAAGCCTGTACTCAGGAGGCTCCAGAGCACTGGATGCTCATGCTGCCCTTGGCAGTTCACACATGCCTTGGGAGAATCCTCAAAACCTCCCTGAGACGTAGGTGAGATGGCGATGTTGCTTTCCCCTTGAAGATGTGGCTGTAGCAGGAACATGCACTGTACCCCAGCCTCTGCAGGACTCGTTAAGAGCCTCCAATGTATGCAGCAGGATTTATTTTGTAACTTTGGAAGGGGGTGGGGCAGGGAGCTTTCTGAGCCAGCTCAGGAGCACAGGCCAAAGGGAGAGAAAGGAGGAGAATAAACACCAGGCAGGTGTCAAATGGTGAGTGCAACGCCCCAGCCCAGGTGACATCCTTACCCAGCAGCCCATGGCAGGGCCTGGGCCTCTCTCCTCCCTATGAACTGAGAGTCTGGCCTAAGGCCTGGCACCAGGCAGGAATCTGTAATGGTTGAAGAATGAATGAATGAATAAGAGAGGGAAAGCACCAGGATGGTTTGGAGAACAGACTCTGGAACTAGGTCTTGGTTTGAATCTTCACTCTATCAGTTATTAGCTGTGACCTTGAGCCAGTTACTCAGTCTCCTCCTCTGAACCTCAGTTTTCTCATCTGTAAAATGAGAATGAGAATAATAGCCTTTATCTCACTGGGCTATTTCGAGACTTACAGGAACCCATGTGTGAAAGTGCTTAGAACCGGGCCTAGTGTATCACGTGCATTCAGTAAATGCTAGTTATTATTAGAACAAGAACTATTTCTAGATTTTTGCAACCTTAAATACTATAGCAACTGATAAATTGCAGCAGAAAGGATGTCCTTCCTTGTGTCTAACCTAAAGTCTTCATGCTGCAGCTTCATCACTGTGCCTCTTCCTTACCAGCTATGCTTTTCAAACTCAGGCCTGCCAGGAGGGCAGTTTTAGAACCAACTGTGTCTGCAGCACAGATCACATTAAAAGGCCCAATCAATCAATCTGTCTGCAGCCCTGAAGTGACTCCTGCCTCAAATCAATGATGTTTACAAAGTTGGGTAGGAAGGCTATGATGCTTTTTTATTTCCTTCTCCCACGTCCTTTCTGGGATAATCAACCATGTCTCCTGCAAATAAATGCCTGTCTGTGCCCACTTCTGCGGCCCTGGAAGGGTGGTGGGCTTTTCTCTCAGGGTGGACCTTCATGACTTGTAGCCAGCTCTATAACTGGAGTGAGCCCCAGGAGGGGCCTTTCACACACAAGATGTCACCCACTCCCTGCAGCAAGGGGGTTTGAGTCACTTACTCAAGAATGCACAGCCAGGAAGCAGCAGTGTCTCAATTTGAGCACAGAACTAACTGATGACACACAGCAGCTAACATTAAGTGAGGACCTCTCCTGTTTTAAATACCTGTATTCACTAATGCTGAATGGTCATTTTATACTGACAAAGCTGAGGCACAGAGAGATAGAACACCTTACCCCATCCCCCAGTGGTAGAAGGATTTGCCAGCATTCAAACTCAAGCACCTGGGCTCCCGAATCCCTGCTCGAAACCCCCAGGCTTCCACTGCTTGGCAAGAGTCCATGCTCAGCCTGCTGGCCCACACCATCCCATCCACTTTCCTCTGATCTAGAATTGCCTTTCGGGAGCCTGTGCTTGTCTCCAGTGACTGGGGTGCTCACCAGTACCTGGAGAGCAGTGGGTGCTTCACAAAGGGCAACTGGCAATAACAGTGATGACACAGGCCTGGCAAGTGAGCTACCAGTTAAGGATGTACAAAGAGTCCGGGATGCCTCTGACTCCCTACCTCCGCCAAAAATTAATTCTGCCTTTAAAGAGCTCCATTCCCCCAGAGGAAGAACCACTTCATTAGAGAGGCCCTTCTCCATGAAGACGGAACAAGCAGGCCAATAAAACTCACTGGGTTTTGGCATCACTTTGGAAATCAATGCACTATGATTGCGAATCCGGCGTCTGTCGGCAGCTGCCTAATTTTAGCTGGATCTTTGCAAGCGTCTAGCCCTGTTCATCTGCCCCCATGGACAAGCAGAGAGGTTCCAAGAAGCATCATCGATCTTTCAACTAAAGTGTCCTAATGAAATACAAATCTGTTGTCACTTAAAGAGCCATCTGTCATGGTGGCACAGAAGAAATGCTACCAGGAGGACAATAACCATAATTTCATTTTAAGATCCAGCCTTCTTCCCCTTTCCCTTCCAGAGAAAAATCGACATTTTTTACTGTTTCATTTTGTCACAGAGCAATAGGAGGAAAAGCCATCAATAGGGTGTTAAAGCTATTTCCAATTATGTGCAAGTTCCCTGTTACAAGGGCTCTTGGCTTCTTGCAGTGAGTTAACACCTATTTGCATGAGGTAGAGTTAGCAGGAGGATGATTTAGTGTTGCTGTCCCTGGCATGCAGCACTGCTTACATGGCTAAGGAGACAGAATGAGTGCAGGGTTCCCAGAGGGCAGGGGTCCTAGGAAATGGAAGCACCAGCCTTAAATAGCATCAGACCATTCCTGGGTGGGGTGGTCAGAACTAGCACACAGAGCCCAGGCAGCGGAGATTACCAGGAAAGAGGAAGGAGGGAAACTGGAGGGGGGAGGGTGGGTGGCATGTATTCTCCAGGCAGGGCAGGGTCAACAGCCTCCAAGGGTCCAATCGCCTCATCTTTCAAGTAGGCCTTTGAGACACAGAGAGAAACAATTAACTTCAATGACCCCCAGCTAGTCACTAGCAAAAAGAGAGAAGCTGAAGCTCCCTCTCATCTGCTCCTTACTGGGAGCTGTTTCTCTGGACATAAAATGTTGGGGAAATACAACAGGTTTCCCCAGACTGCATTTTATACGCCCAAGAGTCTGGACTCACGTTGGAAGCCACTTTAGGTATGTGTTTTTCAAAGTCAGTTTTATTGACATAATGTAGATGTAATAAAATGTAGCAACTTTAAGTGTATAATTTGATGAGTTTTGACATATGTATATAGGTTTTTAACCACCTCCACAATCACAATGTGAACATTTCCATTAACCCCCAAATATTTGCTTGTTTCTTTTCAGTAATGACTTCCACAAGCCATAGCCTTTGCCACCTATTCTGCCCTCTGCCATTATGGTTTTGCCTCTTCTAAAATTTCATATAAATGAAATCATACAGTATTCAGTCTTTTGTATCTGCTTTTTTTAAAAAAAAATTCAAGACAATGTCTTTGAGATTCACCCATGATGTTGTGCATATCAGTTGTTTATACATCTTATTACTGAGTAGTATTCCATTGTATGGATTTACCTTGTTTTGTTTATTCACCAGTTGATGGGCACTTTTGCCAGTTTTTGGCTATGATGAATGAAGGGGCTACAATTGCTCACATACAAGTCTTTATGTGGACATGTGTATTCTTTTCTTTTAGTAAATACCTTGCAGTGGAATGGATAGATGCATGTTTGACTTTAAGAAATTGCCAAATGATTTCTAAAGATTCTGTTCCATTTTGCATTTATACCACAATGTATAAGAATTACAGTCAACATTTGTTATTGTCAGGTATTAATTTTAGCCATTCTAGTGGGTATATGGCACTATCTCACTGTGGCTATCATTTACATTTCCCTGATGATTAATGATGTTAGATATCTTCTGAATACTTATTTGTCATTATATATTTTCCTTGGTGAATTATTAATTCAAATCTTCTACCACTTATTTTGTTGTTCACTTACTAATGCTCTTTACATATCCAGATGCAAGTAATTTATTAGGTCTATGCTTTGCAAATAAACTGCCACTTGCCTTTTCACTTTCTTTAAATGTTTCTTTTGAATAGCACACGTTTTTAATTTAAAAACCTTTTCTACATACCAAATAGAACCTTTATTACCTTAAAAAATTGGCCTGCTTATATCAATACATTTTAAGAATTGTAAATGTGCAGAGAGCTCTAAGTAGAGCCTTTGGGTTTGACTTTCACTCTTCAGGATCAGTTTGGCTTTTCATAGGCTTCACTAGCCCTGGAATGTGGCAGCAGCTCCCATCTCAGGGGCAGCAGCGTGGCCTGGGAGATTGTCTCCTCTCCATCGTGGGTGGCCTCAGGTGACTTAGGCCAACCCCATCCAAGGTGCCCATGTCTCAACCTCCCAGCTTCTGTAACAACACATTGGAAAGGCTGTTTTCCCTTTGGTGGTTTAACTTTTACTTGAAACCTCCTTTCCACACCTATGGACTTTATTAGAAGTGTAAAAATCCTAAATTAATTGGCGGGTCCAAGAATGGCTTGGTCAGTATGACCTGGGAATGGCCTGAGCACTGGCACTGTCTATGCCCCTTCCGGCCAGCAGACCGGCCAAGGACAGGAGCAGACCATAGGTGGGGCTGGTCCTTCTGTGATAAACCCTAGAGGAGGAAATCCACTCCAGCTTATGCCAAAGAACAAGTATAAAGAGCACAGAGAATGCCACTCTACGTCAAGTTACACCATTTGTGGTTCTGAACTGAAGGTGACCCATCCAGTAGAATAAACCTCCTAGATATGCAAAAGTCCTCAAGGCCTATGGTCACAATTTAGAAGAAAAACTGTCTTTCTGCAAGTGTAAGCACAGAACTCACAGCTAGGGGCCTACAGTGTTGGGCACACCCTCTCCCACTGAGATGCAAAGCTCTTCTCAGTGGAACAAACGGTGCCCTAGATAAGGACCTTTCCTGGGATGCTAGTAGCAAATGTGTGCACCAGCATCTCAGCATGCAATGCTGTGCGTCTGTTGTGCCAGAGACCGTCTTGCACTGGGTGTGCTCCATGGAGATCTCTGTGTCTCAAACCACATCTTCCAAGAAGACCCAGGTGATACCCGGAAGGTCTTCATGCAGAGCCTTCAGGTAGGACCAGCCTTCCCCAGCCCACTGGTGTGAACAGGAGTGAGCACAGCCAGGCGCTGAAGCAGCAGAGGACCATCTACATTTTTTTTTTATTTTGATGAAGTCTAGTGTATCATTTTTTTCTTTTAACAATTCATACTTTCCGTGCTTTTTTGCCTAAATCGAAGTCACAAAATTTTTCTCCATGTTTTCTTCTAAAAGTTTTAGTTTTAGCACTTAACTTTAAATTTACTATTTATTTCAAGTTAAATTTCTAAGAGGTGTGAGATCGAGGTTGAGAATGGTTGTGTGTTTTCCCCACTTCTCAGTAGTTTGCTGAGAAGACAGACAATCCTTTCCCCATGGAATTAACTTTCCATTTTTGTAGAAAATCAACTTATATTTGTGGACCTTTTTTCCTATTCTCTATTCTGTTCCATTGTTCTATATGTCTGTCCTTATACCAATTCCACACTCTTTTGATTATGATGGCTTTATAATTTACTTGAAAGCAGCTAATACAAATCAACTCTTCTACTTTTTCAAACAGTTTTGGATATTCCAGATCCATTGTGTTTCCACATATATTTTGCAATCAGCTTGTCCATTTCAACAAAAAGTCAGGTGAGATTTTGTCTGTGATCATGTTATACCCATAGATCACTTTTCAGAGAATTTACATGTTCACAACATTGAGTCTTCAGTTCTGACATATCTCAATCCTCTTTAATTTTTGTCAGCAATTTGTTTTTTAGTTTTCACATATTTTGTGAAATTTATCTCTAGATAGATTTTATGATAGATAGATATAATATATATTATGATTTTAATGCATTTATTAATGGTTTTTTGACAATCTTAGACTTTTCAGTTGAATTTTTGGATCATTTCATGTAAGATGATAGTAGATAAGGTTAAATTTAAATATATTGTATTGCTATTTGTTTCTGTTTGTTCTTTTTGTTCATTGCACCTTTATCCCACTTGTCCTGCCTTCTCCTGAATTAATCAAATTTTTAATAAGTTCATTTTAATCTCCACTATTGGTTTATTGGTAATATCTCTTTTTTTTACTTATTTGTATTCTTACCAGTTGCTCAAGCATTTAGAATATACATCTTTAATCTGTCAGTATACCTGCAAATAATGTAATACTAGTATGAGAGCTTTATAACAGTAAATTTTCACTTCCTCCATCCTTTGTGCTATGATTTCTTACATTTTATTTTTAGATATATTACAAACCCCACAATACATCGTTGTTGTTAGTACTTTATTTAAGCAGTCAATTATCTTAAAGGGTAAAATATGAGAGACACAAAAAATCATCTTTATTGTTCTAGCTTCTATCATTTCTTTATGTAGATCCTAATTTCTATTTTTATAATTTTCCTTGTACCGAAAAGACTTTCATTGACGTTTTTTTGAGAGGCTGTTCTGCTGATGCTGAATTCTTTCATCTATTTCTGAAGTTGTCTTCATTTCTTGCATGTTTAAGTGACATTTCCACTGGGTATAGAATTCTATGCTCCTATCTTAAATCTCTTCTTTTGCTGCTTTAAAGATGTTGCTCCATTGTTTTATGCCTTGTATGGTTTCTAACATGACATCTTCCATCTTCTTATCTTTGTTTCCTTGTCCATTATATCTCTCTTTCTTTTTCTGGCTCCTTTTGAGATTTTTCTCTTTATTGCTGGCTTTCTGAATTTGACTGTGATGTGCTTTAGTGTGATTTACTTTATATTTCTTTTGCTTTGGTTTTGTTAAGATTTTGGATGTTCAGGCTTATAATTCTTTTCAAATTTAGAAAAACTGTGGCCATTATTTCATAAAATAGTTTTTCTGCCCCCATTCTTCTCCCATATCCTCTCCTCTGGAGCTTCAGTTGTTAAGTATGTTAGGACATTGGATATTGTTCCATGGGTTACTGATGTTTTCTTCATTCTTCAGGTGTTTCCCTCCTTTGCTCTATTTTGGATAGTTTCTTTTGCTATGTATTCAATTTCACTGACCTTTTCTGTTGCAGAACAGAATCTGCATGTTAATCCCATCACGTGTAATTTTTTTCAATTCAGAAATTGTATTTTTCTGCTATGGATATTCCATTTGGGTTATTAAAACTCAGCCTGTTAATTTTCTTTTGTCTTCTTAAACATCAGTGTATTTATAATAGCTATTTTATTATTCTTAGTAGTTCCAACATAGCCACCATTTTCAGTTTCCTTTATATTAATATGTTTTTCCTTCTGATCATAGATCCTACTTTCTTGCTTCTTTCCACCTAGTGATTTTTTATTAGATGCTGGACGTTGTGATTTTATGTTGCTGGTTATTAATTTTGTTCTATTTCTTTAAATAGTGCTGGATTTTGTGCTGGGAAGCAGTTGTTTTGAGTCAGTTGGATAATTTTGAAGCTTTCTTTTAAGTTTATTAGAGAAGACATAGAGCAGAGTTTATTTAGGGTTAATTAATGCCCACTTCTAATCCAGTAGCCTTCTGAGGAGTCTACCTGATACCCTGTTTGCCATGAAGTCTTTCCACTGTTCCCGGTGGGAACAAAAGCCACCCCCTAGGCCCCAACCTTGTGTGAGCTTTGAGAATACCTCTGTATCCCCTATTCTGGTGTTTTTGTTTCCCCTGGCCTCAGATACTTTTTTCACATATGTGTAAATCATTACTTAGACGGATTCTTGAGGGGACCCCTCTCAAGTCTTTGGAGGTCCCTTTCTGTGCAGCACCCTCTTCAATATTCTGTCTTTCAAATTCTAGCCACCTTGGCCTTCTCAAACTCTGTTCTCTTTCTCCTCAGATCATCAAAGCTACCAGGCTCTGTTGCAGTTTTCCCTCCTTTCTTTGCAGTCTGGAAGCCACTTCCGGAGAGCGATCTGCGACAGCTGAAGGGCATGGCTCACTTGCTGTCTTTCTCTCTCTGCTTACATGCCTGTGTGGCCAGCTGTTGAATGTCCGACACAGTTGTTTAATGTGTTTCGTCCACTTTTCTGGTTACTTGAGGTAGGAGAGTAAACTCCATTCCTGTTAGTTCATCATGGCCAGAAGCAAAAATATAATTGATGCAGTTTTCTAATTTTTTAATGCACCTTTGAATACTATTATCATTAAGAGTCAAACACTTTTTTTTTCCAAATTGATTCTGACATGGAACCCCCACCAAATCTAAAGCTGATAGCAGTGGAACTTCTTAGAGCGAAAGAGAGACTGAGGCTGTCTGTCTCTGCTCTCTCCTCACAGGGCCACCTCTGACCCCTGAGGTCCCTCAAGGGAGGCATATCAGTGAAAACCTCTGGCTTCCAGGATAACTTTTGTCCTCCTTAGCATGATATTCAAGGGCCTTCATTGCATGTTCCTGCCAACTCCCTCACCTTATCTCCTGCCCCTCTCCTCCCCTCTTCTCACCCCATACTTGATGCTCCATCCCCATGGAGACTTTTACAATGCTCATACTGTTCCTCCTCTCCAGACTGACTCTACACCCCCAGGCTCCCAGCCTCTGCTTTTCCACCAAGCCAGGGCTTAGAGTCGAGTCTAACATGGGGGCAGGCTGTGAAGTCAGCACATACCACTAAGACTGGCAAAGAGCCTTGGGCAAAATTGTCTGCACTCCTTATATCACGATATTTTTCTTTTTTTAAATTTTATTTTGCCGAACAGAATACAGTTGGAGTCACAGAAATATCCTTCGTGTACACTGGTTGCTAAACTCTTTAGTGTCTGATTCGAGGATCATATTTGCAGCTCCTAACTGCAAATCTGACACATAGTAGTTTGTCAATAAATATCTGTAGGATAAATGAAGGGAAGGGAAAAGGAGTTCAGGAGGAAGTCATGATATGAGCAAAGGAAAGCAGGGGAGAATAAACGTGGCTGCATTAGGGAGTGGCTGGAACAAAGCACAGAGCAGATTTGAGACAATTTGAGAGACGATGGGCACAGCATTCAGTCGGCATTCACTCTGACCTGTGCACATCCAGACTCTGACTCTGTCACTTTCTGTGTGACTTTGGGCAAGTGGCTTAGACTCTCTGGGCCTTTGTTTTTCATAAAATAAGGACCTTAATGTCTGCCTCACAGGGTTCTTGTGGTGTTGATATAAGGCAATTGGATTGATTGAACGATTGAGCATTAGACTGAACAATATGAAATTGTTGGGTTTTGATCATCTTTGATCTCTAAATGGTATAGAAGCCTAAAGCCCAGGCCACAGATCCCAGGAGGCTGGTGTCCCCTAGCAGCCCTGACCGGCCCTTCCAGGGATGAACTGTGCATTTGAATAGTTAAGAGTCATGGCTGCTCTGCTTGGAAGCCAACACATTTCCTGTCCCCGATTTAACCTTCCCCTGCTGACCCACTCAGAGCCTGGTGTCATTTCAGGTGGCACCAAAGAGCCTGTGGCCTGGGAAGCCCAGAGGATTTCCAAGGTGTTGGCACAAGGCAGCTGCCACTAGTGTGGCAGAGCTAGGCTTGAAGGGCTTCTATTTTCTTTATTTTTCCAGACGATGGAAGCCTTTCAACTGACCACTCGCCTTGGACCAGGTTAATGTGGGAACTGGGAGCAGACAGGCAAAACCAGGAGGGAGAAGGAAGAGGAGGCGATGGATTCCAAGTGGATCTGGTTGCTCTCATTCATTCCAGGCGACTGTTAAATGGGACAGAATGACCCTCAAATCCCCTTTCTCTCCATTCAGTGCTTCTAGGGATCTACTTGACATTTCAGGGGAAAAAACCTGTAAAAGCGAATAACACATGATACTCTCTAGAAACTGATGGCACATGATACCCTCTGTAGAAACTGTAGGACGGAGAAATCTCAGTGACCTTGTGTTCTATGTGTCCTCAGATCTCCAAAATAAAATCAGATGAGGTGAGAAGGCAAGTCTGACACCAGCCCTCCTGTACTATAATGTGCTCCAGGAGCCCCCCTACAGGGGGCTTGGCCCTCATGTTCTCCTCACACCTGCTTCCCACCCCCATGGCAGCCTTGACTGCTTTTCCTTACCAGCCCCTGCAGCCCTCCTGTCCCCTTGGACTGCCTGCAAAACATGCCTCTTCAGGCGAACAAATGCACCTCCACCCTCCCCTTTATTCTCAGTGGTGTTTCAAACTTCATCAGGCAGAAAGGGGTGAGTTCTGGTACTGAGCCACAGCCTCTGGAGTTAAACAAGGGCTTTGTACTTGTGCTGTAGGACTGCTCGGCCAGGTCCCTGTCTGCTGAGGGACCCCACGACACCATGAGGCACAGGCTACAGACTCAGCTAGAGAAGAGTCTTCAGCCCGACCCAGACAGAGATGAGCTGCTTGGGGTCTTGAGACCCTCTGACTGAGCAGAAAGCATTTTATTTACTTAGAGAATGGCTCACGTAGTTCTGCAGACTGAGAAGTCTCACAGTCAGTCATCTGCAAGCTGGAGAACCAGGAGAGCCTGTAGTGTAATTCAGTCTGAGTTGAAAGGCCTGAGAAACAGGGGGGCTGATGGCATAAGTCCAGAAGTCCAAAGGCCCAAGAACCAGGAGCACCAAAATCCGAGAGCAGGAGAAGACGGATGTCCTGGTTCCAGCAGATAGAATGAATTTGCCCTTCCTCTGATGGGCTGTGCTATTCAGGTCTTTGATGGACTGATTAGATGACACCTTGTCTACGTTGATGAGGGCAGATCTTCTTTTTTCGGTCTACGGATTCAAATGCTAATCTTGTCCAGAAACACCCTCACAGGCTCACCCAGACATAATATTTTACCAGCTATGTGGGCATCCCTTAGCCCAATCAAGTTGATACCAATAATTAACCAGCACAAGAACAGTCCATGGAACACGTGCTATTCAGTTTAATGAAGTGATGTCCTGGGAACCATGCCCGTGCCCATAGGAGCATTTCTTGGAGGGGGACTTATCAAACCAAACCCTCCAGGTGAAGTACCCACCTGCTCCACCACGTGTCTGAGTGACTGCAGGCAAAAGATTTCATCTCTCTGATCACACGAGGAAACATATTAAGGATAACAGGAGATACGGTTCTCACCATCAGAGGAAAGAGTGACAAACATGAGGAAGGGAGAAAACTGGGAGCAATCCCAATTACAGAGCTCAATTTCCTCCTTTGGAAAACGGGGATGGTGACAGCATCCATCTCCTAGGGCCGTTGGGTCAACACGTAGAAACACTTGATCATGTATTTGCTGCTTCTTGACCTTCACCTTCCTCTCATACCACGTAGGCCCTCACCCGGTTTCTATCATCACTGAAGTCTCCTCCAGGCCAATGAGTTTCTGAATTTATGAATATGAATACGACAGACGCTCTTCACAATCTTGCTGACACTTTCACATGGTTCAGTGAAACGCTGTTCACAGATGCAGGAAAGTTAAACTTCAGGCCTGATTCATGGTGAATGGTGAGTGACTGGGTTCTGCTAATCTTCCCACATCTATTTGCTCATTTAATAATAATGTAATTATCATAAGTCACCATAGGCACTGTGCTAAGGGTTGGAGATAACCAACATTCATTCATTCATTCATTCATTCACTTATTCCTCCAAATAAACAGTTAGTAAATGCCTCCCACACACAGGGTACAAATGACCCCAGAGGGGTAGGGGGCAGCCACACAGGTGATGTGGCATGGTACACGGGAGACTGAGAAGGCTGCAATAGATTGATTTCAAACAGGGAGATAATGAGAGCCAGGGTTCTCTTCATGTGTCCTAAGATCAAAATAAAGTCAGATGAGGTGAGAAGGAGAAAGAAGTTAAAAACATAGAAAACTAGAGTCAACCCTGTTTACAAAATTCTGCAGTGCAGAACCAGAGGGCGTAGAGCAGTGAAAATGCTTCAAATAACGGATTTTGTAGCAGAGGCAACTTTGCTAAAAATAAGAGACAAACTGGGAAGCACTGCCTTGACCCGCCCACAGGCGCTGAGCCTCGGAAGGATGCTGCCCACCGGCAGCTCTCTCTGGGGCAGCCCTGGGGCCCTGACTAGCCCTCTGTGGTTTGACTTCCCAGTTTCCTGACCACGAGCTCTCACAAGCCAGGCGACTCCACTCCTGCTCAGGAGGGGCTGCTCAGGAGGGGCTCCATGCCTCACCTGGGCTCATCACGTCTCTCCAGGAAACCCTTCAGCACCAGCCTTGGTCTCCTGGGATCCCTCTTGGTGCAGCTTCCCTGGAGAGCAGGGAATGAAGAATGTGTATTAGGATGTGCTCCTGGGGTCCACACCTGTGGAAGGCAGGGAAGGAAGCAGGCCTGGGCAGGCCAGATGGAGACCACTGATCCCACAGGGAGCCACAGAGCAAACAGGCTGCTGGAGAGGCCTGCCTGGGGCCTGACCAACTGGCACGCATACCCCACCTCTGTCAGTCAATCGTAGCACGGGGTACTCTGGGAGGGTGTGGCAGTGGTAGAAGTGCTGTTTGCCACTGGGGCAGCCCCTAAAGTGGAGACAGTTAAAGGCTGTGTGGTGACAGTCAACCCTGTCCACTGGGGCAGCGAGTTCCTTCCTGGACCGAGCGTCCGGGTGGCACATCACAGTATCCCTGAGAGATGCTGCGGCCAGTGGCTAAGAGGCTCTGCCCTCACGCAGACCTGGTTTTCAGCTCCTGTTCCCTGTGTCTGCTCCAGGCCTCAGTCCCCTTATCCATAAAGCAGGATGAATGCAGGACTCTCTCAGCTACAAATGGGATGACATGGATTCCAGAAGGTTTTGTACACCATAGCGTGTGGCTGTGTAGACGGTAGAGTGGCGGGCACAGTGTGGCCTTGCAGAGCGGAGTGCATGGGCAGCCACGGGGAGAGCGGCCAGGAGCTGGCGCCGAGACCCCTCAGACCTGATACATCTATGACTGTGTCACTGAATTCTTACAAACCCTCCACAAGGCGAGTTTTATTATTTCTGCTTTTAACAATATTTTCCACTATTTATTTCATTTTTTTAACAAATGAATATTTTTAAAATAAAGTAAATTACAGAGAATGATAGAGAATAGAGAGGTGCTATAATGTAACAAGTCATTAAGAGCCTTGACTCAGGGGCTAGGCAGCCTGGGCTGGAATCTAGCACCCTATTGTAGAAGCTGTGCGATCTTGGGCATGTTACTTAACCTCTCTGTGCATTACGTTCATCATCTGTAAACGGAATAATTATAGCACCTGCCTGAGAGCTGTTAATACAGATAAATCCCCTGGCATAGGGAAACCTATGAGTAGTTGTTTTTAATTATCATTACTACTGCAAACACAAATACCCACCAAGGAGATTTAATAAAATGTATTTATTCAATTCAGATTCTTCACTTCTTTTCCCTTATCTTGAAATAACTTGTAATTCTGAAATAACTGTAGATTCACAGGAAGTTGAAAAATAGCACAGAGAGGTCTCATGTAACCTATACCCAGCTTTCACCAAGGCTGATCTCTCACATAACGATGATATGATATCAAAATCAGGGGTCCAACCAACCCTGGCATGATTGTATTAACTAGACTACGGACCTTATTCAGGTTACAGCAGTTTTTTATATGCACTCATTTGTGTTTCTCTGTGTGTGTATGTGTGTGTGTGTGTTGTATGTGAAGTTCTCACAGTTTATCACTTGTATAAATTCATAAATTTACCATCACAATCAACATAGAAAACATCCATTGCCTTAAAGGAACTTTGAGCACCATGCTGAGTTGTTCACATACAGTGATACGTTCACTCCTTACCACAACCTAGGTGTTGTTATCCCGTTTTCAGGTGAGAAAACTGAGGAACAAAGAGGTCAAGGTAACCTGTACAAGATCACACGCTGGAAAGCAACAGTGCTGGCCTTGAACCTGCGTCTGTCATCAGTATTCTATCCGGATGCATCGCTTTTTGTCTCATCATTGTGTGCAGGAGGTTCACACAGGTTGATACCTGTGGACTTAATTCATGAATGTTAACCACTCTGTAGTTTTCCCTTTTATAATTTTTTTTTTTTTTGAGACAGGGTCTTGCTCTGTCGCCCAGGCTGGAGTGCATTGGTAAGATCTTGGCTTACTGCAACCTCTGCCTGCCAGGTTCAAGCGATTCTCTTGCCTCAGCCTCCCAAGTAGCTGGGACTACAGGCACGCACCACTACACTTGGCTAATTTTTGTATTTTTAGTAGAGATGGGGTTTCACTATGTTAGCCAGGCTGGTCTTGAACTCTTGACCTCAAGTGATCTGCCCACTTTGGCCTCCTAAATTGCTGGGATTACAGGCATGAGCGCCCATGCCCAGCCCCTTTTATAATTATACAGCTTATATAACCATGTATTGAAGATGTTACATTTTCTCTACTGCACACAATGCAAGTACCAGCCCGTCTGTATCTCCTTCTGCGTTTGTGTCTCAGCCCCTCTGTGGTTGATACCTACAGGTGGAATTGCTGAGTCGTTGAGTACATGGGTCTTCAACGTTGGAGGATGTTGCCAGGTCTCAAAGTGTTTGCAACAATTTATACTTCCACCTGCTGTGCAAGAGAACATGAGATGATATATGATTATTTTAATTTGCATTTCTCTGGTTTCTAGTAACGTTGAACATGTCTCTTTTGATTATTGGCCATGCATGTTTTCTCTGTGTACATTTTTCTGTTGGGCAGTTTGTCATTTTTAAATAATGTTTAGGAATTCTTTACATATTCTGAAGGATAGTTCTTTATTGATTATATGCATGGCCAATATCTTTTTCTAGTCCGTGTCTTGCCTTTTTAAAAAACTTTCATTATGGTATCTTTTATCATAGAAAAGCGTTCCACTGTAGTCAATTTGATCAATCTCTCCCTTAACAGTTTGTGCTTTTGTGTGTTTTATGTAAAAAATTACTTTCCACTTCATGGTCATAAAGATTTTTTTCTTAATTTTTCTAATTGTTTTAAAGTTTTATTTTTTCTTGGTTTTCTGCAGTAGAGTTTCACTTTATACAGTTATTTTCTATGTAAGATGTGAATTTTACCCCCCCTCAACATCTAGCCAATTTCCTAGCGCTATTTGTTGAGTCATCCACCTCTCCCCTCCTCTTTGCAGCACCTCCCCCACATATGTGGAGTTTCTGTGTCCATCTGAGTCTGTGTCTGGTTTCTCCAGTGGCCTATTTACCTTGTACAACGCTAACAACCACAATCGAAAATGCTAGAACTTAATCATAAATCTTGGTGTTGGGAAAGGTAAGTTGTCCTTGCCCTTCAAAATTATTTTCCCTGGAAACTTTTGAATCAGCCTATCATGTTCACTTGAAGTTCTGTTGGGATTTTAAAAAATTATTATTGTATTGTGTTTATGGATTAGCATGGGGATAATTGACATCTTTAGAATATTAGTCCTTCCTACCGATTAGCAGGGTATATCTCTCCCCCATTCAGTTTTCCTTTTATGTCCTTCAGTAAAATTTCATAATTTTCCCTTTAAAGGTCTTGCACATCGTTTACTAGATTTATTTCTTGGTACCTTTTATTGTTTATCAGAGCTCTGGAGTGAGGTATAGCTCATGTTGTAGCTTAGCTATTTACAATCTGCATGATCCTAGTCAAGTCTCTTAAATGGCTCAATCCTCAGTTTCCTCATAAATAATTGTACCCACAGCATAAAGTAGATGTGAGGATTAATGAAATAAAGAAGGTGATACTTTTAGAACACTTTAAATATCCAATAATTGTTAGCTCATCCTGGATTTGGCATAAATTTGGAGTTGCATTTCTGTATAGTTGTGTATCAGTAAATGAATGAGCTTGGGATATGGTCCCCAGGCAGAAATAGGTTAAATGTAACAGAATCTGATCTGTAAGTAATTGGCAGACAACCTACTCCCCCTCCTCCAACACTTAATAAAGTGCTTTCAAAATACGTATATAATAAAACCAAAACTCCTACTAAATCTCAAAGCAAGGATAATTAAGTTAGATTTTGAAGCCATTCTGGTTAACTTAGAAAACCAACAAAAAGAGAAAATTAATTGTAAAGATTTTTTTATGTTCAAAATTTAGTGTGGCTTATTAGCATAATTGTTGTTCTAGTTTTTTTTCAGCTAAAACTATTTAAACTGGGTTTCATTTTTAAAGGTTATGTTTGTTTGTTTTTAAACAATAAATGTTTTATCATAAACATTTCATACATTAAAGTACAAACGTGCAAAAATTTCTCCAAATCATACCACCCAAATAGCATTGCTCACATTTTGGTTCATATCATTTTTTTCTCTTTCTTGATGTCAACAAATGGGCTTCTGGGTTCATGCTCACTTTTTATTTTCCCTCAACAGGATGCTGTAGATGTGTTTCCATTTTAATAGTTGCAGAATTACATCGTTTGACATCATCACATTATATTCCATTTTATAGATTTGCACTAACTTAGCAAATCAATTCCCTATTTGGTGCCATTTGGTCTTATAAAGTAAATCATGCTCCAATAAACCACACTGCATACTTCTTTTTGGTTAACTTGTGTGACCACCTCCATCAATAAAATCCTTGGGAATGAGATTATCAGGATAAAAAGCATGCTCCCTTTACATTTTCACATGTATTGCCAACTGCCTTCCTGAAAAGGTCAAATTAATTAGCACCATTTTCATCTGTGCCTGAGGGTGTCCATTTTCCAATAAGCTAAGTGGGTTTGTCGGTTTTCTTAGTCTTTACCTGTCTGGCAAGCGGAAAACAAGCCTCTCTCTGCATATGCATTTCCTTGATTAGTAGAGAACCTAAACATCTTTTCATCTGTTTATTGGCTCTTTGAATTTCTTTTTCTGGATTGCCTCCATGAGTGCTTTGCATGTTCATCTTGTTGTCTTATAAGAATTCCTGTTTATTAACATTGTTTGTAACATTGTGTGCATTAATGTTAATTAATCCCTTGCCATGAGTGTGGAAAATATCTGCCGTATAAACCTTGCTTATGGCATATCTTTAATGTTTAATGGAAAAGTGTATATATAGTAAACAGCAATGTATCAGAAAAACAAAGCATTACCAGGGCCCCAGAAGCCCCTGGATCCCCCACTGAGTTCCTGCATTCTATCAAGAGTAAAGTGGGTTTTTTTGTTTGTTTGTTTGTTTGTTTTGGTCAATGGTTTCATTGACATACAGAAATTTCTGATTTTGTGTTAATTTAATCTCTCTTACCCTTTATAGTCTCCAGGCTTCTTGATATGCTGAGGAAGGTGTTTTCCACCCCACAATTGTAAAAATAATCTTCTCTTGCCTGATTGCCATGGCCAGAACTTCCTAATTGTCTCTGTTTGCAGATGACATGATTGTATATTTAGAAAACCCCCTTGCCTCACCCCGAAATCTCCTTAAGCTGATAAGCAACTTCAGTAGTCTCAGGATACAAAATCAATGTGCAAAAATCACAAGCATTTTTATACAGCAATAATAGACAGAGAGCCAAATCATGAGTGAGCTCCCATTCATAATTGCTGCAAAGAGAATAAAATATCTAGGAATACAACTTACAAGGGATGTGAAGTACCTCTTCAAGGAGAACTAAAAACCACTGCTCAAGGAAATAAGAGAGGACACAAACAAATGGAAAAACATTCCATGCTCATGGATGGAATCAATATCATGAAAATGGCCATACTGCCCAAAGTAATTTATAGATGCAATGCTATCCCTATCAAGCTACCATTGACCTTCTTCACATAAGTAGAAAAAACTACTTTAAATTTCATAAGGAACCAAAAAAGAGCTGGTATAGCCAAGACAATCCTAAGCAAAAACAATGAAGCTGTAGGCATCATGCTACCTGACTTCAAACTACACTACAAGGCTACAGTAACCAAAACAGCATGGTGCTGGTACCAAAACAGATATATAGACCAATGGAACAGGACAGAGGCCTCAGAAATAACTCCACACATCTATAACCATCTAGTGTTTGACAAACCTGACAAAAACAAGCAATGGGGAAAGGATTCCCTATTTAATAAATGGTGTTGGGAAAACTGGCTAGCCATATGCAGAAAACTGAAACTGGACCCATTCCTTACCTTATAAAAAAATTAACTCAAGATGGATTAAAGACTTAAATGTAAGATCTAAAACCATAAAAACCCTAGAAGAAAACCTAGGCAATACCATTCAGGACGTAGGCATGGGCAAAACTTAATGACTAAAGCACCAAAAGTAATGGCAACAAAACCCAAAATTGACAAATGGGATCTAATTAAATTAAAGAGCTTCTGCACAGCAAAAGAAACTATCATCAGAGCAAACAGGCAACCCACAAAATGGGAGAAAATTTTTGCAATCTATCCATCTGACAAAGGGCTAATATCCAGGATCTACAAGGAACTTCACCAAATTTACAAGAAAAAAACAACCCCAACAAAAAGTGAGCGAAGGGTGTGAACAGACACTTCTCAAAAGATGACATTTATGTGGCCAAAAAACATATGAAAAAAAGCTCATCATCACTGGTCATTAGAGAAATGCAAATCAAAACCACAATGAGACACCATCTCATGCCAGTTAGAATGGCGATCATTAAAAAGTCAGGAAACAACAGATGCTGGAGAGGATGTGGAGAAATAGGAACACTATTACACTATTGGTGGGGGTGTACATTAGTTCAACCATTGTGGAAGACAGTGTGGTGATTCCTCAAGGATCTAGAACCAGAAATACCATTTGACCCAGCCATCCCATTACTGGGTATATACCCAAAGGATTATAAATCATTCTACTATACAGACACATGCACATGTATTTTTATTGCGGCACTATTCACAATAGCAAAGACTTGGAACCAACCCAAGTGCCCATCCATGGTAGACTGGGTAAAGAAAATGTGGCACATATACACCATGGAATACTATGCAGCCATAAAAAAGGATGAGTTCATGTCCTTTGCAGGGACATTAATGAAGCGGGAAACCATCATTCTCAGCAAACTAACACAGGAAGAGAAAACCAAACACTGCATGTTCTCACTCATAAGTGGGAATTGAACAATGAAAACACATGGACACAGGGAGGGGAACATCACACACACGGGCCTATTGGGTGATGGGGGGCTAGGGGAGGGATAGCATTAGAAGAAATACCTAATGTAGATGACGGGTTGATGGGTGCAGCAAACCACCATGGCACATGTATACCTATGTAACAAACCTGCATGTTCTGCACATGTAGCCCAGAACTTAAAGTATAATAAAAACAATATATATATAAAATAAGGAATTATGCCCATATGTGTTATTAAAATGGGTATTTATTTGAAATTTAAAAAAGAAATAATCTTCTATCAGAAGCTTCAATTCTATTTTTTGTGTTTCACAGAGCCAGGCCAGTTGTCACAATTCACATTCAATGACTAATCTTTCCCTTGAGTTGAAACATACACATTTAATTTGCATGTCTGTCTATGTACTTAACATACGCACATATTTGAGTGTGTTTTTTGATTCTTCATTATTTGTCTGCTCTGTTGTTTTGAAAATCGTGCCCTGCATCTCTTGCGTTGATAAGCTTTTCAATTACTGTGACTCATTTCTCAAGTCTATCAATATCTGCTTTGATTTAATTTCTTCTGTAGGACTTTTCCTATCTATTCTCACATAGTCACTCTTCCATACAAATTTAAGACAATTGTATGAATAAGTGTCTACCTTATTTATCCTCTCTCTAAGGACTAAGCTCTGATTTTTTTTCTTATCTTGTCCAAATTCCTATCTAAGGGGTCTAGGGAGTCATGCCATACAAACCATAAGTTCTCCTCAGATGGGTTTTATTTAACCCTGTATATTGTGACTTACTTTCCAATCTGACTCTGGTGTAACATGATGTGACAAAGAAGAAAATCAAAATATTTTACCCCAAAACATGTTTCTTTTCCACATTTTGAAATGACCCTGCAAAGCTGTCCTTCGTGGGGAAAATTTACATCTGTAAAGAATCTCTATTAACATAGGTAGAGCTTTTTCTTCCAGGCCCTCCCAATCCTGAAGAGATTAACTAAGAGTCTAGCACCTTTTAAAGGTCTGAATAGGAAGCATTTGTCATCTATTGTCTCTATGGGCAGCCACTATGAGACTTCAAAAGAACCTTGGTCTCTACAATCTTTTATCTTAACCTGAACATTTCCTTTCTATTGATCTTCAGGTCTTCAGATAAACTCAACCAATTGTCAACCAGGAAATGTTTAAATTTACCTATAGCCTGGAAGTCCCCCTGCTTTGAATTGTCCCACCCTTCTGGACCAAACTAATGTATTTCACAAATGTATTTGATTGATGTCTCATGACTCTCTAAAATGTATAAAACCAAGCTGCACCCTGACTGCTTTGGGCGGATGCTCTCAGGACTTCCTGAGGGCTGTGTCATGGACCGTGGCCACTCATATTTGGCTCAGAATAAATCTCTTCAAATATTTTACAGACTTTGACTCTTTTCATTGACACTCTGTACACCCTACGAATCTGCACAATAACCTCAGTCAGAGAATGTGGAGAGTGCTGTTTCCACATATTGAAGTTTATTGGCATTTTCTTTGGGATATAATATTTGATCCATTTAATAGACATACATTTTTAAAAGATATATTTCTTGTTTGCAGTGTAAAGAATAATCTATCAATCTCATTAATTATCCTACTTATGGCCTCAAATAATCTTAGTTCTTTCTTCTTGATATGTTACCAGCAGAGGAAGACTGGCAGTTTCCCACTGATACTATGTTTCTGTTGGATTTTTCTTTGTATTTCCTTCAGCTATTATTTCATATACTGTATCTTAACTTTATATCATTGGTTCAAGTTGATTAAAGGACATTCTATCTTCACTGTGATTGTATCCTTAATATAATTTAAAAGTAGCCCTCTGTATTAGTCCATTCTTGCACTGTAACAAAGAACTACCTGAGACTGGATAATTTATAAAGAAAAGAGGTTTAATTGGCTCATGGCTCTGCGGGCTATACAGGAAGCATGGTGGCATCTGCTTCTGGGGAGGCCTCAGGGTGCTTTTACTCATGGAGAAAGGCAAAGTGGGAGCCGGCATCTTACATGGCAGGAGCAGGACCAAGGGGAGGAGTGGGAGGTAAACAACCAGATCCCATGAGAACGCTATCATGAGAACAGCACCAAAGGGATGGGGCTAAACCATTGCAAAAATTTATACTTCCATCTGCTGTGCATGAGAATATGGATGATTTATCATTATTTTAATTTGCATTTCTATGGTTTCTGGTAAGGTTGAACATGTGTCAACCACCTCTCTCATGAAGGAGGATCCCCATGATCCAATCACCTCCCATCAGGCCCCACCTCCAACACTGATTACAAGTGAACATAAGATTTGGGTGGGGAAGTAGATCTAAACCACATCATTGTTTCCCTGGCCCCTCCCAAATCTCATGTCCTTCTCACATTTCGAGATATAGTTGTGCCTTCCCAATAGTCCCTCAAAGTCTTCACTCATTCCAGCATTAACTCAAATCTCCACAGTCCAAAGTGTCATCCGAGACAAGGCAATTCTCTCCCGCTATGAGTCTGTAAAATCAAAAGCAAGTTAGTTACTTCCAAGATACAATGGCAATAAAGGCATTGGATAAATACTCTTTCCAAAAGGGAGAAATCAACCAAAAGAAAGGGGCTACAGGCCCTGCACAAGTCTGAAACCCAGCAGGGCAGTCATTAAATCTCAAAGCTCCAAAAGAATCCCCTTTGACTCCATGTCTCACATCCAGGGCATACTTGGTGCAAGGGGTGGGCTCTCAAGGTCTTGAGCAGCTCCACTTCTGTGGCTTTGCAAGGGTCAGCCCCCACAGTTGCTTTCAAGGGCTGGTGTTGGGTGCCTGTGGTTTTCCAAGTGCAATGTGCAAGCTGCTTGTGGACCTACCATTCTGGGGTCTGGAGGATGGTGGCCCTCTTCTCACACTTCCATTGGACAGTCCCCCATTGGGGACTCTGTGTGAGGGCTCCAACCCCACATTTCCCCATCACTCTGCCCTAGCAGAGGTTCTCCATGAGGGTTCTGCCCCTGCAGCAGGCTTCTGTCTGGACATTCAGGCTTTTCCATGCATCCTCCAAAAACTAGGCAGAGACTCCCAACCCTCAACTCTTGCCTTCTGTGTACCTATAGGCTTATCACCACAGAGAGGCTGCCAAGGCTTACAGCTTGCACCCTCTAAAGCAGTGGCCAAGCTGTACCTGGGCACCTCCTAGCCATGGCTGGGGCTGGAGCAGCTGGGATGCAGGAAGCAGCGTCCTGAGGCTGCACAGGGAGTTGGAGCCCTGAGCCTGGCCAACAAACCATTCTGTCTTCCTAGGCCTCAGGGCCTGTGATGGTAAGGACTGTTGTGAAGGTCTCTGAAATGCCTTCAAGGCCTTCTCTCCATTGTCTTGGCTATCAGCACTTACCTTTCTTTTAGTTATGCAAATTTTTGCAGACTGCTTGAATTCCTCCTCTGAAAATGGGCTTTCCCCCCACCCCCCCACATGGCCAGGCTACAAATCTTCCAAACTTTTATACTCTACTTCCCTTTTAAATATACGTTCAAGTTTCAGGTCATTGCTTTGCTCATGCACACAAGCATAGGCTGTTCAAAGCAGCCAAGCCACATCTTGAATGCTTTGCTGCTTAGAAATGTCTTCCGCCAGACACCCTAAATCAACACTCTCAAGCTCAAAGTTCCACAGATCCCTAGATCAGGGGCACAATGCAGCCAGGCTCTTTGCTAAAGCATAGCAAAAGTGACCTTAACTCCAGTTCCCAGTAAGTTCCTCATATCCATCTGAGACCTCCTCAGCCTGGCCTTCACTGTTTGTAAAACTATCAGCATTTTGGTCACAAACTTTCAACAACTCTCTAGGAAGTTCCAAACCTTCCCTCGTCTTCCTATCGTTTTCTGAACCCTCCACACTCTTCCAAACTCTGCCCATTTCTCAGTTCCAAAATTACTTCCACATTTTCAGATATCTTTATAGCAATATCCCACTCCTTGTACCAATTTTCCATATTAGTCTATTCTTTCACTGCTATAAAGAAATACTTGAGACTAGGTAATTTATAAAGAAAAGAGATTTAATTGGCTCACCCTCCCACAGGCTGTACAGGAAGCGTGGCGGCACTGCTTCTGGGGAGGCCTCAGGGAGCTTTTACTCATAGAGGCCAAGTGGGAGCAGGCAACTTACATAACAGGAGGAAGAAAAAGATGGGTGGCAGAGGTGCCACACACTTTTAAACAACCAGATTACATTAGAATTCTATCATGAAAACAGCATCAAAGGGATGGTGCTAAACCATTCATGAAGGATCCACTCCCATGAGTCAATCACCTACCACCAGGCCCCACCTTGACAGTGGGGATTACAGTTGAACATAAGATTTGGGTGGGGACACAGATCCAAACCATACCACCCTCTTTATCCATTTAGTTTCATTTCTCCCCCCACTGGCCTGATCTCTGTTTCCTTGAATTCATTATTTACATTAGACTCTTTACATTTCTGGTGTTGCTTTTTGTTGTTCTATCTTTTTGCCCATCATTAGGGGTGTTTCTGGCAGAGAACACAAAAATAAGAAATGTTTTAACCCAATGTGAGAGAATACATTACCAGCTTTATTTATCTTGTATCTAATTATCATTATAGCAGATATTTCAGGTTGTGTTTCTCTCACTAATTTCCATATAAAAAATTTATTCTTTTGTGGTGCTTCATTCGCCATTTATTTGCTTTATGATTTATTTTTATTTGTCCTTCCCCCTCACTTTTTTTGTTTTTTCGAGACAGAGTCTTGTTCTGTCACCCAGGCTGGAGTGCAGTGGCACAATCTCGGCTCACTGCAAACTCTGCCTCCCAGGTTCACGCCATTCTCCTGCCTCAGCCTCCTGAGTAGCTGGGACTGCAGGCACCCGCCACCACGCCTGGCTAATTTTTTGTATTTTTAGTAGAGACGGGGTCTCACTGTGTTAGCCAGGATGGTCCCCATCTCCTGACCTCGTGATCTGCCTGCCTCGGCCTCCCAAAGTGCTGGGATTACAGGCGTGAGCCACCTCGCCTGGCCCCACCCTCCCTTCTTTTATAATTTGGTTGGTATGTGCTCTGGTTTAAATTTTATGTTTATACTTTTAAATCATGGGTTTAGACTGATCAGCTTTGTGCCTATTGATTATCTACCATGGAAGAAGAGACATAAAGACACATTGCCTCATTTCCTGTACCATCCCTCTCATTTGTTGGTGGGATTTTTGTTCCAGTGTATGATCATCAAATTATTATTTACTATTGTGTAGCTTTTCTTTCAAGAGCCATAAAAATTATGTCCGGTTTTGTAACCATAATTATTGTTTGACTTAATTTCATGTTTAAAATGATTCAGTATTTCCAGTCTTTCCACACTACAGCTTTAGCAGTGTGAGTTCTTCATTTTGAATTCTCTTTCAGTTGAGTGGTTCAAGTCTCCATGTAGATTCTTCTGAAAGGTTATGTGAAAGCCCTGTTTCCTGAGTCCTTATTTCCATTGCCTTAGCAAGGCTGGAAGTTTGGCTTTATACGCAACCCTTGAGTAAAACTATTTCTCCCAATGCAGCTTTGCTATTTAAACCTTGAATCCACTGCTTGGAGCCTGTATGGAAGAATGGGGGAAGAGGTCTAGCAAGAAGACAAAACACCTGGTTTAGTCTTCACTCAGGGTGGCCTACTGAAACACTGGCCCAGTTCCTTATCCCTCTCATTCTTTCTTCTTGCCACATAATTGATTTCCCATTTCCTTGACTTTGGACTTGGCCACGGGGCTTACCTTGGCCAATGAGATATTAGCAGATGTGATTCAAGCAAAGGTTTTTAAATGCGTGTGGCTGGGTTTGCCCTCTTAAGCTTCTGCCAACCCCATGAAAGTTGATGCCCTGGATAGCCTGCTGGTCTCAGAAGGATGAGAAACTCACGGAGCAGATCTGAACCAAACCTGTGGTCTGGAGCCAAGCCGAGCTGAGCCCAGCCAAAATCAGCAGAGTCGTAGCTGCCAGCCACATACAGTGTGAAAATAAATGACTGTGGTGTTAAGCCAGGAGTTGGGACTGGTTTGTCATGCAGCAGCACTATGAGAAGGTGACTGATGCACCCTGTCCTTCTCTTGCTCCTGTCACGGTGTTGTACATGTCACCTCCCTTCTCTGGGCCTCAGTTTCTTTAACTATGACATGAAGGAGTTGATCACTGGGTGACTTCTAGGGTCTCTTCTAATACTAAGATTCTGGATTTCAATACAGGGTTTGGTGGTGAGAGGGAAGGAGATTGTTCTAGCACAGGGGTGCAAAGAAGGCTATGTTGGAAAGGGAATGGGAGGGGGACGTGTTTGTCTCACTGGAGCAAGTGACCTGAGAGATGCAGGCAGGGGTGGGTTGGGGGCTTGGAGGCCTGATGCAGAAATGCTCGTGCTTGGGCTTCCCAGGAAGCTGTACCTGCTCAACCCCCACCTGCTCCTTAACCCCTTGTAAATCAGCTTCAGACCCCACCATGCTGCTGAAACTGCCTTCTCACTGAGGACTTCTTATTACCAAATCCTCACTCTTGAACTTGATGCTTCCTCCAAGCCCTCTTCCCTGTCTTCTGCCCCCACACCCTACTGGCACTCCCCTGCTCCATCTGCCCACCCTCTTTCTATCTCCTTCAATGAGTCTACTCTGAAGGGATCTCCCAAGGCTCTCTCCTCTGCTTTTCTTCCCAGCCTAGGAATGGGCGTGGAATTCAGGGATATGGATCTCAGGCAGAGAACCTGTGTATCATAGGTCAGGGTTCCAGGCAAGCCACCCAGAGGGTACCAAAAGCAAGCATCTTCTGAGTACCACCAAAAAGTAAATAGTCCTTTGCTGTTGTTCTAAATAACCTAAAGCCTTAGGAAGAGAGCTTTGGACAAACACGAAGAGGCTTAGTGCTGGGCTCAGATCACTACTGGGTATTATGTTTGTACGGCCACTTGGCATCTCCAGCACGATCATTCTTACATAGGATATTCTGTGCTTACAGCTACAATAGATGATCTGAGCAGGGGCAGCGAGACTTCTCAGGCCAACTTAAAGCAAAGGTAGTCAGTTTGCATTTCTCTCTCTATATATATTTTTTGAGACAGAGTCTCACTCTGTCACACAGACCGGAGTGCAGTGGCATCCTCTGCTCACTGCAAACTCCGCCTCCCAGGTCTAAGCAATTCTCCTGTCTCAGCCTCCTGAGTAGCTGGGATTACAGGTGTGTGTCACCACGTCCAGCTAATTTTTGTATTTTTAGTAGAGATGGGATTTCACCATGTTGGCCAGGCTGGTCTGGAACTCCTGACCTCAGGGGATCCTCCCAGCTTGGCCTCCCAAAGTGCTGGGATTACAGGTGTGAGCCACTGTGCCCAGCCTGCATTTCACTTATTTTCCACACAGGATGGACTTCAAAATGCTCTTCCTCCAAAAACTTGTTTCCCCCTTTCCTCAGGCACTTGTCCGCTCTCTCTCACTGCTGGCCTCTGCCATTGTTCTGTGGTCCTGACTTCTTAGCACATCCTGAACACCAGCCTGTGGCTTGAAGGATGCTCCATGGTTCATCTTGCAATAGCCTTTGCCTTGGAACACACCTTTGCTTAATAAATGTGCTTGCTGTTCTTCTTATAAGCCCCTTTCTACCTGTGTAGGAAACCATTGCTAGACAAAGCCTTTCAAGCCTGTGTGCATCCCACAGGTTCTCAGCGATTCCCCCACCCCGTAAGAACCAGACCCCTCATAATTAACCCTGCTGAAAAATACCTGGGATTTATCACCAGTGGGACTTTCACTTACAGAGCTGATAGGCATCTTCAAGCTTATGTGAGACTGGAAAGCAGCATGTTCAAGGAAAAAAGGGATGAACTTGGAAGCAGATACACCTGGCTTCAGATTCTGGCTCCATCCTTAGCTGGTCATGCGCACATCACTCCCAACCCTCTAGTCACACACAACAATGTACAGTGTCTGACGCATCGTTGGCATTCAATACGTCATCGTCTTTCCTCCATAGGACCTAGTCCTGCCTCTGGTTTTTAAATTAGCATCAATCGTATTTCCCCTATTTTAATCTAATTGTCTGCTTAATTGCTTATGCCCTCCCAAGGTCACTTAGATTCTGCACCCTTAGTCCAGTGCCTGCCACAAAGTGGGTGCCCAGTGAAAATAGCCTGATGTAGGAGAACATATTGGAGTTCTGTGAAAAACTCTCTCTGTGTATTCTGTTTTTCAGAAGCACTCTGCACATCCCAGATCTTCTTTTCTGTCTTCCATGTCCGTTGTCCTCACTGTTTTTGTTATTACAACTTCATTCTTTCCCATTTTAAGTTGAGTAATTTCCTCTCCATTTCCCCGATGGAATTTCCAGCGATGATTTATCATCTTGGGGTTGAGTTTTATGTGGCATTCATCTCTGTTAATGTTTTCATCTGTTTTGTTTCTCCCCTACAATGTACTAGCTCATTTTTCTCCTCTCATTTTATAACTTCCATGGATAATTCTTCTTTGAATTGTGACTCTTTTCTCTGAGTCTGAGTTTTTGTCATTCTGCCTCTGGTTCTTTGGCGATTCCTCTTGGGAGGCAGGTTCCTCCTTTCTTCGCTCTTGTGCTCATCCTCTTTATCAGAGAGGCATTTCCTGTGTGTGGGGGGGCGCCCGTTTTGCTCTTGCTGGTCTTTACGAATCTCAAGGGGGTGGCCATTTGTTGGGGGGCAGGGGAACTGAGCTGGGTAATCCTTAACTCCAACGTGGGATCATCATCCCGAAACCTTCAGAGAAAATACATAATTTCCTTTGCCCTGGGCGTGGGGGGTTCTATCTTCCTCACTTTTCAGGGTCAAGAAGTTGTTGCTACTTTTGGCAAAGCTTGTTAAGTCTCCAGGTCTCTGTGAACCAAGGCCCAGGGTCCCCCCTCCTCCCTCCTTCAGACCTCTCATTGCGTAACCAGGGGGTCAGGTGTGGAGAATGTCTATGGCTTGCCACCCTGGTGCCTCCTCTGCTCATCACCCCTGCCATGCTGAACTGGGGAACTGAGTCCCTTGCAGCCTGCCCCAAATTCACCTCTCCTCTCTCCAATCAAATGGTTAAAAGGTCACCAGACTTTTAATGTTGCAGAACTTAGATTTCATTTATCCTGCCTAGTGAATGACCACTCCATTGCAACAGTACCCTGGACCAAAAGTCTTGCAGTCATCCCTGATTCCTCTTTTTCTCTCATGCCCACACCCAACCCACCAGTTAACCCTGCTAGCTCCTCTCTCAACATGGGTCCAGCGTCTGGCCCCTCTCACCACTGCACGGCACTGTCCCACGCTGGCCCATGCCACCATCCTCCCTCCCCTGGCAGCACTGCAGCAGCCTCTCCCCTGGCCCCTGCTTCCTCCCTGCCTTGGTTTCTTCTCATACCATGGGTAGAGGTGCCCTGCACAGACATGAGGCCATGTCCTGACATTCCTCTCTACCGAGGTCCAGGAGACCCTCATGGTTCACCCCATTGCTCCCAGTGCCTTCTTCTGTTACTGACTGTCTTGCTCTCTTCACCTTCTTGCCAGCTGTTCCTTCTGCCTGGAATGCCTTTCCTCATTGCCTGCTGAACTTTAACTCAGCCACTGTTATAGAATGAATGTTCACGTCCCTCTAAAATTCATATAACTAGTGCCCTTTTGAAAGAGACCCCAGAGAGCTCCTTCGCCCCTTCTGCCACGTGAGGACACAGTGAGAAGGCTATGAGTTAGGTAGCTGGCCCTCACCAGACAGTGAATCTGTGGGCACCTTGATCTTGAACTTCCCACCCTCCAGAACTGTGAGAAATAAATTTTTATTGTTTACTAGCCACGCAGCCTCTGGTATTCTTTTATAGGATCTCAAATAGACCAATGCAATAACTGTAATGGTTTGCTATGGCTGCCCAAACAAACTGCCACGAACTGGGCATCTGAAACAGCAGGAATTTATTATCTCACAGTGCAGGAGGCTAGACATTCAAGATCAAGGTGCTGGCAAAATTGATTCCTTCTCTAGGCTCTGAGGAAGACCTTGTTCCAGGTCTCTCTCCTTTTCTGGCAATCTGGGGTTCCTTTGCTTGGAGATGCCTCACCCTGATCTCTGCTTTGATGATCACATGGTGCTCTCCCTGTGTGCATGTCTCTCTGCAAAATCTCTTTTATAGGAGGACACCAGTTGATATGGTTTGGATGTTTTGTCCCCTCCAAATCTCATGTTAAAATGTGATCTTCACACTGTAGAAGGTGGAACCAGGTGGGAGGTGATTGGATCATGGGGGTGGATCCTTCATAAGTGGTTTAGCACCATCTCCTTGGTGATGAGTGAGTTCACATGAGATCTGGTTGTTTAGATGTCTGATGCCTTCCTCATCTCTCTTGCTCCCGCTCTCACCATGTGATATGCTGGCTCTCCTTTGCCTTCCACTATGATTGTAGCTTCCAGAGGCCTCACCAAAAGCAGATGCTGGTGCCATGCTTCCTGTATAGCCTGCAGAACCACAAGCCAAGTAAACCTCTCTTCTTTATACATTACCCAGCCTCAGGTATTCCTTTTAGTAATGCAAAAACAGCCTACCACACCCTGTGTGATGTGGCTTGGCTGTGTCCCCACGCAAATCTCCACTGGAATTGTGCCTCCCAGAGTTCCCACACGTTGTGGGAGGGACCCAGAGGGAGGTAATTTAATCATGGGGTCCAGTCTTTCCCATGCTATTCTTCTGATAGTGAATAAGTCTCACAAGATTTGATGGGTTTATCAGCGTTTCTGCTTTTGCTTCATCCTCGTTTTTCTCTCGCCACCACCATATAAGAAGTTCTTTTCACCTCCCGCCATGATTCTGAGGCCTCCCTAGCCATGTGGAACTGTAAGTCCAATTAAACCTCTTTTTGCTCGCATGTTCGGGTATGTCTTTATCAACAGCATGAAGACGAACTAATGCAGTACATGGAGCGTTACGGAAAAGATATCCGAAAATGTGGAAGCAACTTTGTAACTGGGTAACAGGCAGAGGTTGGAACTGTCTGGAGGGCTGCAAAGAAGACATGAAAATGTGGGAAACTTTGTAACTTCCTAGAGACTTTTTGAATGGCTTTGACCAAAATGCTGATAATGATATGAATAATAAGGTGCAGGCTGAGGTGGTCTCTGATGGAGATGAGGAACTTGTTGGGAACTGGAGCAAAGGTGACTCTTGTTATGTTTTAGCAAAGAGACTGGTAGCATTTTGCCCCTGCCCTAGAGATTTGTGGAAGTTTGAACTCAAGAAAGATGATTTAGGGTATCTGACAGAAGAAACTTATAAGCAGAAAAGCATTCAAGAGGTGACTTGGGTACTGTTAAAAGCATTCAGTTTTATAAGGGAAGCAAAGCATAAACGTTTGGAAAACTTGCAGCCTGACTATGCAATAGAAAACAGAAACCCATTTTCTGGGGAGTAATTCAAGCTGGCTGCAGAAGTTTGCATAAGTAGCAAGGAGCCTAATATTAACCCCCAAGACCACAGGGAAAATGTCTCCAGGCCATGTCAGAGAGCTTCATGGCAGCCCCTCCCATCACAGGCCCAGAGGCCCAGGAGGAAAAAGTGGTTTTGTGGGCCAGGCCCAGGGTCCCCGAGCTATGTGGAGCCTATGGATTTGGTGCCCTGTGTCCCAGCCACTCCAGCCATGGGTGAAAGGGGCCAAAGTACAGCTTGGGCTGTAGCTTCAGAGGGTGGAATCCCCAAGGCTTGGCAGCTTCCACATGGCATTGAGCATTCAGGTGCACACAAGCTAAGAACTGAGGTTTGGGAACCTCCACCTAGATTTCAGAAGATGTATGGAAATGCCTGGATGCACAGGCAAAATTTTGTAGCAGGGGTGGGGTCCTCATGGAGAACCTCTGCTAGGGCAGTGAGGAAGGGAAATGTGGAGTTGGAGCCCCCACACAGAGTCCCTTCTGGGGCACTGCCTAGTGGAGCTGTGAAAAGAGGGCCACTATCCTCCAGACCCCAGAATGGTAGATCCACCAACAGCTTGCACCATACACCTGGGAAAACCACAGACACTCAATGCCAGCCTGTGAAAGCAGCCAGGAGGGAGGCTGTACCTGGCAAAACCATGGAAGGGGAGCTGCCCAAGACCATGGGCACCTACTTCTTGCATCAGTGTGACCTGGATGTGACACATGGAGTCAAAGGAGATAATTTTGGAGCTTTAAAATTTGACTGCCCAGCTGGATTTCAGACTTGCATGGGCCCTGTAGCCCCTTTGTTTTGGCCAATTTCTTCCATTTGGAATGGCCTATTTACCAAATACCTGTACCCCAATTGTATCTAGGAAGTAACTAGCTTGCTTTTGATTTTACAGGCTCATAGGCAGAAGGGACTTGCCTTGTCTCAGATGAGACTTTGGACTGTGGACTTTTGGGTTAATGCTGAAATGAGTTAAGACTTTGGGGGACTGTTGGGAAGGCATGATTGGTTTTGGAATATGAGGACATGAGATTTGGAGGGGCCAGGGGTGGAATGATGTAGTTTGGCTGTGTCCCCACCCAAATCTCAACTTGAATTGTATCTCCCAGAATTCCCATATGTTGTGGGAGGGACCCAGGGGGGTAACCTCCCAGGGGAGGTAACTGAATCATGGTGGCCAGTCTTTCCCATGTTATTCTCATGAGAGTGAATAAGTCTCATGAGATCTTATGGGTTTATCAGGGATTTCTGCTTTTGCTTCCTCCTCATTTTTCTCCTGCCACCACCATGTAAGAAGTCCCTTTCACCTCTTGCCATGATTCTGAGGCCTCCCCAGCCATGTGGAACTGTAAATCCAATTAAAGCTCTTTTTGGTCCCAGTTTCCAGTATGTCTTTATCAGCAGCGTGAAAATGAACTAACACACTGTGTTAGGGTCATGTTGGATTAAGACCCACCCTAATAACCTCATTTTACCTTGATTACTTCTGTAAAGACCCTATCTCCAAATAAGATCACATACCTTACCAAATAAGGTATGGGTGGGCTAGGGCTTTAGCATATGGATTTCAGAGGTGGGGCACACTTCAGTGCTTAACAGTCACATTCCCAATTTACAGCTGCAGAAATGCCATGAATAGCCACAAGAATTTTGAAAAAGAACAAAATTAAAGTTCTTATACTTCCAGACTTCAAAACTTACTATAAAACTACAGTAATCACCAGGCACAATGGCTTGCACCTATAATCCCAGCACTTTGGGAGGCTGAGACAGGAGGATTGCTTGAGCCCAGGAGTTTGAGACCAGCCTGGGCAAAATAGGGGTACCTCATGTTGTAACCCCAGCCACCCAACCCTTGGTTCTACTTGTATCATGGAAGTTGGAGTTTACTCCTCCAATTTTTAATTGCTTTTTTGTAGTTTTAATGAATTTCCATCTTAAGTCAGAACAAAACAAACATCACCCGTATAGCTCAGGGTCATCTCCCCCAGCCCAGAGCCCCCAACATCACAGGCCCTCTGCCTGCCTCGACCCCAAGCCTCATGTCCAGTCCATCTTGCATGGAAGCTGCAGGAGGGTGGGGTACAGGTATCAGGTGGCCCTGGCTGATGGGGCCCCAGGGCGGGAAGAGCAGTGGCTTCAAAGCCAGCAGAGTCCACTCATGAGCACTGACCATGATGCTGGCCAGGTCCAGGTCTGTTCTGCCTGCGCACAGTAAATCAATCACTGTGACACAGGTTTTGCAAAAGAGAAAAGATTTATTTGCCAGGGCACAGAGTGAGGAGGAAGGAGAACAGCTCCCAAATCTGCCTCCCTGAAGATAAGCCTTAGGAATATTCATAGATTAGGGAAGTGGATGGTCTAAGGTGTGGGGAAGGTGATTGGCAGTGGGGAACAACCAAGTAACAGGTTCGTTCTGCACAAGCATAGCTGGAATTCATGGCATTTCATAGGATGTGTGTACAGAAAATGGTGACATTTGCATCATCTGAGGGTGGGGTTTTTGGCCCTCTGATGTCAAAAGGCACCTACTGGGCATGTATGCAGGCTCAGTTGAAGGATCAGTGGTACCAACAAGTTTGAACTGCACAGGAGCTGGCCAAAGTTCCTGAAAAATTGCAGAAGCCATCATAGCCACGGTGACCTATAAATGCTAATTATAAAGCAGCCAGTGAAGGTGAGGTTTCAGCGTTCAGTGGAGAGGCCTTCAGCTTCATGGAAAAAGGAACAAAAACAGAAACAAAAAGCAAGTGAACAAAGCTAGTAGGGCAGGCTGACCTGATCAAAATAATCCCTTGGTGTCAACCATGCCCACCTTCAGCAGAGACACCACCCGCAACCTGGTCAGCTTCCCTAGCTCTTTTCCTCAGTCTTCAACGCACAGGTTAGCCTGATAAAGACACCTTCATTCCCTGGCTCAGGAGTGGGAGGGGGACTTTCTCCACCACCAAGTCCAAACCCATCTCCAAACCCGTCTGGCTTCCAGCTCCAGCTGGCAGAGCAGTGACTGCTGGATGTCACTGTTAGTGCCCCGGCCCCTGGCTGCTGGCAGGGTCTCCCTGTCCTCATGGGCAGAATGAGGTTCTCTCCTCCACCTCAACGGTGGCCTGGTTGCCCAGGCTGAGCCTATCAGGAGACCAACCTGCATAGACACGCTCAGCATCCCACGGGATACCTTGATTTGGATGCCATCACAGGGTCCTCCACGTGAACCCCCTCGTGGCTGGGGGCCCAGGCTCCAGGCCTGTGTGAGGATGGTGGTGGGGAGGATGGGGCATGCCCAGCCCTCAGTCCCAAGAGAACATGGGAGGAAGAGAGACATCAAGCGACAGGCCTAATCCAAATTGCCCTTGAGATCTCCCTTCTCCTCTCACAGGGCAGCACATCTCAGATAATCCCAGAGTCAGCCTCCCTCCTCATGCCCAGAGCGGCGCTGCCTGGGGCCTGTGCTGAGCCCCTAACAACAGCTCCCAGCTTCCTCCCAGCACCCCTCACCACTCCCTACCTGCTATTCTCTGCTCTGGAGCTCCCGTGGTAGGACCAGCTCTCTCCCCGTGAGAACCTTCCAGACAGAGGTGGCTTTACCAGAGGCTGACACAGCTTATGTTTCAGGGGCCTTCAGTCTCCAGAGTCCATTCTAAGGCCCTGGTTGGGCTCCAAGAGATGTGGTCAATGAGCATTGTTAATTCACGGATTAGTTAGGATTAGTAGCTGTGAAGAAACTTTGCCATGCCATGAAATTTTACAGTTCATATAAAAAGACCCTTGGCAGGGATTTCCCTAATTTAACAACAACGCTGAAAATTTGCATGACATAATCCATAATGGATGGCGAAGGAGAAAGAAACTTTTTGAAACTGTCCATAGCAAAAAGCCACTTTGATGAGAATCTGCTGGAGGCTGAAGGAGAGCTTGAACTCACTTCCTATTATCTTTACAAAGAAAAATATGACAAAATCATTGACCAATGAAGAGGTGAACAAAGAAGGCGCAGCCTAAACAATTTATGGCAGAAAGGCATAAAAGTGTGTCGGGATGCTAAGGAATGCATTGGGTGTGATTTTCCTCGATTTTGTGATGTTTTCAGTAATGGCTGGTTTTTGAAATCTGTAATTTATTGCTTTTCTTTTCTCACTCTAAATAAATATTAAATTATGAAGCTAATTTTGAATCCTAAGTCTATGGTTTTTTAAATTATTATTTTATTTTTTATTATTTTTTGAGATGGAGTCTTGCTCTGTCGCCCAGACTGGAGTGCAGTGGCACGATCTCGGCTCACTGCAAGCTCCGCCTCCTGGGTTCACGCCATTCTCCTGTCTCAGCCTCCCGAGTAGCTGGGACTACAGGCGCCGGCCACCACGGCCGGCTAATTTTTTATATTTTTAGTAGAGACGGGGTTTCACCGTGTTAGCCAGGATAGTCTCAATTTCCTGACCTCGTGATCCGCCCGCCTCGGCATCCCAAAGTGCTGGGATTACAGGCATGAGCTACTACGCCCGGCCTGTTTTTTTTTTTTTTTTTTTTTTTAAAGGATCCCCCAAATGGTATAATTTTCAGAACCATGAAACCTGGATCTGCTGCATCTGAGGTCTTCCTACTGCACTTAGAATAAAATTTAATTTTTTCCCCATGGTGTGGAAGGCTCCCCAGTCCCTCTCTATCACCACCTCCTAGCACTGTGTCCATCCCTCGCCACACTGCAGACGCTGATTTTCTCCCAGTTCCTCTAATTACTGAGCTGAGCCGCACTTTGGCGACTGCATTTGCTATACCTCCTACCTGGAACCTCTCGGGTGGATTTTCCCTTCTGGTCATTCAGGGATGAGCTCCAGGCCACCTCCCCTGAGAAGACCTCCAGGATAATCCTATTTAAGGTGGAGACCCCTTCCCATCCCACCCCACACCCTACCCCAGCCACTGTGGCAACCCTCTGCTTTGTTTATTTATCTGAAAATACAATGTTCCCTCTACAGTGCCTGTCCCTTCCCCCAACTGGGAAGCATGGTGGGGTTGGAACACACTTGACTGGATCTTCAGTACCTAAAACAGTGCCCAGCACATGGTGAACACTGTGGATGAAGAGACTATTGGTTGCAGTTTGAATTAACACCTTCTTTCTGGAAAGTGTGCTAGCAATATGTCTTGAGAACCTCAAAATGTGCAAACACACTAACCCCACTTCTAGAAATTAATCCCAAAGGAACCATCAGAAAGGTACACAAAGGAGTTTAGCTAAGCAGTAAAGACCATGACTTTGTAATAAATCTTTGGTTCTAATCTTGGCTCCACCAATTAAATAGCTGCTGGGCGACCCTGGGTACATTGCTAATGTCTCTGAGTCCTGATTTCCTCATCTCTAAATAGGGATGGTAATGGTAACGTCCAAAGAGGGAAGCTTGAGGCTCACATGAGGTCCCATATGGAAAGTGCTTACACAGAGCCAGGCGTGTGAACACAGCTCAATGCCGACTAGTACTGTGTTCCGTGATGCTCGTTATGGCATTGTTTATAGTAGAATAAAATCTGAAAGAGCCTAAATATCTAACCACAAGGGATTGTCTAGATAAGTGATGTGACACCTTTAGATAAATTACTATACATCCTTGAAGAGTCTGCTTTCAAATATTTAATAATGCAAGTAAAAGCTCACAAAATGAGATTAAATGAAAAAGGTAGGACACAGTCAAATAAAGTGTGATCCTACTTTTGGTATTTAAATATATGCCTGTGTTTATTGGAGTGTGAAAGTGGATGTGTATACTGCAAGAAAATGCAATAAAATCAGGCCATCTATGAATAATGAAATGATGGTAATTTTAATTTTCTTTTCATTTGTGCTATAAGCATGTGTTACTTTAAAGTCAGGGGAGGAATAACACTATTTTTAAAGTGTACAGAGGATGTTCAGTTTTCTTACAGACAACATGTCCTGACCACAGCTGTTATTTGTGGATGGGAGATAGTGGATTAAACTACTGGCTCTAATTCTTCACCCTTCCTTGTCCCTATTCACTTGACTGTGCAGTTCCTTCCTTACAGAAGGCAGAGTCACCCTCATGGCCTTTTCCCACTGGGTTTGGTGTGTGACTTCTTCTGGCCAGTGGAGTGTGGGAAGAAGTGACAGTTGCGAGTTCTGTGTCTTAAGAAGTTTGTGACAAGGCGCGGTGGCTCATGCCTGTAATCCCAGCACTTTGGGAGTCTGAGGCGGGTGGATCATGAGGTCAGGAGATCAAGACCATCCTGGCTAACATGGTGAAACCCGGTCTGTACTAAAAATACAAAAAATTAGATGGGCGTGGTGGCAGGTGCCTGTAGTCCCAGCTACTCAGGAGGCTGAGGCAGGAGAATGGCGTGAACCTGGGAGGTGGAGCTTGCAGTGAGTGAAGATCGCGCCACTGCACTCGAGCACTCCAGCCTGGGCGAGAGGGTGAGACTCCATCTCAAAAAAAAAAAAAAAAAGAAAAGAAGTTTGCACGCTCCCAGTGCCCTCTTGTCTGCCATTGTCATGGGAATAAGCTGATGCCCTGGCACATGCAGCAGTCCTGCAGCCCAAACCTGCAGCTGAGAACCACCCAGCTGACCTGCAAAGAAGTGGGAAATGCATGCTTACTATTGTGTGCCTCTCAGATTTTGTGGCTGTTTGTTACACAGCAATAGCTAACTGATACAGTGTGATTGAAATGTTTCTTTCACCTGTACTCAGGTCCATCAAGAGGATGCGTTTGTTGCCTCAGGAAGGTACAGCTGGATTGCAATGATAAGCGAACTGAAATCCAAAACATGTAAAAAATCAACAAACCAATTCTCAAGGATCTGCAGGGCAAAGAAGCCCTGACCTTCCCCTAATGATCTCAGCATATTTTCAGATGCCATTAGCATCTAAGATTTAGAGTCATAAAAGGTCAAAATCTCCTTGTCCTTAGATATCTTCCAGTCCTAAGACAACAACATGCGGTTCAAGTATGAAATTGTTGCCTAGTTTTCCATTGAATGGGCGTAGCATAAATAACTTTACCTCACTGAGGTCACGTGCAGATTCTTTCCAGTTTTTAACTGTTATGAGCAACATCCTATGCATTAGATCTCCATATACATCTCTGATTGTTTCTAAGGGCTAAATTCCTAGAGGTAGATTTCTGGGTTTGGTTATGCATATTCATAAAGCATCCAGTATCTGAGTGTCATTGTCCTCATCTGTTTGATGGAAGAAACTTGACCTCAGTGACCTGCATGATTTCTTCTCCTCTCCCCAGCTTCCCATTGTATTCAAACACCCCTGGGCAGGATGAGCCCTGAAACTAACATTATCCAAAGTCCTTAGTTTGATTAACTCAGACCTGAACCTCAGAAAGCAGGGCCCTGAGAGAAGTGGGAGCTGGAAAAGGCGAGCAATGAGGGTATCAGATCTTCCTTCACCCTCACACAATCCCATACAATGGATCCTCTCCCTGCAGCCTTGTGGGGCAGGTGAGAAAACTGTTCCCAATGAGTACCTGAGGCCAACTCTGCATCTGGACTGATTTCACAGCCCAGAGCCCTGAAGCTGTGGTGCTCTGCCCACTACCCGTCATTCCTCCAGGCAAGAGAGATAGCAGGTTGACCCCCTGTTCACCTCCTTCCCCCTATTCAGATGAACCCATGTCTGAGATCTGACTGGCCACCTGTGACTCTGCCTCACTCTGGAGCACAACATGTGGAGGGAAGAGCCTGGGACTCAGATGCACACGGGGAACCTGAGCTCTAAGCTGGGCTCAGCTACTGACCCGCTGGATTTCCTCAGACATAATTTCACCTCTCCAGGTGAAGTGAGACTGTCCAGCTGTTCGACCAAACAAGAAATTTTTTTTTCTTCCTGCGCATATAGCACAACTACATCTCCCAGCCTCCTCTGCAGGTAGGTGGGATCATGTGACTACATCCCAGCCAATAGCATGTGAGCAGAAGCATAGCACATAGCATGTGCTATGTCCACTTCAGGCCTTTGAGAACCTCCCATGAACTCCTCGCATTTTTGCTGGTCCAGTGCAGATAGTGCAGATGAGCAGGACCACCTGCCCTTCTTTCCTTGCCCAGGGGAACATCACACATAGCAGCTTGCTCCATCAGAGCATGCAGGCTAAGAAGGCAATAGAAAGAGTTGGCCAGCAAGATGGAAACTGGGTGTTGACAGGTGGGTGCCCTCCCCAGGGGCTATCCCGGAACAGACCCAGCCTCATTCCATCTCATGATACCTACCAATCAAGAACACCTGCTTTGGACATACAACTTGATTGCACTGGAGCCATTGTACATTTGGGGTTGGATTGTTAGTGCAGTTCATGTTCTCTTGAGTATATTCAGAATTCACTGAGCAATCTGCGCAGGCCCCGTGCTCCCTGCAGCGCACACATCTGCCTTTTCCACCCTCACAACAGGACTGTGATGTTGGGACTATCACCTCTGTTTTCCAGAGCAGATTAAGCTGGGATTCAGCCTCGGCTTCTGAATCCTGATCCCATGCCAGGCAACAGCTTAGAGGTTCTGGAGGACCTAACACTCCAGAATCCCACTGACCCTTGCTTCCTGCCTGATGAGCAGAGTGGTGAAGAGCCTGCAGGCTGGAGTCTGACAGGCCAGGGTCCAGGCCCTCAGGGAAGGGCTTGGTTTACCTATGCCTCAGTTTCCCCATCTGTCCAATGGAGCTGCATGACAGGATCCCCGACACGGGGTCTTTGGAGGGTGGAATGAGATCCTGAACATACAGTGTTTGCCACCGAGTGTGGACTTTTAGGGTGTGGGGTGGGTCACATACTCACCCGAAGCCAGTGCCCCCGCACCCGCCTCCCCTGGCCGCCTCCAGCCCTTTCCACCCCGGCCCTCTGCCTTCCTGACTCATCTTTAAGTAAAGGCTTTTCTTCGCCTCCGCGCAGCGCTCCGAAGCTCTGCTTTCCTGGAGGAACTGGGACACCTCCATCCATAGTGTTCTCAGGAAGCCCAGACGTGTCAATGATTCATTAGGCTGACTTCTCCATCAAGGGGTCTGGATTCTGGAAAACTTTTCCCCCAGTGGTCTGCTGAGAGAGTCACAGGGTCCTACTGTTTAGTGAGTCAGGAAGAGAAATGAGCCTGTTGCTCCCAAAGGGCGGAATGGCTGCTTGATCTAAGATAAGAGGGGAGGAAGGCTGACCTGGTTTGCACTTTTTTTTCGGGTGAGGGTGATGTGGGGGGTGCTGGCTTTCCAGGACTTCTCCCCAGGGCCGGGCCAGGATTCAGGGCAGGAGCAGGGGGAGGTGTAGGTGCTGCTGGCACTTGCGGTGGGTGGGTGGGGTGGAGTGGAAAGGCTGTTTGGAGGAGAATGAAAGTCTGCCCTGGCCTGTGTCCATCTGTGTGTGGCCCCATGTGAGGGAGCCTGGGCTACTAAGGTTCGGTCTCCGCTACCAGCTCTGGTCTCTCTGACCTCCCCCAGTTCTCCCCAGGGCTCAAGGGCCCCCCGTCACCACACACCTCTGCATCTGTGCTCAGCATTCTGGTAGTGGTTCTTTTCTTCATCTCAATGGTTGGGATGAGGACCGGAAACTAAAAATAGATGCAACCAAATTAAACAAGTCTATTAACTTCTATTCAGTTAAAGCATAAGCTGGCATTGCTGGCTTGTTGCATTTTAAAGCTGAAAGGAGCCTGAGAAGTTATTGGACCTAACACCTTCAATGAGTGTGACTTGCTCACTACTTAAACAGTGGGTCTCCTTGCCTTAGGAGGGAGCCTGACCCCTTAGCTCTGTTTCAGTTTGGTGGCACATTTGACCCCAGGATGCTTCTAGCCTCCTCTTTGTCACACTTGTAAATGGAAACTCTCCTCTGATGATGACACTTGTTGTTCCAATATGTTATGCACCTGCTCAGGTCTAGGTCTTTCTGTCTTTGTCTTCAGTCTGTCAAGTCCTCACTCTTCCCACCTGTGAAATTCTCGGCCCAGGTGTCCTCTCCTGCTGAAGCCTTCTCTGGTCCCACCAGGTGGAGCTAACTGCTCCATCATCAATGCTCTCCCAGCAAGCTAACCGGTCAGGGCCTTTGCCCCAGGGTGCCTGCCCCCTGCCTGGTGGAGCATTCCCTTTGCTGTTTGCATCAGTGTCCCTTCTCATCCTTTAGGTCTCAGAGAGCTCTTTCCTGTCCCCCACAGTCCAAGGTTGTCACTGTTCAGGCTGCCCTGAGCCAGACCGTAACATCATGCCATTTTGATTTCTCCGTTGCACCTGTCGCTACCTGGAATAGTCTTGCTGATGCATTGTTTATCTGTCTCTTTCTGCCTCCCCACTCCATGGTGTCAGCTCCTGGGGTGCAGGGACGTTGTCTGTTCACTGCTGCAGCCCAGGCCCCACACAGGGCTGCACAGGGTAGAATCACAGTGAGCCTTGGTGGGGTGAATAAACCTGAAGTTGAGACTTCCTCCAGATCCCAGGTTCTCTCCCTCCACTGTTCCTGAATGATTGCTGCTCCAGAGCAGAACACCCTTCTTTACCATGGCTGCCTGTACTGGCCATGCTGGCTCTCCTGGGCAGCACAAGGATCTCAGAGCCCCAGGCTGGACCTAGCCAGGCCACCCCCCTGTGATGCTTTATGGTTCCTCTCTGGACTCCTGACATCAGCCACATTTTGAGAGTATGGAGAAGGAGCGTTAAGGCCAGTCAAGTGGCTAAATCACATTTTTTAAAAATGGGCCAAACATGGATTTACACAATAGCCTGTGACAAATGCAGCTTCAGGGGACAATCTGGCAGGAAACATCCATTTTTTCAAAGGGCACACATGGCCCTGGTAGAAATAATGAGGGCTTTTTTAGGATTGTAATTATTCCCAGGTGCTGACAGGCCAAAGATCTGATCACTGCCGTCACCCAGCACTCACATGTGCACCCAGCAGGCTCTATTCTTGGGTCTCCAGGTAAGCGTCCTGCTCCCAGGGGTGGCTGGCATGTCCAGTGTATGTCCTTGTGGTTCCTGACCCCTCCTGCCCATGCACAGTCTTGGAGGGAATAGGACGCGGGAGGCTCCTGTGAGCACAGGGCCGGGGAAGCAGCAGGTCCTTGGCCAACGGTGTGTCTTTTCTCCTGCCACAGCTCTAGGGCAGGGGAGGCTTCAGCGTCTCCCGAATGTATCCAACAGGCTCCTGAGGGTGGGGGTGCAGTGATTAGAGATTGGGGCTACAAGGCTGTTGCTTAGCAGAGAAATAAGGGCCCCCACTGTACAAGCTGGAAAGGGCCGTGGTGGCTGCCCACCTGAAGGCTTGATGGTCCTGATGGGGGAATAGAGGCCTATGGGTATGCTGAAGGGTGAATGATGTGAGTGCTGGGTTCTGGGAAGATTGTCAGTGCTGAGGTCCCTGCAGGAGGGACGGACTCACCCATGTGGTGCAGCTGCAGAGGGCCAGGCACAGCCCTTGGCCTTGGCATCTTACTTAGGGTTCATACCAGCCCTGTGAGCTAGGTGTTAGCCTGTTTCCCAGATGAGAAAAGTGAGGCTCAGAGAGGTTAAGTGACTGGCCCAGCATCCCACAGCAAATCCCTCCTCCCCTTGAAAGTGGCCAATCTGGAAAAGACACCCAAACTTCCCGGCTTCCACACCAGGAAGTGCTCCCCAATTCCACTTGCTCTCTGTCCTCCAGGACTAGAAGGGAGGAGGCAGGGCAGGATCAGGGACCTCAGCTGGGCCCTACTCCTCAGGAAGTACACATTGCTGCCCCTCCTGCACTGATGGGGTGTGCATGCTGAAACAATTAGAAGGGGAGAAAGGGCCAGGGTCATGGCACTAGTTTAGTGCCGTAATTTAGTGCCGTGTGGGGATGCAGGCTGCCCAGAATTGCAGGACTTATTGGTTTCTAACATCCCTCTTCAAGGCAGCTCTTCGCTAAGACCTAGAGCAGCTCCCAGCTTCCACTTGGGTCCTCAACCTGTCCTTCCTCTACACTGAGCTTCCCTAACCCTGCCTCCAGGCTCAGCAGGGGTTCCTGGCCCCTCACCCTGGAGTTTCTCTGCCAGTTCAGTTTCTCTGGCTCCTGGTCCTACCTGATGTTGGGTTTATCTTCACTGCCTCCATCGTGGACCAAATTCCATCAGAGTAGCCTGGACCTTGCAACAGCTCCAACAGGTCCACCGTCCACCCCTGTGTGCCTCCCTAATCCCGCCCTGCAGCAGCCCAGGGGAGCCTTCAAAAAAGTCGAATGAAATTCAGTCTCTCCCCTACTTAAACCCAACAGGTCTCATTAAAATTCAAAACCAACACCCCATCAATTTCTTGGCATATTGATCAGTGTCTAGGCATGGGAGAGGGGCTGCCCAATGGGGCTAGGGCCAGAGGAAAGGAACGCAGCCATTGCAGCCATGGCTCAAAGGGAGTGAACCAGGGAATAAGCTCCCCTGCCTCTCTCTCCTCCCATCCCCTGGTCTCCTCTGGTGCCTCCAGAACCCAACAGGAGCCAGGACACAGGAGGGCACTGGAGCCCTATTGATGCTATCCATGCAGGTCAGTCTCCTTGTACAGAGTGGGGAGGGGGTGAAGGTGTGTCTGGAGGGCACACAGAGGATAGTATATTTTCCCCTCCCCAGCCTGTGGTGGGGACTGTTAGCTCCATAATAAAGATGTGGGGCCTGATCAGGGAAGCCGAGCTGCTCAGTGATGGAGCTGACTCCAAAGCCTTCAGGCTTCCTCATCCCAGTTGAGCCTCTCCCAGCAGAACCACGGATGGTTCCCACCTATGGGCAATGGGCAAGGCATTCAATAACAGTGCTGGTTTAAGATGCCACCACCACCACTAATGGTGAACAGCTACTTAATTTCAATGAAAGAAGAACTTTCCAGAAGCTGAAGCTCTCAGTTTTGTGATGAGCCCAAGTGCCTGACCTGGCAGTGAAGTCTCATCTTCCCATGCCCCTGGCTGCCAAGTGCAGAGAGCATCTGATATGGTTTGGATTTGTGTCCCCGTGCAAATCTCATGTTGAATTGTAATTCCCAGTGTTGGAGAAGGGGCCTGGTGGGAGGTGACTGGATCAATGGGGTGAACTTCTCCCTTGCTGTTCTCATGATAGTGAGTGAGTTCTCATGAGATCTGGTGGTTTAAAAGTGTGTGGCAATTTCCCCTTTGCTCTTTCTCTTTCCTGCCCTGCAATGGTAAGATGTGTTTGCTTCCCCTTTGCGTTCTGCCATGATCATAAATTTCCTGAGGCCTCCCCAGCCATGCCTCCTGTACATCCTGTGGAACTGTGAGTCAATTAAACCTCTTTTCTTTATAAATTTCCCAGTCTCAGGTAGTTCTTTTTAGCAATGTGAGAGCAGACTAATACAGCATCCCAGGAGGGAGGGGGAGGCCTGGTGGGCAGGTGGAGACTGCTGAAGCTCCCGGGAGGGGGAGGCCTGGTGGGCAGGTGGAGACTGCTGAAGCTCCCAGAAGTGGAGAAGACTGTGGGCATAGGGGGCCCTCTGAGAGCCATAGCAGTGCCTGCCTTGCAGAAGCTTACTTGGCATTGGAGCCTTAGCCCCACACTCCAGGGAGCTGCTGGGGTGCCAGCCTCCCTCCTCAGCCAGCTCCTGCTGCAGCTGCTCTCTGTGCCAATGGAGCTGGGCGGGGCACTGCTGGTGCTAATATTGTTCAAGAACAATTGCATATAGTTCTCATCCATGAGTCTCCCTAAAGGCCTGAAATCACGGGAGGCTCTCTGATGGTGGACCCAGCTCAGGCTGGACACACTGAGCTGACCGAGGCTTGGACACAGAGGTTCTGCCCATCACATTGCTGTGTGCCCTTCAGAGAGCCACTGGGTCTCTCTGGGTGACCTCTGGCAATCCCTCAATGGAGTCCCACTTGGGGCCAGACCAAGGAGCATGGCCCCTGCTTTCAGGGACTAAAGCAGAGATGTCACGATACTGCTTGGGGGGTGTGGGAGTGGGGAGGGTTAATTTGACTGTAGACTTACTGACTCACGTCATTGCAAAAGCTGCCCATAGCCGCCCCTAGGTTGCACTCAGGCCAGGGGTGCGGGCTCTGGGCACAGTGTTCACCCTTAGGTCAGCTCTGCAGCCCCGATCTGGGCAAGAAGGGAGAAACAGGCTCTTGGAGGTGGTGCAGGGCCACTTGGGGGGGAAAATTCTGGGGTCCCAGAATGAGGTCTAAAGAGGGCCACCGTCCTGCTGGGCTCTCCGTTTGGCTCTGCAGAATCCTCACCCCAGGGAATGGGGCGCAGTGGGGGAGAGCCTAGTTGGGACCCTCCAAAGCAGAGGGGCCTCTGGTGACCTGGTTTAAAGGCAGTTCTGCCCTAAATGTTTGTCATGTCCCTTCCCCAACCCTTACCATAGCTTCAAGACCCAAACAAGCCCATCCAGTGGGCGCCCTCTCACCAGAACTGCGCACCCTCTAGCCCCCTCCTTCAGCTTGTCCCCCACCCCAACCCCTCCCCGCCTCCTCCACCCCCTGCCTGCTGGCTCTGCCCACTGGTCTGCTGGGTTCTGCTGCAAGGGGAGTGCGACTGATGGAACTTGATGGAATCTAAAAATGAGTTTTCACCGCGTGTCAACCCTTCATCTTGCACTGTGAGACTCTGAGCATTTTATAGCAGGAGAGAACGGAAACAAAAAAAAGAAAGAAAGAAAAACACTTGTGTTTCTTGAGATAAATAGGGAGTGTTGGCAAGGCTGAAGTGTTAGAAACATTTCTTGTCTGCTGTTGACACCGTGAATGCTGCCTGATAAGCTTTCCCTTATCTTCGTTGAAGTGTCTCCATGCAGAGAGAGGGCTCCATTGCCCACCCCCTCCCACCTCCTGTTTTCAGGCTGCGGGACAGGTCAGCCTCTTCCATCCACACAAACAAACCCTGTAACACCTTTCCGGCTCTGCCAGGGGCACTTCACTTGAACCAGAGTTGATTGGTTTTGCAGGTCTTCCTCTCTTGTGGGGAAGGCACACACACATAGGTGAATAAGTGGTAGTTCTCACAGTGCCCCCGCAGCACCCAATGCTGTCCTCAGCCACCAGCTCTACTGACTTCTTGGAAACATCCTCTTCTTCACTCCAGCATCTTTCTACATCACCAGGTAGAAGATCACCAGCCTTAAGCAAGCTTACCAGGCAAAGGGCCTCGGTGAACAGAGAGGCCTGAGGTGGTGGTTAGTCCTGGTGTATTAGTCTGTACTCACGCAGCTAATAAATACATACCCAAGACTGGGTAATTTATAAAAGAAAGAGATTTAATTGAATCACAGTTCCACATGGCTGGGGAGGCTTCACAATCATGGTGGAAGATGAAGGAAGAGCAAAAGGACTTCTTACATGGCAGTGGGCAAGAGAGCTTGTGCAGAGGAACTCCCATTTACAAAACCATCAGATCTCATGAGACTTACTACCATGAGAAGAGTATGGGGGAAACCGTTCCCATGAATCAATTATCTCCATCTGGCCCTGCCCTTGACTCGTGGGGATTATTACAATTCCAGGTGAGATGTGGGTGGGGACACAGCCAAACCATATCACCTGGAGTCTGGGGAACTTGACCCAACACTGAACCCCCACTGCAGAATCTGAGCCACCTGGTTCCTGCCCTGAAATTCACAGGAGCAGAACTTGGGTTCGTGGTGGGTGCCCTCACTGAAGGGAAGTGATGTAGGGTGGTTAAGGGTGTAGGCTCTTGGTTCAAATTCTGGCTCAGTCATTTCCTTGCTGTGCCACCTTGGGCAGGTCGCTTCACCCCCATGAGTCTCAGTTTTCTTGTCATGAGACATAGATAAGAATTTGAAGATTAGGTGAGAAAATGCCTGGAATAAGACTAACACAGTACCTGAGACATAGTAGGCATTTGATATGTGTCCACTGTCATCAATTAGTATTCATAGTGATGCAGCTGGGTGACACAGAGGCTCTCTAGGGCTTGATCCTGAACCTCCAGGGATCATAGGTCATCCCACTCCCACCTCCATGCCTTTCGGTAGGCTCAGGGACGGACACCCTGATGGCCACTTCTTGCAGGCAGAAGCTGCATGCAGGATGAATACAGATGAGCTGGGGCCCAGCTCACAGGAGGCCAGGCTGACCCAGTGCATTACAGGAATGGCCTGTGTGATTGTCCCTAAAGAATCAGAAGGAGCATGGGCTGAGCATGGTGTGAGGTGGGGGCCACATCTCCTGCCAGGGGAGGGCTGGGGAGACCTCTGCTGCTCTCTCATCCTTCTGGGCACTTAAAGGGAGAAAAAGGAGACTGGATGGAACTGGAAGACTCTGTTCTTACCCATGTGGGTTCCATGAGTGACACATCCTCAAAGTTCACCTTACAATTTGCAGATGAGGACACTAGGGATTAGAGGGATCAGTTCAATCCCCAGTGACCCCACAGTGAGTGAGTTAGCTAGAGCGTTGTGGATCCTGAACAACTCCCAGGCTAGGACTCCTCCACTACCATCCCTCTGCAGGAGGCGACCCAAATCCCCTTCCCCTGGGCAAGGATCCTCCAGTGTGCCCACTGGCCAGCTTCTTGAAGCCCCATCATTTTTCTTGTCTTCAAAGTCTTTCCACCAAATATGCGTATGTCCCCTCCACCTGCCCCAGGGCTCAAAGTTGTCCCTGAGAAGTCCTTCTTTGGAGGTAGCTTTGTAGGAATGTTGAAGTATCTTCTACTTTAAAAATGGGAGTGGAGACTGGGAAACATGCCAGCATCCATTTCCTCAACTGCTCCCACTTGACTCAGCCACCATAATCTTTTTCTCCACTTGCCTTGGACCCTCCCCCAACCAAATTACAGGGATATCAGTGCCAAAGGTGATTTGCACTTAGTTTATTGACAAGTGGCCTCCCCGCTGTGCAGATGTGGAGCTTAGAATGAATCAGAGTGTATATGATGAAGAGAAAGTAGGAGGATTTGCAAGTAACTGTGTGTGGGTTTATATTTACATAATTCCTTCGAGTTTTAGATTTTCCTCTTCTTTATGGGTTTGTGGGTGAATTTTATGTCTTAGCTGATCTTGCAAGTCAGTAAAAAGAAGAGATAATGCATAGCACAAGTTTCAGCTCAGACAAACCCAGGTTTGCATCCCAGCTCTCCCATGAACCCTGTACATGGTACTGTGCCTCAGTATCCCCATCCCCAGAAGAGGCTAATCAGCATGCACACCACAGGGCTGTTGAGAGGATTTGATGGGATATGCATTAGTTATCTATTGTCAGGTAACAAATTACCCCTCAAATTTAGTGGCTTAAAACAACACATATTTATTACCTCACAGTTTCTGTGGGGCAGAAATCTGGGCACAACTTAGCTGAATCCTGTGCTTCAGTGGCTCTCACAGGTTGCAATACAAGTATCAGCTTAGGCTGGGATGGCACCTGAAGGCTCGACTGGGGAAGGATCTGCTTCCAAGCTCCTGCACTTGTTGGCAGGACTCAGTTCCTAGAGGGCTGATAGGCTGCAGGCCTCAGTTCTTGGCTGGTTCTTGGCTGGAGGCTGCTTCAGTTCCCTGCCACGGGAGTGTCTCCCACATAGCAACCTGCTTCACCAAAACCCAGAAGACAAGAAGGCAATATAAATAATCAGCCGGCAAGGCAGAAGTCACAGTCTTTTGTAACCAAATCATGGAAGTGACATCGTGTCACCTTGTTGAAGAAATAAGTTGCAGGTCCTGCTTACTCTGTCATCCCAGGAGGCTGGGATCTTTCAGGCCACCCCAGGCTTCCTCCCATTGGATAATTCATTACAGTGCTTAACACAGAAATTACCTGGCCTCCCACTACATCCCAGTCAGCCTCTCCCCACCCTGCCCTTCACCACTGCTCATTCTTCCCCTCAATCATTTACTCAGCAGGAGTTTGTTTGACACCTGCTCCGGGTCAGACCGTGGGTTGGACACTGGGAACAAGAAGACTCAGGCCCAAGGAGCCCCAGTCTATGGGGGAGGTAGGAATTCACAGTAATGTCATCCCCCAGGCCACTCAACCCTCCTCTGCCCACCGTGAATTCCACTCAGCCCCCTTGGCAGAATGCAGATGGACATGACACTCTGGCTCCCAGAGAACTAGATCATTCTGAGGCCCCCCTCCCCTCTCTCCCCACCTCTGCCTAAACTTTCTTTAAGAACCATAAAATAAAACTTGTTTATGCCAGGGCTTTGGTGCTGGGAATGCAGGCAGATGGCACCAACTTAGCAGCCTGGCAGACACAGAAGGTTCTGAACACAATCAGCTGGAATGGCCCAGATCTTCCCCCATCTCTGAGCCCAGTGTGGAGGCAGCCCTGGGAACCCTTCCCCGCTCCCCTCCTGACCAGACATCCTGTCAGCCAGAGGCTCAGAGAAAGGAAAGCAGGGGCCTCAGGAGGAGGCCCAGGGTGACAGGGCATCGTCCATCACCACCGCAGAGGGGCAGAGACAGGCTTGCTGTCCAGGGCCTTACACTCCCCTTTCACAGCGCAGGGCCAGTGCTGGGCAGGGGCTGCCCAGCCAGGGATGACTTGGCCCAGCCCCACTGCATCTAGGTGGGGCCACCGTTAACTCTGGCCAGTGGAATGTGGGTGGAAATGATGTGGACACCTCTGGCCGAGGTGGTTAAGCATCTGGACACCTGCTCCTCACTCACTTCTCCTTCCTTGATTCCCCTGGAGGCCATGCATGTTGATGATGTCATCCCAGATCAAGGAGTCTGGATCCCTGCATCACTACTCAGAAGAGCCACCCCCTGGAGGAAACGCCCCAGGCCAGCAGCAGCCACCTGGGCTTTGCCTGGGAGAGAAATCAACTCTTCCTGGGTGAAGCCACTGGGATGTGGGGGCTGTTTGTTATGCACTTCACCATCCTGACTGATACGGCCCAGCCCCACTCCTCATCCCTCCATCCAGCAGGTATTGATCAGGCTCCTCTATGTGCCAAACTCTGTGCTAAGGATGGGGACACACTGTGACTGAGACCCACAAGGTCCTTGCCACCACGAGGCTCTTGACTGCAGAAGCAGCCAAGCAAAATGAGCAAATGAACAACCAAATAATTCCATGCCGTGAAAAGGACCAGGAAGGAAAAGAGATGATGATGAAAAACCAATGCCAGATTTGGGGAAGTCCTGGTTGGCAGGAAGGAAACTTGAGAGGGAGGCTGGGAAGTGCCCCAGAGAAGGAGGGAGATGTAGGGCAGAGGAGGTTCCTGCAGAGAGGACAGAGGGGCAGGCCCCACCAGGCCTCGCCACTCCCAGCTTTATGCAAATTACTTCCCTCCACCCTTAGGATAATTGGGATAAGGGGCTGTTATTATCCCCATTTTACAGGGGAGGGAACTGTGACCCCAGAGAGGTGGGGTGATGGGGCCAAGTCACAGAGCCAGGAAGTGTGTTTGTCTTAGTTTTTGCTCTTTCCCATGTGGAGATGTGTCTGTGCGTGTCAAAGTCACCCTGGCAGTCGCTGGGTCCCTCTGGGGAGAAGCAGGCCTGGTTGTCCCTGCAGCCCTCCTGCAGGCCTCTGACAGCTCTGTCTCCCCCACCAGCTGGACCAGGGCTCCTCACACTTTAAAGTATGCACCCAGCACCTCAGGTGTGTGTTAAGTGCAGAGTCAGGCTCACCTGAGGTCCGGGGTGGGGCACAAGAGCCTACATCTCCCCACTGATGTGGATGCTGCTGTCACCTTCTGGGGCAGCAAGGACCTAGAATGGAGGGCAGCTTGGATTGAGCCCAGCTGGCCTGACCTTCTAGCCTGGCTTTCAACCTTCCAGTCTAGAGGACGGGCAGTCTAGATGACTTCCAGGAAGAGGATAGGACCCCACCCTAAAGATGGCCTGAGGCCAGGGAGGGTGTGGAGGAGAAGCAAGAAAGGAAGGGAGAGACTCCCACTGTCCGGGTCCTCTGGGTGTTTGAGTGACTCGTCCAAGGTCACATGCTGGATGGAGCAGCCACCCAAACCCAGCCTCAGATCAGGACCTCTGCTCTTTTGCCCAGGCAGAGGTACTGGAAAAAATTTCTCTCTGACCCATGGAATTGGGCTGGATGTGGCTCAGCATGAGGCAGGCCCCGGGAGAAATGTTTCATTCCAGAAAGCTCTTCTGAGAGCAAACTCTGAGTAGCTCTCAGATCTACCTGCAGTACTAAGTGATTTGTTCCTGATTGAGCAAAATGTCAGAGGTCACGATGTGACCATTTTTAATGTTCGAGTGTTTCTGCTTCCCTCACCTCTCACAACCTCCAAATTTGCGATTTTCTTCTCTGTCTCCTTCCCTCATGCTACGCCTAGGAAGCAAGGCCCCTCTCTTTCTTTCCTTCTCCCTTTTCTCTCTCTCTAACTCTTCTTTCCTTCCTTCCCTTCTTTCTTCCATCCAGTATTTTAGATTCTGCTTTGTGACCTGCAGTGTTCTAGACCCCAACAAGCCACAGTCCCTGAGATGCACAGAGCTCTACACTGTTCTCCTGGAACCTGCAGTCCCTGGGGAAGACAGAGGAGGTGATTAAGGTGGGACCCTGGCCTGCCCAAGACTGGCTCTCTCACAGGACCCTGGGAGTGGACAGTGGCACATAAATCAGCAGTGACAATCCAGACTCCCTCCTTCCCTCCCAGCCAGGATGCAGCAAAAACACAAAGTGTGTGGGCAGGAGAGGAAAGGGGCACTAACTCTGCATATCAGGGAGGGCTTCCTGGAGGAGACATTTGAACTGACTGTTAAAGAATAAATGGGCATGACCAGTAGAAGACAATGCCAGGGCAGAATATGTCAAGAGGATTCTCTTCCAAGGTTGTTTACTGAGTGGATGAATGGATAAATGGGAGAATGAATGAATGAATGAGTTTAATCCAGACTCACCTTTTGCCAACAGAGCTGGGCCTAATGTCCAAGCTCTGACACTTGCTCAGGTGGCCCTCTGCCCCTCTGGGAGAGGAAGGCCCTTCTCCTCCAGCTGCCAGAGTCCTCCCTAGGGCTTCAGGGTCTCCCTTAACCCCAGGAGTCTCCTGCTCAGGATCCTGGAAGCTCGAGGTTCTCCCAGCCCTGGATTTCTCTGTCTGTAGTTTGCTCACAGCTTTCAAGAAGCAGCAGAGCCATGGAGAAGAGCACAGACCTGGGCACAAAACTCACCCATGCCCCCTTGGTAGCTGTGTGGTCTTGAGCAAGCCACTGCATCTCTCTGATCTTCAGTGCTCTCGTCTGGAGAGTAGCTTGATTATAATGATGCCTACCCCAGTAGCCTACCCATCTTTGCATATGACTTCCGCTATGAAGAGGTGGCGTTTCTTTACTACTGCCTCAGTATGCACGGTCCTGTGACTTGCTTTGGCCAATAGACTATGTTGCATGTGTAGGTGTCGATTTGAAGCCTGTACCTCAAGGGACTCCCCCATTTGGAAATTTGACATCTCTGTTTAAACAACCTGAGGCCATCTTGCTGGATAATCAAAGACTACACAAGGCCCTCAGATAGGAGAGAAAGCCAGGCAACATCAGCAAAGCCAACACACAGATGAGGTAATAGCTGACTTCAGAAGACGGAGAGTGCTTGACCAATGCAGCAGAATTGTCCAGCCCACTCAAAGAGTTGGGAACTCAATCAGTACCCATTGATTGAAGCTACTCATTCTCATGGTTGCAGCACACCATCACAGTGGCAACATATAACTGGAATATGCTCCAAAGTGTTATTGTGAAAATGAAGTAAATCAGTAGATAGAAGGGCTTAGAGCCTGTGCCTGGTACCCAGGAGGCTCTAAATGGGTATTGCTAGGGTTATTGCTTCAGCAGTGCCTGCCGTCAGGTGGAGCTTGTCCTTGTCATCAAAGTAAAGGTCGGGATGAATGGCTTCCTCCATGCTCATGATGGGGCTCCCACATGTCATCACCAGCCTGGACACCAGGACATTGTTACTTAGTAGCTCTTTGGGAAATGTCTTCACCTCTCTGATGTTGTATTTGCTCATTTGCAAAGTGGGGAAGGGGAAGCTAACATTGCAGAGTTCCTGGGAGCCTCCTGTTGTGCAATCAGCCAAGTTGAGCCCACTCAGGTTCCTGCTCTGGGAAATATTGACCCACGATGCAAAATGAATTGTTGTGGGAGCCCACCTTGAAGGGCACCATCCAGGGGGTTGCACAGGGAAGGAGGGGGAGACAGGCTTGGGTGACTCTCAGTCCTGGAGGGCCTGACTCTGTCCTGTGTCCTTTCCTCAAGTCCCCTTGATTTATTTGGGGTGATTGGTTCATATCCAAACATCCCTGGCTGGTCTTTTCTCTCTCATCCAATAAGAGCTGATTATCACAGCAGCCCAGACATTTCTCAGTGAGCTGGCCCTTCCTGAAACATCAGGGAAATATCTGCTTCCCCTTGTAAGATCCTTGCGGACAATGACTTTGTTGTTCTTATTTATCCTGTCACTCCCTCACTGAATACGGGATCAAGCATACAGTTGGTGCTCAATAATGACGTGTCAAATAGCTAAATGAACGCCCCACAGATGCCGACACTCATCATTCCCGTCCCCTCTTTCCCGGAAGCTGTCCTTCTCCCTCTAGGATGAGCCACAATGCTCCTACCTTCAGATCACACTGTCCAACACTGTCTCCATCTTGGTCCACTGTGCTGTGGCTTAAGGGTTGATTTGGAAACACAGATCTGATCACATCAACCTTGCTTCCTCTTTGCCCTCCACTGTCTCCTTGCTGTTGGGATGAAGACTCAAATCCTTAAAGTGGCATTTGAGACCCTTGCACAGTCTTGGGTCCTGCTCTTTCTGCAGGCTCCCACCCACTCCCTGCCTTTTAGCCACACAGGCCTTGAACTTCTTTGTGGTTGCCAAGAGCCCTCCAGCCGCTGGGCCTTTTCATGTGCTATTGCCTGGTCTGAACACTCTCTCTGAGCTCCAAGCTCACCTGATAACTCTGCTTCGTTGTTCAGATGGCAGCCGAGGGGATCACATCCTCAGGGATGCCCTCCTGGCCTGCCTTGAAATCCCCTCTTCAAGTGCTCTCACGCATGCTGAGCCTCTCCTTTGGAGCACCTATCATTTTACGCTGCTTCGTGTGATTCTAGATTAGATTAGTCTCTGTCTCCTCTAGACTGAGCTCCAGGAGGGACCGTGGCAGTTTTGCTTACTGTTGATTCCCCTAACACAGTGGTTGTCCCATAGTAGGTGGTCAACACATGTGTTACATACAGAATGGTGGCACTGCAGGTTTCAGAGTCCCTCCCAGGGTGGGGACTATGACTCAGGCGGATGGCTGGTACTAGGGTCAGGCAAGCGAGGTGCCTAGGCCACAATATTTAGGGAGGCATTCGGCCATCTCCAAATCGCTGGTGCCAACCTCAGGGTCTGCGTTTCATTGGCATTACCAAATGCCAGCCAAAGGGAGTGAGGGGAGACAAGAGGGAAAAGACTCGAGGTTTCAAAGAATTGCCGGCTCAGCTTCCTGGGCCTACATCTGGAAAGCTGATCTGTGCAGAGGACGGATGCCTCTCCCACGCACACAGGCATCTGGCTCCCAAAATAGTCTTAAGAATACCCCTCTGCAGCTGAGCTGATGTGTATTTTCATACCCGCCTGATGTTGTTTTGCTTCTGCAGGCTCATTACAGGAACAGGAAAGAGAAATGGACTAATTGTCCCAATTGTGGACATAATGGGGGGATTCTTACCTTTGCAAGCTGCGGCTCACATGGGGAATTTGCAATGGAAATCTCAGGGCCCTTTGGTTACACAGTTCTCAGCTGATGAGGCGCTTTGCAGCAATTGTCTGTGTGGCTGGTGGGGCTGACTGGCTGATGGAATGTGGTCTAATGGCCTCATCAGAGGCTCTTGTGAGACCACAGTCCCCCTTACGGAAGACGGGCAAGGGTGCCGCTCCCATTCCAGCACACCTGGGCCGGGAACCAAGTGAACAGGAGGTTCCCAGCAGCTCCTGCTCTACCCGACACACCACCCCCTACCTGGGAGCTGCCTCCCATCCTGCCTGGATGCAGCTCCACCTGCTCTGAGGAGAGGGTCTTGGGGAGCCTGTTCCAGGAAGACCTTGACCCTCCTGGTGGAGAAATCCAGGCCTGAGTCCTAAAGATTTGGGGGCAGCAAACTGTGGGCTGTGCCTCCCTCCCTGCATGCTATTCCTCTCCAGTGTGTTCTTCAGGACCCAGATTGGGCTCCCCCTCCTTCAGGAAGCCCTCCCTGATGCCTCCAGCCCATGCTGGCCTCTTCCTTTCGTAACTCCTGACCCAAGCTCTGCAGGGCAGTGTAGGGCTAGGGAGGAGCATGGACCTTAGTGGCAGAGGCTGGGGTTTGAGCTTCCTCTGGCCTACCAGAATGTTTGATCTTGGGCAAATCGTTTGACTTCTCTGAGACTCCATTTCCTCCAGATAGAATGATGTATTTGAATTCACTCGTTCATACAAGCATGCACGCATGCATTCTGTGGTAACGGAAATTAAGGCAGAGTTTAGTTAAGGCACAGTGGGAATGTGAGGAATGATGTTCTGGCTCAGCTCCCCTCCAAGGACACCTGCCCTCGGTGTCCTCAGCAGAGTGGCCACCCTTCTGGGCATCCTGGGGCCCACCTGATGACACATGTTCAGGAAGCTGGATCCCTGGAAGAATGTGGGGATTCTGGGATCTCTGCTCCCCTGGGGAGATACCAGGCAGTCCCCTCTTGACCTCCTCCTGAGAGCCCAGGATGCAGTGGATGGAGCACTGGCCTGGGAGTCACAGGGCTCTGGCTTCAGACCATGCTTTTCCCCACTGCAGCCCCCCAGGCGGGCCACCGGCCACCTGTAAGTCCCTGTGTCTGTGCCTCTACAGTGGGGCTAATAACACTTGGGTACTGGCTATGGATTTACGATGTGCCAGTCACAAAGTTGAATTCTTATCCCAGTGACTCCTCACCACGGTCCTGTGAGCTGGGTCACTCCGCAGATGAGAAACCCCAGCTCCAAGGAGGAGACATGGTTTGCCCAAGACCACACAGCTGGTAAATGGCAGAGTATCAAAATCTCACATGTACTCCGTAAATACGTACAAATATTATGAATCAATAGAAAATTTAGGACAAAGAGCCAGGATTTCAGTGCCGCCTCCTCCAATGGGCTCATCCATTCTGTGTGGACACATTGTGTAAACCTCGGTGGACATGTGTGGAGTTACTGTTACTGTCCTTCCACGCCAGTGTCCACTGGCCAGGGGAACAGGGTCCCAGTCCTCATCTCTGCAGCTCTGAGCCCATTTCCGATATCTCCTGGGGTTGGTGTTTCTGCACAGAAATGCAACCACCTCCCTGAGCCCTGCTGTCCTCCTCCAAGGGCCCAGTGGGCAGATGCTGCTGCTGATGGGGAAAAAGTTGATCCTTCAGCAAGTTTTAATTCCCAGAGCCATGGTCCCCATTAGGCTGTCTGCAGCTTGTGTGCAGTGGGTGGGAAGCAGAGAGGGAGAAATGGCCAGGCTCATTCATTCTTTTTCCCTTCATTGCCCAAATGTTTACCTGGCATCTATTATATGTCAGGTACTATGTTTTCTGGTGGTGGCTACAGAGCAGAACTGGGACTCATTCATTGGTTTACGGGTGACAGAAAGACATCTCAAACTGACCCAAACAGAAAAAGAAATGCATTGGTTCATGAAACTGGAACATCTGGGAGACTGCTGGCTTCAAGTGTGCCTTGATCCAGGGGCTCAAGCAGTTGTACCTAGTCTGTGCAGGCAGGTGTACAGTAGAAAGCAAAACAGACAAGGGTCGCTATCTTCTGAGGCTCATGTTCTGTCTGCCCTGACCATCTCTCTTTTTCTATTTTACTCCATCTTTCAGAGATTTGTCTATCTGTGTCGGCTTTCTTTTTAGACAGTCTCCTCCTACAATGGGCACCTGCAATGCCAGTCTTATATTCTACCAGCTTAGCAACCATAAGGAAAGGAAAGAAAGAGCCTCTTTTATGCTATTTTCTGCAAGTCCAAGGGCAAACTCTGATTGGATTAACCTGGATCACATGCCCATCTCTGAGCCAATCACTAAATTCAGTGGAATGGAAGTCACTGATTGGCCAGGCCTGAGACACATGTTTATCCTTAGCGCCAGTGCTGCAGGGCTGGGCTCTGTCCTGGTCAAAGAACCTAGACAAAGAGTATGTGGTAGGCGAGAGGCACAGTTTCCAAAGGAAAAGTTAAAGAATGTTAGATGTGGTGAGAGGATCGTGAGCAGGTAAACACAATGTTATTGTTCAGAGTGAACCTAATTCCTGCCTCTTGCTTGGCAGCTGGGCTGGGATGGCCAAACTCAACTGGACTTATGTGGGTGACCCTGAGGAATCTCCACAATCGGAGGGAGATGATTCACCTGCAATCTAGCACCGCCCCTGGGCTCTGACATCCTGGCTTAGGTGACCATACCTGACTTCAGTCCACCTCAGCTGACCCGGTCTCCATCTGAGGGGTGAGGGTGGGCAGAGCTGTCCTGATGCTGCTGGGCCCACAGAGTGCATGCTGGCTCAACTACTTCCTGGCTGTGAGACCCTGAGTAAGTTTCCCAATTTCTCTGAGTCTCGGTATCCTCATCTATAAAATGGGAATGATTAAACTGACCTTGTAGCAGGTAGGGTTGCTGTGAAAGCTAATGACAACACCTGTGACTCCCCTAGCCTCAGCACACAGTAGATACTAACTGGTCTTACTGTTTTACGAAGAGCTCTGGAGAAGGAGGCTGGTGCATAGGAGGCTCCTGATAATTCTTAGCTGTACTCTAATCATGATGACGATGACAATGACCATTAATGCCAGTGATGGTGACATTTGCTGCCCCATTCCCACATCCACTCTCCCGTCATCAGGTGTCAGCCCCTCCTTACTGGTCCATGTCCCCCAAGGCTCTGTCACCAAGGAGGGGCTTCATTCTTTCTCACTGGCTTAGTTGATCCTGTGACCCACATATCAGAGGACGGGCACGTTTGCTTTGGTCAGGACTTCATCTTGCTGAGCTCACACTGGGAACTAAAGCTCCCTGGCCCAGGCCAGCGGTGACCAGCATGAGCTTGTGTCTTTCCGTTTCTGATTGTGATGTTCACAGTTCATAATCTGACCGAGGTTTATTCTCCTTTCTCACCTCCCGAGGAGAGACCATCATAACAGACCTAGCACCAATTTCCTATGACTATCTGGGCACAGCTTTCCCATACAGACTTATGGATTCTTGGACCACCAAAGGAGGGAGGAACTAGGGGATCATCTCGTCCAACCCCCTCATGTACAGCTGGTGAAATTGAGGCCCACTGTGGGTACATGATCTGGCAGGGTTACACAGTACATTGGTGGCAGTGCAGTGGCTAGGACTCACTCTTCTGACCTGCAGCCGATACTCTCCCAGCTCTACCTTAGCCCACGGATTTTAGGCCTGGAGTGCTGGCTGGGCCCAGAATTTCAAGTCTGGGACAGACAAGGGAGGGGCAAATTTAAATAGAAGTTGTCTTAGTCTGTTTGGGCTGCTATAACAAAATACCATAAATTGAGTAGTTTATCAACAACAGAAATGTAATTGTCACAGTTCTGGAGGCTGAAACATCCAGGATCAAAGTGCTGGCAGATTTGGCATCTGGTGGGGGACGGCTTTCTGATGCAGAGATGGCACCTTCTTGCCGTGTCCTGACACGGCTGAAGGGAAGGGACAAGGGAGCTCTCTGAGGTCCCTTTGATAAGAGAGGTAGATGGAGCTGGGCACAGTGGCTCACACCTGTAATCCCAGCACTTTGAGAGGCTGAGGCAGGTGGATCACCTGTGGTAAGGAGTTTGAGACCAGCCTGGCCAACATAGTGAAACCCCGTCTCTACTAAAAATACAAAAATTAGCCAGGTGTGGTAGTGTGCACCTGTAATCCCAGCTCCTCGGGAGGCTGAGGCATGAGACTAGCTTGAAGCCAGGAAGCAGAGGCTGCAGTGAACTGAGATCATGCCATTGCACTCCAGCCTGGGAAACAGCAAGACTCTGTCTCAAAAAAAAAAAAAAAAAAAAAAAGAGAGAGACTGTGAGGCTGTCACTGTGGAGTCCATGTCATAATGGGCTGAAGTTTTCTCAGTGGAGGGGAGATGGGGGTGGGGCCGGCAAGGGCTGCCATGGCACAAACCCCATTCATGAGCGCCATCTCCATGACTTAGTCACCTCTCAAAGGCCCCACCTCCTAATACCATCATCTGGGGGCATGAGATTTCAACATGTGATTTTGGGGGAACACTAACATTCAGACCACAGCAGGAGGTATGGACCTTGGTGGAGAGCAGGAAAATTAAGCTTTGTTAATAAAGACCTCACACTAGGCCCCTGATGCTCTGAAGGGGCCAGTGAATGAGTTTCTCCAGTCCTGACTGGGGCCAATGAACAGGCTTACCCCAATGAATGCCATGGCAGTCTGGGATGAAATTGTGACGGATGGGCTGGGCGCGGTGGCTCATGCCTTTAATCCCAACACTTTGGGAGGCCAAGGCAGGAGGATTGCTTGAGGCCAGGAGTTCGAGACCAGCCTGAGCAACACAGCAAAATCTCCATCTCTACAAAAAATAAAAAAGTTAGTAGGGTGCGATGGTGCACACCTGTGGTCCCAGCTACCTGGAAGCGAGAGTAGGAGAATCTCTTGAACCTAGGACTTCAAGGCTGCAGTAAGCCATGATTGCACCACTGCACTCCAGCCTGGGCTACAGAATGAGACCCTGTCTCTAAAATAATAAATACATAAAATGAAAGAAATTGTGATGGGCTCACAATGAAATTAGAAGAATAAGGTGACTGTAGCTGTAGCTGTCAGTGTCAAGTAGCCATGTGTCCTTTGTTGGAAAGGCCATTTACCATGAAATGTGTTGTTTTTACTTTTGGTTCAACTTTCCCTTTTTAATGAAAGGATTGTGAGAGCCAATTTTAGTTTCTGCTCTGGAACTTTCTTTCTTTTTTTTTGAGACAGAGTTTCACTCTGTCACCCAGGCTGGAGTGCAATGGTATGATCTCGGCTCACTGCAACCTCCGCCTCCTGGGTTCAAGCAATTCTCTGCCTCAGCCTCCCTAGTAGCTGGGATTACAGGTGCACACCACCATGCCCGGCTAATTTTTGTATTTTTAGTAGAGTCGAGGTTTCACCATCTTGGCCAGGCTAGTCTTGAACTCCTGACGTCGTGATCCATCTGCCTGGGCCTCCCAAAGTGCTGGGATTACAGGCATGAGCCACCATGCCCGGCCCTGCTCTGGAACTTTCTTTGCAACCTCTGCAGAGTTTTCTTAATGCAGAACATCTCTAAGTGTTCAGGACACTGTGTTTTGCATGTTGTGTTCCTCAAACGTATTCAGCCATTGTTCTCAAAACACCAGTTACCACCACCCAGAACTTGTGTTCTCCTGGCCTTTAAAAATCAGTGTGATCGGTGAATGAACATTCACAGAATTGGCTGGGCTTTCCTGAGCGTCTGCACCCAGTGTTAGGAGGTGTGAGCCTGCAAGCACGTGCCTACTCTGTTCCTCTGTCATATGTGGTAATAAATCTTTCTGCAGAGGCACAGTGATTTTGGAGTCTCGTCTCCCACATCCCAGCTCATCCAAATCTCTGAAGACAAACCAAATGGGCAGGGGAAACAATATCCCAAGAGATCCATGGGTTTACCAAGTTGCTCTTAGTAATTCACATGTTATCAATTTCATAAGAATGTTTCTCATGCATCTGTGCTGCGGGTCATGGGATCAGGACCTCATGGCTGGAATTTTAGGGAGGCATGAATCTCACTGGTGTCTCTGGAACTCCTGTTCCAGGGGTCTCTGAGGCTTGGGTTTTGTGACAGGTTTGGTGATCACATCATCAAGGAGGTTGAGTCACCCCCACTGTTTCACATAAGAATTGGCCCAAGTCCCTCCCAACCCAGGGTCATCTGGCCTTCCATCACCGCCCTTCAGTTAGCACCCTCTACTCTCTGGATGAAAAGCAGTCATATGACTGGCCCCCTGGGACCTCAACATGCCAACCTCTCTGGCTTCATCCTAGCCCTTGCCCCATTGGTCACCAGCCTTCAGCCACCCACGTCTCCACGCAGTTCCTCCGGAGAAAGAATCATGCTTCTTCTCACCTCTAGGCCTTTGTACATGCTGGTCCTTGACCTGATGTTCCTTCTTCCCATCTCTCCCCACACTTTATCTAGAACACTCTCTCCTTTTGTATCACCACTGAAAAGCCACTTTCTTCCTTCCTCTCCTGCCCCTGACATGATGGGACACAGACCCCTTAATGAAATAGTCAAATCTGTTCTTCATTGTTCGATGTCTGTCTTCCTCCTAGACTGTAAGTTTCCTGAAGTCAGAAATTGCTTCTGTCTTGTTCGCCTGCTGCCTTCTCAGTGTTAAGCCAGGGCCTGACATACAATAGATGCTCAAGGAAGTGTTTGTTGAATAAACACAGGAAAGAATGAGTGAGTGAATGAATTACCTCTATCTGCTCCATTGCTGACGATTTCCAGAGCTCTGCAGGATTTGTAAAGATTCAAACCTCTAAAGAACACAGTCCCAGCTATGGGACCCCCTGCCTGCCTGCCCCTTGTCTTCCCTCCTCTCCTCTCCTTCATGCCTCCACCAGTTCATCATGGCCCAGCCCCAGCAGTCAGTCCTCAGAGGGTGTTGCAGGGAGTCCTTCGTATACACAGAAGTTACAACTCCTTCCTCCCTGGACCTCTGGAGCTTTCTAGGCTGGAAGAGCAAATATTCATCCTCTGCACCCCTTCCCACTCACATCATCCACTTAAAGAAAAAGGAGGCCAGGGCGAGGCAGGCAGATCACGAGGTCAGGAGATCGAGACCATGCTGGCTAACATGGTGAAACCCCGTCTCTACTAAAAAATCCAAAAAAATAGCCGGGCGTGGTGGCGGGCGCCTGTAGTCCCAGCTATTCGGGAGGCTGAGGCAGGAGAATGGCGTGAACCCAGGAGATGGAGCTTGCAGTGAGCCGAGATCGCGCCACTGCACTTCAGCCTGGGCAACGGAGTGAGACTCCATCTCAAAAAAAAAAAAAAAAAGAAAAAGAAAAGAAAAGAAAAAAGAAAAAGGAGGCCAGTCTCCAGGATTCAACTTAGAGCCAGCTGTTTGTGGGGCGAGTAGGTAGGAGTGTGTATTAACACTAACTGAGCATTTACTATGTGTGAAGTACTATTCTAAACCCAGTAAAGGTTTCAAATCATGCAACCCTCTAGAAAACTCTATGAAGTATAAACTATAATTTCCCCTTTATACATGGGGAAACTGAAGCACACAGCAATCAAAGAAGTTGTCATAGTTGGTGCAGTGGACATTTGCACGTGGGCTTCAGGGCCAGGCTCCTGAGCACCGCATTGCAGGGCTTCTTCATGCTGCTTACAATGGTGTCACCAAGAACTGAGCCAGGTGACTCTTTTCCTGGGCCTTTAGGAACATGCAGAGGGCAGGACTCAGTGCCTTGTACTCAGCAACAGGAAGTCAGGGTTGGGGCGTGATGGCACGAGAGCCGGGAGTATGAGGGGGATCTGACATTTAAGGGGATGGTGGAGAGAGCCTAGGAGGGTAGATCAACACCAGAGCAGCAGGTCAGGGCCACAGAAGGGAGAGGCCAGCCAGGGAGATCTCTGGAACCCCAGGCAGGAACATCTGTCTGTCTTGTTTTTTTGGTGCTGCGGTCCCCTGCCCTTTGACCTAGGCTTCTGGAATGTCAGTGGTGGGTCGCAGCCTCCTCTTTGTGGTCCTGCAGGAAATGGAGGAGGCTGGTAGGCTTCCTAGCCTTGGGTAATATGGGGCAGAGAAAGGCCAGTGGTTGCAGGAGGCCAGACACAGTGAGTTTGGAGGATTCAGGTGAGAGCCGGACCTAGGAGCAGCAGGTGCTAAGAACTGGCCACTCCTAGGCATTCTCAGCCAGGAACCCCACGTCTCAGGGGTTTCGGGCTGAGGGCCCGTGATGTGCACATGAAAGCCTGGGCCCCTCAGGAAGCCCTTGGCCCTGGGGACATGGGGGTTCTGCCCTGCATGTACACAAGCTTCTCTTCCAGCCCCACCTCTGACCTCCCCTCCCTTAGCAGCCTCATCCAGGGAAGCGGGAATCAACTCCCCCAGTCGCAGTTTTATTTTCATCCATCTCCACTGAGATATTTGCCCAGCGAATGAAAACACTTGTATTCATCAGAAACTTGGGAGCCAAAACAAATGTTTCCATTTATCTGTCTTCCAGTGCCTCACAGAGCCCCAGAGAGGGGCAGAGCTCAGTGGCTGGAGGAACCGTGGCCATAAGAGGGCGATCTTGCATCAGCAAAATGATGCTGTGCGAGGTCCCGGAGTGTGCGCTTTTCTGGACCTAATCCACCTCCCCCCGCCACTCCCCTCCCCACGGCGATCCCGATTTTTAGGATGACTTCTCTATAGAGTCCAGGCCACCGGCGACAGGAGGACGGATTTGATGAGTCTTCACAAGCCTCTCTGCTTGCTATTATTATTATTATTATTATTATTTTGTGATTATTTTTGTGGAGGGAATGGCTTGGACCCTGACTCATTCTGTCAGCTCGGGCCTTCTCAGTGAAGCTCTTGCCAATCATTGATTGATCAATGTGTTAAAAATAAAAAAAATCTCACCCAGGGCAAGCCACAGACTCGGAGAAAATATTTGCCAAATACATATCTGGTAAAGATATGCCCAGAGCACATAGATAACCCTCAAAACTCAACCATAATAAAACGAAGACCCTAATTATGACAGATTATCCTCTGAGCAGACGCATCACCAATGAAGAGCTAGGGTGAGAAGTAAGCACATGAAAAGATGCTCAACGTCGTTAGTTATCGGGACGGACCAAAGAAAACCACAGCGGGATGTCACTTCACCCGCCCAGGATAAAAGGGCAACTGCCTGCACCAGGGGCTGGAGGGATGAGGAGTGGCTGGGGCTCTTTTCGGGAATGCGGAGTGCAAAGCCACCTTGGGAAACAGCTTGGCAGTTTCTTAGAAAGTTGAACACACGCCACCATATGATCTGGTCATTCTGCTCCAAAGTGTTTACCTGTGAGAGAAGACATATGTCCATGCACACATTTGTGCACAAATGTTCATAGCAGCTTTATTTATAGCCACAAACTGGAAATGATCCAAATACTCATCAACAGGTGCATGGAGGAACAAAATGTGATTCATCCATACAATGAACATTTTTCAGTAATAAAAAGAAAGGAAATGTTGATACATATCACCTAGAGGAATCTCAGTGTAATTATGTGGAGTGGAAGAAGCCAGACAAGTAAGAGAACATAGTGTATGATTCCAGCAGATACAATTCTAGAAAATGAAAACTAACTGATAGTCATGGAAAGCAGATGAATTTTTGTCTGGGGCAGAGGAGGCAGGCATGGTGGTGAGTGATGGGAGGATGGGAGGGGGGCTGACCGAGGGGCAGGGGACTCACCTGGGGGTGATGTGTATGTCTGTTACCTGGACTGTGATGGTGATTTCACGAGTAGGTACATATGTCAAACTCATCAAATCAGTATGTTAAATATATACGGTTTATTGTTGTAACACAATAAAGCTGTTAAAAATTTTTAAAGGTTACTACATCGTGGAGTCCTGAGAGCTTTGAAAGACAAATGCGTTTTGCTCTGTGAAAATGTGCATCACTGGTCCCCAATTTCTCATCCCCTCTCGAGCAACCACCCTTTTCCGTGTAACTTTGCAGTGCTGTGGGCGGGCAACATGTCCTGTCCCTTGGCAGAAAACAGATGGTTCCCCCATATGACTTGCTTCGGGCAATGGGATGTCGGCAGACGTGACGCTGCTGTGACGCACTTGGGCTGGCTCTTGCATCTTACCACTGCTGTGAGAACATGGCTGGACAGCCTTCTGAAGGATGAGAGGCACACGGAGCAGAGCCAAGTTTCTCCCGTCACCCCATCCAAATTCAACTACATCAGCCAAGGTCAGCCAACATCAGCCAGCAATGATGGAACCCCCCAGACATGTAAGTGAATCCAACCAAGAGCAGCAGGGCTGCCTAGCCAACCTACAGCTGACCCCAGAGGAGTGAGCAATAAATGTGTTCTGACGTTAGCCAGTGAGGTTCTCTGGGTTTTGTTAGGCAGTTTTATTGTAGGAATAGGTAACTAATTCAGGCCCTATCAGAACAAACAGTCTGGGTCTATCTGGGAAGACTTCCTGGAGGAGGTAAAGCAAATTGTTTTGTTGTTGTTGTTGTTGTTAAGTAAGTATTTTATTTTACCTATTTTTTAATTTTTTTTATTTCCATAGGTTATTAGGGAACACGTTGGTGTTTAGTTACATGAGTAAGTTCTTTAGTGGTGATTTGTGAGATTTTGGTGTACCCATCACCCAAGCAGTATATACTGCACCCAGTTTGTAGTCTTTTATCCCTCACCCCCTTTCCAAACTTTCCCCCTGAGTCCCCAAAGCCCATTGTGTCATTCTTATGCCTTTGCCTCCCTATAGCTTAGCTCCCACTTGAGTTTTAATAGTGAGTGTGAAGTGGCCAGAGGGATAACAATGGGAGGGCAAAAGAGAAGGATGTACAAAAGTCCATAGGCTTGAGAGAACTTAGTTCAGGAAGCTGGGACCATTGCTCAGTGTGGCCAGAACCAAGGGTGGTCCCTGGAGGGGGATGGGATGGAGAGAGAAACCTGCCCCCATCCTGAGGGTCTTGAATGCGAGGCTAAGGCATTTTTAGAAAATAGGGAGCCATGGCAGGTTTTCAGTGAGGCTGGCCTTCTAGAATGATCATCACATGGCCAGGGCAGAGGGTGGATTAGAGCCAGCAAGAGTTGAAGTTGAGGCTACAGTGCAGGTGAGTGAGAATGATGGCCTAGACCCTGGCTGGGATGGAGACCCCGTGAGAGCCATTTGAGGGACAATGACCCCACAGCGGGTCCAGGTGGCTGGTGCCGCCTTTACAGAATATTCCCCCATTCCCGCCTTGTCTCAACTGGGTCGTGGAACTCGTGGCCTGGGTCAAACATACCCCTCACTGTGGCCAATTAATTTCACCTGGCCATCAATTTGTAAAGATTTACTAATCAGTAAGAGCTGGGCAATATCATGTAAGGCTCCAAGTGCAGAGGGTGCAATGAACTGCACGGGATGCTTGCAAGGTTATTGTATTGATAAGAACCCTGATTTACCTCCTGTGTTATTGTGCGTTACCTGTGACTAAATGCATCCTTTCATAATCAATCCACATTTAATTACCATTACAGATTGATTAAACGGGAAGGATGCACTCGGGTGGCATAAAGGAGGAGGTTTGTATGAAGGTGCAGTCGACATCAATGAATGGGGCTTCAGCTTCCCACTTGCTGCTCTATTAACTCCGGCAAGCTTTGCAGGATCTTTGTAGCCAGGAGAGGGTTGCAAGTTACTGGACTGCTACCTTCTAGCTATGTCTGTGGCTTCAGGCAATTCACAAAACCTCTGTGGGTTGCAGTTTCCTCTTCCTTAAAACGAGGGTAGTAATATCAACAGCAAAAAAGCATGAGCTAGTTCTTTCCTTTCAGACCCGCTGGGAGATAGTCACCCTCCTACCTTGTCCCCACCCCAGCCTAAAGCCTCTGCAGACAAAGGGCTCTTCTCAGTCCCTGGGGCAAGAAAGAGGAACTCTATTCCCTCTTCTGGGCTCCCTGTGGCCCAATCACAAGTCGCACCTTGTAGAGAGTGCAGGACTAGTGCCCTGTATCAAAAACCTGCCTGGAAGACTTAGCTCTTCTACATATAAAAGAATCTCCAAAGATTCATCATCATCTAATATTTATTCCAGAGACTGGAGCATGCAGATAAGGTGAGTGTGTGACGGCAGAAATGCAGAAAAGGTGAGTGTGTGACCGCAGAAATGCAGAAAGAATTGACAGTGTCTAAGCCACAAAGTGCCACACTCACATGGTGTATTGTGGGTTTGGCTGGGGGACCGAGCAAGAGGAAAAAACCCACTCTAAGATGATGGCGTATTCTGATGGGAGTTTCTCCAGTGACAGAGGACACTTCTGAGAATGGCAGCATTTTAGAGCCTCACAGTCATCAAAACCTAGAATCTTATAGTACTGAGTCTTAGAATGTTGACTTTAATAAGATCTCAAATTATAAAACTGAGAGTCAAATGTCAGAATCACAGGATTTCAGGATTTCAGGGACCTCAACCATAGTCTTGCCCAAACACCCGAACAGCATCCAAGTCATTCTAACATGTGGGGGCGAAGCCCTCCAGGCAGAGGGAAGAGCAAGTGCAAAGGCCCTGAGGCAGGAGTGTGTGGGATGTGTTTGAGGAAGAGAAAGACCTTGTTCGACCTCCATGGGCTGCTAAGAGCCCGAGATTTTGGGGCATGTCAGGAATAAGGAGAGGATGCTCCCCACAGGGCTGGGCAATTTGAGGGCAGGTGCCCAGTACACAGTGGGTGCTGATTAAAAGCCTGCAACATTCAGTTCAGGGCCCTACATGGTCAGAGAGATCCTGACATTGGGAGAGATGCCTGGGTGTGAGGAGCCTGACTGGGAGCCAGGTCGGGGAGGGTAGGGAAGGGTCCTGAGGTGTTTCCTTTTGGAGAAGAGAAGGGGGCGCCTTCCAGGGGCCGTTGGTGTAAGGTTTGGGCTGCACATGGAGGCCCCAGGTGTGGCCCCAGATCATAAGGAGGTGGGTCTGGCCAAGTGGATGGGAAGATTGCCAAGTCACACAGACCCAAACTCAAGGCCAGGCAAGGTCAAGGACCCCTTGTGTGGCCCTGGGCTACAGGGGGCACCAAGAGAGTAGAGGACAGCCTGACAAAGGGGCTCGGGATTGTTCAGGATTTACTTCTGTGACACGTGAACAAGCTCAGAGAGTACCTGCCAGAGGCTGGGGCAATGCCAGCATCCTGGGGATGCTTTTGAAGGACAGTGCTCATCTAAATGTGGACATTCTGGGAGGCTTCATTTTGGCCAGTAACCTCAGGGTCATGCTGCAGAGAAACACCACGGGAGGCAGAGGTGGGAGGGCTAAGGGGTGGGGGAGCATGGAGTCAGGAGAGGCTTTGGAGAGGCGAGGAGAGGGTCACCGAGGGACATGTGTATGTGGGCCTCTAGAGGATTCAGAGAACACTAATAAATGTCCACTAACTAAGCACCTCGTCTACTGTGTGCCAGTTTATGAATGCATCCACTTGCAACTTTTCATACCTACTATGTGTCTGGCCCCATGCTGTGACTTGAAAAGACAGCTGGGATTGAGACAGATGTGGCCCATACCTTCATGGGGCTGTTGCTTGGGTGAAGTAGATGGAGGCAAAAACCCTTCAATAAACAAACAGTGAAACTGATAGAATGAGGTGTGTGCCACAAAGAAAACCAGAAAGGGCCAATATAGAACTTTGCCTCCTCACTGAATCCTCCAAAGCATCCTGTATTTACAAGATCCTATTATAAGCCCATTTTACAGCTGAGAAATCTGAGGCCCAGAGAGGTGAGTAACTTGTTCCACGCCCATGGCTGGAAAGCAGCAGAGGCAGGATCTAAGCCTGCAACCAGCAGACACAACAGACTGGCTGGTCAGCCCCACCTCACGCCTCTCCCTGAGGACATGGTGTTGTCAGTGGTGTTGGGAACCCGCCATCCACCAGGGGGACCACAGAGCAGGCGCTGCCCCGTGCTAAAGGGGCTTTAGAGTCAGCGGAACCTGGGTCTGAATTCTGCCTCCTTCACTTGCTTGCTGTATGATTCTGAGTGTGTTTACGGCATTTCCCTGTGTCTCAGTTTCCTCCTCTGTAAAACGGGAGTGATGACCTCTATCTTGGAGGGCTGTTGCAGGGATCAAATATGAGAAAGATGTAAAGTGTTTCTAGTCAGTGTTGAAAATGCTTTTCAGACACATGGGGCAGGAGTGTTAAAAGATGTGCTTCATGTATTTGAAAAAGGCCTATGTTCCCCCTCTCTCTGTCTCTCATTGCTTTCAGAAGCTCTTTCCTTAACCACACACGGGGTGGAAAGAACGCCTTGTCCAGAAGCCGAAGGACACTGAGGCTCTAAACTCCTGCTGTGTGGGCTGCAGCAGGCCACTGCTCTTCTCTGACCCTCAGTTTCTTCATCTGTAAAACTGGAACATGATGCCCCACTGGAAGGCTATCGTGAGGGCTGGACACGGCGATGTAAATTGAGGGCCAAGCGTGGAGCCGGCATAGAGTGGACACTAAAATACACCAGGCTGTTTCATTTGGCAAAAGGGGTTCAATTCTGTCTTTTAAACTCATGCACTTTGGCATATTTGGCTTCTAAATATGCAGTGAGGCAGGAAGAGCAATGAGTCTGGAAGCCAGAGATTCTCGTGCATCCATTCTCTCCTCTGTCTCAGCTTTGCATTGTACCTTGGGTGAGCCATTGCACCTCCCTGACCCTCTGTGTCTTCATCTACCAGACAGAAAAAATTACACTTACTCCTAAACCATAATGTTTGGCAAGACCCAGTGAACCTCACAAAGCACCCCCAAAAGGCAGGCAGGATGAGGAGTTCTCCCTGTTGAGCTGTGTGAGCTGCCCAGATTGATATGCCTAGAAGGCACCCCATTTGGAAGTAAACACAGGCTCCATTTAAGGATGCACGGAAGGTTGGAACACTTTATTCCTGAACACATTTATGTAAAATTAATTGCATCACCTGTTCTCTGCATCTTCTAATTGCAAAACCAATTAACTTTAAAATGCTCAGCACAGTGTGGCCAAGGGAAGGGAAGGCAAAGACCAGGCTGGCTTTGCAAACTCTGTGCCATTTGTAGTGGCCACAGTGGCCCTAGGAAGTCCCAGCCATTCCCATCTGCTGGCCGAGGAGGCCCTGTGGGATGCTGGGAGACTCTAGGAGATGAGCAAGACCCTCAGAGTCTGGGGCTGGAAACTTCCTAGCACAAGTGAGCTGAGTGGTCATGGGCCAGGTGATGGAGTGGACATTCCCCAGTGGTGGCCAGAATGACCCAATATCAACTGCCCCTCCACCCAGCACCCCCATTCCCTTTACCCTGTATTTTGTTCCCCTCTGCCATTTTCACTGCCCGACTGGCTGTGTAGCTATTTGTTTATCATGTTTCTCCTCAGTAAAATGTTGACTCCACAAAGACATGTCTATTGCACCTCCTGCTGTGTGCCTGGGACCTAGAACAGTGCCTGGCACATAGTAGGTGCTCAGACAAATGAATGAATGAATGAATGAATGAATGAATGAATGAATGAATGAACTAATGGACTTCAGCTCATTGTGAGATGGGATTTTCACAGAATTGAAATGGTCCCTGGTGGGATGAACCGTCTTAAGGCAAAGGGTGTTCACTCCACCCCTGCAGCCATTTGCGAGCCGTTAGGTTGAGGGAACACAGGCACTGGCTGAGGGGATATATTTGTTCTTAAAACCTTTTACCAGGCCCCACGTATGCACCCCTTTCTGTCTGCTCTGCCCAGAGATTTTAGGCTCCTCTCTCTCAGGGGAAGGGAGTGATTTGGTATCAATCAACCTTGAGCTCAGCTCATGTTTCTTAACTAGCTGGTTAACAGCTTACTTCTTTGTGACTCAACTTTCTCATTTCCTGAGACTTTCAGGGCTGCAAAGAATGGGGAGAAAATATGCTTTGTAAAGGAAAAATGCACACACACAGCGTTCATTGACTTCCCCCCGGTTTCCAGCGTCTGTGAATGCACACGGTACCAGCTAACAGCCACCAGAAGGGGTCTGGCTGCAACCGAGATTGTGCTGGGAAAGAGGCCCGGGCAGCAGTCTCCAGTAGCCAAAGCACCGGCATGGCCATATTAAAGCATTCGGTTCCAAGCCCCTCCAGGAGGGAGGTGTGGGCAACAAGGGGCAGCAGTGAGTGGGCAGGTGCGGAGAATCGTGTACTAATCCCCCCTCCTCCTTCCAGGAAGCCTCACTCCTCTGCTCGGGCTGCTGTACCACATTTCAGAGACTATCTTGATCTCTCAACACAAGCAGCCGATGAGATATTCACACATTCAGGGTGGGGAGGATGAGATCCAGGTGGCCTTATGTGATTCCTTTTCAGTGTGTGAATGGGCACATTGGCCTGGATAGAGAGCCTGCCAGCCCCGCTGCTGGTTCTCTGCAAGGCCTAGATTTGGCACAGGAGATGCAGGTACTATGAGTTCGGGGTAGGGGTGCTGGTGGGGTGTTTGGCAGAAATCAGTGTTGAGGAAAATTTCAATGATTCATCAGCAAATCAGGGACAGAACTGCAGCTTCCCCATGTGAGGAGCCCTTGAGTGATAGATGGTTCCTGGGTACTCCTGCCCTGGAGTTTGCCTTTCTCTGAAGGTGATGGATTCAAAAGCAGCTCTAATGAGCCTATAGTGGGTTACAAGGCAGCCACTGGCTGGCTGCCTCCCCTCCTCCTGCCCGGCCTTCACCTGCTGGGTACACTCATAGGAGAGACACTTGGATAAACTCAAAGACTCTGCAGGGACAGAACCAGCCAAGGAGAGTCAGTGGGGCCGCCCCAGGAGGGGCTGGGTCAGCCTGAGCAGATGGGGTGCCAGGGTGAGCTCTCTACCTCAGTCGCCCATGCCCAGAGCAGTGCTGTGAAGGCCCAGTGACCACATCCTCCTCCTGGGTACGATGCTGTGGTGGTCCATGGCTGTGCCTGCCCCTCTCTAGCCCCATCCAGCCACTCACAATAGAGAAAGGAACATGGGAGGTACAGCCCATGAACCTGGTCCAGCCCCATCACCATCACCAGGTCCCTGAGTCATTGTCCATAAGACGGGGCTGGTAGTGACATCAATCTCAGAAACGAGGAGCAACCTGCAATGAGCACGTCCTCCAAGGAGTTCTCAGGGCGCCTTTCACAGCCGGCCTCACACCCTGCCTGCGGCCTGGCAGACGCGGAGAGTGGTAGACAGGACAGAGTGAGTTTCAGAGGTACACAGACCTGGGCTCAAGTCCTGTCTCAGCTGTGTGCTCCCTGGCAGGTCACCAACCTCCTCTCTGTGCCTCATTCTCCTCATCTGTAAAGTGGAGTTATTGCCACTGCCATCGCGCAGGGGCGTGATGAGGTGAAATGAGCTAACGGAAGTACAGGCAGGCACACAGCAAGTGCTCAATAAATAGCAGCTCTGATGATCACCATCATCATCATTATCATCGTCATCATCATCATCTGATCTTTCTCTCTGCAGTACTGAAATATTATGTAATTGGGACCATACTGTATACTCATTTCTCTTCCCTTACCATTCTATCATCAGCTTTTTCCCACATCATTGAAAATTCCTCAAAAGCATGATGTTAATAGCTTCGTAATTGTACCTCATTTCGATGCACCATCATTTACCTCACCATCCTCGACTGTCAGATGCTCGGAGGCTTCCGGGGCTGTTCTCATACACGTCAGGCTGCCATGAATGTTTTGGGCACCGTTTGCCTGAGTCCCTGACCACCTCCAGGACAGATTCCTGCAGGTGGGATCAGGGTATCAAGAAATGGAATGCATCCCAGGCTGGGGGTCTTTATCATCCGCTCGCTTTCCTAAAGTCACCCTGACTGGCACCCCCAGTGGCCCATGGGGTTGCCTGTCCCCCCAGCCAGAGCCCTGGCCTGGGGCCCCTGAGTCCCAGCAATGTGATCGTCAAATCAGATCCCGGGTGCCCAGGAACCCTCATGACAAACACAAGAAGCAGGCTGGGGCCGGCAGCCCTCAGCAGGGAGTCAGGGCAGCTGGTCCCATCTCACCTGCCCCTGTGCTCCAGGTTCAAAATCGTAGTCAGGAGGCCCCAGCATGAGAGGGACCAGGGGGTGGTAGCAGAGGCCCACCTGCCTGAGGGACTGGAGCCCCACAGGACAGGACGTTTGCTCCTCAGATGTCCAGGTCCGAGTCCATGTGGGTTCACAAAGTAACTCCTGCTTGCTGGGCCTCCTGGACAAGGTGCAGTGTCGGGGCTTTCCGGGACCCCTGTGGGCTTCCTGTGACCCCCAGGGGCTCAGGCCCTGTGAGGGGGAGTGAGGATGCCCAGCTACAGACAAGGACACTGTGCTCACAGAGGTCTGGGGAGGTGCTCATGGCCAGCGTTGCTTTCAAACATAATGTCACAATAAAGCCGGTCCCCAGGAACCCTAGGGAGATCTTCAACAGCCAAAGGGGGAACCCTGAGGAGGATTTCAGGCTGTAGAAGAGGCTGGGGAAGGGAAGGAGGTCAGTGGCTTGAAAGTCTGCAGGATGAGGACGGCCTCCTGTGGGCAGGGCCATCCCAGCTTGTGGGTGGGGCCATCCCAGCTTGTGGGCGGGGCCAGCCTGGGCCAGAGAATTAACCATTTTAGAGACAGAAATGGGATCACAGCAACCAGTCAGGTAAGAGTCCACCTAGGAGGACCCAGGCTCACTGTGAAGGGAGGCTGCCCTGGCCTACCTTCTCCCACCACCTTGAAGGTCTCTGCCATGGCCTAAGAAATGGGGCAGACACCCCTTTCTCTGGGGAGGCAAAGACCCCATTTGCAAGTATAAGGTGGCTGCCAGTTTCCAGCATTATTCATTGTTTGAGACGCCCATGTCCCTTCCTGGTTGGTATGACATGTGTGATTTGAAGCTTGGGAGGACACAGTGCAGGGTCTGGTCTGGGGCTGCCTCAAGAGGAAGATGCTGTGCTTTCCACTGTGCCCCCTGTCCCGGAGCCATGCCCCTCCCCAGGCCCTTCCTCCTTCCCTTCCCTAATCACTCACTGAGCCGCTGCGGGGCATCCCGGGCTACACTGGCTGCCACAGGGTGGTGGACGCACCATCTGTGGGCAGGGACAGCTGTGATCCATCTTGGCCCCCAAAGCATGGCTTGGGAGGAGAAGGGGGGCTGCCCCGAGGAAGGAGGGGGAAAAAGAGGCCTCGAGATGCAGAGGTGGAAACAGAATCCATCAGGCCCTCCCTCTGGGAGGCCGCAGATGTGCAGCCCGGGACAGTTCTACCTCTTCATGCCTCCGCTGCGATCGGCTCTGCGAACACTCACCTTGAGAATTCACCAGGGAATGGGGCGACGGTTCTAGGCCCTCTGACCTGCGTTGTGACCCTGTGCAAGTGCTGTCCCTGCTCAGGCTGTCCGTGTCTCTGTCTGTACAATGAGGTGGTTGGGGCAGCTCAGGGGTTCTCAACCTTGGGTGTGCTTTAAGGCATCCGAGAATAGGGTGGGACTTTTAAGGACACAGATATCTGGGCCCTAAGCCCAGAGGTTCTGACTGTCAGTCTGCAGCTGTGTGTTGTGACATCCCTGTCAAGAGCTGGGGCTCTGGAGTCCGGCAGCCCTGGGCTCCAATCCCTAGTCAGCCTCTCACCACCTATGTGACCTTGGACAAGTGCCTGCCCCTCTCTGGGCTCTTCTGGTGACTGAGGACAGTCATAGTACCTGCTGCTTGGGGATGTGGGAGGACGTTTGGGACCAGTGACTCCGAAGTGCTCACCCAGGGCTCACACTGGAGCCCAGTATCTGTCAGTGACTGTCACTGGAACCCTGGTCATGTGGACTCAGCTGTGCCCAATGGTCTCATCCTGGAAGGACGTGCTCCATGTCTTCTGGGGACCGCCCCCCCCACCCCACCGGCCCACCACGGGCTCTCTTTGCACACTCTCATCGCACTTGCTGGTCCGGTTGTGTCTCCTTCCCCAGGATTTGCAGCAGCTCTTCCTGTTCGCTTCTCCTGATTAATCTCCCTGTTCTTCTCCCACTTAACAAACAGCCTCACTTAAAAAGCCATCTGGGAGGATGGATGACACAAGGCACAATTTGCAGAATAAGTTTTCAGAGAAAAGAGCTAAGGAAATAAAAGCACTTACGATTCCAATCTCATTAGGCGCCATAACTCTGTGGAGGAGAATCGCATTCCTGCGTTCTCTGCTCCCCCTGTCTGGCTGCCTTCCCCATGTTCTGGGCTCCATCACCATTTGTCTTCTGGGGGACCTGCTTTGGTGTCTCTGGTTGCTTCCCTCCCTCGGGTTAAACCCCATCTCTCGCCAGGATGGGCGGCATCGGGGCTTTTCTAATTCAAATCCTCTCTCCTGTATAGTCGCTGCCCCACAGCAGGTAGCTGCGCCCTCCCCCTCCAGGAGTCCTGGAAAAAGGTTTGTCTTCTGCGTGGTCTCCCAAGACAGATTGGGGGCCAATGGGTGAGAAGAAGGGATGTGTCAAAAGTTGGGATGGATGGGCGGCCCTGGGGAAGGTAATGAGCTCCCCGTCACTGGAGGCGTGCATGGAGGATGGGTGAGCACTCAGCAGAGAGGTTTTGCAGGAGGCAAAGTAGCAGAGAGGCTGAGACCATGGGCTTCGGAGGCCCAGAGATCTGGGCCGAGCCCCAGCCATGCTGCCCACCAGGTGCCTGACCTTCAGCAACTGACTTACCCTCACTGAGCCGCAGTTTCTTCATCTGGAAAATCAGGCAAAATAATCATTCCTACTTCCCAGGGTTGTCATGGGGACTAAATGACATGTGTGCAAGGCGCTGAGCGCAGAATGCATATTATCATACCCAGGAGGAGGAGGTGGTCAAGATTTTGACACTAAAGAGATTTAAGATTCAACATTTCTGTGATTTTAAAAACCAAAGTCTCTGAGAGTCTATGATTCAAGTATCCTAAAATTGTAAGACTTCATTAGATGCTAAGGCTTTCAGATAGTATGATTTCATCTTGCTTCTCATCTAAGGCTGGAGAATCCAAGGCTATGTAATCCCAAGACCATCTCTTCATTTCCCCAGCAGCAGCACCTGTCCCTGCCCTGGGCCGCCTGCTACATCGTGAGCATCCGAATATTTCTGTCTCTTGTTCCTCTTCAGATCTTCTCTTTTTATTTCCACTGGCCTGACACCTTCTGTTTAGTGCCCTTTGCCCAAATCTAGCCCTGTCTACTGAACCCTTTGCCCTGGACGTACCAGCTCCCTCAGCATTCCAGCCCTGTGCCCTGCATGTCCCACCTCACCCACCACCCCATCTATCTCCCCAGTTCTGCCAGTTGCAATCCTACCCCACCTTCTTGGAAGCCAAGGTTAAAAGGAGAACTTCTATGAGGCTTCTTTCAATTTCAGTGGAAATCAATGTCCTGTGGCACAAGCCTCCAGTGCACCTTGTTTAAATGACTGGATAGCAGTTATCACAGTCTGACTTCTTAGGGTTGTTGGGGAAGAAACTTCTGCCCTCATCCCCATGCTATACCCACATCTGGTGTCCTTCCAAGACTCTGCCACCCTATCCCAGACTTGTTCCTCCCCTTCAGGCCCACTTTCTCACCTCTCTTTCTCTCCTCATTCCTTATAGCTTGGTGCTCCCTGTGGACTGACTGTGTCCCCTCAAATTCATGTGCTGATCCCTAACTCAAAATGTGATGGCATTTGGAGATGGGGACTTTGGGAGGAAATTAGATTCAGATGAGGTCATGAGGGTGGGGCCTCGTGGTAGGGTTGGTGCCCTTGTAAGAAGAGACTCCAGCAAGCTTGCTCTCTCTCTCTCGCCGTCATGTGAAGACACAGCAAGACGATGGCCATTCACAGCCAGGAAGAAAGGCCTCGCCAGAACCCGATCACACTGGCACCCTGATCTTGGAATTCCAGGCTCCAAAACTGTGAGAAAATAAATCTCTGTTGTTTAAGCCACCAGTCTGTTTCTGTTACAGCAGCCTGATATGGTTTGGCTCTGTGTCCCCACCCGAATCTCATCTTGAATTGTAGCTCCCACAATTCCCATGTGTTGTGGGAGGGACCCAGTGGGAGGTAATTGAATGATAGGGGTGGTTCTTTCTCGTGCTGTTCTCATGATAGTGAATAAGTCTCAGGAGATCTGATGGTTTTATAAAGAGGAGTTCCCCTGTACAAGCTCTCTCTGTTTGCCTGCCTCCTTCCATGTAAGACGTGACTTGCTCCGCCTTGCCTTCCACCATTGATTGTGAGCCCTCCCCAGCCATGTGGAACTGTACATTTATTAAACATCTCTTTATTCCCAGTCTTGGGTATGTCTTTATTAGCAGCATGAAAATGGACTAATGCAGCCAGTGTCCCAGTTCTCCCCAGCACCCTCCTCTCTTCTTCTTCTGTATGAGCTCATCTACATCCATGGGTCCCCACTACCCATGCCCAGAACACCTCCTGTTGAAGCTCTTCCTGAGCTGTGGTCCATATCAAGGGACTCTAAGTGCTACCCATGCAGTGCTGAGCCAGACAGGCCACCCTGCCTTCTGGACCTTTCTATCTGGGGCTCCTGCAGCTGCTGCCCTCTGGGTGGCCCACAACCTCTTTCCACTGGACACATTCAAAACCAAACCTTCATTTTCCCATCAAATTGCTCCTCAGCCTTGTGCCCTACAGCCCCTGCTCACCCCAGTCGGAAATAAGCAGGCATCCCCAACTCTCCCTCTCCCCACACCGTGGGCACCATCCGGTCCTGCCAGTTTTAACACCTTACACCCCTGGGATTCCCCTCTCCCTTACCCCCTCCCTCTCCCCCATCTCAGAACTGGTGATCTCTGGCCCAGACATCCCCACGCCCTCCTACTTGTTCCTCAGCCCCACCTGCCCTGCAATCCATCCACCCTGCACACCCTGAGATCTGAGTGAGGGGGGCCCAGGTTTAGGGGGCCCTGCTCTAGCTCCAGATACCCCAGCCCCAGAATCCCTGCCTGCTCCCAGGACCCACATGGCCTCTTCTCTGTGCCATTGTGCCCAGCTGTTGACCCCAGACGTGCAGCTGTGTGTGAGGAGGTATACAAATACAGCATCGACCTGCAGGGTGGGGTGTCACATAATGTGTGAGACTGTGATGTGGGACTGGGCCATGGGAGGGGAGGGGAGGGGGACTGGTCCCAAGTTGGTCAGTCCCAATTTCTCAACACCACCACAGTGCAAAGCAGAATGCTGAGGGGTCCAGGAATTCCAAATTCAAACCTGGCCTTCCAGGCCCTTTTGAAAATGTGTCAGTACAAGCAGGGGAATGGAGCATGTTGGATTTAACAGATGTGACTTGTGAAGTTCCATGCTCAGTCACTGGCCCATGCCCTCCACTGGTTCTCATGCCCTGGGCTGCACAAATGCTGGGGACAGCTGGATCACCAGGCAGAGTGATTGTCCCAAACACAGGTCGATCACGTTGCTTTCCTGCCTAACGCCCTTCTGTGGCTTCCACAGCCTGGGTGTCTTCCTCCTCAGACTGGGGCGAGGAGCAGGCAGGCGTCCAGGACCCAACCCTGCAGGCCCCAGGTGAGTGCCCAGGGCTGCCCCATATGGTAGCTGTGGCTGGCAGAGCAGAAAGAGAAGGTCCTGGATCCACTGCCCCTGCTTCCCTCTGACCATGATGTCCCGCAATGGCCCAGCCCAGCCCTATCATGGCATTAGGGGCTGGACCATTGTGGGGCATCATAACCCGGGGTGCCAGGGGCAGGGGTGGTCACCAGTATCTCCTTCCCTTCCCTAACCTCCCTGCCTCTCCCCTCCCCACCCCTCCATGCCTCCACAGCTCAGGAGGTCTGCTAGGAATTCATTGTTTTATCCCCCACTGCTCCCGGCAGGATGTGCTGTCAGTGCTGGTCCACATAGAAGGAGCATGTGTGTGTGTGTGTGTGTGTGTGTGTGTGTGCGTGTGTGTGTGTGTGTGTGTGTGTGTAAGAGAGATCCAGGTTCTTACCTGATTCCACAAGGACTCAGATGCCCGACACCTCCCTGTGGGGTCCTCCAAGCCTCATCCCAGCCACTCCATCTGCTGCAGAAGACCTAGAGAGCCTCCTTCCTCACCACCATAGCAGAAATCCCAGCAATGGGTTTCCCTGACTCAGCTCGGGTTGCCTGCCCGTCACTGATCCACTCACTGCACAGGGGATGGAAGGAAGGCCCGCCTGGCTGTGCCCAGACCCACCCCACAGAACTGCATGAACTGAGCAGGGTTGGGAGGGACCGTTCCCAAAGAAAGATGGGGGAGAGGAAGGGGGGCTGTTGGGCAGAAGGACCGCTGGGCCCCTGCAGGGCACTCAGGGTGGCCAGTTGCTCCAGGGAGCAGACAGGGCCAGGGAAGGCTGGCTGGGCCCAAGTGCTGCAAGAGCAGCTTGGACGCAAGGTGACAGTTGGCAGCTGTGGGTTTCAGGATCCAGGACCAGACTTGGCCACATGGGCAGAGGGTCCGGAAACTGGGACTGAGCACTGCTGTGCCCTGAAGGCCAACGGGACATGCGGGGCTCCCCCTTGGCCGCAGCTCAGTGTTAATACAGCCAAGTGAGGCCCAGCTACTTGGGATGGAGGCAGGAGTGGCCAAGGCCCTGAAAGGCCTGGCCGGGGCTGGGGCTTTGTATGTCAGGGAGAGGCGTCTGTGGGGAAGTCAGGGCTGACCTGGGGGACTATGAAGGCACTTCCCACCATCCTAGGTGGGAGTCCTGGCACCAGACCCCTGGCTCCTCCCTGGCCCACCCCTGCTTCTGTTCTGGAAGCCAACCCTGCCCTGGCTCCTCCCGACTGTGCCCTGTTGATCCATGTAGGGCTTGGGTTTTGTGGGCAGCAGACTTGGGTTGGAATCCTGGTTCTAGGCGCAGGTCTTGCATGAGCCTCTTCCTTACCCTGCAGCCTCAGTTTCCTCATCTGTAAAGTGGGGATGATGAGGCCAATCTTGCAGGGCCTGGGTGGGTCCAGTGGGTGACCACCATGAGGGGCTGGGGAGCCATGTGGTCAAGGCACAGGCCCTGGGCCAGCCCAAGGGGGCCAGCACAGCCCTACCACTCAGCAGCCAGGAGGCCTCTGCACCTGGCATAGCTCCTCCTTGGCGGTGTGACCTTGGACACATTACCTCTCTGTTCCTTCATCTGCAAATGAGATCAGTTCCTTCATCTGCAAATGAGATCAGTGTCCTGGAGACGGTGAGCACGACAGGCAGGTAGGGTGCTTGGTACCTGATGGGGGTGGCTGGGCTATGTCTGATCCCTGGCTGGGGAGCCCTTCCTAGAAATAGACACTCGCCTAGGCATTTGAACAGAAACAGGAGGGTGTGGTTTAAGGAGCTGGGAGGATTAAATCCATACATGGAGGCATCTGGAAATACCCCCATCAGGTGAGGCCTTCCACTGCCCACCCTGTTCCCCATCTGAGATCCACGCAGGCACCAGGCCCCTACCCTCAGGTCTGTGCCAGGGCTTCTGGTTCACTCTGTGCCCTTAGGCCTCTGCAGGAAGAAACTCCATCCTGGGGCACTGTCTGGGAGATGGGGTGTCTGTGGTAACTCATGACGATGATATTGGGAGCAGCTGCCGCTGATGGTACACCTGCTGTGCATAAGGCCTGTGCCAGGACTGCCCTCTTAGCTTTGCTGTGTTACAAATAAGAAACCAGGACTCAGAAGGGGCCAGCAGTTCTCCCCAAGATGCACAGGAAGGGCAGAGCTGAGAGCTATCTATGTCCCCTCCAGAGCTCAGCCCCGACCTGGCCACAGGCCCTGCCCTATCCCCCACACTCTGGCTGATGCTGGGCTGGGAATGAGCCCCCAGCCCTGCTTGGGACCGCCTGCCTCCCTATGGACTGGCTCCTATGGCCAGGCCAGCTCTCCAGGGAGGGATGGCAGAGCATCTGTATTGAGAGCTGCTGACCTGGACTCAGAGCAGAGCCTCTCTGAGTGCCAAATTAACACTTGATCACAAATAAGAAGGGCTGCAGCTCTGAAATGCCAGCAAAAAGAGAGGTTGGGCTCAGCATGGGGCTGGGGACTGATGGGAAGCAGGGCACAGAGAGTCTTGCATCTGTGGAGATGGTGGGTCCCAGGCCAGATGGGATTTGAGATCTGCCTGGGAGGGCCTTCCTGGCCTCAACCGCCTCGCATGGGGCAGCAAAAGGGCCAGGCCATGCTGGACAGACGGATGCTACCGCGAAGGTGTGGCACAGGAGTGAGCACTGACTTCCCCTGGCCCAGTCTCTGTGCTTGTGGTTTGGTCCTAACAGCCCACCCCCTAGAACCTCACTCATGGCTTGGGGTTCTGTGAACTGTGTCTGACCCTCTCCCCATGACCCCATTCCCCTACACACAGCCTTGGGTTTCTTTCTCTCTTTTGATGGTTGTGGAAGGTGTGGCCTACCGGCTCCAATCTGACCTGGGCTCTGGGACTTATGCACACAGAGCATCAGCCTCCACCTTCCCACCCTCCACCACCACCAGCAACACTTTTAGTTCCACCGTCCCTCTGCAGAAATGCCCATGGGCCACCATCCATCACTCACTCCTTTGGATGCAGCGTCACTTTTGCCTCCCCATGTCATAGTTCAGGCAACATCCTGTTTCTTTATCACTGGGACCTGCTGCATTACCTGAGGTCCACAGGCCCTCTAGGGCAGCCCATCTAAATCTAGACCCCTCTGACCCCTTGAGCTTGCCCTGCCTCCCAAACAGCCTCCGAGGTTGGCAACTCAGTATATCGCCCAGCTTCCTACATCCCCAGCCAAGCAGGTGCCAAGACCTCCTGGGGTCTCCACATTCCACCCCCTTCTGGCCTCTCCACTGCCACTTCCATGGTCCACAGCCATCAGCTCACACCTGTTAAATATAGTGAACCCCAAGTTTCTCTTCAAAGAATCAGTATGTTAGTATGTTCAGCTCTCTTATTCTTTGATTCTCCATTTTAAAGCTTAACTTCCCGGTTCTCTTACCCTCTTGCTTCTAGTTTCAGTAAACAACTTTTTCCACCAGTTTTAATCAGTAGTTCACATCTGTTCCCCTGGTCATCTGCTCTGTCCTGACTCATCCCAGTCACGTGCTTTGACCTGAATCACCCCTGGTCACCTGCTCTGACCTAAGTTACCTGTTTCTAACCATCCTTCCCGCCAAACTACTTACCCTGCCACTCTGGCTCATACCCCTGCTCTCTTTAAAATAGCCAACAGGAATTAGCTTAGACTGTGCGCCCCAACCTTAGCCATTCTTTTTAAAATGACCCCTAGCTCCTCCAGGAGGTCAGAATGGGAGCAGGGGCCCAGTGAGGAGATGGAGGGGGACGTCCAGGCAGAGCTGATGGCAGCTTGGACCAGAGCAGGAACCGTAGGGGTCTGGGAATGAGGAATTTGTCCACAAAACTCCCAGGTTTCTGGCTGAGAAGCCGGGTGGATGGAGCTGCTATTTCCCGAGTGGAGAAGTGGGGAAGGCTCGGGGCTGAGAGGCAGCGTGGGGCGCGTGACTCCAATAGGGGAAAGACACAGCAATAGGGCCCTGTGTCAGGAATAAGAACTCCTTCCCCTCCCCTGTCCAGTTGTGCTCTCGCCATTGTTCCATCTGTGAAGAGCACCCTTTCTGCAGAAAGTAAAAATTGCCTTGCTGAGAAAATTAAATTTATGTTTGAGTGCTATTTCTTTGTGGCACCGGGGAACAAGCATTTTGCATTTCTAATAAATCCGAGGGGGCAGCACAGCCTCCTCACTGGTCCCCAGCCTCAAACCTTCAATTTGGGCAGGAGATCTTCCTAAATCAGACCCTATAACTTCCCTCCTTCAAAGCTTTGGCCAGCTCCCCTGCGCTCTGAGGATAAGCTCCCTGCTCCTTGGCTTGACTTACAAGGCCATTCATTCAGTCATTCTACAAATACCTATTGCATCACCTTTGGGGATGCAGCAGTGATCAAAGAGATACAATTGCTGCCCTCCTGGAACTTTCATTCTCCCGGATGAAGACAGGCAATCAACAGGTGAGATGTCCATGATGTGCACTGCAGGGATGATAATAGCTAAGAGAATAACAGAGCAGGGAAGGGCAAGAAGGTGTGGGGAAGAGCTCAGACATAGAGTGCTTAGTTGGGGATCGGGGTAAGGTGACATTTGAGCAGAGGCCTAGAAAGCATATGCAGGAATGAGCTATGCAGATATCTGGGGAAGAGCATTGCAGCCAGAGGGAACAGCAAGTGCAAAGGCCCTGATGTAGGAATAAACCTACAGTGTTTAAGGATCAGCAAGGAAGCACCTTCCTCTCATCCTAGCAGGGCCTCCTTGTTCTGGCTCCCTCCTGCCCCCACCCTTACCCTACTCCCTCCCCTCCCCACTCCTGCCACCTCCCACTGCCAAAACGCCCAGGTTCTTTCATTCCTCCGTGACCTGTGTCTGTTTCTTCTTCAGAGATGCTTTTCCATACACTCCCCAGGTAGCCAACTCCTATTCATTCTTCAAGATGCCCTGAATGCTCATCCACCCTCACCCAAGCAGGGCAGAGCTTCCTCTGAGTTCCCAAATCTCCCTGTGCCTCCTCTGTCAGCAAGATCATTAAATTTCCCAGTCACTGCCGTTCCATGAGCATGGCTAGCACGATCCCACACTGGGGTCTTTGCACTTGCTGTATCGTCTCCTGGAAGCCCCAGATGTTTGCAGGACCTATGCCCTCCCTCCCTTCAGGTCTCTGCTCAGGTCTCTGCTACAGAGAGGTCTACCGCCACGGAAAGGTCCCAGACCCTCCATCCTCTGCATCCCTTCCCTTCTCCTGCTTTTTCTTCCCTGGAGACCATGCCCTGACAGGTTATGGACTTGCAGGTTTGTTTCTCGTCTGTCTCCCTACTAGACTGGGGATGCCATGAGACAGTGGTGTATATAGTTTGTTATGTTCACAACATAGCCTCTATGCCTAGAAGAGTGCCTGGCGCACAGCCATCCGTGCATTTATTGAATGAAGAATGAATGAATGTTGTTGATTCCACCATGCTGCGATAGCCTATTTCTGCCCCGACCTCCTCCCCATGCCCAACCACACTGTGCGCTCATCCAGGACGTCCAGTCCTTGGTGTCTCTGTACCCTCATCCCCCAGCGCAAGACCAAGCATATTGTGCACATCAGCCAGTGTTTCCGCCAGAGTGAGGGAGCTGATGGATGGATGGACTGGGTGTCTTTCGGAGCCCAGAGTTTAAAAATAAACCTGCTCTTAGCTTTCCCATGTGTCATTTGTAACTTCTCATAAAAGTCCTTGGCAGAGCAGATTTCACTTGCTTGAGGGAGATATTCAGGTTTGAGAAATAGAAAGCTTATAAATAAACACAGCAAATCAAATGAAACCAATGGGCAGCAGCCCCTCGTAGCCCTGGGAATGCAGACATGTTGCAGGGAGAGAGGGATGGAGATTTGGAGGGTTTATCTCCGTACTCACTGAGAGATATCTAGGGCAGCTGAGGGCAGGGACATGGGGAGGCCAGGATTACAGCTGCAGATGGGCTGGGAGTAAGTGGCCCTTCACCTTAGCTCTCAGCCTGCCCTCCACAAACCTGGCCCCAGCCATTTTGGGAGTCAGAGCCCAAGCATGGGACAGAGTTGGGCCTTGGCCGGCCATCGGAGGGCCGGCAGGTGACAAAGTGGGGAAGAAGCAGAGCTCAGCAGACCAACCGCAGCAGCCCCAGGCCCTCCCACCAGCCAGAGCCCCTCCACAGCCACCCCCAGGGGCCTCTCTGGAAGCCACAGACATGGGGGGTGCTGGAGGGGGTGAAGGCAGTCACCACCCCTCAGCCTGATCCTTTCTGTACCCTCTGTCCACTCTCCCAGGAGGCTCACACTGCTGTCCAGAGAGGACACTCACACAAGGTCTCCAGCAGCTTCTCCCTGCATGCCCTCAGGATGCTCCGGCTGCCCCTCCCTTTCTCTGGGGATGCAGCCCTGGAGTCATATGCCCCATGCTGGCCTCTCAGCCTCGAGCCTGCTGCTGCTCCTGCTCCTGCCTTCCCCGCTTCTCCACTCGGGAAATGGCAGCTCCATCCACCTGGCTTCTCAGCCAGAAACCTCGGAGTTGTGTGGACAAATTCCTCATTCCCAGACCCCTACGGTTCCTGCTCTGGTCCAAGCTGCCATCAGCTCCGCCTGGACGTCCCCCTCCATCTCCTCACTGGACCCCTGCTCCCATTCTGACCTCCTGGAAGAGCTAGGGGTCATTTAAACACAACAAATCAGACCAGGCCACTTCCTTGCTTAAAACCCTTCTATGCCCCTCAGGGAGCCTTGAGTCAAGAGGCGCTGCAGGGCTGGGTGCTGCCTCCTCCCCATGCTTGCCCCTCCCCACACATCGCCCCAGGGCTTCTGTAGTCCCTCCAACAAATACACTGCCTCCCACCCAGGGCCTTTGCACAGGCAGTTCCTGCTACCTAGATCACTCTGGTCCCCACTCTTCAGGTAATTCATTTTTTCAGTCCTCAACTTGAATATCAGCTCCTAACATCACCCCCATCTGAGTTAGTCCCCCCATTATCCTCTCAGGTAATCTGTTGCACATGGTGTGTTTGGCTCCATCCCAAGGTAGGCTTATCTGTGTGAATTGTCCTTGGACGGCCACAGTCCCCTCCTGACTCTGAGCCCCCAGCAGTGTAGGCATCTTGACGTAGTTCTTTCTCTTCCCTGCACCCAGTATATGCCTATCGCATAGTAGGTGATCAGTAAATGACCTGGATGAATAAGCGGAATCATCAGAATACAGAGTAAAAAATAAACAGCCTGTGCTCCCTTCAAAGAAAAGAGAAATAACTCAGAGTACTGTTAACTATTTTATTGCTGCAAGAGTTTTATTTTATTGTACTGTATAACTTACACTGCTTTAATCAGAGCTAGTAATCACAACTGTTGTTTCTGGTTCATGCCTCCTTGACTCAGGCCCCAAGGGCAGGAACCATTTCATATTTAAGCAGTGTTAGTTCTGGGACGCCCTCGGGGGAGCACGAGCACGCTCCAGTGTGCAGTTTAATTCTCAGCGATGCTAATTAGATCAAGGAAGCAGCCCGGGTTCAGGGCAGGGCCGCTGGAGGAGACGGTCTCCCTCTAACAAGCCCGAGAAGCCAAACTCCACCTGCCATAGCCCAGCCTGAGTCTGATGGGAGCGTTTCTCCGGTAGACTCTCTGTTCTGGGCACAGTGCCAAGACCTAAGGGCTCTTAAGGGCCTGTGAAAATGTTGAAGGTCTGGGAAAACAATTTATTTGGCTTCAAATTATAAAAGGGAAGCTGTGAAGTCGAAATAGATCAATGTTTAATCAAATGTCTACAAAGTATAACATTATCAAATGGTCACCTTCCTTTCCAACTCAGCTTTTGCATAGTCGCGTATAATCTGTAGTTAATGTGGGCTGTTAGGGCATTTTACTATGTTTGATCTGATGGGGGGAGGAGTTTCTACAAGTGAGAATGCTGGGGCTGGGAAGATCTTAAAGAGCTATGTGTAGGCCAGGCGTAGTGGCTCACGCTTGTAATCTCAGTACTTTGGGAGGCGGAGGCGGGTGGATCACTTGAGGTCAGGAGTTCAAGACCAGCCTGGCCAACATGGTGAAACCTCGTCTCTACTAAAAACACACAAAAAATTAGGTGGGCGTGATGGTACGCGTCTGTAGTCTCAGCTATTGGGGAGGCTGAGGCAGGAGAATGGCTTGAACCCAGGAGGCAGAGGTTGCAGTGAGCCGAGATGGCACCACTGCACTCCAGCCTGGGTGACAGAGCGAGACTCTGTCTCAAAAAAAAAAAAAAAGTGCTATGTGTATATGAGTTGTGTATATGGGTTGTAGAGAGCAGCCTCAGAAGACTGCACGGAGGAGGGAAAACGTGGCTGGAGGGATGAACGGAGAAGGGCATTCCTGGCAGGGAGGCAGCATGTGCAAAGAGGCAGGGCATGGATGGGCCTGGCCTGCAGAAGGAGCAGGGACCAGCCATTGCACCTGCAGCATAAAGTGGGCGGGGCAGGGAGGAGACAAGGCTGTTCTTGCCCTTCTTGAGCCTCTCTCTATCCTGTGCCTTCTTCCCTGTCATTAAAGCCCAGCACCACCTGTGTCCTCACCAAGGCTAGACTTGACTTCCCTGGCCATCACAGAGGCCCCAAGCCTGGCTGGGTCTCTCCACTGGAAGATCTAGTCTGGCCCAGATGCCTAGTCCTGTCACCTCCATTTCTCCTCACATGGCATCATCCCTATTCTAGTCATGATAAAGCACAGATATAGAAAGGAAGGAAGAAAAAAAAATAATCCAAAATCACAAAGCAGACTCCACACTTGCTTTCTGGAGCATTACTGGAAACAAGTCAATTTTCTCTCATTTCTTTCTCTCCAACCCAGTGTTGCAACAGAAACAACGCTCTGGCTCAGTTAAGGGAAAGGTGTATAGTTGCAAGTCTAATTTCGAGATGACACCCATTCTCGGCCCAGCCAAAGAACACCTCTAGGCTGGTGACGAGCTCTTGAAAACCCCTGTCTTCCCAGGGCTCTCAGAGGCAGAGCCTGGGGCTGGATTCTCAACACTATAAAGAGGTAGATTTTGCATCCCACCTTCAGTGCAGATCTGCCAGTGCCTCCACCAGGGGCAGTAGCTGGGCAGTAGTTCCTCTTTCTGGAAATGCCAAAGGCTTCCTGGGGTGAGGATGGAAAAGAGGCAACCTTAGCCAGGCCCGGGGACTCGATGCTGGAGGACAGGCAGCCCCAGACTGCTGATCCAGCCAGCTTGTCCCCAGCTAATGCCCGAGAGCCCAGCATGGGCAAATCATGGCTTTGGGTTAAATGTTGCTTTCTCCAGGCCCTTTGGTTTTTCTTCCAAACTACAAATTGCCTCTGATCCCTGGGGAAATGGGTGGAGGTGCTTTTCTCCTTGGGAGACAGAATCTAAGAAAAATTAAATTGGAAGTTTTGGGGTGGGGGTGGGCCAAGGGTGCTGTGAAAGTAAAGAAAGCTGGCTCTGGAGAGAGGATGCTCTGCCATTCAGTACCTGAGCCATCTTAGACAAGTTATTTAACGTCTCTGTGCCTGTTTCTCCAATCGTGCCTACCTCATGGGGCTGTCATAAAAATTAATTCAGTCAATAGACATAAAGTGCTTGAGAGAGCACCTGGCAGACAGAAAGCCCTTAATAAGTATTAGTGGCTATAATATTAATAGTAATAATAATAATTTGTATGATTGTTGCTATTAGCTTATATTGTATCAGTACTGAATATAGATACAGGGCTAGCAAAAAGCACCCAGAGTCCTTTCCAGTCTGACACCTGATGGTCCCCCAGCCTAACCCCCCCTTTCCCCTCCATTTTCAGCCACACAGGACTCCCCATCTCTGAAAGCCTCTGCTCTTTCCAGCCTCCACGCCTCTGGGCAACTGCCGCCTGCCTGGAATGCCCTTCTCATCGTCTTTCCCCTGCAAACTCTTACTCCACCTAGATGAACCGGCCCAGATGCCACCCACTCTGAAGCCAGTTCAGAGCCCCCTCCCTCACGCTTCTGATAGCCCCCCCGGGGTGCCAGCACCTTCTCTGGGCCCCGCAGGAATTGTCACAGGCCAGTGTCGTAGCTTCAATCACCCAGCGCTAGAACTGTACCCCACTGTCTTTTCATCTCTGGGTGTCTGGTCCCAGGACCCGTTAAGTTCAGGGTGATGTCCCTGAGTGATCATCGATCAAATATTAAGTTGGTGCAAAAGTTATTGCGGTTTTTGCCATAGATGAACAAGCGCGCGGCGCCAGGCTCTCTTAGGCCACCCTAAGCGATTCTCCCCTCACTGCCCTGGCTGAGCCCCCCCTCCCCATGTGTAAGAGGGTGTAGAACCCCCGTGGGACCCCGCCCTCCCAGGACAGCAGAGATCGCTGCATCCTCAGGCCAGCGGCCCCCGGAGCAGGCCGTGAAAGGGAAGGGATTCTGTTATTAAAGTCATCAGTTCTGGCGCCTGGGCCTTGGGGAGCCGAGCTTGGCTGGTAATTAGAGTCGTTAGGGGAGACGGAGCCGGCTGGGGCTTATGCTGGCGTGGACGCAGAGCAGGCAGAGCCCAGGCTGCGAGGCGGGGCGGCCCCCGGGACCTCCGCCACCTCCTCCTGGTGGGGCGCCCCGCACCGGCACCGCTCCCGGCCGCGGCCTGAAGGTGGCGCTGCAGGACCTCACAAGCGCGGCTGGGCGGGGCCGGGAGGAGGTGGGGAGGGGTCTGCAGAGAGAGGGAGGGGAATGGGGAGGGAAGGAGGGAGGGAGAGAAATGGGGGAAGGGGGAGTATAAGCGAAGGAGAGGACAAAAGAGGAGAAGTGAGGGGAGAGGAGGGGGAGAAAGACAGAGAGAGGGGAGAGTGGGTGGCATCTGAGCTGGTTCATCTAGGTGGAGTAAGAGTTAAAGAGGAGAGAGAGAGAGAGAGAGAGGAGGCCAGAGGGAGGGAGGAAGATAGAAGCCTCCTCCCCTCCTCGCTATTCAGGAGGTCTGAGGAGCCCAGATCCTCTTGGAACACCCGCTCCTCCATGCTTACAGAGAGGTCACTTCCTCCCATAGCCCTCCCTATGCCCTCTGTGGTCTGACCCAGGTGGACCCCAGCCCCATCTTTCCACACCTCCCCACCCTCCCCACCCTGCCCTGGCCAAGCAGAACTGCTTGCCGTTTCCAAGGGCACCAGGCTCCCCCTCTCTGCCAGTGCCCTGCCTGTGCTGGGCTGCTGCAGTAACCTTCTCCCCCTGAGCCTCTTCCCCTGGCTCCCCGACTTCTCCTTCAGGTCTCAGCATAGACACCACCTCCTCTCAGAAGTCCTCCCCTTCTCCATGTCCAGGGCCTGGCCTGCCCCTAGCTCCCCAGCCCCTCCCACATCTTCCCCCATCTCAGCACTGGCCAGGCTGGGCTGTGATTGATTCTGTGTCTGTTCCGCCAGCCAGACCGGAGGCTCCCTGAGGACAGGGACACGGCCTTGTCCCTCTCTGCGTCCCCAGGGTGGCCAGCCCAGTGGATGAACAGCCACAAGTGGGCTATAGATGCTGCCTAAGGGATGAATGGATGATCTCGGGAGGGGCTGGGTGTGGGAGATGAGGAAAGAAGGGACATGGAGCAGGAGGGAGAAAACAGCGGAGAGGAGGTTAATTAGGAGAGAGGCCCTAGGACACCCCAGCCACCAGGGTGCAGGGCCTGGGCCCCAGCACCGCGGGATTCCCGCCCTCCCATGGACCTCAGTGATCTTCCTTCTGAGGTCAGTGCCCACCTGGCTCTGGACCCCTCTGACGATCAGGAAGTTCTTCTTCCTCGTGGGAATCAGGGCTGCTTGAGTCACAAGTGACAGAATCTGCTCAGCTGCAGAGAAGAGGGGGTTTGGCATAAGGACCCTGGTCTCTCAGATGCAGCCAGAACTCAGGAGGGACCCGGACCGGAGACAGGAGCACCAGCCAGAATGCAGACTGACTCTCTTCCACCCACCTCATAAGACTTCAGGTCAGGTCTCTACTTTTCCCATTTCTCACGAATCAGAAATGCATGCATCAGTAGTTCACACAACCAGAAGACCCAACCAGGCTCTCTGTCTCAATTTAGAATTGGTAGCACAGGTACTCTGATTGGCCAAGCCTGGGCAGGTATCTTCTCCTGGTCCAATGCACTGATGGGGTGGGGAGCAGGGCAGGGTCACCAAGCAGAAACAGGGTTTTGGGAGGCGGTGCAAAGCACACTGGGAAGTCGGGGCAGGGAAGACCACTGGCATCCTCACCATGACTTTGCCCTCACCATGATGAGTTTGTGCAGTACCTATTCTTTGCCAGACACTCAGAGGGGCCATTTGACATCTCAGGGAAACATCCTCAAACCAGTTCCTGCTTTCCCATTTGACAGATGAGGGCCAGGGGCCCACAGCCCTGTGCTCGTTCCACTTCCCGTGCTCCCACCTTCTGCTCCCTCCTCTGCCACCGCCCTGCTGGATTTTCTTGGCTCCCTGTCCTCTCTGGACCTCAGTCAAATGGGGAGGACGGAGAGAGCTGTGAGGCTCCCTTTCACTCTGGCACTCAGTCTCTCTGCTCCATTTGAAGGCAGCTGCAGACCCGACATATCTTTCATACCCTTCCCTCACCAGGATCCTTTTGCTGTTTGGGGCCCTTGGAGAAGCCCCTGGGTAAATATTAATAGCACAGAGTTGTGTTTATGTTGGAGAAAGAGGGTGAGTCATTTCCTGCTTCTCTCCCAGACTCAGGATTGTAGCTAAGAATATGTCAGATCTTTGGCATGGCTGTGTGAGACCTGGCTCGATGGGGTCTCGCTGGAGTGAAGCCATGGAATGGCTGCCCCACCGACCACCATCCCAAAGCCAGGCCTGGAGGCTTGGGGTCCAGCCCCGGCCCAGCCCTGTCTGTGCTGTGTGGCTGGCTCTGCCTCTCGGGAGGATCATTGCATCTACCCAGCAGGCATAGAGGAAGCAGGCATGTGGAGCCTGGCACACGGAGGGGCCTGGGGATCCTGGTTCTCTTGCTGCTGCCTTCCCCGTGCCCTGCTGATCACACTCATCTGTCTTCCCTTCCCGGTGTGAACTTCTCAAGGACAGGGCGCAGGCCAGGTTTCCCTTGGTGGCCCAGAGCTGGCACAGGGCCTGGAACTTTGGAGGGGCTCTGTCCAGCTCATGTTGACCCCTTCACAGTCCTCAGCACCTTCTGGGGTGCCTCCCAGAGGCCAGGCTTGTGCCTTTTTAATGTGCTTCTAGAGAAGAGCAAGTGAGCCAGAGTAGACAATCAGAAAACAGATCCAAGTCAGACCAAGTGGAGTCCCTTTGCCAGAAATCTGGGACTGAGAGAATCTGGTTCTATCTGGGCTGTTCTGTCAGATGGAGGAGACATTCATGCTCAGGACCTGAAGGCCACTATCTTCTGTCCTGCAGATGGAGAAAGGAGAAGCCGGGTCTGCTGTGTCCTGGGCCTGTCTCCTTCTGAGGCTGGCTGCCTTGTCATCCTGGGGTTCCAGGAGATGTCCCTTGTGTTCTGCTTAAGCCAGTTTGAGTTGCTTCCTATAGCTGCACCACAGCACCAGCTAATCCGCTCACAGAAGGCCTCCATGTGCCAAGCACCAAGCCATTTCACGGCATTACCTTACATAGCCCTCACTTCCGACCTACCAGGTGCACATTATCATTCTCCCATCTCAGTGGGACAAAATCACAAAGTCACAAAGCTGGCACTGGGCGAGTTCAGGTTGATTGCCTGAGGTCCCCTGGAGTAGAACCTGATTTTTCCCCATAGCCCTAGTAGGATCTTCTGCCACCCAGACCTTCTACAATCAAATGGACTGAGCACCCACCAGAGCCCACCAACTCAGGCCTACGTGCTCAGCAGACCTATGGGGAGCTGGGAGCTTAGGGAGTCCCTGGGGCCGCCCTGCAGTGACCAGTCTGGAGCTTGGAGAGGAGATAGCTCGTGGGTGGTGTGGTGGGGTGGGGTGGGGGTCACTGCACACATCACTATCCAAACAGGACAGTCTGGCTCTCCATTCCAATAGTCATTTGAATGATCCGAGGATAATTGGAATCACAGAGCCATCTACTACTTCCACTCTCAGGCCACAGATGATTGTTTGGTGGCTACGGGCCCCGCCTGGTGCAGACACCGAAATGACCTTCCATTTTTCTCTCCCAGACGAGCCAGTGGATTCTTTCCAGGGCCAAGGTTCCCACTCAAACCTGAAACCCCCTCCCCATCAGCCCTCCAGGCACTGAGAGTAATTGGCTACCTGTGGCTGTCCCCAGGGGTGAGTGACCCCAGTGCTTTCAGGTAGAGCTATTTATAAGGAGGGAATGGGAGGCAGGGGCACCTGAAGCCTGTCCTGCTGACATCAGCAGACTGTTGGCAGTAGCTGTCTCCACCGTCCAGGAGCTGCCTTCAAAGCGAAGGGGAGTAGCAGTGGAGGATGCTGGAGGCCATTGAACCCAGCTCCTTCATTACACTGCCGGGGGAAACTCTGTTCCAGAGAGGAATAGACACAAGCCTAGTGTCTCACAGCAAGGCTGTGATGTGGCCAATGATACTGAGTGGATAGAGATTCCATGAACAATACTGAGTGGGTAGAGATTTTATGAACAATGTTGAGTGGATAGAGTTCTGCCAGGCATTATGCAGAACTCTGGACACAAGTGTAAGTCAGACAGACACAGTCCCCAAACTCATGGAAGTCACAAAATAAGCTGGGAGAGAAGCTACTCATTCTTTGCGAATTGTGTAGTGTGTGCCTGGGTCTTGGGGTCAGGGAGGGCTTCCCTGAGAGAGAGGAGGAGGAACAAGAGGAGGGAGGGGCGTTCCGGGTAGAAGCAGCAGAGCCAGAGGTGTTTGGAGGCTGCTGCAGAGCTGTGTGGGGGAGCAGAGGGAGGGAGGAGCAGAGAGGCAGAAAGGCCAGTAGCAGCCCAGAGGTCTGCAGGGCCCAGAGCACACAGCATTGTCGGGGAGCTTGACTCAAGCTCAGAACTGTGGACCTAACTCCAGGCTTGGTTGGTGGATCTATCCCCCAACATGGCTATTTCTTCACAGTGGGCCTTCATTAAACCAAAGAAAGAAAACACAGGTTAAACACTCAGGTTACCAAGGGACACCGAAAATGAGAAGGAAAACAAGCCAGCATTTGAGCAGTGGTTTGCCATTTGCCATTTGCAAAGCCCTTTTCTCACCTGTTGTTTCATTTGGTTTTTACCATAAGCCGCAGGCTGCAGAGTGCTGTCTTCATTATGCAGGTGAGTCAACTGAGGCTTGGTTAAGGGACTTGTCTAAGGACTTCCAGCTAATGAAGGGAGAAAACAGATTTGCATTCAAACCTGTCTAATTCCTAAATTCCATTTCCACATTTTTCACCAGACTGACAGGCAGGATTTTAAATAGGGGAGTGACTTTTAATCTGGTCATAGAAACAGAAAGGAATAGGAATCGGATGTTAGGGAAAGGAAAGAGAGGAAAGTCTGCGGGTGGGGCCCGGGCAGAGGCAGTCTCTGCAGGTGCAGTCAGCATGCCAATAAGAACAACAGCAGCTGCATTTACTTGAGCATTTACTATGTGCCGGGACTTTGCTAGCACCTAAGATGTGTCACCTCATTTACTCTTCAAATGGCCTGTGATGGGGGTGCCATCACAGCTGGCCCGTGGTGGAGCTGGGATCAGACCCAGGTCCGTCTGAGCAGAAACTGAGGGCTCAACTGCTACACCCCAGATAGAGCTTCTGCTGCCAAAATCTCTCCCTGGCTGTGACTTCTGTGTCTGTGTTTCTTCATCTGTAAAACAGGGATACCTGTGGAACATGAGGAAGAAATTTACATCCATCAGAATTTTTCTTAGGAAGAAAAATGCAATATTTATCTGAAAGTGGGAACCCATGTGGCGACAAAAGCCAACACCCCAAGGGTGCAGGCCCAGCTGGCACAAAGACTTTGTAGCAGGAAGCAGGTAGAAGCAGTGTGCATGAGGTGGGATAGAAGGCCGCTTCCTCCAGAGAAGGAGGCCGTGGGGAAGTGTAGAACAGCCAGTGAGGGGGTGTAGTCTATGCCTTCCCCTCCAGTCACAAATTTGTAATAAGCAAATGCATTCAAAATGCTTCACGTGCGCACATATTTTAGAAACCAGAGATGGAGCTAGGCTTTGCGTTTGAAATAACCCAGGATGAAAGAGACCCATCCAGGGGGACAGGGGAGCCCAGCTGCAGGAGCAGGAGCCCTGGGAATCAAGATAGTGTGGCCACGGGACTGCCCAGGTCTGGAGCTAGTTATACCAGTTTCTCCCAGGGCCAAGGGTGCCCCAGCCGGCACCTGGTTCCCCTGACCTTGCTAGTCATATCTACCTTCGAATCATCCTCCGACACTTCCTGCAAGCCATGCTCACGATCCTTCAAAGGATGAGTCTCCTCCCGCTCTCCAGACTCCAGTGCCCAGTGTCCTGCATCTTCATCCTCACACCCTCTGTGGTATCATCCTCACGCCCTCCATGGTATCATCCTCACGCCCTCCATGGTATCATCCTCACCACGTTTACAAAGTGAGCTCTGATCCTCCGTGTGACAAGCAAAGCAAGGCAAGGCTACAGGAGAAGGGAAGGGGAGGGAAGGGGAAAGTTAGGTTGAGAAAGTTTTTTTCTCTTCCTGGTTTGCTGGGAGTTCTCATTAAGAATTAATGTTGAATTTTGTCAAATGCTTTTTTCGTATCTATTGAGTTCTCCATATAATCTTTCCTTTTTAATTTTGTGAATGTTAAACCAATCTTGCATTTGTGGGTAATCGCTACTAGGTTGTGATGTGTTCTCTTTTCTATTTATTGTTGATTGCTATTTGCTAAAATATCATTTAGAATTTTTACAACTATGTGGCTGAGTGCGGTGGCTCACACCTGTAATCCCAACACTTTGGGAGGCCGAGGCGGGTGGATCACAAGGTTAGGAGATCCAGACTATCCTGGCTAACACGGTGAAACCCCATCTCTATTAAAAATACAAAAAAATTAGCTAGGCATGGTGGTGGGCACCTGTAGTCCCAGCTACTCGGGAGGCTGAGGCAGGAGAATGGCGAGAACTGGGAGTCAGAGCTTGCAGTGAGCTGAGATCACACCACTGCACTCCAGCCTAGGTGACAGAGCGAGACTCTGTCTCAAAAAAAAAAGAAAAAGAAAAAGAAAAAAGAATTTTTACAACTATGTTCTTGAGGGTTATTGGTCTGTAGTTTTCCTTTTTTGTGATGTCTTTGTCAGGTTTTGGCATCAGGATGATGCTGGCCTCATAAAAGAAGTTGGGAGGTATTATTTGTAAATATCTTCCTTAACTGTTTGATAGAATGTACCTGACAAGCTTTCTGGTCCTGGAGTTTTATGGGAGGGATTTGTAACTACAAATTCAACTTGTTAAAGAGATAAGGGCTATTCAGGTTATCTATTTCTTCTTAAGTGAGCTTACAAAATTTGTATCTTTCAAAAAATTTGACCATTTCATCTAAGTTTTCAAATTTATTGTCATAATATTTCCTGATTTTTCTTTTAATATCTGTATACTCTACAGTGATGTTACCTCTCTCATTACTAATATTAATTGTTTGGATTTTCTCTATCCTTTTTCCTGATCTTTCTGGCTATCTACACTCTCATTTCATTTGTCTTCTCAAAGCACCAGCTTTTGGTTTCTATTGCTTATCTGTCTTCAATTTCATTAATGACTGCTATTGTCTTCACTTTTTTTCTGATGCTTACTTTGGGTTTAATTTGCTATTCTTTTTCTGGTTTCTTAAAACTGAGGTCACTAATTTGAAAATGTTTTCCTTTCTAACACAGGCATTTAGTACTATACATTTCCCCCCAAGTACTGTTTTGTTGCATCCCCACATTTTCACATGTTATATTTTCTTTCTCTTTTAGCTCAAAATATTTGCTAGGTGCTCTTTCAGCTCCCCTGGCCCGTGGGTCACTGTGTTGCCTGGGTGTGGTAGAGAGAGTAAGTGGCTGTGACACTGTGGTCTACCATTCACTTTCTCCTGAGTGACTTCTTCTAGACTTCAGTTTTTCCACCTGTTCCATGAATGGGTCCCAGTGGGTCTTCCAGCTCCACTGTCCTCTGATTATGCTCAATTTAATCTCTTTGTTCCCTGGGTGGAAAACCAGACCCCTAAGAGTTAAGTACCTCATTTGTGGTCAGGACCAAAGAAGGTATAAAACCCCTGCTTCCTGACTCTGAGGGAAGAGTCTTTTCTCACCCCAAATTATAGTTTATGCAAGAGCTTATTAATCAGTTCCCTCATTCCAGGCACTAAGTGCTAAGAACTTCATAGGTAATATCTCAGCCTGTGAGGTAGGTGCAATTCTTATGGCCATTTTACAAATGTTTAAATCAGGGCTTGGCGATATGATGTCTCTTGATCCAGGTGTCACCTGAAGGAAGTAGAAAAGTCTGGGTTCAAATCTGGGTCTGTCCAACTCAAGCCTGGGGCCTTAATCACTTGACTGTTCTGTCACCTTCCATTTTACCACCACCAGCTCTGTTCCCTTTCTGACTCAGTCTGTGAACACAGCCTTGGGAGTTTTGGGGCAAGGTAGCAGAGGAGAAAAACCCAGAGCAGGCAGGAGGGGGAAGACGGAGTGAAAGGGAGAAGCTTTCTAATTATGAAAAAGTCTTTTGACCTTTTCGTGTTCATCCAACTAAGTCAAAAGGGGTTGCACTTTGGTGCACTGTCTTTAAGGATAAATGCAGATTAATGAGGAAAATCTGCTGTGCTAAGCTTGGAAAACATAGAGATCAAATTGAGCATGATATTAAGTCTGATAATGCCAGGTCACAGGCTGGAGTCAGAAGCAGAGCGTGGGTCCTGCTCATGCTCCCAGCCATGTCCTCAGATCCTACTATGAAGCAGAGGCCTGGCTTCATTACAGATCAACACCAGGGAGAAGGAGCAGGACAATTTAAACAGGAGTCTTTGTAGTCCACACTCCTTTCTCTGTCTTAAGACCAATTCATGGCCTTGTAAATTTCAGCAAAGCTTAAAGTAGAGGTTTTTGGGGGCTGGTTCCTATTGGGTACTATGGTCACTGAGAAACACTGCAGAGCAGAACTCAGACATTTAATATGTGGGCAGGGGATCAAGTGGAACTCAAAAAAGTCAAGAGTGGGGAAAAGAAGGTGACTCCTTGTTCAATTCCCACCAGCCCTGAAATCTCAGCCAAAGTGTCTTCTCTCTCTTAGCTTCAGTTTCCACACTTCTATAACAAGGCTCACCTTTCCTGCCTTGCAGGGTAGGATTAAGTGAAATAATGTATATAAAGGTGCCCCGTTCATCTCTTCAATCATTCAATAAGTGTTTATGGATGCCAACCATGGAACGGGCCCTGGGGAGACATCAGGCAGGAAAGCAGGCCTGGAAGGCCACTTGGCCACTGTATTAGTTTGTTCTCACACTGCTATAAAGAACTACCAGAGACTGGGTAATTTATGAAGAAAAGAGGTTTAATTGACTCACAGTTCCATAAGCTTAATGAGAAGCATGACTTGGAGGCCTCAGGAAACTTACAATCATAGCAGAAGGGAAGGGGAAGCAAGCACCTTCTTCACATGGTGGTAGGAGAGAGAAAGAGTGAAGGGGGGAGTGCCACACCTTTAAACCATCAGATCTCGTGAGAACTCACTCACTATCACAAGAATAGCATAAGAGAAATCTGCCCCCATTATTCAATCACCTCCTACTAGGTTCTTCCCTCAACATTTGGAATTACAATTCAACATAAGATTTGGGTGGAAACGTAGAGCCAAACCATGTCATTCTGGACCTGGCCTCTCCCAAATCTCATGTTCTTCTCACATTTCAAAACACAATCATGCCTTTCTAACAGTCCCCCAAAGCCTTAACTCATTCCATCATTATCGCAAAAGTCAAGTCCATAGTCTCATCTGAAACAAAGCAAGTCTCTTCTGACTATGAGCCTGTACAATCAAAAACAAATTAGTTACTTCCCAGATACAATAGGGGTACAGGCATTGGGTAAATACTCCCATTCCAAATGGGAGAAATCAGCCAAAACAAAAGGACTATAGGTCCCACGCAATTCTGAAACCTAGCAGTGCAGTCATTAAGTCTTAAAGTTCCAAAATAATCCCTTTTGACTTAATGTCTCACATCCAGGGCACACTGATGCAGAAAGTAGACTCCTAAGTCCTTGGGCAGCTCCATCCTTGTGGCTTTGCAGGGTACAGCCCCCCACTGCAGTTGGTGCTGAGTGCCTGTGGCTTTTTCAGGTGCATGGTGCAAGCTGTCAGTGGATCTACCATCCCGGGGTCTAGAGGACAGTGGCCTTCTTCTCACAGTTCTATTTGGTGGTGCCCCAGTGGGGACTCTGTGTGGGGATTCCAACCCCACATTTCCCCTCCACACTGCCCTAGTAGGGATTCTCCATGAGGGCCCCACCCCTGCTGCAGACTTCTGCCTGAACATCCAGGCATTTCCATACATCCTCTGAAATTCAGGTGGAGGTTCCCAAACCTCAACTCTTGTCTTCCATGCACCCACAGGCCTAACACCACATGGAATTCCTACACAGAAAATGAGTTTTTCTTTTCTTCCACATGGTCAGGCTGCAAATTTTCCAAACTTTTACACTCTGCTTCCCTTTTAAATATAAGCTCCAATTTCAGACCATCTGTCTTTTTATGCAAATAAGCATAGGCTTTTAGGAGCAGCCAGGCCACATATTCAATGCTTGGCTGCTTAGAAATTTCTTCTGCCAGATATGCTAAATCATCTCTTTCAAGTTCAAAGTTCCACAGATCTCTAGAGCAGGGGCACAATGCTGCCAGTCTCTTTGCTAAAGCATAGCAAGAATGACCTTTGTTCTAGTTCCCAATAAGTTCCTCATCTCCACCTGAGACCACCTGGACTTCATTGTCCATATCACTATTAGCATTTTGGTCAAAACTATTCAACAAGACTCTAGAAATTTCCAAATTTTCCCACATCTTCCTGTCTTCCTCTGAGCCCTCCAAACTGTTCCAGCCTCTGCCCCAAACAGTTCCAAAGTCGCTTCCACATTTTCAGGTATCCTTATAGCAGTGGCCCACTCCCAGTACCAATTTTCTGTATTAGTCTGTTCTCACACTGCTATAAAGAACTACTTGAGACTAGATAATTTATGAAGAAAAGAGGTTTAATTAACTCACAGTTCCACAGGCTTAACAGGAAACATGACTTGGAGGCCTCAGAAAACTTACAATCATGGTGGAAGGGAAGGGGAAGCAAGCACCTTCTTCACATGATGTCAGGAGGCCAAGAAAGAGTGAGGTGGGAAGTGCCACACATTTTTAAACCATCACATTGTAACATAACTGCCCAGTGGGTTCACCTTGCCTGCTGCCTAGATAGAGTTGATTTATCAAGACAGGGGAATTGCAATGGAGAAAGAGTAATTCATGCAGAGCTGGCTGTGTGGGAGACGAGAGTGTTATTATTACTTAAATCAGTCTCACTGAGCATTCACATTCGGGAACCAGAGTTTTTAAAGTTAATTTGGTGGATATGGGCTTGGGAAGTGGGGAGTGCTGATTGATCAGGTTGAAGATGGAATCATAGGGGATTGAAGCGAGTTTTTCTTGCCATCTTCTGTTCCTGGGTGGGATGACAGAATTGGTTGAGCCAGATTACCGGTCTGGGTGGTGTCACCTGATCCATCAAGTGCAGGGTCTGCAAAGTATCTCAAACACTGATCTTAGGTTTTACAATAGTGATGTTATCCCCAGTAGCAATTTGGGAAGGTTCAGACTCTTGCAGCCAGAGGCTGCATGACCCCTAAACTAATTTCTAATCTTGTAATTAATTTGTTAGTCCTGCAAAGGCAGACTGGTCCCCAGGCAAGAAGGGAATCTTTTCAGGCAAAGGGCTACTATCAACTTTGTTTCAGAGTCAAACCATAAACTGAATTTCTTCCCAAGGTTAGTTTAGCCTATGCCCAGGAATAAACAAGGACAGCTTAAAAGTTAGAGGCAAGATGGAGTCAGTCATGTCTGATCTCTTTCACTATCATACGTTCCTCAGTTATAATTTTAGCAAAGATGGTAAAGATCTCATGAGAACTCACTATCACAAGAAAAGCATGGGGGAAATCCGCTCCATGATCCAATCACCTCCCACCAGGTCCCTCCCTGATCACTGAGAATTACAATTCAACATGAGATTTGAGTGGGGACACAGCGCCAAGCCATATCAGCCATGGTTCACCTGTCCAGGACTCACACATATCCATGAATGTGACTCCCACTAAAGCCATCTAGAAGCTGGTGGTTAAGTGGCCTGAAAACTGGGTGGGGCAAGGTATGAACCTGACTCTGCTCTTAACCTGCTAGGTGGCCTCAGGAGCTCCCTCAGCCTCTCTGAGCTTCAGATTTTTTATTATCTGTGTGGAAGGTGAGGACCACAGATAAGGCTGAGAAGGCTGGACTGTCTAAGAGTGGGCTCAGCTTGGACAATGTTGTGTTCTTGTCAGAGTCTTCTTCTAGAGGCTTCAGTACCACAGATCTATCAAGGCATTTGGGAGTTATTGCAGCACCAAAGTAGGGATGAGAATTCTTCCTAATACGGAACTACATACCATTTCTCTAATAATGGTTTCCCTTCTGGGAACAGACTGGATTTCATGGTATAGAAAACCTCAAAACTTGTCCTGCTCAGACAGCCTTACAGAGCTAGTAATACAAACCTGAGTTCAAATTTGGGTTGCATGACTTTCTGCAGGTCACTCCCTCTCTGAGCCTCAGTTTCCTCATTTATAACATGAGAATAATTACATCGCAGGGCTGATAGAGTGTGTGAAAACTCATAATCTGGTCCAACTGAGGCCTTTGTTAGCATTTGTGTCCTTCCTGAAGAACCTGGGAGGAACTATAGTTTTTCTACTTTTTAAGATCCCTCCCCCGTGCCCCCCACCCCACCTAGAACAGCCTAGGTTATAGAGACCTCTAGAGGCCTTTCTGATCTCTTGACAACCTCTATTATCCCTCCCTGTTGGTAATTCCCAAAGCCCTCACCCACTGGGAGCTCTGACTGCAGCTGGGCCTCCTACAATGACCACATAGGCATCTGCTCTGAGCTGGGAGCTTTGATGGTTTATAATGGATGCACCCAGAAGCCCTGCAAGGTGGGCCTGATCTCCTGCTTACAGATGGGAAACTAGGGTCCATAGGCAGGTCTAGCACTTGGAGTTTACACAATCAGCAAGCAGCAGATCCATGGTCCAGGCCATTGCCTTCCAGTCTCAGAGCCTGCACCCCCCCGCACCTGCTGCCTCTGGGTTCTGCCCCCAAATGGGTCACTAACATTACCCAGCACTGACTCCATGCCAGGCATTCCTCAAAGTGGGCTCCATGGGCCAATTCATTCAATCCTCACAACACTCCTTAAGGGAGAGGCTGTTAGGATTTACAGGTAAGGAAATGAAGGCACAGAGATGTGTCGCCCAGTGTTGACCACCATGATTAAACCTCTGCCCACCTCACCCCAAGGCCCACACTCCTAACCCAGATGCTTCAGCAATACCTGCTGCATCCTCTGCCTGGGCAGCCTTTACCCCACCTTTTATCCATTTCCATCTCGAAAAAATGCATTCTTGGTTCAAAAGCCAAATCAAGTGCCACCTCCTCTGGGAAGCCTCCCCTGACCTCCCCTCCAAAGCAGCCCCATACCTGGGTGGAGTCCCTCTGTGAGCACAAACATCTCCCACATCCCTGGGATATTCTCCAATTGTCCTTACCCTCTAGACAATGGATCTGAAGGGTGCAGCACCAGATGGCCTCAATAAACCCTGATGAAGGACCTGGTTATTTAATAGAAACTACTGGCCTAGGGAGCCCAGGGGCTGGACATCCCCTTACTGCAATAGTCTTGGGTGCCTTTGGTTGAATCGTTTTACACCATGAAGAGGGAGTATAAACTTCAAGCTGCCTCAAAGCCAAGTGGGATGGGGATAGCTCATCTCCTGAAATTCCTTCTAATGAAATATTTATTTTATTCATTCTGCACAGACACTGCCATGTTCTGGCCCCTCACTGCTCTCTGCCCTCTCACGCTGCTTTAATTTCTTCACAGCCCTTCGCAGCAATGGATGCTGTACACTCAAGATTTATTTTCTTTTCCCTGCAGTAGAATATCAGTTCCACTGGGGCAGGGAACTGGGTCTATCTTGTAACACCATGGGATTCCTTTGCCTAGAAGGGTGCCTGCATCCAGTGAGGGCTCAGAAAGTGTTTGCTGAATGAGTGACCTGATGAATGAATGAATGAATGATGAATGCCATGGGGTCTGAGGTCAGGCAGATCTGGGTTCAAGCCTTGGCTCTTCCCCTGAGCTCTGGTATATGCCTGAGCTTTTGTCTGTGAATCTCCATCCTCTTCTTTCTAACGCGGAGTCATTAACAGCAGTGCCTCTCTCATATGATGTGCTTGCAACAGCATGAGAGAAGGTTCTGGAGGGCTGAGCACAGCACCTGGCACACAGTGAGCTCTCAGCACAGGTTCTCTCTGTGGCTACGTACAAGCTACACTCATAGGCTCTGAGCTGTGGGACTTGGGGCAAGTGGCTGTCCTCGGAGTCCCAATTTCCTCATAATCATATCACCCATCCTGGAAGGTGGTTGTGAAAGCTCAGTAAAATGAGAATGATAACGATGCTATGATGATAGCCAAAATAATTAAGTACTTCCTATGTGCTTAGCCCTGGTTTCATACAAATTCATGTATTTTATCATTATTATTATATTAGAATGATATAATATAATTATATATTAATACAATATTATTATTATTATAATGATAAAATATGTGAATTTAATACAACCCTAGGAAGTGGTATTATCATTATTTCCATTTTACACTTGAGAAAGCTTAGGCACAGCGGGGAAGTAATGGGCCCTGGGCCACCAACACGTGGGCAGTGGGCCCAGCACGCCGTGGGCCTCAGTGGCCCTCAGTGACGCATGTGCCGCAAATGCCCATGCTCAGCCCTTGTCCTGCAACTCGGCTGGGCCAGTCTCTGCTTAGCTGCTCTGTACCCCACTTGGAGGCAGGTGATATTTTATCAACTATTAGTTCTTCAGTCATTCTATTGTTTTTTTTAAAACAACCAGGGCCATTGGTCCTGAAAGGAGGGCAGAAGGAGGCCACAGAAGGCTGGAGATTGGAGGGTTGCGAAAGTGAGAACAGCACTTGGATGGATGACAGAGAAGTGGAGGAAGACAAACAGTGTTATTAGGTGTGTGTTTATTTATTTGAACTCAAATAGATTTCCAAGTTTCCACCGAGACTTCTGCTATCAAAAGGGAAGAGGTAGAATGAAGTCTGGAGCTTGGGGGATGTGACTGCCCAGCTGCAGAAAGACGAGGAAGTACAGCAGCAAATGCTAGGCCTGCACCAGCCCACGAAGTTCATGGTAGCCAGCAGGGAGGGCCTGGGGGTTCTGCAGGGAATGGACATTTATTGAGCACCTGTTTGTGTGCCAGGCCCTACAAATGCAGCGGAAAACAAGGGAGGCAGGTCTTGTCCTCATGGAGTGCTCATGGGGGATGACAGAGGTGGGGACACATCAGACATGTGAGCTAGAATTAGTTGGTTCACTGACATGGTGCCACAGTGGCATGATAATGCTAATGCCTCTGGGGTTACTGGTCATCTGGGTAACTTGCTCCACTGTCATTAATGTGGGTGAGCATTAAAGTAAGGAGATGTGTGGTCATCTCCATCTGCCCAGATCTTTGCGCTTAGCAAAGAGCTTCGTAGATGTTACTGTCTGGCTGTGTGGGAAGCAGGGAGGTCCAGGGTCCACCATGTCAAGGGCACAGGTGACCCTCCCAGGGGCCCCAGCTAGGTTCTTCTGGTATCAGAAGGGAAGAGAGTCTTCTGCAGGGCCAAGGGGGCAGAGCAGGGGACAGTGAGAGAGGCGGGGTAGAGGTGGGGAGTGGGACCAAAAGAGGAAGACACTGATCTTAGGCAATTAGCCAGGCACAAGAGGCTGTGTGTGTGAAAAAAGAGAGAGAGAGAATGCTTCTTTGACCTCACAGACTACACACACACACATACACACACACGTGTACATGGGCACAAGATGCACACACAGGCATATGCACAGTGGTACATGCATACACACATGCACACACAATGACATGGGCACATGTGTACACACTCACATGTATGTTCATGTACTCGTGGATACGCAAGGAGACACAAACCACAGCACATTTCTCTTCTTCCTGGAACTTGTCACATTCCAATTCCACATTTTGCTGTGGCTATTGGATGATTGTGCCCCACCTGCACCCAGACTGTGAGCTGCTCTGGGACAGCAAGGGCAGGCTGGATGGAGGCATGGCTCAGCAGTGCAGGCCCAGCAGCGGCACAGTACCCAGCACATAGTAGGCGCTCAATAATCAGTTTCGGTGTGAGGGAGCTGAGGCTGACAACACATTAAAGAGGAAACTGTGCAGAGCCATTTGAAACAGAGCTCAGGGTGACTTCCGGGAGAAGGCCTCTCATCTCACCCTAATTGACACTTAAGTATCCGAGGTTTGTTTTGCTTTTTAAGCACAAATCAGCACAGGATTTGGGACATGGAACTCCGAGCGAGGGCTGGGAAGAGCCGTCTCCACACTGAGCAGGCTTCACCTTGCTGGCTTCAACTTTCCAATGGCTCTTGCCACTTCCACCCTCCAGCTTCGATAAGGAGTCTCCAGTGCACTTAACACTCAGTAGGGTTTCCAGGGAGCAGAGCAACAGCGAGCATCTATTGATCACTTACTGTGTGCCCAGTGCCTAATACAGCACTTCACATACACTAACCCATTTAATCTTCATATCAGCCCGTTGAGGTAAGTACTATCCCCGTTTGACAGACGGAGAGGATGGGACACAGAGAGGGGAGGCTGCTTGCCCAAAGCCTCACCTCTGGTGAGTACAGGGGTGGTTGAAGCTTGGGCTCCAGAGAGACTCTGGCCTAGTTTAAATACCTTGGCACTTGGGTGACACTGGATGTCTTGTTTGGAAAATGGGGTCACAGGAACAGCCCTGGAAGGACCATGGTGAGGACTGAAGGAGGAAATGAAGGTGCTTGATCAATGTCCCTTCCACACGTAGACTCATAGTAACCACAGAGATGACTGAGGTGAGCCCAAGGAACCAGAATATTAGCACTGGAAGGGCCCTTAGAGCACTGAATTTAATAGTCCCATTTTACAGACTAGAAAACTGAGGGAAGCAATTGTTCTGAGGTTGCTGGAACTGACTGACATCTTCTTATTCATGGCCTAATATCCCTTCCTCAGCCACAGCTGTGGTTCAATGTTGCCTCTAAATCAAAATAATAATCCATCAAATAAAGGGAAAGGCAAGAATGAGGGTCCCATCTGACTTGTAGGGACTTGGGCTGTGCTTACCTGCTCATCCTAACAGCAGGAGACGAGCAGGGGGTGGGGGCGAGGACAGGGCACCCGGGCCGGCCTTTCTACCACCAAACCACAGGCATGGCTCCCCCAGTCTGGGGCCCTCTAGGAGCACCTCAGGGTTGAGCACATGGCTCGGCTTGCCCTTGCAGGCCTGTCCCAGCCTCCCCCTCAGCAGCATCTCCTGCCACACCCAGCCCTACCAGACCCTGCACCCTTCTCTGAGTCTATGTCACTCTTCTTCGGGGTTAGGACAATTCACTGAAAATTCATTTCTAGAGCCCAACTCTCAGATAAACAACTCCTCATAAACTAGTCGGCAAAGTTGACATGCTAAATGACTCATTTACCAAGAACGGTGAGACAAATACCTTGGCACACAGGTGCGTGGGCAGCTCATGGCACAGGGTGGTTCATCTGCTGAAGGACTCTTTATTGAGCACCTGCTATGTGCCAGGGCAGCATAGTGCAGTGGTTAGGAGGTAGAGAAGTCCTTCTCACTGCCAGAGGCATAAATGGGGCAAGAGGCAACAAAAGCAGTGAAGAGAGTGGAGAGTGAATTGGGACTGTTCATGCCTTCTCCTGTGGCCCTGGCTGGCCTGGCAGCCCTGTCCACTGTCTCACTGCCCCTCTCACCTGAGCACTGCTGGGGGTTCCACACTAGGCCTTCCCTTTGCCTCCACTGAACACGGCCCTGCATTCACCCCAGAACCCTCTGCCTCTGCCTGCAGACCCAGACCCCTCCCCTAGTGCCTGCACCTGTGCTCAGCTCCTACCACCAACCCTGGAGAGAGGCGAACACCCCTGCTTCAGGCCTTCCCAATCCAGGACTCATGGCCAGAGTGATAGGCAGGTCCCATCGCCTGCCCTCTCTGGGGGTAATGGCCTCATTAATATAGGAGAGGATCTCTGGCTGTGGTTATAGAATTTCATACCCTGCTTCTCTCACCAAACAGCATCTATTACTTTAAGCAAATAAAAATAGACACAGCTAAAGCAAGTTGGAAAAATCAATAAGTAATAAAAGTTAACATGAAAGCAAATACATGAGCTCAATCACAGAAGATCCTGAGAGGGTGTCTAGTAAATTGAGTCCAGCTACGCACCCAAGGGGCCAAGATTCCTAGCAGAGGTATGGCCTTGATTGGGAGTTGGGGGCTCCCCACTTCATCCCTGCTCCAGCATTTCCCTGCAATCTGAGGCAGTGGTGGAAGGAGCTGGACTGAAAGTCCGTGTGTTGCTGAGCAACTCTTGCTTCGGGTCCATTCATTACTCAGCAACTATGCACTGAGTGTCCACCATGTGCCAGGGCACTATCAATAGCACAGTGGTCAGGAGTGTGCATGATAAACGTGGACTTTCTGGGTTCACAACCCATCTCTGTCACTTACCAGCTGTGTGTCCCAGAACGAGTTACTTAGCCACTCTATGCCTCAGTTGTCTCATCTACAGAATTTGATAATATTATTTATTTCCCAGTGTTCTGGGAAGAACTAAGGTAGATACTTTATGCAAAGTGCTCCCATCAATTGCTGGCACATACTAAGCTCTTGATGAATGTTAGGAATTGTTAGGCTTGTATGGGTTCTTCACTGAACATGACAGATATTGTCCCTGCCTCACAAAGCATATCTACAAGGTAGCAGTCTATTGAGTAGATGATGCAAGTGTGGCTCACAACCTAAGTGACTTGTCGAAGGCCACTCAGCTAGTCAGTGATAGAACAGGGATCTGTCTAGATCTATTACAACTGTGTTTGGCTGTAACAGAAAACTTGACTAATAGCAGCTTTAACAAATACAGGTTTATTTTTCTCACGTGAAATGAGGTCCAGAGGACAATTGCTGGCGCTGGGCACTCATGATGCCATCAGGTACCAGGTGCTCTCATTCTGCTTTTCTGTTCTGTCATTCTTGGCATGTTTGGCTTTGTCTCTCTGCTTGTTACCTCATGGTCACAATGGGGCTGCCACAGCTCCAGGCATTTTGTCTGGGTACCAGCCAGGAAGAAGGAGGAGAGCAAAAGGGCACAGAATTATTTTAGACAAGTCTATCCCTTATCCTGGACCAATCACTGGCCAAGAGAGATGAGATTACCATGGCTAATTTAGACCAATCAGAATTATTCCTGACAATAGGCACCTATCCTCCATGAGAGCAAGAGAAGGAGGAAGAGAGGGCAGGTGGGTGAGTGAGTGACAGATGGTGTTGGCCACACAGTGTGACCACTGGGACACGCTGCCCCTCCACACTCTGCCAGCCTGACATTCTTCATGCCTCTGTCAATGTGCACTGAAGCCCCTGACTTTGGGCCACGCCTGAAGCCAGCTCCTGGGGCTACAGGGGTGAGTGAGATGTGCCTCTGTCCTCAGGTGGCTCCCAGTCAGATGGGGGAGGTGGTGGAGAAATGGGCGGTCCATTTAGGTGGTCAGTTCTCTGATGAGAATGGAACTGTAGGGCACAGAGGAAGCCCCTCTTGGCATTAGACAGTCAGGAAGATCCTGGTCCTAGTTGATCCCATTCATCTCAGGGTGGAGACCTGGAGGCCCAAGGGCAGGGAGGTCAGTGAGGAGGGAGGGGCTTTCAGGACTGGGGGAAGAGGTCCTGCAAAGGCCCAGGAGAAGGCAAGTGAGCAAGATGCCAGCAGGACGGCAAGTCCCTGAGGCTCCCGTAGGTCATGGGAGGTGAGGGGTGGCCAAGGATTGAGAAGATAAAAAAGGCAGCAGGGGCTGCACCCCATGGGATTTTAGGAGCCACGAGGAGGGATCTGATCTTGACCTTGAGTACAGTGGGGAGCCTGGGGGACAGGAGGCCTTGGGGAGACTCTGGGATGTGCATTTTAGAAAGATCGCTATGCTGCTGCATGGAGAGTAGGCTGGGAGCGGTGGAGTGGAGGGAGGGCTAGGGGAGGAGTGGAGTAGGGGATGGGCTAGGGGAACGGTGGAGTGGAAGGGAGGGGGTGGGGTGGAGTGGAGAGGAGGGAGAGCTGGGGGAAGAATGGAGTGAAGGGTGGGCTGGAGGAGGGATATAGTGGAGGGAGGGCTTGGGGAGGGGTGTAGTGGAGGGAGGCTGGGGAGTGGTGGAGTGGAGGCAGGGCTGGGGCACGGGTGGAGAGGATCAAGGGGTTGGGGAGGGGTGGAGTGGAGGGAGGGCTGGGGCAGGGGTGGAGTGGAGGGAGGGCTGGAGGAGGGGTGTAGTGGAGGGAGGGCTGGGGGAGGTGTGGAGTGGAGGGAGGGCTTGGGGAGGGGTGTAGTGGAGGGAGGGCTGGAGGAGAGGTGTAGTGGAGGGAGGGCTGGGGGAGGGGTGGAGAGGATCAAGGGGTTGAGCAGGGGTGGAGTGAAGGGAGGGCTGAAGTGGAGTTTGAGCTGGGGGAGCGCTGGCACTGGACCCAGTTGGGAGGCTTCCGTGTTCATCAGGGCTGTGCATGGTACTTCCCCCAGGAAGGTAGCAGGCATGGGTACACAGGCCCTGTTAGTGAGGAAGCTGGGAGGTGGTGGGTGAGCAGGGATTCAGCGGTCACCTGGATGTTGGTGAAGAGTGGATGGTGGGTCTTGATGAACAAGATTTTAGTCCGGGTAGCTGGATAGACATTTATTGACAGCCAGAAACACAAAGGAATCTCTCTGAGATGCTGCTATTCTAGCGTTCATCTCTCAGCATGGCCCAGGCTGGTCCCAATTGATCCCATTCATCTCTGGGTGGGTTTCCTGTGCAGCTTCCTGTAACTGTGGCAAGCAACCTTAAAGCCTCCCAAAGTCCCCCTTCTGGCCTTGCCGGAGGCTCAGGGATCCTCCCAGGAATGTGGGGGGCAGTGCTGTCCTGCAGTTCCTAAGCACAGCTTCAGTCTTCTGCTGGAGTCTGGTTACAGGTGGGTCAATGTTCTTCACTTTCTGTCCTGCTCAGATCAGGAAACCCTCCCCGGCTCACCGCCAGGCTGTCTCCTGAAGTCTCCTATAGATACGGTCCTCCAGGAGGGCTGGGGGCCCAGGCCTGAGTCCCACCGAGGGTTCCAGTTTCTTGTGGATGCCAAGGGCTCCTCTTCCCTGAAAGTCTCTGCTGCTGCCTCCTGCGCTGTGTGGAAAACGCGTGAACACAATGCTGAGAGAGCTCTTGGCTTTCTCCGGGGCACATTTCATTCCAGATCTGTGCTTTTCCTTTCCCAGTTGCTCAGAGAAATGGACACTTGGAGCCCTGGACCTCGGGCTGTCCACACCGGGAACAGAGGCAGCAGGAGCTAAAACCAAAGGTAGGGGTCAGGGAGCGAGAGCCAGGAAAGACACAGGCACTGAACACTGATAATTTAGCCCTGTGTTCCCTGATTTTCACTTTACTTGCTCTAAATCTTTTTAATATCATTTTGATAACCTGACAAACTACCCAGGAGATGGGGCCCTGGGAGGATAGTAACAGCTGACACTTACAGGACACTTGGCTACTCAGACCCTGAACTAAGTACATCCCATTTGTTTCCTTGTCTCAGATTCACCAAAACCCTGTGAGCTGGTACTGTTACTACCCCATATGTATGGATGAGGAAACTGAGGTATAAATAGGTTAAGTCACTTGAAGGCCACACCTTTTGTGCATCATGAGTCAACCTCCCCACAACCCACACTTCCCTCCCCACAGCTGCTAAGAAGGTCCTCTGTGACGATCTGGTCCTTCCCTTATTATGCAGAAGGAAAAACTGAGGCCCAGAGAGGATAAGCGACTTGTCCAAGGTCACACAGCACTTTCATGGCTAAGCCAGGCCTCTTGTTTCCTGCTCATGCCAACACCTGCAGGCTGCTCTGATCACTTTCTCCTCAGTCCTTGGAAGGAAAGTGAACCAGAGGCTGAAAGAGGCCAGGTGCAAAGAGGCCCAGGCTGCCCAGGCATGGAGGGTGCCATATAGATGGGCAGTGCTTACAGCTTGCAAGCTTCCCAAGGACCCTGGGATCCCTCCTTCCTCCCACCCACACACTGCAGAGAAATACATCCTTTAAAGATGAAAAGTTGGCTTGAAGTAAACAGATTAGTAGTGGTTATGTACTAGCACTTTATTAATTAAGTGACCTGAATACATTTAAACCTGGGCATTCAATTTAGATGTATAGGGATAATTTAGATTTATAAGGCCAGTTATTATGCATTAAGTATAGAAAATGCCAATTGATTTTCACGGGTGATATTTATTGGAGTATTAAAAAAGAAAACTATGTACAATGTAATTACCCTTCCATGGAATGTAGGAGCTGGCAGGAAGTTAAACGGCAGTGGCAGGGGAGGCGTGACTCACTTCAGGAGCCACTCGCTTACCCTATGGATGGGAACTTCATCTCCCCCTTGTTGGTCATCAAAATAAAAAGTGAACATCATGCCACAAATGAGATATGCACAGAGCTGTGGTGCAGGATGCTGTCCAGGCCACTTCTGTGCCAGCATCAGGGCTGGTGGGCACCTGGGGCCATAATCTTCTTATTTCCAATCCTTCCATCTTATTCTTTGCAAGTCCCTCATCATTGGACTGAACAATTAGCCACTGCCTATGAATCAGATTTTTGCCTCTGGCCATTTTCCCATCGCAGCTAGGTGGACAGAGAGATGTGCCACTTGAAGACCTGCCCACCGGGAGGACTTCTCTTTCTCCCTGTCTTAGGTCCCTCTGGATTGTTGCAGAGTCCCCTCTGGCCAGTCTAAATATGTCAGCTGATGTGGGTCAATCGGTTCCTCTTCTCCCTCTGCAAAGGTGTGCCCACCCAGACATCAGAATCTGAGCTTATTTGGAATAAGGATCTTTGCAGACATAATTAAGGTAAGGACCTCAAGATGAGATCATCCTGGATTAGGCAAGCCCTAAATCCAATGACAAGTGTCTTTATAAGAGACAGGAAAGGAGAAGACAGAGACACAGGGTGGAGAAGGCTGTGTGAAGGTGGAGGCGGAGACTGGTGTGATGTAACCAGGAGCCAAGGAGTGTTAGGAGCCCCAAAGCTGGAAGAGGCAAGGAAGCTTCTCCCTTAGAGCCTGCAGAGAGAGCCTGGCCTTGCTGGCATCTGGATTCCAGACTTCAGAACCGTGAGAGAATACATTGCTCTTGTTTTAAGCCACCAAGTTTGTGGCCATTTGTTCCAGAAATCACAGGAAACGAATGCAGCTGGTGAAGGAGAAGGCTCCTCGAGGCTCGGGTGTGGGTCTAGGGAAAGATGGCAGTGCCACTGGAGAGTGCTCTGAGACTCTCACCACTGGCCCATGCAGCAGTTTACCTGCCTCCGGGATGTGCTCAGGCCCAGACTGATGATGGTCTAATGCTGCACCTGCTGAGTCCGTAACCCAGTGGACCGGATGATACCCAGGCCAAGATGGGCTGCCCGGGTTGCAGTCGGTTGGTGCCTTGGGTCAGGCATTCTGCCTCTACCAGTGTAACTGAAAAGCTGATTACTTGGTAGCTGCATGTGGAGTCCAACTAATAAAAGCGAGGTCTGCTAGAAGAAAAGTGAATTTATTTTGAAGCCAGCTTGGGGAAAAGGCAAAAAGTGTCCTGCCTTTAAATGTGCTGCTTCACCTTTGGAGCAGAAAGCGGACATTTTTATAAGGTAAGGGGGGAAGTGTGCAAGGGCAGGGGGTCCCCCGGCTAACCTGGTGTCTTATCTACCGGACAGCTGAGTTGGCGCCTTCCTGGGCAGAAATAAGTTGTAAAAGAGGTCAAGCAGGCATGCTTTCCATATACCTTCCTGATGGATGAAAGTCTCAGGCAAGTCCTGGAGGGCAGAAGTTCGGAGGCCATCTCCTGGAGGTGAAAGGTCACACCTGCATTTCTGAAGGGCTAAGTAGAAAACAGGGACTAGGGAAAGGGGAGAGGAGAAAAGAAGAGAAAATCATGGAAAAATAATAGTAACTCATTTCCTTTTTCTTAGAAAAAAGGAAGCCACTTGGTTACACCAGGGCTCAGTAGAAAGCCAAGAGCTATTTCTCAAATGCAGAATAGTTATCTACAGAAGAGGATAGGGCTTTGCACCAAAAAACTGGGGCAACTGTGCTGCTGGTGTCTCTTGCTGGGGCTTGAGTCTCCTACTGGGGCTTGCTGCTGGCCCCATACAAGATCCCTACTTGTACAGAGACTTGGGTTCCACTAGACAGGCTGGGTTATAGGCCCAGGTGTCAGGGCACTGGCCTGGAGATCAGCATTGCTGCAGGGCCTTTCCTGGCTCTAAGACTTGCTCAGTTTTACAAGTCATTTACAAAATGCACTGGGGCAGCACACACACGGCACACACCTCATTCTTGGAGGCCCTCTGCTTCCCAATCAACGCCTTCACTTTCAAGGAACAGACAGTAAGCTTGTGAGTCCAACGTATGATGCAATTCTACAACCCACAGGATGACATTTTAGATGTGATTTTCATTTGTGTCTGCCCTATAGCTAGAAAACACAAAAGCTTCCTTGAGGGCAATCTAATCACTGGTTATCTATCCGTGCTCTGAGCAGAGATTTGAAACACAGTGCTTGTCATTTTCTTTCTACAAACTCTCCAGTACTGTCATAAGTAGCCATTGTACTCCTCATTCCTTCTGATAGTCATGATTACTACCTCAGAGGCCAAGTGCCGCAGCCACTTGGGCTGACGATTCTCAGTGTTCAATAGGCACTTTGTCCCAGGCAACCGTAAGTGATGATTTAAGTGATTTAATGTCCCTGCACACCAAGGCATACTACAATCTCACTGTCCCTGGCCATGAGGTTCTCACTGTGTTTAAGCCTAATCAAGTCAAACAGCCCACCCCCAAATCCCATTATTGAAGGTTTGTTTCCTGGTAGCACAGCTGATACCAAGTGCTATATCATTCAGGGTTCATTTAGAAAAAACAGGAAGTACGCTAGAAATTGTAAACAGAGGGGAGTGAATGCAGGGAGCTGATTATGAAAGTGGTGAACAGGCTGAAAGGGCAAAAAGAAAAAGATAGGAAGGCCCGGCGTGGTGGCGCACACCTGTAATCCCAGCACTTTGGGAGGCTGGGGCAGACAGATCACTTCAGGTCAGGAGTTCGAGACCAGCCTGGCCAACATGGCGAAACCTTATCTCTATTAAAAATACAAAAATTAGCTGGGCGTGGTGGCAGGCGCCTGTAATCCCAGCTACTCAGGAGGCTGAGGCAGGAGAATCATTTGAGCCCAGGAGGCAGAGATTGCAGTGAGCCGAGATCACGCCACTGCACTCCAGCCTTGGCAACAAGAGCAAAACTCCATCTCAAAAAAAAAAAAAAAAAAAAAAAAAAACAGTAAAGAAAAGAAAAGATAGGAGCCCTAGTCCTGGAGGCACAAACCAGAGGAGGTGGTGCTGCAGAGCTCAAGACTGCGTGTCCTGCTGATGTAATCCATCACTAGGCCCACTGCTGCCAGAGCCACCCACACCCTGGGTAGCTGCAGCTGGCCACTGCAGCTATTGCCAGAGTCACCAAAGGGCCGTTGAGCTGGTAGCTACCTGGTGCAGCCAGAACCTCTTTCAGAAGCAGCTTCTCCCCAGCTCCCATCTTTTCGTCTTCACTAGCACTTTCCATTGTCGGTGCTAACTGGAAGCCAGCAGGCATGGGAGTCTAGGAGATGCAGCCAGCCAGGATCCAGCATCACACAATAGTGTTAATGGCACAGAGAGCAAACGGCCAGTGGACAAATGACCTGCACAGTGCTTCAGCACTTGGACTTTTGTGCTAATCAAAGCAGTTTGAAACTCAGCTCTGTGACCTTGAGCATGGCATTTAATTTTTCAGAGCTTTCTTTTACCCAAGGCTAAGGGGGGATAATAACACCCACGGCACAGGGTCGTTGTGAGGATTAAATATGCATGTAAAAGTGTCCGTGCCAGGACCTGGACATGAGACGCCCTCCCTGTAGGGGTCCTGATGTTCCCTGGTTCAGCCTCATCCTTGACTTACTCTCTGACCTTGAACAAGTGTCTGAGTCTCTCTGGGCTCTGTTTTCTCATCTGTAAAATGAATGAGGTTGGAACAGAGGCTCCACAAGGTCCCTTTAGCCCTGTTGAGCTGTATGCTGTGAATCACTCCTTAAATGAAATGGACAGGTTGGGTCTGGCAGGAGGAATAGGAGGGTCTGATTGCTGAAAAGGAGCCCAGGGAGAAGGGAAGGCGTGCCGAGGTTGTGGCTGAGTCTGAGTGCTCTGAGCTGTGTGCTTCACTGGAGAACACGCTCACATGTCAAACAGATCACACTTCAGCCATCTTAATGTTCCTTGCACCTCCAGGTTGCCCCTGGCAGCACTGACATGGTCTCTGTTCCCTTTGATGCGCTCACTCCCAGGGTGGCTCAGTTGACAAGAAATTGCCAGGAGCATCATTTTCCTGCACTCTGTAATCCAGAAGGAAAGGGGCCTTAAATTACATCCATCATGAAGATTAGGTTTGTAAGCCAGGGGCCTGTGAAGGACTTGAATGTCTGAGCTTGGAGAATCTTCCTATTTGGGCTGGAATTATGCGTTGAAACCCGCTGGAACTCAGGAGGTGCTGAGATGCCTGCAGAGGCCGGTATTCCTGGAAGTACCGCCGTCCATGGGCTAAAACATGGGGCACTTTTGTCCAGCAGAGAAGGGTTCAAGGGTCTATTGTGCCACTTGCTAATTTATGTCCTTTTCTTAGCTTCTCTGAGACTCAGTTTCTTTATTTATAAAACGAAATCATAATATGTACTGCAATTTGCACTTGGGCTGTTTTGGTTTATCCGGCATCTCTTTCTCCCTCTGTTTTTGGCACCTATCACTCCTGTCACCCTTGCTTTGGGAAGGTAAGCTTCCTGCACCCCCCAGGCCCTGATATTCTGACCAAATTATCAGTCAGTGACTCTATCCCACCTCTCTTCTTAGAGAGAGGTATCGGCATAGACTAAACCAATCACAGCAATCCATTCCCCCAGGAAATAGTGGTTGGTCCAAGTAGAGCATGTGACCAAAATCAGCCTATTAGAATCCTTGACTGGGACCATGTATATGGCTATAACAACAAGCAATTCTCTCTTTCCTATGGAATCACTAGATGGGATGATCTAAGCTTGGAGCTGCTAATGGTTATGATTCCCCTTCCACTTTCCTTTTCCTGCCTCATGAATGAATCCCATGGCAAAGAGAAAGATGCTACTACACAGTCAGAAGCAAAATGTTGAGAAACATAAGGAGTATGAGCGATCCAGTGATGTCATTGGAGCCCCTGAGTCCAGCTGTGCCTGAGGCTATTCCCTGGTGACTCACCCAGCTCTACAAGCAACTAAATTTCCTCTTAGGTTAAAGCGGCTGGACTCTTTTGGTTGGAAGTCGAAGGCCCAGCTGATTTGGTAGCTCAGTAAATATTGCTTTTACTCCAGTGGTGGCCACTTCATGTCCGACCATGGCTCTTGTCACCCTAATCTCAGGTGTCCAGGGGAGCATCTGTCCCTCCCTCTTGGCTGAGAGCTCCTCAGGGGAGGTACAGGGTCTGACGTGCCCAGCATTTACTTCCATCTCAGTGCCTGGGGCATAGAAGGTGCCCAGGAAATGTCTGATGATTGAGGGAGGGAGGGAGGGAGGGAGTGATTGAGTGTTGACCCAGGTCTGCCCCCTTCCTGTCCTGGATCCTGCTCAGGCCCCTCCTCCATGACTTCTTAAACCACCCCTGTACCCATAGGCTGGTTGACTGAGTGCTTGCCATCCTCCTCTAATGTCCTCCAACATCATCCTCCAAGCTGGGAGCTCTTCATTTGTCCCATCACTCATAACACAACTGTGTTTGGACTGCGTGCTTTATTAAGCACCTAGAGGTGCTGTTCTAGGAACGAGGAGTACACATGTGATCAAGATAGACTCAATCCTGCCTTCATGGCATTTGCAATGTGGTTGAGGAGACCTATTAAGAACAAAGAAAGAGACAATGCTAGGTCCTGAGGAATGCTCTGCAAAACCTAATGCAGGGGAAGGGGAGGGAGGGTGGCACGTTGGGGAGGAGCTAAGGAGTGAAGGAGACTCCATCTCTATCATCGTCTCCCCCGACCATGACTACCTGCTCCTTGCATAAGCCTGCACCTGCAGACATGAAGTTGAATCCAGGAGGGAGCAAGAAAAAATACCCTGACCTTCTCTCCTCCTATGTTCTGGTCTCCTGGCAGCACCTCCCATTGGCTGAACCCAGCAGAAGCCAGCTGTCGCTAGAATCCCTGACATAGTGCATGCAGGGCAGCGTCGCTGGTGCAGAGCTGGACAGGAGGAGATGGAGAATGAATGAGGGTATGAAGAACAACCAGCCAGGGATGATTAGCAAAATATTCCCCCAAAAGCTTGTGGCATTGCTTCAGGGTGCTCATTACAGTCTGTTTCTTTATATTTTGGTATCAATGGAATGTTTCACAAACAGTGTGAATCATTTGTTTTATGAAGCTATTTTAAAAAAATAATCATGGCCTGGTGCTCAGAGACAGAAACAAGGTGACCTTGACATCATGACCCCACCTGGAAATTGGGTCTCAAAGCCACATTTGAGGCTTGGCAGGTGCAATCAAGCTGTGGTGAAAGAGCAGAATCCAGGAGCCCAGACACCCGGGTTCAGGTTCTGCTTCAGCTCCTCACCTGCAAGGTGACCTTGAGAATGTCCCTTCTCTCCCAGCCTCAGTTTCCCCAGCATGCACTAGTGATCCCTAATGGGCTTCCCAGCTCTGATGGGCCAAGAGCCCTCTGAAAAGTGAGAAGTCACTAATACTGTCAGAAGCCCGGTGTTTACTGATTATGGAAGACAGATGACTCTGAACCTACTTATACAGAGGAAGAAATTCGAATAAATGGCTCCTGGAAAGCACCCCAGGAGCATTTCCAAGATGATTCAAATGCAATGATGAGCACTTTTATTAACGTCTGCTGGGACATGAGGGAAAATCAAGGGCAGGTGCCGCCACAGCAGTCTGTGGGGGGAAGGAAGGAACCCCGGAGCGGCAGCAAAGAGCCTGGCAGTGGGGGAGGTGGGAGAGACCCGGCCGGCAGCTGGGTTGTGATCCCAGCTGTGGCCTTACTTCAGGACATGACCTTTGGTAAGCCCCTTTGCCTCTCAGGGCCTCAGTCTCCCCAGCTGTAAAATGAAGGAGTTGAACAGATCATTGCTGTGGCCCCATCCAGCCCTGTGCCCACATGGACCAAGAGATCTGGCAGGAGGCAAAATGCTGGGGAACAGAAGTTTCCAGGCCTTTAGCCAGGGGGAAGCTCCCCATTAGGTTATGAGCGCAGGCCCCACAGGCTGAGCTGAAGGCCAGGCCCACTCCCAACTCGCTCCATAACTTTGGGCAGGCTCCTTTCCTTCCTTGTGTCTAGGTTTCCTTCCCTGGAAAAGGAGATCGTCATGGTGATTAAAATTTAGATCTCGTTGTTTTTCTATTTGTCCTAGCTGTTATTTGTATACCTTTCTCCCTTTTCCTGCCTTCTTTTGGATTGAATATTACTTATGATTCCATATTGTCTTCTGTGTTGGCTTGTTAACTATAACTCTATGTTTTGCATTTTAGTATTGGCTTGAGGGTTTATAGTGGACATCGTTAGCACAGTCTGCCCGAGATGTTACACTATTTCTCACAGACTTTAAGAACCTTATAGCAGTGGACTTCCACTTCTCCCCTCCCACCTTCCTACTATTGTTGTATGTTTTACTTCTACATGATTTGTAAATATTACACTACATCATTAATTTTGTTCAACAGGTCAATATTCTCATGTGTGTGCATGTGTATGAATAAATAACTTGTTCCTCTGTATAGCTGAGCAGTATTCTCTTACATGGATATATCACCATTTGCATTCACCTTTTGAAAGACATCTTGGTAGTTTCCAGTTTGTGGAAATTATGCATATAGCTGCTATAAATATTCATGTACATATTATTGTGTGAACAGAAGTATTCAATTTACTTAGGTAAATATCTATAAGGAGGATTTCTGGATTACATGGGAAATGTATGTTTAATTTTATAAGCAACTTGAAGACCCTCTTTTGTATATAGCCTTTACAGGATTTCAAATTTATGTATATGCTATGATAACTTTCAAAAGAGTCAATTTTACTAAAATTCAAGACAGAATGCAAGAATACCAAGATATACTTCAATTGAATTTGATTTGGGATTTCAGGATATCTCCATGAAACAAATGTTGTCTAGTAAAATATTCAAATGGATATATTTTGATATATAAATACATCTTTTTATAAATGAATGAATGAATGACAGTGGGAATGGAATGGACGTGGGAATGGAATTGAAGGGATGGATGTGAGTAAGGGCTGAAATGGAAGCCTAAGGCTGATGTATTAGCTGAAGTAAGGAGTATAGTGATCGAAGTAGAGGGGAGACTCTCACATGCACCACCTGTGTAGTTACCTGACAGTGCTCTTGATTTCTTCATGTGGATTCACGTCACTGTTTAGGGTCACTTTATTTCAGTTTAAAGGAATCCCTTTTTACAGTAGATCTGCTGGGAATAGTGTCTCTCGATTCTTGTTTATCTGGGAATGTCTTAGGTTCCTCTTCATTTTTGAAGGTTAGTTTTCCTGGACATAGAATTCTTGATTAACCTTCCTTTTCTTCTGTTCTTTGTATATGTCATCCCACGTCTTCTGGCATCCATAGTTTTTTATGAGAAGTTAGCTACTGATCTTATTGAGGATACCTGTGGCATGATGAATCATTTTTCTCTTGTTTTGAAGTTTCTCTCTTTGTCTTTCAACAGTTTGACTATGCTGTGTCTGTGTGTGCAGCTCTTTGAGTTTATCCTACTTTGAATTTGTTGGGCTTTATTGGATGTGTAGGTTAATATTTTAAAATCAGATTTGAGAAGTTTTGGCCATTATTTATATAGATATAGATATAAGAGAATACAGCTCAGCTATATAGAGGAACAAGTTATTTACTCACATACATGCACACACACAAGAATACTGACCTGTTGAACAAAATTAATGATGTAGTGTAATATTTACAAATCATGTAGAAGTAAAACATACAACAATAGTACAAAGGTGGGAGAGGAGAGGTGGAAGTCCACTTATCTTTCTTTTCTCTTTCTGAGATTCTCGTGATGCATATGTTGATATACCTGATGGTGTCCCATGGATCTCTGATTCTGCTAATTTTTCTTCATTCTTTTACTTTTCTATTTCTCAGACTGCAAAATCTCCATTGACCTCTTTCCAAGTTTACTGATCCTTTCTTCTGCCGACTTAAAACTGCTGTTGAGCCCTTTTAGTAATTTTTTTTATTTCAGTTTTTGTATTTTTCAATTTCAGGATTTATATTGATCCTTTTTTAAAAATATAATTTCTATACCTTTGTTGCTTTTCTTTATTTGGTGAAGCACTGTTCTTACATTTTCCTTGAATTATTCGAACGTATTTTAAATACCTGGGTTAGTCTGTTGCTTACCGCGTTTACCACTGTCTCAGCCTAGAACAAATAAGTCTCCAAGTCTCTAGCAGGAGCTCTGTGTGAGAGTTGGGTCTTGCCTTCAGCCCGTAACCAGGCAGTTTATTTATTTGCCTTAGCCTTCACAAAGCCTCAAAGACTCAAAGTCAGCCAGAGGTGAGAGCTTAGCATCTTCTTGGGTCTCTCCTGAGCATGTGCATAACCCTACATATGCTCATGGCATTCTAGATTCCCAGGAATACCTTGGAGCTTTTCAGAGCCCCTATGAACAACTCATTCCCCAGTCTTGCCTTTTAAGCTTTTGGGTTAGTATGTTACTTACCCCAACTGTTTTCCACTGTCACTGTCTCAGGCAGTCCAAGCCAAATGATTGGCTGCAATTGTTTTTGACAATTGCTTCCCTAAAAAGGTTTTTGTTTGTTTGTTTGTTTGTTTGTTTGCTTGTTTTATACTGGGTGAGCTCTGATTCAGGTAAAATAAAGACAGCCTTACAAGTGGGATCTTCCAGGGAACCACCAGACAGGTGAAATAACCAGTTATCTGAGAATGTGGCTTTGAAGAAACTCCAACCCCATTCTGCTCTCTCCTGGCTGCCAGACTGCTGGCTTCCCTGTGACTCTGGACTATTGATATTCAAGGCTACCATGAAACTGGAGAGCAGGGGATGGGACTACAGCCAGATAACATGCCTCAAAGCCCACTGTCTTACGAAGATCACTTTTTTTTCCTGAACAAATGTGCCCTGGATTGCAGCAAGCCTTTGGTTAATTTTCCAAGTTCTGAAAAATTTATTCTGAAAATTTTTGCCAGTATTCTTACTTTTTTTAATGAGACTTTCCAGAGGCTCTTGCTTTATCCTGTCCCCTAATGTCACTTATTTACAGTGTTCTGATTAGAAATCTATTGTCACCCTTTTCTTTGTTTTTACATCCTTATCTTTGCTTCTTTATGCCTAATTTGTAATTTTCGCCTCTCTGGCAACTTTTATAGGTTTTGAATAATTTGATTGTGATGTGCCTTGCTATCATTTTTTTCATGTTTCAAATGCTTGTAATGTATTGAACTTCTTGGATCTCCGAATTAATAATTTTTGTCAAATTTGGAAATTTCTCAGCCACATTTGTTTTCATAATTTTGTTATATCCTCTTGCTGTTCCTCTCCTTCATTGCATGCTGGATATTTTTGTTTTTTCTGTAAATATTTATAGTATGTGTTCTAAGATGTAAATTATTTTTCAAAAATAGCTTGATCCTTTTGGCTGTCATTTTTAAGACTTGTTAGGCAGGCCAGAGCAGTGTTCAGTCTAGGACTAATTTTTCCCCATTATTAAGGCAAGATCCTTCCGAGTACCCCATGAGTTATGACGTTTTCCAGTCTGGCTGGTTGGAAACTGTATTATTCCCAGCACTGCGTAAGCGTCACAGATGACTTCCCCTTCTAACCCTTCAGAATGATTCTTTCTCCATCCTCAGGCGGTCTCCCCACATGCTTGTACTGATTGCTACTCAGCTGAAGACTTCAGGAGGATCCTGCACAGATCTCTGGAGTTCTTTCTGTGCAATGCCCCTCCTTTTGTTCCTCTGTCCTGTGAACTCTCCTTAGACTCTCAGCTCCATCTCCTCATCTCAGAGAGTCCTCCAGACTCCATCTGGACTCTGAGTCCCTACACCATGTCTAGGAAACTCACTCCAGGCAGTAAGCTGAGGAATCGTGAGGCTCACTTTATTTGTTTCCCATCTCTCAGGGATCACTGTGTTTTGTTGCCTGATGTCAAATGTTTTGCAAAGCATTTTCAAATATATTTTGTCTGTTTTTTCTGTTGCTTCAGGTGGGAGAATAATCCAGCTCCTGTTACTCTGTTGTAGAAGCAGAAATCTAAAGAAATCCCTATTTCCTCCATGTACTTGAGCTCTTGATCTTCCAGGCAAGGTAGGCACTACTATTGCGGCCAGTATTTGGTAAGTCTGAGGCACAAACCCAAGTCTATCTAACTCCTGAACATTCCCTATCTGTAAATGTTCCCTCCCACCCCATCCATGGCTTTCCTCAAAAACAACATGACCTGGCCGGGTGTGGTGACTTGCCTGTAATCCCAGCCCTTTGGGAGGCTGAGGCGGGTGGATCACCTGAGGTCAGGAGTTTGAGACCAGCCTGGACAACATGGTAAAACCCCGTCTCTATTAAAATACAAAAATTAGCCAGGTTTAGTGGCATGTGCCTGTAATCCCAGCTATTCGGGAGGCTGAGGCAGGAGAACTGCTTGAGCCCAGGAGGCGGAGGTTGCAGTGAGCCGAGATCATGCCACTGCCACTGCACTCCAGCCTGGGCGACAGAGCAAAACTCCATCTCAAACAAACAAACAAACAAACAAACAAACAAAAAAAAAAAACCCAACATGACCCATCATGTAAGGGGCTTTGTTTTTTTGTTTTTGGTGGTGCGTTGTGCAGAGATTTGAGATGAAGGTTGAACCAGCAAAAGTTTTTATGACCGCCTTGTCCCAGCATGAAGACCAGAGGGCCAGAGCCACCTGCTGACATCTGCTGAGTATTGCTTGAAGTGCCTCTGCGAGGGGGCAGATTGTGCTGAGACATTGTGGTGAGAGTGGGTGAGGAGTGGGTTAGCCTATGCTCACACTTGTGAGCAGGACAGATATCAAGAGGAGCGTTTTGTGAAATGGAATGTGTACTAACTGTATTCTTCAAAAGTGATCAGAGACAGGAGGGCACTTCCAGGTGTGGGGCCTGCAGAACACAGGGGCTCCTGCAGAGTGTGTGGGCAGGGAGACGCCGTGGGGGGCAGCAGGAATAACTGAGTCCAGACACAGTGGTGAGCAGAGAAGAAACCCCTGCTCCTAGGAACCTGCTGCCCTCACCTCAATGTGGTCCCGCAGCCCCTGAGGCCAGGTCTGCACTGACAAATGACCTATGTGAATCAGCCCAGCTTCTGTCGAAGGCTGGCCTTGGATGGAAACCAAGAGGGCGACCTCACCCTCCTCTTCCACAAAAGGGGTACAGTACCCACTTTCCACAGGTGTGGGGATGCATTCCATTAGCCAGCCGCAGAGTGAGGACTTCTGGCTTTTTAGGTGTAAGGAATGGGGTGGGGGAATCTGGGACAACCCCTCTGTCTACCCTAACACACTGCCACCCCAACTCCTCTTTCATTCATCTTTTCATTAAATTTTGCTAATCTGGACTCTTCACAGAGACTGTTCTAGGCTCCCAGGAAAAGGAGGCGAATCAGTCGGGTCCTTGCCCTTTAGGTCCTCTGAGATCAATGCAGGAGCCTTCTCAGAAACAGACAGGCATCCACAGTGTGCTAAGAGCAGCCCAGCACCAGGCAACGCTCTGCAGCACTCGTTAAGTACCAGGCATTGTTCACTGTATGTGCAACATTTCACGGAACCCTCTCCACAACTTAGGTGCATCACATGGCTTCCTGGGCCCATTCTCATTTGTAAATCAAGGCTATTTTCTTTCTCCACATGGCCAGACTTTTTACCCTATACCTGCATAAGAATGCAATACATTCACGAGAATGTACTCATACACATTAATTAGCCATACAAAAGGAAAGAAAAAAATGAGTGGTATTAATGGTCCCTTCCAGTCCTGATTGGCCAAAGACCTCTGATTCTGGACTTCTCAGGAGTGGACAAAGTTGGGTCTGGGTCTGGGGCGAAGTGAGGCTCCTGGGGATGGCCCTGGAGGACATCTATCCTAGGAAACTGGAAGTTGTCTCACTGAGTACATTGAGTCATTTAGCCTCCACTTTGGTCTTCACCTCTTACCCAGCTGACAACAAGGCTTCTTGGTCCCTCTGAGTCTGATACACAGAGGCTCATCTTGCCTTGTCCACTGTGCTGCAGGCTCACTGGCATTATTTGGGGCTTCTGTCAATCTTTATTCCAAGTCTTCTCCTTTGGCCAAAAATGTGCTTTCCTTATTAGTACACTTGCAGTTCCAGGGATGAAAATCTAACCCCTACAGGTTTAAATAAAACAGAGAAGAAATGAGGTGTCTTATTGGCCCATTCAACTAAGACATCCAAGAGTTGATGGCTTTGAGCACAGCTGAATGCAGTGGCTTAAGGGCTATCATCTTATAATCTTGCCTTTCCATCTCTTGACCAGTGCTTCTACATTGAGTTAATCCTCAGCCATGCTCTCCCTTCTGGGTGGCAAATGCTATCCTATGGAAATCCCCACAGTTATGCCACACTGGCTTCACCTCTCTCTTTCCTGATAATTTTAGCAAAAGTTCTTGGTATGTGATATGGTTTGAATGTGTTTTCCTTCCAAATCTCATGTTGAAATGTGAACCCCAGTATTGGAGGTGGGGCTTGGTGGGAAGTGTTGGACCATGGAGGTGGATCTTCATGAATCAGTTAGCTCCATCCCCATTGTAATGAGTTACTGTGAGATCTGATTGTTAAAAAGTCTGGGACCTCCCCCTCTTTCTCTTGCTTCCTCTCTCCATGTGACATACCTGCTCCCTCTTCACCTTTTGTCATAAGTAAAAACTGCCTGAGGCCTCACCAGAAGCTGAGTAGATCCTGGGGCCATGCTTATACAGCCTGCAGAACTGCCCTTCCTCATCCTCTCTGCCCCTCTCCTGACTGCCTCTTTCCTTCCTCCTACCCCTCTTTCTCTGCTTCTGTCCCATACTCTCTCCTCCCTCTCCCCATGTCCTGGCCCTCCCCAGCTAATTAAATGACACTGTGGAAACTGTTTTATTTGCATATGGCTCAGGGGCCATGGAGGGCCAGCAGTTGTGTGTTCATTAAATGGCTCCATGTACAGGGATGTAATGAGCCAGTTTTATTACATCACCGTGGTTCATCTGTGAGATGATATTGTATTCATTGGGAAGAAAGAGAACCACTCAAGCCTGAGTGTCTGGGGTTGGAGGGGTGAGCAGGGGAGGACTTATCCTCTCTGACTCAGGAAATGGCCTGGAGGTAGGAAGGGAGGCCAGGCTGGGCCGGTGGCCCCTGTTACTGCCACCCTAACTGTGACGGTCAGAACTCTCCTCTGGTTTTGACTATAGCAATGGCTGATGGTCCCAACCCAGGGGTCCAGAACTTCTGGGTGCTGACTGCAAGGGGCCCTGACTTCACCTGGGTACCAGATGCTATTTGTAGACAGAATAATTGGCCTGCCACATAACAGAGCACCATTTTACTATCCGCATGTGCTCCTGAGAAGCATTTCTGCATTTCTAGCAGCCTTCGTCCATTGCGTATTTCCTCCGTCATTAGGATCTAATGGTAGCTGCTGGCTAGTGATAAAATAATAGCAGCCACCATTCCTCAAGTACCTACTGTGTGCTGGGGCGCTGGGCTTAGTGATTTACTTGGGATATCTCATTTAATCCCTACAACATCCACTGAGGGGAGGGGCTGTTATCGTCGTTTTTATGGATGAGGAAATTGAGGCTCAGAGAATTAAAGTGCCATGTCCAAAGACACACAGGCAGATTGTGGTGAACAGAGAATTTGATCTCCGGCCTGCCCAACACCACGGTCCTCACCACTGCTCTCTGCTACCTCCAATTTACAATGACAGCTCATAGCAAGTGGGAGTCCCACACTTTTATTAAATGTTAAAAACATTCCTCATGGTCAAATAGATTATGACAAATGATGGTTCCTGCAGGAGGCTCGCCATCTTCTCTGGGGTTAACTCGGAATGGGCTGTAAGGCATCTGAGCTGATTGAGATCAGGGTGCACCTGTCCATATGTATGAGGAAGAAGGTAGTGTCTTGGGGTCTGGCAGTAAAAGGAGAAACAGCTGGGGCTGGGGAGATTCTGGCCTGGGGATTGGGGAGGTGGGTCTGAGCTGTGGCTGTGTCTCCAACTCACTGAGTGACAGTCAACAAATTCAACACTCCACAAATGCCTATTGCGCACCTAAGTGCCAGGCTGGTTCTGGGCGCTGGCGATACAATGGTGGATGAAGCCATTCCTGCCCTCAAGCCTGTGGCATTCCAGGGCAGGGTGGACAAAGTCCCTGCCCCTCTGTGGGCTCAGTTTACTCATCTCTGTACAGAGCAGACTGGGACATAAGCTCAAGTGTCTTCATGAGTCAAGTAGGTAACTCAAGGGACCCATATAAGTTGGGATGAGGGAGACCAGGCTTCCAACCACAGAGATGGCTGCGGCTCAGCTCCTGCCACCATTGCTATAAGCATGCCTGACAGTGTGTCTGTGTGGTGACAGCCTCCATATATCAAAGACTTCCTGCAACCACGGTCAAGGAGGGTCTCTCAGGACAACCATTGCATGGTGGGGGATGACAATAACAAGCCCCCCTCAATCCAGGGGTACACTGGGCTGTCAGAGTCCAAGCCCCATGAACAGATGGGGCAGCTCAGGGAGAGGTGGACAGGCAGAACCGGCCCTGCCAAGCCTCTGCCCGATGCCCACACTGCTGTGCAGATGGGCAGCCCTGGGCAGGGAGAGGTACTGTCAACAGGAAGGATCCAAAGATGGCCCTGGGCCCTCCTGAATCACGGGGTTCAGGGCACATGTGTGTGTGTTCATGTGTGCTTGTGTGTGTGTGTGTGTGTGTGTGTGTGTGTGTGTGTGTATGTGAAGGTGAGATACGGGTCAGAGCAGGAGGAGATCAGGGCAGACCCCGGAGGAAACCACAAGGTCCTTCACTGGCCACAGTGATGCAGAGATGGCCTGCAGAGGTCTGGAGGGGCCATTAAGAGAAAAGGCTGGACAATGACCTTGAAACCACACCAGCACACAACCATAAAACAACTAGTTCTATTAAGTATTTCTGTGAGCCTGGCTCTATTCTAGAACTTTATAAGTATCTTACTGAGTCCTTACAACAATCTCAGAGGGGAATTACTATAATTAATTCATTCTGCAGGAAGGGAATCCAAACACGTTAGGCTAAGTTCTCTGCTGAAGGTCACCGGGCTGGTGTGAGGCCGAGGAGGCTTTGAGTCCTGGCTGTATGGCTTCCAAATGCACACTTTCCTAAAACTGGGCTCATGGCACCACCTTCCTACAGTACCATATATTTGTTGAAGCCCTGTGTGTCAGGCACTGTGAAGGGGTTTTACTCACGTCATGTAACCCCAGCAACAACTGAGGAAGGGAGTGCTCACCGCTCCCACTTTACAGATAAGAAGACTGAGACTCAGGAGACAAAGGGGCTGTCAGAGACTTGCCCAGGGCCAGCTCAGCTCTCTGTGGCCCCATTGGGTTCTTGGGGGTCTGGCTCCAGAGCCTCCTCCTCCGGACACTGTGCCCTGCTGGGTGGGGTAGGGAAGAAGCTTGTTTCCTAGTTTCTGATAGTCTGAACTTCACTATGACAGTTCCTAGGGGCCTGGAGACACCTTCAGGAGGCCACAAATCGGGGCTGGGGCCTCTGGGTTAAGCCTGGAAGAATCCCATTTCCTTTCCCCAGGGGTCTCCCCAGTCTCAATAGACTCTGGGTCACCTGAGCTAATAAGGCCAGTCCCCTCCCCTGTTCCACCTCGCTTTGTTAGAAATTAGACATATTGCCTGGGTGCAGTGGCTCATGCCTGTAATCCCAGCACTTTGGGAGGCCAAGGCGGGTGAATCACTTGAGGTCAGGAGTTCCATAACAGGCTGGCCAACATGGTGAAACCCCTTCTAACCAAAAATGTGAAAAATTAGCTAGATGTGGTGGTGCACGCCTGTACTCCCAGCTACTTGGGAGGCTGCAGCAGGAGAATCACTTGAACCTGGGAAGGGGAGGTTGCAGTGAGCCAAGACCGTGCCACTGCACCCCCCCACCAAAAAAAAGAAAGAAATTAGACACATGAAAGACTTCTGCTGACCCTTTAGATCACAGCAGAACTTTAGGCCCCAGAGCCCCCTCACTCTGCCAAGGCCCTTTCCAACTTCAAGATTTATTAACTCATCCACAGGGAAGCGGCTGTATTTCCAACAGTCCCTGGACACATGCTGCACCTGTGCCTGATGTCCCGGCATACAGCGGCAGCGGCCAGGCCAGTCCTGCCCGTGGGGCTCCGTGTTCTCTCCTGAACTGCAGTGGAGGCAGAACCCGTGACTGGCAGGCTCTGCTCTCCCCGAGGGCAGAGAGGCATGTGCAAGGAGGGGACTTGGAGGAAAGCCACGGGGCAGGCATAGAGGAGGCAGTCGGGGCAGGAAAAGGGAGACCTCCAATGGGCTAGAGGGGAGAACTCACCTCTCCTGAGCCCCTGCTATGTGTCTAGCATCTACGTGCACCCCTCATCCAAGCCTCACCACCTCAGTAGGCAGATGTCACTCTTGCCATTGTGAGATTATGCCCAATGTGCAGATGAGGATATCAAGGCTCAGAGAGGTTAAGTGACCTGCCTAAGGTCACACTCCTTGGCTGTAATAGGGACAGGGATTCAAACCCAGCTGGTGAGCCTGAAGTCCATCCTCTTCCTCCCAGTCACATTGTTTAGATTCACTCTTCACTTCATAGGGGTGCCTGTGGCTCCCTCCACCTCTGTTCCCCCCACCGCCCACCTCTCATCTACCTCCCTATCCCTGCAAAGCTGCCCTGCAGCTCCCTAGGGAAAAGAAGCCTCAGTAAATCCCAGCCTTCAATAAGGAGGATCTGAGATGATCCCTCAGGAGAAGCAAACATTTCCCGGCAGAGTAAATCACTGAGGCACCTTAGTACTTGCAGGTGCAGCCAGCTGCCCTCCCTCCCCTGGAAGTTTGTAAATCAAACCTTAGACCTAGATACAAATAATCTGCCGGGAAATAAATAAGGCAGGAAGCAAGGCGGACATGCAGGGAGAAGAGCAGCTCCCCAAGCCAGGCCCTGGAGGGCTTCTGAGACGAAGGTGAGGGGCACAGTGTGGCTGTTGAGGGACCACTGCTCCCACCTGCCACCCCAGGGGATTGGGCCAGAGGCTTCCTGGGGTCCCTGCCAGCCCCGGAATTCTGTGTCTCCCTGACCCAGTGTCTGGGAACAGCTGGGGAAAAGGGTCTGGGCTCAGGGATGGAGGCTGGAGAGTGGGCTTGAAGTCCCCAGCAGCTCTGAGCTAAACCCTGGCTGGGGCATTTGGTGGGGCAGGAGGCTCTGGTGGTAGCAGAGGACAGGATGGGGTAGGTGTGCCTGCCTGTGGCCCTGGGCAGCAGCCAGGAAGAAGCCAGAGGAGCAGAACTCAGCATCCTGGGCTGGGAGTTCAGACCTGGTCAGTTCTGGGTCTGCTGCGAATTTCCTGTGTGACCTTGAGCAAGTCATGTGACCTCTCTGAGCCTCAGTTGCCTCATCTGCAAAGTGGAGATGATTATTCCTGCCCTTGATGCAGGTGTGTTGGGAGGACCCACTGAGGTCAGGGAGGGAAGAGCCAATTGGGAAGAGCAGCCAGGAGCACAGGGGCGGGGCCTGGCTGCCTACCTGGTCAGGGCCTGGCCCTGCTCCACCCTCCTCTGCCCCCAGTCTTCTGGTGACTGGCCAGGCCCTGGCATCCCCACCCCTGAAAGCCCAGTTGATTGGCAGAGGTGAGGCCTTTATGCAAATGAGGCTGCCTCCCCTCTCTGCTCCTCCTTTTCCCCAAGGCCACCATCACTGGGGCCTCCCACTTAGCTTGAGTTTCCCAGGTAGGGGCAGATCCTTGTAAAACATTTGATTTCTCATCTAGGTGCACGGCAGCTCAGCTGTCTCTCCCAGGATCCATGCTGCTCCTAGCCCCGTTCTGGTCCTGTGTGCCCCCTGGAAGAGCAGCCCTCAGCTTCCCCTTTCTGATGAGCTGTGTGAATCTGGGTGGGTCACTTCACCTCTGAGCCTCAGTCTCCTCCTCTGTTAGATGGGGATAACAGCACCTACCTGTCATCCTTGTTCTCTTCATGAACAGGCTCTTTTGGTTCTTCCTCAAGTGTTTCTGTGGAGCCTTCTGTGTGCCAGGCCCTGGTCTGGGCACTGAGGACTGGTGTGGAGGTGGGCAGCAGAGACAGGGCCCTGCTCTTGTGGGTCTTTCTTGGGGTGGATGCAGTATGGAGCTGGCTGGGAAGGTGTCCATTAGCTGCCAGGAGCTGAGGCACTGCAGTGTAGGCGGGTGACCCATCCAAGGCCACACACCATCATTGGAGCCCTGGACAGGCTAGGGGAGGGGAGACATGTGACACCACCCAGGCAGGAGACTCACTGCACCACCCTACTGATTTTCAGTTCCCTCATTCCAGTGAAGTCACCCTTTCTCTGAGAACATGGTGGAGGCCAAGCCCCGGTTGGCTCCTTTTGCTACCTCAGGCCTAGCCAAAGCCCTTGGGCTGGGCAGATGAAGGTCACCTGGTCAAGCGGGTCCCCAGAAGAGCAGCTCTTCATCTCCCGTATCTAAGCTTCCCGTCTCCCTGCCCCACTCCCAGCCCCAGAACTTCCCACAGAATTACCTAGGAATGGCGGGAGGGGAGCTGGATCTTGTTATCAGAGCATTCATAGCTTCCCCTGACACCGCTTCCAGGCCCTCCTTACAGAGCCCCGCTCCCCACCACTGATAAGAGAATTGTTAATGATTATAATCATCATCTGAAAAGCTGGGTTCCTGCCACAGATAATTACAATAACATTCTGCTCCACTTTGTCTTCTCCCTTTATATGTGATGAGGAACTTCATGGCACACCTGGAGACAAGAGTTGAGGGGAGGCCCCCAAGGGGTGGTCTGTGCAGGAAGGTGGCAGGTGTGAATGTGAACATGGGAACCCCTCTGGGGGAAGGGCCCCTCAGTCATGTACCCGTATGCACTGTGTGCCTGAAAGCCTGTGCCTGTGGGGCATGTGCTTGTGTGTGCAGTGACTGGGCTGGTGGGGGCCAGGCAGGACCCTGGCAGGGGAAGAGCATGGAAGGTGGGGTCAGTGATAGGTGATGGTGTGAGGGTACCTGGGGTGTGTGTGATGGGTGTAGGGTGCAGATGCAGGTCTGTCCCTGGGGTAACAGCCAGGGCCTGGAGGTTGCAGATGCCCCACTTCCTGATTGTTTATTTCACCTCTAAACCCTTTTTTCTCACCTGCAAACCTCCTGCCCCAGGCTGACTGTGAGTTGTGGGAATTGTGGTTGGCTGTTCACACAGGCAAGTGCTCAGAGAGGGTGAGTTATTAGTATTTGTCCACCTCAAGGTGGCAGGGAAGGGGGTAAGGTGACCAGCCATCCCAGTTAGACCATATCTGAGGGGTTGTCTGGGATATGGAACTTTCAGTGTTAAAACCTGGACAGTTGGCCATCCTACTTGGGTGGGGGTCAGTGTGGTGACCTCTCTGGTGACAGGGCATGACCTGCGGGTGATGATGTTGCAGGATCCTTGGGGTGTTGCTTTTTTGGCTGGAAACCTCTGTGGCTGGTGGCACCTTTGCCCAAGTTTTGCTCAGGCCTGCTGGGCTCATTCTGTCCACTTGGCCTGTCAGGCTGCACTTGGCTCATGCTACCAACCTGGATCCCATGCCTGCCAAGGGCAAGCCAGACGTGGAGCAGCAAGGGGTGTGTGAGCAAGTGAGCATGGGGTCCAGCCACTGTGCAATTAGGCATGCCAGCTGCTGCAGCGAGGTGGGCAGCTCCAGGTGCAGGCACAGGTGCCAGCTCTCTGTGAGGCTACAGCTGGACCAGGTGCACCACATGCAGCTTCTACAGTTGCCACTGGGGAACATGGTGGTTTCTGGAAGCATGGAGACTCCAGGAACCACAGGGCTCCAAAGAGGGAGTCACAGCCCTTGCTTGGGGAGCTCCCAGATCTGGGCTCCCCAAATGGCCATAGCTCTTCCCTCTTTCTCTTCACCTGCAATGTGGCAAGCAAGGGGTGTTTCAGCCTTGTTTCTGTTACAGCTCTTTCAGCCCCACCATTTGGTAGGTCCTGAGTTCTTGTCCTGTGTCTAGGAAGAATGAGGTATGCAGACAAGTGGAGCAAGATGAAGAGGAGTTTTATTGAGTGATAGAATAGCTCAGAGGAAGCCCTGGAGTGGGTAGTCCCTCTCTGCAGGCAGGGTGTCCTGATGAGTGTTCAGCTCTCAGCAGAGGGGAGGCCCTGGAGTGGGTAGCTCCTGTCTGCAGCTGGTCATCCCAACATCTGCTCAGCTCTGGCTGAGCCTGGGGCTTTTATGGGCCTCAGAGGGGAGAAAGTGCATGCTGATTGGTCCATGGGTGGCCATGGGCAGGCCTGGAAAGGGCACTACAAGTTCTCACTCTGATCCATGTGACTGGCAGCCTGGCCCCCAGCCTTCATGCCCTCACTAGCCTGAAGGTAGGGCCTCACCAGGGACCTGCCCCCTTCCACCCAGGAAGCTGTCTGCTTTCTGCTGCCTTTCATGGACCCCAGGCTGTAGGTGCCAAGGGATGTCTGCAGGCCAGTACCAAGCTGCCCTCAGTCCCCCTCAGCTTCCCTCCTATGGTCATCAGTGCCCAAAGTCTGGAGGGGGCCTAGGTGGCAGGGGTCTAGTGTGTCAGCACTGCCCTGAGCATGTGCACACCCAGTCAGGCTGTGACAGTGCCCAGGCTCAGGCTCGAACTTGCTCTAAGATCAGAGCATGCGCTGACAGCAGGGAGCAGCCAAGCAGCAGGAGCAGGCACATCCAAACCTGCGAGGGCAGGGGGGCCTTCCCAGGCCCCCAAGAATGCAGAGATATCTGGGTCTGGGTCTACAGCTGTGGTTTGGACAGCTGCAGCTGTGCTCAGGGGGGCGGGGCTCCTGCCTGCTTCATGGAGTGAGAGGTTTGGGTCTGCAGCTCTGACTTGGGAGGCCAGCTGCACCCGGAAGTGTGGGGCTTCTGCTTGCTTCCAGCCCCCCAAGAGCACAGGGAGGCCCGGGTCTGCAGCCATGACTTGGGTGGCTGCAGCTGCACATGGGGAGCTTTCACCCCACCAACTCTGAAGGGGCAGGGCTCCCACTTGTCATAGGCTCCTGCTGGCTCCACAGAGTGTGAAGGCCTGGCCGTGCCTCTCTGCTGCAGCCAGTGTGATGGCAGCGGCTGCTTCAGATGGGCCACCACTGCCATCAATGAAAGGTCAGGTTGTAGGGAAGAGGAAGCAGAGCTTGCCTTGGTTAGGGGCCCAGTTCACCCTGTGCATAGTGACCTGCCCGTAGGCCCCCAAGGTGGCCTGATGGCTGTGGCCTGCACCTGCACAGGGGTTTCCCATCTGACCTGGTGGCTCATCAAGGGCCACCTGCCCAAGACGCAGTGTGTGGATGGTGGCTCAGGGTTGGGGCTGGATGGTCTCTAATGCTGACTCCACCTCCACACTGGAATCTCCTCCTTCTATTTTTGCCTTTGCCTTCTCCCCTTTCCCAACTCAGTGGTATATCTGTAAATGTTTAACAACTGGCTCTTCAGGAAAAAAAAGCCCTGAGTGGTAGTGTCTGCCCATCTCCGTGGTGTAAGTACTTCCACCACGGTCAATTTCAAGCTCTCAGTGAATTGTCACTAAACAGGAAGTTTGGGAGAGAAACAGAGTAACACGCTATGATATAGTGTTTCCACCATACAATAGCTGTAACTAACCTCAAATAGATTAACCTCAATAGATAAGATAGATGTAAATAATCTCAAAGGCATATGCAATAGTACAGTTTTAAAAGAGAATTGGGAATTAATGAATTCTGAGTACTTGTTACCTTTGTAATTTTTTCATCAGATGTTAATATAATTTAATTTTTAATAGTGGTCTGTGTTTAATAACCTCCTGACAAAATTCTTTAAAGTTTACCCATCAGCTCCATGAGCTGGTTTGAGCAGGCTCCAGCACATGGGATGCCCCCATTCCTCTGGCCCCATCACCCTTGATTCTTAATCCTACAATTATGAAAACAAAAATTTGTGTAATTTCTTGTGACCGGCCCCCTGCCTTACTCCATCACTCCCCCTAATGCAGTACTTGACACTTTCAATTTATTTTTCAATTCCCTTATCATCCAAAGTGATGATTAAATTTCCAGCATAACTACTACTTTACCAAACTGAATTCATCCCAGGGTGGGTAGGTGGGGAGAGTACCTGGTGCTTTTTCTGAACATCACAAGAAGTAACCCCTTCAGTCCTCACTGAGACCACCACAGGGAGGACACTGGGTTCTGGGGCCTCCCTGGAAGACCCCATTTGAACTTCATTAGTGGTCACCTTGCCCCAAAATCCCGTGCCCTCCTGTAGCCTTGCTCATGTGATGGGGGGTCTGAGGGTAGCAGACTGGTTTCACCAGTGAAGTTTGAAGCTGGAAGGGACTTCCTCATTTTGCAGATGGGGAAACTGAGGCCCAGAGGAGGGCAGAGTCCTGCACAAGGTCACCCAGCCCATCAAGGAAGATTCAGATGGAGACACCTCGCTCCACCAGCCTGGCTCCTCCTCCAACTCTGTGTCTCAGCCCCATCAGGACAGCAAGTTCCACCTGAGAGATCACATGGGGCTTATTCAGAGGTGGACAGAGCTTCTCAGTCATGACGTTGGGGACCCCAATCACCCCGGGACCTGGACTGCCAAGTGCTAGGAGTGGGGGAATCTGAGGGGCAGTTCTGCTGCCTGACCCCCCATAACACCGCCAACAGCCCCTCACTCAAGAGGCCATTCATTCTTTGTTCCAACCAACCTCTGAATTTCCCCTTGAGTCTCCCGTTTTCTCCATTCCCCTGACCCTGATCACAGTCCACAGCCACCTCACCTGTGGGCCTCCTCCTACCTGGCCCCACAGCCATTCTTCACCCATCACCAGAGTGACTGGCTCAAACGAAAATCTGATCAAGTTGCGTTCCTGCTCAGAGCCTGTCAGGGCCTCCCTCTGCTTTTATATCAGGTCTCCACCCTTCAGGGCCATGAGGACTGGGGTGACCTGACCCCCCACCACTGCTCTGACCTCATTGCTCCCACCCCAGTCCCCCTCCCTGGAGGTCCCAGGCCCCAGGTCCCTCCTGGACACTCTTCTCATCCCCCTGGGGTGTCTGCTCACCTGCTTTCTCCACCTGGGGCCTGTCCCCTCCGTGGACAGGTTGGCCCCCCTCTCCCGTCAAGTCTGTACATCCTGTGGTCTCCTCAGGACGCTTGTCTGACTGCCAGCCCGGCCTTGATCTAAATGTGTTTGCCCTCTTGGAGTGTCCATTTCGTCTCCTTCAGAGCACTTAATTTGAGGCATAATCACATGCTTTCTAGGGGGTGCGTTGAACAGACCCCTGCGGGAAGGCTTTGACTTGCAGTACCGTAGCCCCAGCTCCTGGATCCTGGCCTGGAACCTGGAGTGGGTGCTCATTGCAGGCTTGTGAATGAGTGGATGAATGAATGAGTGGATGATTGTGGAGGACTGGTCAGAGTGGTGCAAAAAACTGTAGGGAAAGGGCACAAACCTTCTGAAAGGTTGGAAGGTTTTGCAGAGCCTTGGGGTAGAATAGCTGAAGGCAGCTGTTCTATAACCCTGAGGCAGCAGTAGGTACAAGGGAATGTGGGGGAATTTGTCTTAAACAGGCTTGTTTACTTATGTTGACCAGGAACTGACCTTTGATCATCCAAATGCGTGAGGTTCCCTGAAAGGGGAACAATAAATGTTAATTACCTACAGGTTGTGTTGGCTCCAGGTTTTCAGCATTGTGCCTGCACTGAATAAAAGCAAGCAGCTCCAGCTTCTCGGGGCTGTTCTCTGGCCACTAGAGCCAGGCAGTCACCTAGCTGCTCTTACACTACATACATCAGTGTCTGAGTACTGATTTCCTCTCTTGGCCAGGGTCTGTGGGACAGACCCGGCAGGTGGGCCCTGTGTGAGGAAGGCTGCAATGGACTGCAGTGGAACCCTCGGAAACGAAAGTGAGGTGACTGCACAGTAAGTAATTGGTGCCCGTTGGGTTCCTATTACTTGGATTTCCAAGTTCGAGGGGATTTTCAAGCTAGGGTTTCATCATGGGAAAACAGTTATCAGCTCAACAGCAACAGTATATAAAAGTATTGAAACAGCTGCTTAAAGCTAGCGGAGCCTTGGTCTCAGAGGCCCAATTAAGGGACATAATGCAAACTGTTGTTTTCCATAACCCGTGGTTCCCAGAAGAAGGCACACTAGACCTAGAGCTCTGGGAACGAGTGGGAAGAAATCTTAAACGACAATATGTACAAGGGCAACGGGTCCCAGTAACAAATGTGACAAAACCCTCCTGGCATGCACTATGTGGATGTGGCTTTGGCCATTGCAGCCCTGATAGTCTCCAGGGTGGCAGACTTGTAAATGGACAATGACAGCCACTCAGGGTTAGGGCATGAGGAACCTATGAGTGGGAGAGAAGGGGACATGGGGCAGGTAGTCAGCCCTGGGGCTGTTAGAGAAGGAGATGTAAAATCTTAATTGGGCTTTGAGGGATGAGTAGGAGTTTCCCTGGCATTGAAGATAGAAAAGGGCATCCCAGGTGGAGGAAGCAGCACGCACAAAAGCCAGGAGTGGTGGGGGATGGTCCAGTGAGGCTGGACCAAAGTGATGCATGGGGCTGTGGCCTCCACAATGCCAGAGATGTCAGGTCGAGAGTGACCACAGCTTTGGATGCCAGGATGAGGGGTGTGGACTTCATTCTCGGGCCAGTAGGGATCATGGAAGTGACTTGGTCAGATCACCAAGAGGAGATGGAGGCACGGAGGCCAGAGAAGAGGCAGCTGTAGGGCTGAGGTCAGGGGTGACAGAGGCCTGGTCCAGGGTGACACATGGGCAGAGTCCACATGCTGTGAGTCAGAGAGGGCAGCCTGCTTCCAGCTGATCCTTCCCCAGAGGACAGTGGCCAGTGCCCCCCTGGGAGCAGTGGATCCAGTGATTCAGGTCAGTGGGCATCACTAAGGGGACTCTGAGAGCCCAGGCCTCGGGGCAGATGGAGATTTGAAGCCTGGCTCTGCTTTCCCAACCATGTGAACATGAGCTGATCACTCAGCCTCTCTCACCCAGGGCCTGACACATGACAACAGAGGTGAACACGCTGCTCAGAGCCAATCTCCTTCCTAGAGTCTAGACTAACAACCACCACAAGCATTTGGTAGGTGCCTGCTGTCTGCCCCGCCCTGTTCTCAGCTTTACACCTAGTAATTATTCTAATCCTTACACCAACCCCAGTGGGAACCCAGAATGTGAGCACTACCCGGGACTAGGTGACCCAAACCTCACCTCTGGTCTACGGATGGGCAAGAGCATATGATGCTTGCTGATAGGTGGGACTGGCATGAGAACTGAGGTCTTACCTCATCCACTTCCCACTCACACAGCCTCCCCCAGCCCTGGCCTTACGTGCCCCCTTCTTCCCACCTGGCTCCCTGGTTGTTGGCCTCAGGCAGGGCCCCACATGGCACAAATGTCCATTGTCCACCCACCCGCTGGGAAGGTGACATTTACCCATGGGTGTGTGAGGGATAGTCACAGACTCCACATAGGCCAGCAGGAACCAGAGCAAAGCACCCGGAGCCTCAGCTGTTAAAATGACTGGTACTGGGAGCTGGAGGTCTCACTGGCCGTGACTGGGTCGAACCCAGGGTAAGGGCCTTTCTGATTGGGAGAGATGATGTCACAGAGTGACCCTAATGGATGGCACAGGGCAGGGGTGGGAAGGCAGGAAACTGAGAAGCCCTGGGGGGTGGCCTAGTTGGGGGAGCAATACCCGTCTTTGGAGCCAGATACACCTGGACTGGGACTCCACCTCTGCCTCTCACTTTGGGCCTCAATTTCCTCATCTATAAAGTACTTCATAGGCATAGACTGGGGGAACAAAATTGGAGCACTGGAAAGAAATCCTTTAGCTCATACAGTTAACTCTAAAGATTGTGCAGGGGAGGCACCTGGAGCCCAGAGAAGGGAGAGTGACTTGCTCCAGGCCACACAGCAAGCTGGCAATGACTTGCTTGCTGTTGTTTTGGAAAGCCCAAATGGGAACCAGTGACTAATTCCCCTGGGTTTCCAATCCCCAGCCCAGACCTAAAGAGAATCTCTAAGGCAGAGCTAAGAAATCTGTGTTTTAAACAACCTCCCAGGTGCATCTGATGAGTGCAGGCATGGTAGACTCAGGTGACCCAGAATCTTTTGGTTCAGGGAGGTCACATAGCCCAGTAAGAGCCAATGAGATGCAGCAAAACTGCTGGAGATGGAAGGACAAAGACACTGAATCTTTCACTCTGGAATTGAGCCTGAGATGTGAAGGCTGGAGCTGCTGCAACCATTCCTGAAGCAAGAGCTCTGCATGGACTCTGCCTCCCTCTTTGTGAGGTCAGTTGTGTTGCATTTTCTTCCCATCATCTGTAACTGCAGGTTACAGCTGTTAATAGTCCTGCAGTTACAGATGATGGGACTATTAACAGATGGGAAGTTACAGATGATGGGACTATTTGCAGTTACAGATTATGGGACTATTAACAGCTGTTGTGAATAGTCCTCTGCTGCTGTTCACACCCTCAGGACTCAGTTTCCCCATCACTCAGTAAAGGAATTGGGCTGGATAAAGTCCAACGGCAGACCCAGCTATGGCATTCCAAATTTTTACGAAACCCGAGGGCCTGGTGAGAATCGGAGCTCTCAGAGTCAGCCAGGGATTTTTCTTGCTGAGTCCCCAGGTTCCCCAGGGATGCTGAGATGGCAAACAGTGGGAGGAATATTGACAACATCAAGTCAATCTTAGCTGTCGCTTATGTGCCTGCTGGGAGATCTAGTTCAGGAAAAACTGTGCCAGGGGAGGAAAGAGCTTCTTGCTGAGCCCAGGGATTGCTCAAGGACAGGAGGAGATCCTCATGTTGACAGTGATGCCCACGGGCTCACAATAATCTCTCTCAGTTTTGTAAAATGCATTCTTATCTACTTGAACATCTCATGGCACTGGGTGGGAAGCAGGACCCAGGAGGACAGGGCAGCCCAGAGAGGTTAAGTGGCTCGCCTGAGGTCACACAGCCATTACAGGGCTAAGCCAGGGCTTGAACACATCTCCACATGCTCAATCTCCAATCTCCCCAGACAGCCCTGTGCCCCTGACTCAAGTGTGGCCAGGTGTGGTGGCTGAGCTGATGTTGGACACTTCTGGATGACCATACATGGCTACCTGGGTGGAATCTTCCTTTATATGACCTCCCAGGAGGGGAGGGGAGGGGAAGGGCAGGGGAGTGGCCATTGCACGCAGCCGCAAGGTAGCATTGTGGCCACACAGACTCTGGCTTCACAACTCAGGGCCGTGGGACCTGGGACCTGGGGCCAGTGACCTCACCTGTAAGTCAGACATTAACAAGAGTCCCTATCTCACAGCCTGAGGTGCAGTATAAATCAGCTACAGAGCTGCTTGGGGGTGCCAGGCACACAGCGAGTGTTACGAGTGTTACGTGAGGGTATCTGAATAACCTATTTGCAGACAGAACATGCTTCAGGATAGACAAGTCCCTCGAGGGTCTCAGCTGTCATCTAAAACCTTGGCCCTGACTCAGGCCCCTGGAGGATCCCAGATCATCTGCATTGTCCACACAGAAAGCAGCCTTCTTTCCTCTTGGCATTTGTATCTGAGCTCGCCTTGCCCCTCATCAGGCCTGCCCTTTCTCAGCAGGCCTCATCGTTTCAGGCCTCCTAAGCCAGCCTCTCAGCCCACCTCTTTCAGGAAGCCCTCCCTGATTCACATCTGTGTCCCTGCCTTCAGCTTCTCTCCAGTGCTCACAAGCCCTGTGACTGGGCCTCTAGTTCTGCCTCCACCACTAACCCCAATGCCCTGGGTGGCTCCAGGTAAGTCGCTTCACCTCCCTGGGCCTCAGTTACTTCATCTGACAAATGGGCGTGACCATCCTGCCTGGTATCTCACATGATTGTGATGCAGATTGAGTGAGTGTGTGGTTGGGTGGGAAACTGCTTTGGAATGTGGAAGCCACAGGAGGACTGAGGCCGCCATAACCCTTGTGTGGCTGAGGGTTCTGGCCACTGGGTCCCGAGGGCAGATGTGCTCCATGGTCGAGTCTAGCACATCGGAGCTGTGACACCTCGGGCGAGTCTCATGGCCTCGAGGAGGTGCATTCCTTACCCGTGCAACAGGAAGAGCCGTGTTACCCGCCTCTCAGTGGGGTGTGGGGTTAGATGGGAGGAAATACCCACACATAGCAGGGGTGGGTGGCCCTCGTCCATCACTAGGACTGACAGATGGGGGTGGGGTGGTGCCACACGGGTCTCGCTGTCCAGACTGTGCCGTGTCTTCCCTCCCCCCCGGGTCTCTCCCAGGCCGGGCACCCTGTGATGGATCATGGCGGTGTCTCACTGAGCTCCCTGACATCTCCCTGTGGATTTTTGCAGAGTTCTCCCTTTTTGTCAAAACGCCAGCTTGGATTTCTGCCAAGCATGACACAATCTGGGAGAAGAGTGACAACCACTAAACGCTGTCAGGATGCAGCGGAGGCAGGAGTGAGGGCACAAGGATGCTGAGAAGCAGGAGCAGACGTGGGCCTGGGAACAAGGGGGACGCTCGACAGGGCCTGTCTCCCAAGCCCGGCCGAGGACAGGCCACCGGGCGGCCGTCAGGAGGACCTCAGAGGGGCAAGCGCCCAGGAGAGGAGGTGCTGTGACTGCCTCATAGAGTCTGATGGCACCTCAGTCCCCTGAAGCTGCCACAGCTGCGATACCAGTGCCAGAGCCCGTCTTTTGGGCACTTGCTGTGTCCCTTTATCCTCATAACAACCTTCTGAGGGAGGTTCTTTTATTACTCTTTTATTTAAAAAAAAAAACAAACAGATGAAGAAATGAAGACTCAGAGAGGTTGAGGAACTTGTCCAAGGACACACAGCTAGGAAGGGGATAGGAGAGACTATTGTCAAGCTCCTAAGCAAGCTACCAAGGGACCAAGACACTAAAAAATGAATTGTCTCCAAGATGGGGAGGGGAGTACTGGGAGTGGAAAGGGAAACTTCTGTTCCCAAGGCCAAGGTTAATTCCATCCTCGGCCACTTCTGAGGTCACCTGCAGCTGCAGTGGTGAGTTCTCAGGCCAGCAGGTAGCGGCCCACCTCAAGGGCTTACTGTCCCCGGCCTTCTGGCCTGAAGGCTTCTTCTGGGGCTGTGGGAGCTGGCTCAGCCCTCCTGTGGAGCCATCTGGAGCTCCTATGGACATCCAACTCCCAAGCAAGGGATTAACACCGCCAGCTCCGGTCCCTCAGTGGACTGTCCTGAGGTGCATTCAGCATGGGTTCCTCAGAGTCACCAGTGAGATTGAGGCCCAGTCATACCCTCCTCTGTCTTATTCCCCACACCCCTCATTTTTGCTTCCTAGGAACCCTTCCCAAGCCCTTGTGTCAGGTTCTGCCTTCAAATCACCCCAGGTTAGGACACAAAACCAAGTCCCTCCAGAGGTGCTGAGCCCAAGCCTGCCTCTTGGACACACCTGCGGAAGCAGGTAGAGACCCTCACAGGCTCTGCAAGCTTCAGAGGGGCAGAGCTGGCTCATGGTGACTGAGCCTGAGGCAGTAGGAAACACAGCAGAGCATGTCCAGTGGTACTGGAGGAAGGGCAGGCCCAGCAGTCAGCCCGTCTGCCCTAAAGCTAGGCTCAAGGAACTGCGCTGAGGTAGAAACTGGGTCTGAGTCACTGGGGAAAACAGAGCTTGTAAGAGAAGGTGGAATAAATAGTCTGGGACTGCAGGGGCTGAGATCAGCCTTGAGGATGTGCCAGTGAGAAACTGCAGCCTCTCCCTAGGCCAGCAAGGGGCATCAAAGGGCAGAGAGAGCCCATCTGGGTGCTGGACACTGACAGTCCCATAAGTCAATACATTGAAAAGATATCTGCATGCCCATGTTTATGGCAGCACTATTCACAATAGTCAAACTATGAAATCAACCTAAGTGCCCATCAATGGATGAATGGATAAGGAAAGTGTGGCACGCACACACAATGGAGTATTATTCAGCCATAATAAAGAATGAAATCCTATCATTTGCAGCAACATGGATGGAACTGGAGGCATTATGTTAAACTAAGCCAGGCACAGAAAGACAAATATTGCATGTTCTCACTCACACGTGGGAGCTAAAAAAAGTGGATCGCATGAAGATAGTAGATTGGTGGTTACCAGAGGCTGGGAAGAATATGGGGAGGGGTGGATGAAGAGAAGTTGATTAATTGGTACAAATATATAGTTTGATAGAAGAAATAAGACTTAGTGTCAGAGAAATAGGGTGAGTACAGTTTAGAATAATTTATCATACATGTCAAAATAGCTGAAAGAATAATTTGAATGTTTCTGGCATGAAGAATAGATAAATATTTAAGGTAATGGATAGCCCAAGTACATCAATTTGATATTTACAAATTATATGAATGTCTTATTATCACATGTACCCTGAAATGATGTATGCCTATTATGCATCAATTTAAAAAATAATAATTTATAAAAAGAACGTTGTTCTTTTTCTTACCAAAATGCCAGGGCTTTGGCTAAGGTCCTATTGCTCACTGCACAGAAAGCCCATCACTGAGTTAAGTATTGCCAGGGAAGAAGGCTTTATTCAGGTGCTACAGCTGAGGAGATGGAGATCAGTCTCAAAGCCATCTCCTCAACCAACTAAAGTTAGGGATTTATGTAGCTGGGGAGAAATGCAACTACATGTGGAAAACAGGACTTAGGAGTAAGGAAGAGGAGTTGGTCAAGAGGAAGCAGGCAGTGGGTTAGGCAATCATAAGGGGTGAGAGGTCTGGCACCTCATTGTCCAGCTTCAGTTATCTGGTGAATTTCAGCTCCTTGATACTATCTGGGGGCCCTGATGGTTGGTTTCCTGAGAAAGCAACTCAGATAAGACAAATGCAGACACGCCTGTAATTCCAGCTACTCAGGAGGCTGAGGCACGAGAATCACTTGAACCCAGGAGGTGCAGGTTGCAGTGAACCAAGATTGTGCCACTGCACGCCAGCCTGGGTAATAGAATGAGACTCTGTCCCAAAGAGAAAGAAAGAAAAAAAAAAAAACAAATGTAACTTTCTCAGGTTTTAAGACAGGGAGGGTAAATTTCTATGTTTATTCAAAAGAAACCATAAACATCACTTCTATGGGACAGTTGGGCTGGTTTCATTTCTTTGTTTCAGCAACTTGGAAGCCCAAGGCCAGGTCCATGGCTAAGCTCCAGCAATGGGAATAAATGGCATGCATTTCTGTGTGCTTATTTCACCCACAATCTCTCTTTCCTCCCGTTTCCAGCGATTTATATTGTAATTTTGCATTATGTGTATTTTTGGTAAGCTGCCTCAATGGCTTACAGGAATGGAGGGAGGCATAATTAACATATAAGCCTCACAGGTGTGCAACAGTTGACACTTCTATTCCTATTTTAATTAAAAAATAAGGATTTTTTTTCTGGAAAAGTGGGAAATATACACTGTAAATATTCAAGAAATATGGAACAATACAGAAAAGTAAAATAAACATCTCCAAGACCCAGAAACAACTGTGATAAACTCTTGGTGAGCAAATTCCAGGCATATCTCCATGAGCATAAACAGGATGTTACAGAGGAGATGGACTGACAGAAAAATATATAGGATCATATGTTTCTTTGAATTTCAGAGAAGAAATGTAAATTGTGATAAAATTGAAGGAATTACAAGCTTCAGATGAATTCTGCTTCACAATAACATATCCTTGAATAATTATGCAGAAAACATTTTGAAAAGCATTAAGGCATTATGGTCATGATTTTGAAATAACTACTGATTAATTTTTTTTTTACTGAATGTGATAATGCCTGGGTAAAAAATGATTAGGAAATTAGCACACCTATACTTCTTCTCACCCTTCATTCTACCACCTTCTGATTTTGTCATATTGTGTCAAAGTCATACTTTTTCATGCTCTTCTGAAACCACAGTTGTGGCTCTTTAAGCTTAGACTTTTCTATACATTTATATGGATTCAATACTCAGCACGAATCCTCTTTTTTTCCTCCTCCTCCTTCTCTTCCTTCTGTCCCCCACCACACACTCTGCTGGCCTTGTCTTACCTGAGTTCTTTATATTTTTTAATGGGTTTGTTAGTAGTATTTTTCAAGAGTCAGGAAGGTTATTTCTTGTGTCCTGGCACAATTGAGACAATATCTATTGCCATCACACCTGGAAAATCAACTTGATTGGGTATTAAATTATAGGGTTCTATTTTCTTGCCTTCAGATGTTGGTAGATGTTGTTCTACCACCTTTTGGAGTTGCTGTGGATAAGTTTGCACCAAACTAATTTCCCCCCATCATTGTGGCTTGACCAATGAGACTAGTTTTGAATCTCAGTTGTATCATGCCAATCTGCTTGACATATTTTTATCAGCTTTTCTCTGTAAAAGATGTTGTACACTTTTAATCTACAGATTCAGGAATTTTTGTTCATTTGTTTGAATTTTAGGATTTTTTTCTTGCATTATTTCTTAGATTATGTTGTGCCATTTGCATCACTGGATACCCATATGTTTGAAAGTCTTTGTCTTGCAACTCTATCACCGTCTTCCTAATTTGGAAAAGAAACAAAGTTCTTTTCTAGTTACTTCTAACTTGTTCACAATATTCCTTACAGTATTTTAATTATGCCTATTCCTTTTTGGTGTTTTGAATGTAGCTTTCATCTCTCCTGTTTCTTTTTCTCTATTCCATTTCATACCTATGCACAGACAGTTTGGTTTAACGTTGTGCTGTTATTTTATAGCTCTTATTTCAATCCATTTTATTTTTTTTAAGAGATATCACATTGTCTGTTATTTCTTAATACTATGGAAAACAATTTTTCTCATGTCTTCCCCTGATTCTTTGGGCAGTTCCTCTTATAGTTTATTTTCTTCATCTGTCTTTATGTTTTTTCTCTCTTTTTTTTTTTTACAGCATCTATTCATAGTTCCTGAATCCGTTTCTTTTTAACCCATTTCTGGATGGGGCCAGCTCTGTGTGGGATGATAGTATGGGAAGGGATGGGAAAGATGGGCTCAGGTGGTTAGCAGCTTCCATTTGAGTTTGTTGTCTTAGACACTCTGACCACAGCAGTTATTTTCTTTGCAGTGGGAGCAGAGCTCTGTGTTTGACATCCCAGAGGTCAGCATGGCCTCAGCCAAGCTGTTTAAGTCACTACCTCTAGGGACTATTCCCAGGGCTGGCTGGGCCCTTGTTCTCCCTCTCCCTACTTAGCCTCTGGAAGCTCCTTGGGTAGGTAGGGTTGGGCCTGGGAAGTGGCACATCAGTGTGGCTTTTCCTTAAGCTCAACCTCTCTGCAGACCTGCAGCATCCAACTGGGTCTCCCCAGGGATGACCTCCAGTCCCTAGGGGGCCTTTCTGGGTCTCAGCACTTTAAGCTAAGGATTTTTGGACAAACTTCTCAAGTCGAAGATCCTTTATTTTAATGAAACTGGCTGGTACTCAAGGCCTGAGGATGTTCACGTCCATTCTCAGCTTCTTCATTTGTTCTGGTATAGATTTTTTAGTACTTGGTAGATATGTTTCAGATTGTGTGGATGAAATTTCTAGTATAAGTCATAATAAAAACATACCCTTTTGCATTTGTGTTGTTGTTGTTTTAGGTGGGTTTTGAGGGAGAGGAATAAAATATGAATGTGTCTTCATCAACATTTTCACCTGGACATCGTCTTCTATCCATTACCTCTTTCAATCCCAGCACCAACCCAGGAAAGTGGGCAAGGCTGTGTCCCCTGGGAGCAGAACAGAGAATTGGAGGACCAGCACTCGAGAGCTGAACAAGCCTGCATGGCCATCCATCATAGGTAAGAGCAGACAGTGCTCACATGTACCCTGCACCACCCCAGGGACAAGTCCTGATGTGGGACCCAGCACGTTCTCATACACTGGGCTTTGGCATGTGTGAGACTTCAGCTCGAACAGCATGCATGTGACACTTCTGTCCTGCTCTGCACTCCTGTGGCAGACATCACCAATCAATCACAGCACTCTTCTTTCTGATCCTGAATTCAGCCCCAAACTCCTTGTCAAGGCAACACATCAATCAACAAGACACAACCAACAAAGCAACATTAGCTTGTGAAAGAGAACCTACTTCCTAGACCAGCATTAGAGACTCTCCAGCTCCTCCAAATGTTGGTGCTAAAGTCAGACAGTCCTGGGTTTCACCTTCAGCTCTGTGAATGACTAACAGGCTGGCAGTATATTTGTCTCTCTGAGTCTCAGTTTTCCCATGTGTAAAGCAGGATCACTTGCCTTCATTGAGGGGATTACTGAGGTAATGTGGGTAAAGTTTATAACAGATATCTGATAACAATTTTGGAAAGAAATGAGAAAATTCATTCTACATCCTTCTTCTCCTGGTGATGGATGCAGTTTATGAAGACCCAGGAAAGTAGACATGTTTCATCCATGTGTCAACTCCGGTACTGAGTTAAGATTGTGAGGTCAGGTCAGACTTAATGGGGCAGGTATTGTAATCAATTAATCATGTCTGTCATGGGCATGTGATGGGAAATAGTGATGTGTGTGCTGCCACATGTGAGCTGGGGAGTGAAAGAGAGGTTGGGAGATTCAGGCCCTGCTTCATCACCCACATCCCACTGTTTCTTGTGGACCACACAGGCATATGAGAAGAAAGGTCTGCTATTGCTAATATGGTGTTCCCTGCTTCCCTGATGAGTCTGTGTGGTGGGAAGGTCACTGGCAGAAGTGTCAGAAAGGCTGTATTCCAGTCCTGTGGATTGGCTGCAGGTCCTTGAGCAAGCATGTCCTCTCTGCTTCCCCGGAGGTAGAGAGTAGAGGTGAGGGGGTGATAGTAGTGCATAAATGTTCAATCTGGAAAGTGGGATAAGCTTAGATGATTCCTAAGAATCCTTCCAACACAGACACTTAATACATTTTTTTCTGTATATTGTTTCTTAAATGTAAATTTATGTATGTATTTTACATGTTTAATTGTGGTAAAATACACATAACATAAAATTTACCATTTTTACCATTTTAAAGTGCACAGTTCAGTGGCATTAAGCATTGTTGTGTAACCATCACCACTTCTCCATCTCAAAACTTTTTCATCATCTCTATCTTAGTTCAGGCTACTGTAACACAATAGTACAGAATGGATAGCCTAAAAACAAACATTTATTTATCAGAGTTCTGAAGCTGAGAAGTCCAAGATCAAGGAACCTGCAGATATGGTGTCTGGTGAGGACTGTCTTCCTTGTTCATAGACAGCTGTCTTTGTGTTGTGTCTTCACATGGCAGAGAGAGAACGCTAACCTCTTTCTCTTCTTTAAAAGACTCTAATTTTATCATGGGGGCTCCACTCTCAAGACCTCATCTAAACCTAATCACCTCCCAAAGGTCCCACCTCTTAATGCCAGTCCACTGGGGGTAAAGATTTCAGCATATGAATTTTGGGGAGACACTACCAGGCAGTCCAAGAACAATCCCACACTGAAACTTTGTATCCATTAAACAATAACTCTCCATTCTTCCCTCCCTCCAGCCTGTGGTAACCACCATGCTACTTGCTGTCTCAATGAGTTTGACTTTTTCAGATATTTCATGCAAGTAGAATTATACAATGCTTGCCCTTTTGTGTCTGACATATTTCACTTAACATATGTCTTCAAGGCTCATCCACATTGTAGCAAGTGTCAGAATTTCATTACTTTCAAAGACTGAATAATATCCCATCGTATGTAGGTACCACATTTTGTTTATCCATCCATCCGTCTATGAACAATTGGGTTGTTTCCATCTCTGGCTATTGTGAATAATGCTTCCATGAACCTTGTTGTGCAAATATCTGTTCAACTGCTTTCAGTTCTTTTGGGTATATACCCAGAAGTGGAATTCCTGGATCAAATTCTATGCTTAATGTTTTCTTAGCAATCATCATGCTGTTTTCCATAGTGGCTATCCCATTTAACATTCCCACCAGCAATGCCCAAGGGTTCCTATTTCTCCACATCCTCACCAACACATGTTGTTTTCTTTTTTTTCTTTTTGTTTTTAAATATCATAGCCATCACAATGAATGTAAAGTGGTATCTCATTGTGGTTTTGATTTTCATTTCCCCAATTTTTAGTGATAGTGATGTTGAGCCTTTTTTCATGTGCTTATTAACCACTCATATATCTTATTTGGGGAAAAGTATATTTAAGTCCTTTGCTCATTTTTAATGTTGTTGCTATTGTTGAATTGTAGGTGTTCTTTATGTAATCTGGATATTATTCCCATATCAGAAATTAATTTGCAAATATTTCCTTCCATTCTGTGGATTGCCTTTTTACTTTGTTGATTGTGTCCTTTGATACACAAAAGATTTTAATGGAAAAATGAGGCTAAATGTATTATTTTTTTCCATTTTTCATCTATGTTGTTGGTGTCCTTTCCAAGAAGTCATTGCCAAATCCAATGTCATAAAGATTTTTCCCTGTATTTTTTTCTAAGGGTTTTACAGTTTTAGCTCTTACATTTCAGTCTTTGGTCCATGTTAAATTAATTTTTATATACAGTATAAGATAAGAGTCCTACTTAATTATTTTGCATGTGGATATCCAGTTTTCCCAATGCCATTTGTTGAAAAGGTTGTCCTTTCCTCATTGAATGGTCTTGGCACTATTGTTGAAATCATTTAACCATATATGTGAGGGCTTATTTCTAGGCCCTCTGTTGTACATCATTGGCCTCTATGTCTGTCTTTTTGCCAAAACCACACTGTTTTTATTACTGTAACTTTGTAATAAGTTTTTGAAATCAGAAAGTGTGAGACTTCCAGCTTCATTCTTCTTTTTCAAGATTGTTTTTGGCTATTTGGAGTTCCTTGAGATTCCACACAAATTTCAGGATGAGTTTTTCTATTTCGACAAAAAAAAAAAAATCACTTAATCATTAGGATTTGGTTGGGGATTGCATTAAATCTGTAGATCAAGTTGAGCAGCATTGACATCTAAACAATGTTAAGCATTCCTATCTATGAACATGGGGTATCTTTCCATTTATGTGTGCCTTCTTTAATTTCTTTCAGCAGTGTTTTTTAGTTTTCAATGTACAAGTCTTTAACCTTCTTGGTTAAGCTAATTCCTAAGTACTTTAATTTTTTATTGTAAATGAATCATTTGCTATAGTAAATGTATTGTCTTTTTAATTTTCTTTTTGGATCACTCACTGTTACACTGTTAGTGTATAGAAAATGCAAGTGATTTTTTGTGTTGATTTTGTATCCTACAACTTTGCTGAATTTGTTTATTAGCTTTAACAGCTTCTGCATGTGTGTGTGTGTGTGTGTGTGAGTGCGTGTGTGTGTGTGATCTTTAGAATTTTCTACATATATGATCATGACATCTGTGAACAGAAATAATTTTATTTCTTATTTTCCAATTTGGGTGACTTTTATTTCTTTTTCTTGCCTGATTGTTTTGACTAAGACTTTCAGTATTATGTTGAATAGAGGTGGTGAAAGTAGGCATCCTTTTCTTTTCTGTTTTTCCTGATCTTAGACTAAAAAAAACTTTCAGTTTTTCACCATTGAGTATAATGTTAGTAATGGCTTTTTAAAAAAACAAAAACAAAAATAAACAAACAACAAATACCTCAAATCTTCCTGCTTTTGAGTTACCTAAGCAAACCCTAGAAAGTCACTGTAAGTCCGTATGGAATTAAAGGGCCTGGACTTGCCTCCTAAATTTTATGTAAATCCAAGCCTGTCTTGTTGTGCAGGGGCTTTGGTTCATTTGAACTCTTGGTGACATAATCTGTCTTATTTCCAGCCGAGTCTCTAATCCCTGAAATTTCCATGGTGCTAGTAGTTATGAACAAAATTTCTGAAGCACAGAAATGTTGCATCCTGTGTACAAGATTACACAAATTAATAGAGTTTTTATTAAATTTATTTTGCAGTTACTAAAGAGATTAGACTAACTCTCTGTAGCTCCAGAGGGCAAAAGAAGAACCACTTGGTAGAATCCACCAGAGGCAGTTTTGAATTCGAAGAGAAGAAGCACTTTCTAATGGTCACACAGCTGGCCAGCCCTGAGTGAGCTGTCCCAGGAAGCTCAGGTGAGACTGGCTGAGTCCGGAGCCTGGTGTGGTCACTGTCAGGGGCGGTTAAGAACAAGGGCTTTGGTTCATACTTGAGTTCACTTCCTGACTCCCCACTTCCCAGGGGTTCAGGCCAGTGAGATAACTTGTATAAGCCTCAGCTTCCTCCTCTGTCAGTTGGTGACAGCCAGCTGTGACAGCATTGAGTAATGCTCCATGAGTGGTCACACTGTTATTTTGTTATTTAGAGTTGGGGATAAGATTTCTCCATTTTTATTTCCCCTGGAGTGGTCTCCCCTGACACCTCAGCTCTGTAGCCCCCTACCACCTCTACCAAAGGTGACAAGTTTGAGGCAAAGCAGAACAGGCTCCCCGGGCCCATCCTTCTCACTGTGCCTTGGGTCTGGCTGCCCAGGGAGCTCATGTCTGCCCTGCTCTCCCACTGCCAGAGGTTTTATAGCAACAGTCTTCACACCCCAACCATGGGGGACCTGGGTGGGGGTGGTCAGCACACCTCTGATGATGGGTTTCTCCCTGTCTAGTTCCAGGGGGTCCACAGGGGGGTTCACATGCCTGCATGGGTGAGCTCCATTCTCCAGCAATAGCTTCATCAGTAATAAACGGGAGGTTCATTTTCATCTAACATGCCCTGAATCCTCTGGATTGGTTCAGAAACAGGCAGGGAAACTGATTGCTTTAATTGGTTTTCCAAAATATTGTCACAACCACTGTGATAAGTATGGGGAAACCAATCATACAGCAGCCAACATTTGGTCTCAGTTTCCAGAACATCCCTTCATGATGGCAAGTACCCTGACTTTTTTTCACCACTGTAACTCCAGCCCCTAACACAGCGCCCAGAACATAAACATTTTGAATAAATTAACTTTTCCACAATACAGTGTATTAAGTGCCCTAATAAGGATATGCATAGAGGGCTATAGCAGCCCAGTTGTGGCATGGACATTAGACACTGGGGCTTTAGGGTAGTTACTAATATGGTTGGTGAGAAAAGCAGACGGAAAGGAGCAAGACTAGAAGCAGGTGATTAGTAAGGGGCTTCTCTAGGAACCCAGAGAAGTGATGAGGCTTAACATCACTTGGCAACAGCAAGCTCTGTTTTTTTCCCAGAGAGATGTGGCTCTATCTGTTTGGATGAGAAGTAATTTTACAGATTCCATGGATGTATGAGTGAGGATATGTGAGACTCTGCTGCAATAACAAACAATCCCCACACCTCGGTGGCTTAAAAAAACACAGGGTCATTTCTTTCCCAGTCTGCATATCCGTCAAGGGTCAGCTGTGTCTCTGCTCCATGTGCCACCCCTCAGGGTGCCAGGCTGATGAAGTCACTGCAGTCTATAAAGTTGACTGTCACCAGGGCAGAGGGATAAACAACTCTGGAGGTTGGCTATGGTGGTGGCATGTCTCACATCCACATCAAAGGCTCTGACCCTGAATTGAAACATGTCATTTCCACTCAAAATGAATAAGCCAGAGCTAGTTACCTAACTAGTCCCAGCCAGCTTGAGGACCAGGAAATCAATCCTACCACATATTGGGATAGGTCAAGTCATGAGATGCTAAGTGAGCAAAACCAAAGACTCCCACACCAAGTGTGCTTGTCTGGGTGACTCAGTGGATGATAGCATCTTTCAGTGGGAACCCTGAAAAAGTGGAAAAGTAATAACAAAGGGTTTTCACTTCTGGCCCAACAGTGTGAGGAGCTCTTCAATCCCTACCTTCTATGAAACAGGTGAAAATTACTGGAAAAAAAAAAAACTTAAGTGCCTAGAAATGACCATATAGTAAATGAAGAAGCATGCGTTCAAGAAAATCTACTGAAAATTGATAAGAACTGCTAGACTCTGTAATATTTGAACCAAGATCCATATTTTTCCCACTCCTTCCCAGCTCCACAAGATAAAAATTTCACTCAAGATTGGTAAATCCAAAACACAGAACTTCCTCTCCCTGCAGCTCCCAGTTAGAGACCTATCTTCCAAGGAGAGGCAGAATGTCAACATTTCTCATCCTGCTCCAGCTACTGATTGCTAAGACTGAGTTCCAGGCAACTGCAGCCAAGAGGTGGAAGTTCCTGTCTTCTGCCCAGCCTCAACCTGTGGGACCAAGGCTCTACCCTGGGTGCAGTGTCACTGAGAATAAGAGGCCCTGATTGCACTTGTCTCAGGGTCATGAAGTGAGGGTCCCAGACTGAGAGAGATGAGCCCAAGACACCTGGTGTTGCTATTGTTTTGTCTACTAAACACCCAGATCCTAAAGAGGGAATGTCACTGAGAGAGATGAATGCCATTGTCCCCAACCTCAGCACCAGAGCTGAGGCTGAGAGATTTTTCTCAGAGGTGGAAGCTAGGCAAAGAATAGAAAGCACCAAGTAAATCTCCAAAGAACTGACTTAATTTGCAACAGAGTGTGGGGAAGTTCAAATCTAAGGGAACTGTCAAAATCAGGAGAAGTTGTGGTGAAAGGCAACTGAGAAGAGAATGATAGGTTAATTGGAGACATAGGTTAAACTGGGGTCCAGCTATTTTGCCAGAGAGAATTAGGGGAAGAGACAGGTGGGAAGACACCCCCCTGGGGGCCGAACAAATCTCAGATGCTGATTTGGAACTATACCTTGAAAGAAGCCTAAATTTGACTGGAATTTGCCTGTGAAGCAATTTCTGCTCCAGCGTATTGTTGAAAATGACAGAGCAATCAACTGGCAATTAGTGGAGCTTAAGAACTGGGTATAGTCAGAGAAAGAGATAGTTAAAGAGAGTCTTGCAAAAACCACAGTAACCCCAGGGTGACTATGGGCATACCCACTTCTATTCAACATTGAACTAGAAGTTCTAGCCAAGACAATTAGGCAAGAAAAAGAAATAAAAGAAATCCAGATTGGAAAAAAAAAAGTTAAGTTATCTTTAGTTAGAGCTGACATTATCTTGTAAATAGAAAGTCCTAAGAAATCCACTAAATATTTGCTAGAACTAATAAATGAGTTCAGCAAGATTACAGGATAGAAGATTCATATATAAAAATCAATTATATTTCTACACACTTGCAATGAACAATCTAAAAATAAAATTTCAAAAACAATTATGTTTACAACAGCATCAAAAATTGTTTACAACAGTATCAAAAAGAGTAAAACATTTAGGAATACATTTAACAAAAGTGTAAAACCCATACTCTGAAAATTACAAAACATTTTTGAAGGAAATTAAAGGAGATATAAATTAATGAAAAAACATTCCATATATGTGTATTAGAAAACTCAATATTGTTAAGATGGCGATACTTTCAAATTGATCTGTTGATTAACTACAATCTCTGTTAGCATCTCAGCTGACTTCTTTGTAACAATTAACAAGCTGATCCTAGAATACATGTGGAATTGCAAGTGGCCCAGAGTAGCCAAAACAATCTTGGAAAAGAGGAACAAGCAGGAGAACTGACATTTTCTGATGTTAAAACTTATTACATTACAATGGTAATAAAGACAGCATGGAACTGGCATAAGAACATATAGATTAATGGAAGAGAATTGAGAATCCAGCAATAAACTGATACGGTTTGACTGAGTCCCCACCCAAATCTCATCTTGAATTGTAGCTCCCATGATCCCCACATGTCATGGGAAGGACCTGGTAGGAGGTAATTGACTCATGGGGGTTGGTTTTTCCTGCGCTGTTCTCATGATAGTGAGTAAGTCTCGTGAGATCTGATGGTTTTATAAAGGGCAGTTCCCTTGAACATGCTCTCTTGCCTGCCAACATGTAAGGCATGCCTTTGCTCTTCCTTTGCCTTCTGCCATGATTGTGAGGCCTCCCCAGCCATATGGAACTGTGAATCCATTAAACTTTTTTTCTTTATAAATTACCCAGTCTTGGGTATGTCCCTATAGCAATGTGAGAACCGACTAATACATAAACCCATGTGTCTATAGTCAACTAATTTCTGACAAGCATGCTGAGAAAAATCAATGGGGAAAAGAACTGTTTTCCAACAAATGGTACTATGACAACTGGATAGCCATCTGCAAAGGAATGAAGTTGAACTTGTACCCTAGGCTATATATGAAAAATAATTCAAAATGGCTCACGCATAATTAAGAGCTAAACCTATACAACTCTTAGAAGAATACATACAGGTAAATCCACATGACCTCAGATTTGGCAATGAATTCTTAGATATGACACCTAAAGCATGAGTTATTAAAGCAAAATAGGTAAACAACTCAATAAAAATTAAAAACATTTGTACATCAAGGGATACTGCCAAGAAACTTAAAAGACAAGCCAAAGACTGGGGCAATGTGTTTGCTAAATGTATATCTTATGTGTTTGCTAAACATATATCTATGACAGATATATATATATATTATATATATATATGACAGATTTGCTAAACATATGTCTAGGACAGATTATATAAAAACTCTTATAACTCAACAATAAAAATACAAATAATTCAATTAAAATGGGCAAAGGATTTGAATATATATTTATCCAAAGAAGATATACAGGCCAGGCACGGTGGCTCACGCCTGTAATCCCAGCACTTTGGGAGGCCGAGGCGGGCAGATCACAAGGTCAGGAGAGTGAGACCATCTTGGCTAACACAGTGAACCCTGTCTCTACTAAAAATACGAAAAATTAGCTGGGCATGGTGCGGGCGCCTGTAGTCCTAGCTACTCGGGAGGCTGAGGCAGGAGAATGGCATGAACCCGGGAGGCAGAGCTTGCAGTGAGCCGAGATTGCACCACTGCACTCCAGCCTGGGTGACAGAGTAAGACTCTGCCTCAAAAAAAAAAAAAGATATACAAATAGCCAGTAAGCACATGAATAGGTGCCCCACATCATTAGTCATCAGGGAAATGCAATTCAATACCACAATGAGATACTACTTCATACCTACTAGAAAAATCAGATGAATCTAAAAAGTGTCACAAGTGTCAAGGATGTGGAGAAATTAGAATCCTTATACAGTGCTGGTGGGAATGTAGAAGGTGTAGCCATTTTGGAAAACATTCTGGCAATTCATGAAAGTGTTAAACATAGAGTTACAATAAAACCCATCAATTTTACTCCTTGATATGAGCCCAAGATAAATGAAAACATATGTCCACACAAAAATTGTACACAAATGCTTACAGTGGCCTACCCATAATAGCCAAAAGGTAGATACAACCCAAATGCCCATTAACTGACTAATGGATAAACAAAACGTTTAACCATAGAAAAGAACATTATTTGAACATAAAAAGGAATGAAGTATTAATACATGTTACAACTTGAAGAAACTTTGAAAACATTATGCTAAGTAAAAGAAGCTAGTTACAAAAGACCACATATTACATGATTCCATTATATAAAATGTCAAGAAGATGGAAATCTATACAGACACATAATAGATTAGTGGTTATCTAATCTTGGGGCTTGGGGGATGGAAGAATAAAGGTTTGATAGCTAAAGGGTATGGGATTTTTTTATCAGGTGATAAAAATGTTCTAAAACTGATGGTGGTAATGGTTGCACATATCTGTGATATACTAAATACCATTGAATTGTACATTGTAAATGGGTGATTTTTATGATATGTGAATTATACATCAATAAAGCTATTATAAAAAGTAATAGCACAAATAGCTGCCTTTAAGGTAGGAATTCTGGAATGGCAGAGGAAGGGCCTTTAAACATTCTGCTCCTCTATGAAAGAAACAAGAACACTGGTAAAATTGTCAAAATCAACTTGTTCAGAAAGTCTGGAAATTAATCAAAGGCTTGCAACAATCCAAGGAGCGTCTGTTCAAGAACAACTACTGAATCTCAGTAAGAACAGAGAGTTCTGTGGTGGTTTAACTTACCCTGTTCTGCTCCTCCTGTGTAGTAGCCTTGAAAAGCAACAACTTAGCAGCCATTGTAGCTGTGAGCACCAGCAGCATAGCAGCTGCTGGAGAGGGAAGACCAGTTTGGGTGCTCCTCCAAAGACCCAGAGAACTGTCACCATTTTCTCTGTTTGGCAGCTCACTGGATAAGCCCCATTACAAGGCTTATCATTATTTGACCTAACTCAGAGGTCACTCACTGGGGAAAGCCCTATCTTCAGGGTGTTTGCTAAAAACAATCAGCAGAAATTGTTTATCCTTGCAGCAGAGAAGACAGTAATACCAGTTGAAGCAAACAATATGCTGGCCAAGAAACTTAAAAGGAGGATCTGGAAAGTTAAATATCCATAGGTAGGGGGCATTGAAAAGTGTCAGCATATTCCTGGGGCTCCAGAAGTCCTTGTGCATGTACAGGGCTGAGCCTACACCCAGGAAAGACCCGTGAAAGCTCTCCTCTTTCATCTCTGGCTGACCTTGAGGCCCTGTGCAAGCAGGAAGTGTGGGGTCAAGGCAGAATTGTAAACTACTAGAATGTGGAAGGTGTGTCCTGAAATCACACAGGGCCTTTTGGCAAAGAGTGAGAGATTATTGGTTCAAGGTATTTGAGGAAATCTCTGTCGAATCATAGACCACTAAGTTACCTGAGTGGAGAATTCAGCCACCACACATAATAAGAAATACAGACTTTAATGACTAAGTTCAAGAAAGCCACTCAACAGAGAAGCAGCAGCAGGAACAGCAACAACAAAGTCCAAGGAGGGCATTAGAAATCTGATTTCATATGTTGTCCCATTAGATTATTTAAGGTGTCCAGTTTCAACAGAAAAATTTTACAAGGCATGCAAAGAAAGAAGAATACAACCCATACGCAGGTTAAAAAAAAAAAAGTAGTCAATAGAAACCATCCTTGAGAAAGCTCAGAGTTTGGACTTACTAGACAAAGACTTTAAGATAGCTATTATAAATACATCCAGACAACAAAAAGAAACCATGTCCAAATAATTAGTAGACAGTCTGCAAACAATGTTTCTCCAAATAGTGAGATAGAAATTACATTTTAAAATAGTCAAATGGAAATCCTGAAGCTGGAAGCTACAACAACTGAAATGGATATTTCAATAGTGACTCAATAATAGATGTGAGTTGGTGGTAGAAGAAAAAAAATAGTGAACATGAAAATAAGTAGTAAGAGATTGCTCATCCTGAGGAATAGATAGAAAAAAAGAAAAACAACAGAAGCTCAGAAGCTTATATGGCACTATCAAGCATACCAACATACACATAATGGGACTTCCAGAATGAGAGCAAAGAGAAAAACAGACATTGTTAGGAAATAATGGCTGCAAATTTCCCAAATTTGAAGAAAACATCAACCTACAAACCCAAGAAGCTCAACAAACTCTGTGTAGGATAAATGCAAAGAAATACACACTAGACACACATAGTCAAATTGTCAAAAAGACCAAGACAAAGAGAGTATCTTGAAAGCAGCAGGAGAGAAATGACTCCTGCTTATATATGAGAAAGTCTCAATAAGATTAATGCTGGCACTTCTCATCAGAAACCATAAAGGCCAGAAGGCAGTAGGGTAACAGATACAAAGTGCTCAAAGAAAAAAAAAATGAATCAAGAATTCTGTATCCATGAAGTCTTTCCCCATGCCTATGTCCTGAATGGTATTGCCTAGGTTTTCTTCTAGGGTTTTTATGATTTTAGGTTTTACATTTAAGTCTTTAATCCATCTTGAGTTAATTTTTGTATATGGTGTAAGGAAGGGGTCTAGTTTCTGTTTTCTGCATATGGCTAGCCAGTTTCCCCAGCACCATTTATTAAATAGGGAATCCTTTCCCCATTGCTTGTTTTTGTCAGGTTTGTTGAAGACCAGATGGTTGTAGATGAATGCATGTGGGGCTTAAAACCTAGATGACGGGTTGATAGGTGCAGCAAACCACCATGGCACATGTATACCAATGTAACAAACCTGCACATTCAGCACACGTATCCCAGAACTTAAAGCAAAATAAAAAATAATTAATTAATTAAAGAAGAGAGGGCACCAAATTAAAAAAAATCACTGACGACCTTTTGTCAATGTGGGTGGGTCATATCTATCAATATATACCATATTAAAAATTAAAACTGGGAATTTAAAAACATACACTTATTACTTCATTTAAAGTTATAGTAATAAACTCATTTGTATTTACATAAAAAAATTCTATATCCAGGGAAACTATCTTTCAAAACAGAAGGAAAAATTAAGATGTTCCAGATAAGCAAAAACGGAGAGAATCTGTCACTAGCAGAGACGCTCTATCTACAAGGAGTACCAAAGAGAGTGCATCAGGCTAAAATGAAAGGACTTTGAAAGGACGGTAACTGGAATCCACAGGAAGAAAACAAGAGCACCAGTAAAGATATCTCTAAAAGGTAAATATAAAAGGTATCTCTAAACGGTAAGTGTAAAAGACAATGTAAATGCATTTCATGTAACTCTTTTATTCTCATCTGATTTTAAAGAACTGAAACAATGCAGTAATTATAAATCTGTGTTGGTAGGATTCTAATGTATGAAGATAATTTGCATGACAGTAATAGCACAAAGGAAGGGAGAGGTAATGGAGCTTCCTGAGAGCAAAGTTTTTGTACACTATTGAAATGAAATTGGTATTAATCTGAGCTAAATTGTTTTAAACTACTCTGTTCATTATAATCTCCAAGGCAACCACTAAAAAATAATTTTGGCCAGGTACAGTGGCTCACACCTGTAATCCCAGCACTTTGGGAGGCCGAGGCGGTTGGATCACAAGGTCAGGAGATCGAGACCATCCTGGCCAACGTGGTGAAACCCCGTCTCTACTAAAGTACAAAAAATTAGCCAGGCGTGGTGGTGCGCACCTGCAGTCCCAGTTACTCGGGAGGCTGAGGCAGGGGAATTGCTTGAACCCGGGAGGCAGAGATTTGCAGTGAGCTGAGATTGTGCCACTGCACTCCAGTCTGGCAACAGAGCAAGACTCCATCTCCATAATAATAATAATAATAATTTTAAAATATAGTAAAAAAACAACAAGGAAATTAAAATGACATCAATGGCAGAGCTAGAATTAAATCTTGGGTCAGGGTGACTCAGGGCCTCCTGCACAGTTACCAGCCCATACCCACAGTCGCCAGCTCCTTCACACTCATGTGTGTCCCATGAGCTGGGTGGTGTGGGGAGCAGAATCCGTGTTATATGTGCAGAAAAACTGAGACAAGGGAATGTGGATGCCCTCATTGGTGCTGTGGCTTGTTTGTGGCAGGGCTTGCTCTAGAACCGAGGGCTCTGGCTGTTTGGCCTTGAAATTTGTGACATAAACTCATAACCACTTTCATTGCACACTCAGTCCCTGAGTCCAAATCTTCAGGAGGCTTAAGAATCACCTGGCCAAGAGTCGATATGTCTATTCAACATGCTGATCCCTAGGTCCCAGTGATTCTGATTCTGTATCAGACAGGGCCAAGGAATCTGTAATTCAGGTAGACACCTCCCACCTTACCACTGCCCTTCTCTTCCCAGGTGACTCTGATGAAAGGTTGTGTGCAGACCAAACATGGAGAAATGCTGATTTTAGGATATTCCTGGCCTGCTCTAAGTACTGTCCCCTCATTTTGGCACAATTTTGCAGAGGATAGACCATGGCTTCAGCCTGCCTCTATTGCCATCCATATCTCAGCATCTACTAATTCAGTTTAAAGCATTCAGAATAGTGCCTGGCACAAAGTACACATTTTATAATATTAGCTCTATTTGTTTTTATTTCCTTATTTAATATTAGCTCTACTTGTTTAATTTCCTTATTTGTAATTCCTTACAGATATCCTCAATGCCATTTCACAGGTGAGGAAATGTGGGCACAGAGAGGTAAGGTAAGTTGTTTAACGATGCACAGCTTGTCAATCACAGAGCTGGAGCTCAAACTCTTCCATGAGACTCCAATGCCAGTGTTCCTAACTGCTAGGCTGCCCTGTCCCCAAGGCACACACTCTAGATCCTTTCCTTTGCATCTGCACCCATGGGCTGAGTCAGGCGAGGTCACCCAGGTGCTGGACTCAGGCTTTTCCTGCCTTTTAAGATGAAGGAAGAGCTCTTGAGGGTAGGGGAGGGAATGAGTGGTGGACCCCTGACTCCTTTATGCCCTTCTGAGCTCACCTCTGATCATCCTCCGGACTCAGGAGCTCTCCAGAAAATGGGTGTCCTCCCCAGTGGACTCTAGATTCAATTTGCTGCTACTCACTGTGAGGAAGTTCCAACTGGCATCTCTATACTGGGTGCTTAAGTAAGAAAGTGACAGTTCATCCTCAGGACAATGGGCCTGGGTTTCAATCCCAGCTTCACCTCCTTCTGGCCCCGGGTTTGAGCCCTTGGGCAGGCCTCAGCCTCCTCATCTGTTAAATGGGCATAAACATTGAGTCTATCTCAATGGGCTCTCATGGGGGATAGTACACACCAAGTGTTCACAGCACAGTGGCTTGCACGGACCAAGGGCTTGGCAAGAGTCAGTAGTTAGTGATAATATCATTCTCAGCACACAGGCAAAGCCATGTGGGCTTTTCTCTGACATCGTTTCTTCCTGGTCTTTCCATTGAAAATGTATCTGAAGTCCTGAGTCACCCCAAGCTCTCCTTGCCCCAGAAGTCCCTCCTCTGGAGTTGTGTTAAGTTTCAAGGGCAGATGCAGGAGTCAGGCCAGGGCCAGATTTTAGCTCTGAGCCCTCAAGGGCTCCTGGAGCCATCTGGAGCCTCTGGAACCGTCTGAGCCCAACTCTCTTCTGAACTGAGGCCCATGCACCTGCTCTGATGGAGCCAGGCCCTGACTGCAAGTTTCCTCTGCCAAAGTGCAACCTCAGGGGATGTGGATCAGATGCCATTTGAGAAGAACATGCTGAGAACAACTGAGAGATGGCAGCATTTTTCAGCTCGGGGAGAGAGCAGGGTGGGTGGATGAGTCTGCCTAGGGCTGGAAACTCTGTCTTCTGCCATGGGACTGCATGTGGCCTTGGGCAGCCTCCTTCTCTGCTCCAGTCTTGGATTCCTCATCTGTCAACTGGGGTGATGCCATCTGTTCAAAGTGTTGTTAAGAACATGGTGGAAGAGGATCATGGGATAAGGCTATATCCCCAAGCTCATTTACAGCAACAATGAGCAGTTATTAAGCACCAGGCTTTGCACTTTGGAATCAATGTCTCATTTCGTCCTGACCACATTCCCTTGGAGTAGGCACTGTCATGACTCCTGGTAACAGAGGGCACAGTGGACTCGTTCACACAGCTGGTCAGAGGAGGAGCTGGCCTTAATCTGGAGGCAATGGAATCCCATTCAGAGCCTTAGCCCTAAGCCTCTGACTCCCACAGTAGGGCCTGTGCTCCCTCTGCACTGCCTGGGCATCCCCAGCACTCAGGAGCCTCCCCTCCCTTCCCCCTTCCATGCTCCAAAGTGGCGCTTGGCCTGGAGCAGTCTAGGTGCGGGGCGGGCTCCCCCTCAGTGTAGAAGCAGACTCTGTGTCACATAGGGCTGGACTAGAGCAGCTTGAAGATGGTGACTGAGAAGGAAAGTCAATGAGCCCCCAATGCCAGCACGGGGTATTAAAGGTGACATATTCAGAGGCTGCAAGGTTTAAGACTGTGGGGCTTGGCAAGCCTTGCTGGTGCCACTTCCCTCACCACCCCGCACCCCAGTCAGTGATGGGGAGCTCAGAGATTTATGGTCTTAATAAAGAGAGTGGACAGGGCTTTCTGGGTAAGAGAACATTTCAGAGTTTGGTTGCCCTCCAGGAGACTGGAGGCAGCTCCACCAGTGCAGAGAAGCCAGACGTCAACTCTTTGTCTTACAATACATCCTGTGGAGGGGCATCAAGCCCAGCAGTGGTCACTGTCACATTCAGTAAGTGATATGAGGAAAACTGGCTTCCTTCCTCCTGCCCAGCTGACGCCCCAGGGACCTCCTCGACTTCCTTCATGGATTATTGTCTTAAAATTTAAAAACACAGCTGATTTCAGAGCTGGGTCAGCCTGGTCTCATCTGGACTCTGTCACCTACTAGCAGAATGATCTTGCAACCCCACATGTATCACCTCCCATCTCTAAGCCTCTGTTTTCTTGGTCACCAAATGAGGTCAAGGTTCTTGCCCTCCGGGCTGCACTGATTATGTTTGCAGCCCTTTGCTTCTTGCTGTTGTTCAGTCGAGGCTTCACTCCTTGTGGGATGGCTGTTTACAGATGTTCCTGGCAGTACCCCCAAATCAGGTTCTGTCTCCATTGTGTCCCAGGCCCAAGCACCCAGGACACGGGGCTGCTGTTTCCTTCACAGCAGCCAGCGGTCTCTGAGCCCTCACTGGGCCCCTGGCAGGTGCTTGGCACTCCATGGAGCTGTCTCTTCTCCTCTATCCTGTGAGGTGGGGCCACTATAGACATTGCTTTAGTAGTGAAGATTTTAGGCTCAGAGGAAGTGGGTTGCCCAAGTAAGTGCTCAAGCTGATTTCAGATGTGATAAGGGCTGTGACCAGAGTAAAACAGGATGGGATGTTAGTAAGTGCCAGGCAGGGAGAGGAGGCTGCTTTAGTTGGGGTAGTCAGGGAGGGCTTCTTGAAGGAAGGAGGCTAGACACACTCTACTCTCTGCTTCACTTGAGCAGAGAGTAGACTGTGGAAAAGAAGCCAGCACATGAAGATTTGGTGAGAGTAAAGGGGGCTGTGGGGACCTTAGGCCCTGGGAAATCTGGAGAGAGTTCAGTAAGGGAACCTGGGTCCTAGGTCCAGGTTCTGCACCTACTTTCTGAGTGACCTTGGGCAAGTTGTTCCTCTGTTTAATTTTTCCATCTACAAAATATGGTGTGATACACGTGCTTGCTCCATCTTGCTGAAGGTCACAGTGAGGCAACACGTCCAGATGCCAGAGGAGCCACAGAGTAGGGGAGACCTCGGGCCTGGGCTCATGTCTGCCAGGTCTTCATGGAGAGGGTGCCTGGGGGCGGCCCAAGAGGGCTAGATAAGTTCAGCATGGCTGAGCAGAGGCCCTCCCTGCTTCAAGTTCTCTCTTCCGCTCCTCCCTCTTTCCTCCCACCTGTTTAAAGCTCTGCACCCAGGGAGTCCTGCCCCACAGGCATCCCAAAGGCCTGGCCGGGTGCCCTTTGGGGTGATGATAGAGAGGAAGAGAGGGAGGTGCTGGCCAGTGGAAGAAACCAGAGAAAAAGACAAAGGAAATGCTTGGTATGTCTGGATTTGGAAAACCAAACCTTCCCTCGAAGGTTCAGGTCCAGGCTGGGACCTTCCTGCTGAATCCTGGCTCTCTGCCCCTCCCCCACATCTGGGGGCTCCTGCTTTGCTTCTGTACCTGGGCAAGAGTGAAATAGACACCTGGAGCCCAGTCAGCCACCAAGCAGCCACTAGAGAAGAGCCAGGTGCCCAGGCAGCAGGAAGGAGCCAGGAGAGGGGTGGGGAAGACGAGTGTGTGTGTGTGTGTGTGTGTGTGTGTGTGTGTGTGTGTGTGTGTGTGTGTGGTGGGAGAGAGAAAGAGACAAAAATAAAGAGAGATGCATACAGAGAGACATGCAGACAGAGCTAGACAGAAACACACACACCTGGTCAGGCACAGAGGCTCACGCCTGTAATCCCCACAGTTTGAGAGGCCAAGGCAGGAGGATCACTTGAACCCAGGAGTTTGAGGATGATCTGGGCAACATAGAGAGACCCTGTCTCTATTTAATAAAATAATAATAAAAAACACATCTGCATCCACACACAGTCAGAGACAGAGGGAGACAGAGAAAGCCCGAGACAGAGGGGACAACAGACAGAGGCTGGAGTTCTGGACATGAGATCAGAGGCACCAAGCCGGGATGTAGGGTGGCCAAGTGGAAAAGTAAAGACCAAGAGTGACAGGAGAAGGAGAAGGAGGGGGAGGAGGAGGAGGAGGAGATGGAGATGATGATGATGATGATAATGATGATGATATTGACAGGGAAGGAAGGAGAAGCGGGAGGCAGATTCACTGTGGTAGAGACACCAGAGGGAGGGGCCAGGAGCCTGGAAGTGGTGAAGAGCAGAGCCAAGCCGCCTCCCGCACTGCAGTGTCCTCGTCTGTAAAATGGGTGACAGCAGTGTTGGCAGCAGTGGGCCATCTAGTGCGGCCACTGCTATCATGCTGGCCCCTGCAGGGAAGACATGGGGAGGAGGCGGACGGGGGCCACTGTGACGGGACCGGGCCGGGTCACTTGCCAGCAGCACAGCAGGTGAGCAGCATGGTCAGGCAGAAAGGGCCCCCGATGCAGAGCTGGAACTGGACTTCAGGGGCCTGGGGCAGGAAGTGGGAGTGGCACCCACTTCAGGGACCTGGCCAGCAGCACGGCTACTGCACCTACCCTGCCGAGGGTGCCAGGTTCCTGGGCCTTGGGAGGAGGCTGTTTGTAGGGCTGCCTGGGGCTGTATCCCCAAGGTTGCCCCACGCCGGTGTGACCACTGAGCCACCACTCTGGCCAGGCCCCAGCTGCAATTTGCTCTGCCCTGGACCACCCCTGAGTGCCAGGGCAATGGGGGAGCTCCTGGTGATGTTGTCCCTGCCCTGGACACCTGCCCACCACCCCTAATGGCTGTAGCCGCCTAAGTTCGGTTAGTAGACCTGGGCCTCTGTGTGCCCTTGGAGAGCTGGGAGCAGGCAGGAGCCCAGCCCTCCTGGGTGCTGCTGCAGCCATCCAAACAGTGGCTGCAGATAGAGGCCTCCTGCTCCACGGAGCAGGCAGGAGTCCTGCCCCCCGAGGCACACCTGCGGCCGCCCAAACCAGTAGCTGCAGCCTTAGGCATCCCTGCACTCTTGGGGGCCCAGGAAGGCCCCCCTGCCCTTGCAGGCTCTGAAGTTCCTGCTCCTTCTGCCTTGTTTCTCCCTGCTGTTGGCACTGGCTCCATCTTCGAGCAAAGTCAGAGCCTAGCCTAGATGCCACGAACAGCAGCAGGAGGCAAACAGATTCCTGGGTGGAAGGCGGCAGGTCCCTGGTAAAGCCCCACCTTCAGGCCAGAGAGGGCCTGAAGGCTGGAGGCCAGACTGCCAGAACTTCTGACCTGAGTGGGGACTTGTGGTGCATTTTCTGGGCCCACCCATGGCTGCCCATGGACCAATCAGCACACACTTCCTCCCCTCTGAGGTGCATAAAAACCCCGGCTCAGCCAGAGCAGGGCAGAGAATGGAGAGACAATGGGATGACCAGCTGCAGAGGGGAGCTACCATCTCCAGGGCCTCCTCTGCTGAGAGCTGAACACTCGATGGGAAGACCTGCCTACAGAGAGGAGCTACCCACTGTGGGTCTTCTCTGAGCTGTTCCAACACTCAATAAAGCTCCTTTTCATCTTGCTCACCCTCCACTTTTCTGCTTACATCATTCTTCCTGGATGCAGGACAAGAACTCAGGCAAATGTGCCACCGGCCACAGAGGTTTCTGGCTGGAAAAGTGACACCCCAAAGATCCCGTAACAGCAGTATCCTTCACAGCTTGCTTGTGTGGGGTCAGTGAGCCATGAGCTTTCTACCTCCGTGGAGCCCTGGGAGCGACCCTTCTGTGGGGAGAACTGTGAGTGCATGACGTCAGGGGAGGGAGAGGCCCAAGGCTGGGCCAAAGAGAAAGAACCCCACAGTGTGCAGTGTCCCCACAGCCTGTCCTCTGCATCCATCTCCAGGACGCATCCTCATCTCCTTCCTTGACCTCTAGCAGTTCCTCTGTCTGTCATCCTCCTCTGGGCCTGCATCTGCGCGGGGGCAGCCTTTGAGTCCAGACTCGTCCATCTATTTATTGCACCCACTGTGCTGTGCACTGGGCTTCCAGTTCTATAACAATGAACTCGCTTAATCTTTACAATAGCCCCATTTTAATTATGAGGACACTGAGGTCAGAGAGGTTCAGTAACTTGCCCAAGGTCACACAGGAAGTGGAAGAAGCAGGCTCCTCCTCTGATTCTCTGGCTCAAAGTCCGGTGTTTTTCCTGCTGCCTCTAGATGAGGTGACTCAGGGCCGCCCCCCTCCCCCGGCCACTGGATTTGCAACATGTTCCTTCCTTTCTGATGCCCAGCTGACAGCTGCCTGCCTGCACAAAAGCAGATTCCTCCTCCCTTGGAACTCAAGGACCCCATCTGAGTCTCACAGATTTCCATGTTGGTACCAGCAGCAAAATATAGGATTGGGGAGCAAGCGAGTAAGAGAGGGAGAGATTCATTGATTCATTGAGAAATAGAGAAGAGACACTGAGGTAGGCTTCATGCACACCCAGAGAAGGACATACACCTGCCCACACAGACACACACACACACACAGCCTCCCACTCATACACACACACATACACTCTCACACTCATACACAAGTGGATCACATGGCAAAGGCTGGCAGGTGTGCACATACACACACACACTCTCTCTGTCTCTCTGTCTCACACACACACACACACACACACACGGACCACACAGCAGAGGCCAGCCGGCTCACGCAGCTGGCAAGAGGCAGACCCAGCATTTGAATTTAGGTTCTGGTGACTCAGGGAGTCACCCCTTTGCCAGGCTCCAGGGGAGGCAAAAACTCAGGTAGGAGGTCTATATAGCGTTGGTGCTTTCCAGCAGCTGAAACCCTGGAGATAAGCCTTGTGCAGGAGGCATCGTTATGACTTTGAAGCTCAGATAAACATTTTATGGAGCAGCCACCTCATGCCTGTCAGCCCAGGTTCTCTGGGAAGCAGACACTAAGAGGGAATTTGGAAAGCAAGAGTTTATTTATAGGGACGACTTGTGATAAAAGGGGAGCACACAGGTTTGCTCAGGGGGAGCCTGAGACCATGACGCCAATCTGTGTTTCCATCAGCCCCGTGGGATGTAGCGTAATAACCACTGGCCTTAGGGGAGTCTCCCACTGGCTGCTCAGTCAGCAGGAAGCAGGCCAAGGAGGCAGTGGGACCCCTCTGTGACTAGAACCTGGGGCCCAAGCTTCAGCTGCCGGTGCCACTGGGTGGGGTAGGGCTTGTCCTCATCAGGCCTGAGGTTTCAAAATTTGGGCTCAGTCTCTAACTGCAAAATCTTCTCAGCGTTCTGCACTGGACAGGCATAGGTCCTGGAGAATTTCCCCATGGACCCCCGGGAGCTGAAGTTCTTCACCAAAAGGTCTGTGAATGAGCTTTAGGGACATCCAAACCCCCTGAGCCCCTACACTTGTATAAATGTAACAGTGATTACACATTCTGTTGGTGTGTGAGTTGATGCCCATCCCAGGTAGGGTGGCACAGAGGGCAGGGGTGTTCTGCAGGGGCGGAGCTCCGGAGGCCACCACTGAAGGTGAGGCAGTGCTGGGAGGAGGAGCAACGGTGGGAGCAAATGTCACCTTTGCCATAAATCTGACCAAAAGAGAGTAAAACCAGCAGGGTTTAAGCCAATAGTGCCTAGATTTTAGGGAGGCAAGGGGACCAGAGCAGATACCCAGGGAACCCCAAATGTAATCAAGGAAAGCAAAGATCACCCGGTGGCCATCAAGCAGACTGTCCAGAGGCAAAACTCCTTATCTGAGGAATTCAGAAGTAATTATACTTCCCTCTTATATAAAGCAGGTATCTGGGCCAGGCCAGGTGGCTCACACCTGTAATCCCAGCACTTTGGGAGGCTGAGTCGGGCAGATCACGTGGTCAAGAGATCAAGACCATCCTGGCCAACATGGTGAAACCCTGTCTCTACTAAAAATACAAAAATTAGCCGGTCGTGGTGGTGCGCACCTGTAGTCCCAGCTACTCGGGAGGCTGAGGCAGGAGAATCACTTGAACCTGGGAGGCGGAGGTTTCAGTGAGCCAAGATCGTGCCACTGCACTCCAGCCTGGCAACAGAGCAAGTCTCCATCTCAAAAAAAAAAAAAAGAAAACAGGGAGAAAAGCAGGCATCTGGTACCAGGCTTTTAAAAATATACGTAAGTAACTAAAATTTCTATACATCTCTGAATGCATGCATGTCAAAATTCATTGTGCAACCCTTGCTGACATTAAGGGACCAAAATGTCTACAAATGAAATCATTTATCCTGATCTATGTGGCTAATATGGTCCAGATTACCCTTAAGCTCCCAATTTAAGGTCCATAAATACCCCTAAGGAAAAATCCACCAGGGTGCACTCAGTCCTCTCTTGCTGAGATGCCCTGCTGCACTCTTCTGCACTGTTCTTTCTTTCTAATAGAACTTTCCTTTCCACACTGGCGCTTGTCTAGGGGGTGAGGGCTGGGGGAGGGAGAGCATCAGGATAAATAGCTAATGCATGCAGGGCTTAATACCTAGGTGATGGTTTGATAGGTGCAGGAAACCACCATGGCACACGTTTGCCTGTGTAACAAACCTGCACATCCTGCACATGTATCCTGGAACTTAAAATAAAATAATATTTTTTTTAAAAGATGCAAGGAATGTTGCTAGAATGTCAGAATGTCATTCTAGAATGTCAGAATGTCATCAAGTAAGCAGATGCCATGAAAATACAGCTGTATATATTTGCATGGAAAAAACAAAAACAGAAAACGTTCCTTTTAAACCTATACTGTTGTCGGTAAATTCTTCTAACCAACCTGTGAGTCACCCACTTTCTGATGCCAGGGCTCTGACACCTCACCAGGCAATAATGTTTACAGGTATCTAAGCACTTTCCTGGGCAGAATTACCAGATTCTCAAAGGGATAGGGATCTAATGATCCTAGGCTAGGCTCATGCTGCGGTAACAAACAACCTTGGAATCTCAGTAATTTAACACCTGCAGTTTACTTTCTTCTGTGATAAACTCTACTGTATGTCAGGTGACACTCAGAGGCTGCTGTCCTGGGTGACCCAGGGATCCAGGCTGCTGTAATGTTGTGTCTTGCCCACCTTAATACAAAGCCTCCATACTTTTCCACAACAGGGAAGAGAGAGCCAGGAGGCCTGCAGGGACCTTTCCCTTCCTTGGCCCAGAAGTAATACATGTCTCTTTCTGACGGGCTGGAAGTGGTTCGTGGCCTGCCTACCTGCAGGGAAAACTGGGAAGTGTAGTTTTCATGCACTCAGAAAGGAGAGGAGAGGAGACCCTGATAGGGGAGAGCATGGGTCTTGTCTGCCACAAGACTTGGATGGCCCAAGTCAAGAAGCTTTGGGTCAAAGCAGCAGATTCTAAATCTATATTTGTAGACCAGCTGCATCAGCACCATTAGGAGACTTGGTGGAAAATAAAGGTACCCAGGCCAGTCCCGGAGAGTTATATTCTGTGCTCCAGGAATCTGTATTTTAACCTGTCTCACAGGTGAGTGGGCAGGCAGATTTGGCAACCTCTGGAGTGGAGGGTTGCCAGATCAGAGGGCTGTAAAATGCCTCAAAGATCATTCCAGCTTTAAAAAGAGGCCACTCCAGCTAAACTCTCCTTCTTGCTCTTCATCTTCCCTGCTGCCAGTTTGTGAGTTCACCTAGCAACATGTTTGAGGCCAGTGCGTATTTAAAATTCTAGCCCCTGGGGGCCTGTGTTTTTTATACTGATACCAGGTTTTCATTGCTGGGACAAATGAGGCACAGAATGCTCCTGTAGCTGGAGAAGTACCCCTGGATCTGGCATTGCAGACCCCTCTCCCCTCTTGATAAGGAAGAGGCAAGCATCTCACCCAATGCCCCAAACCACTTTCCCTAGGAGGTGTGCCTGTCTGGTATTTTTCAGGGTTATGGAACTTTAAGATGCGGGGAGCAGAGGCCAAAAGTGTGCTAAACACCTTCATTATGACCAATTCACTCTACTGCTGTGGTTTAATTCTGCTGGGAGAATGAGATTGGAAAGACAGTGCTGATTTAATTTGCAAGAATGAATAAAGATAACACAAATAAGACCAGTAACTGAGGGCAATAAAGCTCCAGGAGCATATAATTCACATTCTCTCAAACCTGGGCCTCCTTTCCTCATGACTGTCTTTCTGTGTTTGGAGTTGATTAAGCCCAAACAATTGCAGTTTTTTGTCTTTTTCTGCTGCTGGAGTGAGGCTGACTTCTCAGGCTGGGCAGTGGGCATGCATTGGAGTTCACAAAACCCAACTGAGAGCCAAATATTAAATTTTCCGAGCCAGTTGTTAAACCATTGACAGCTTGAAATTGACCATGGTGGAAATATCTACACCACAGAAACTGGCACATCAGGGCTTTTTTTTTTTTTTTTTTTGCCAGCACTCCACTCACTGTATTAGGGTCTTCGTCAAAGGGCAAATCAAATTAACAAGAGGAAGAGGCAAAACTTGTGAAGTCCCTCCAGTGTCTGTAGAGCTTTACTGTTGAGGAAAGAGACAGAAAGAATGCATTTCTTAGCATTTCCACAACAGCACCCTTGAGCTTGGAATGGGACTCCTAGATGGAGGTTTTACAGGTGTACAGAAAATGGGCTCGCCCCAGAGCCCAGTGCCAGGCAGGATCCAGAGTGCCTAGGGACCAGGGTCAGCTGTGTACAGGGGAGGGCATCCTTGGTATACACAGGGCACACCCATCCGTGCACAAATGCAGGTCTTTCATCAGTGCACACAGGGATGTGTGCTGGTTAGTGCAGCAGGAGTGTGTCTGCAGGTCCCGGGGAGTGGGTATTCTCTTTGGTGTTTGAATGAGCATCTGGTTAGACATGAACCCCCACTGGCATATCAACGTATGTGATGTGATTAAGCGAGCTCGACAGTACTCAGATCTTTATTAGTTTCCTCTGCTGCTATAATAAATCACCACCACAATTTTAATGGCTTGAAATGACACACATTTATCATCCTCAAGTACTGGAGATCAGGAATCTCAAATGGGTCAGTAGAGTTCCACTCCTTCTGGAGTTTCTAGGAGAACTTGCCTTTTTTCCCCTTGATTTTCCTCTGTTGTCTTTTCCATCTCCATCTTCTCAAGGCTGCACACATGCCTTGGCTCATGGCCCCACATCATTTGATCTGATTCTGTCATCACATCTCTTTTTCTGACTCTCCTGCCTCCCTCTTTCCCTTATAAGGCCTTTGTGATTACATGGGGCCCATCTGGAAAATCTAGGATAATCTCTCCATCTCCAGATCCTTAATTTAATCACAGCCACAAAGTCCCTTTTGATATGTAAGGCGACATTTATACAGGTTCCAGGGATATAGGGTGTGGATATCTTTTGAGGGCCATTATTCTGCCTACCGCAGTCTGCCCTCTGCCCTCCAAAGATTCCCATCCATTCCAAATGCAAAATGCATTCAATTTGTCCCAACATCTCCTGAAATCTCCACCCATTACAGCATCAACTCAAAGTGCAAAATCTCATCTAAATCTCTTCAGCTCAAAAGCCCCAAATCTCATCATCAAAATCATCTAAAACAGGTATCTAGTGAGACTCCTCATATGGCCCATTCTGGGGCAAAATTCCTTTCCACTTTTAAACTGTAGAATAGAGATATTAATAGTTCCCACTTTGTATGTATCAGTCAGGGCTCAACCAGAGGAGCAGAGCCAATAGGAGATTGGAAAGAAGTGGGGCAGGATCTGGAGAGAATGGAGAGCAATTGCAGGCCCAACTCCTTGTGCTCGGCGGGTCGGCAGATCAGCAACAACGTGGCTACTAAAACATGGGTGTTGTTATTCTGCCACCAACTCTTGTGAGTGCACCCCTCATAATGAGAAACACAGGAGAAGAGAGAATGGAGCTGTGCCTAGCCGAGTTGGTGCAGCCAACGCCAGCACCCTCCTAGCATTGTTGAGAGGAAACAGGCCACGTCCAAGGGATCCCAGTTCAGCGGCCTGCCCGGTGATTGCCATGGTGTAGTTGTTGGCTCCTGCCAATGTCACTATGATGGTCATCATGTCTCCTTGCCTGCATCTCTCTGTTGGGAGTGTGTTTACTAGTAGACATGGCAAGTGGGCCCCCTGGGCTGGTTCATGGACTTCAGCAAGAGCCACATGAATGATGATGGAAAAGACCTTTCTCTCACAGAAAACATGCTATTTCATCTTGACTGGGGCTTAGGAAATCAGGGAGTCTGTCTGGGTGGGAGGAGGCTGAAGGTAGGTGTGGATCTACCCTCCAAGGGTGGAGCATAGGCACTTTTGCAAAGCTGGAAGCCTGCGTTGCTGGGACCAAAAGCAATTGCAGGAATGTGAAAGGATGCATTAGGAAGAGAAAGCCTGTGGGCACCACAATGGGAGGCTGGGGGCCGGAAAGAAAATAGAAGAGATTGGCTGTGGGAAGAGCCACAGAAACCCAGCCAAAGCACAAACACATCTGGGTTTCTAGTCATGTGAAATCAACAACCCCTCCAGATGCGTTGCCGGATGGGGGAGGAAGAAAAGCAGGTCTCGAGGCTCTCAATTCAAGGGCTGAACCTCACATCATGGCTCTGGTTTTCAAATCCCCTTGTGCAGTCTGCAATGAGGACAACTGCATCTTTCTGTGGGACCTGGTGCTTCAGGGCTAGAAAGAGGGTTGGGTGGGGGTTAGGGGGTGTCCTGGGATCCCAGTCAGCCAGGGAGGGCCTATTTTCTGGGGAATAAGGAAGAAAATGGAGTTGAGTTGCCCCCAAAGGTGGGAGGGGCTGGAGCTGATGCGCCCAGTGTCAGGTTTGAGGGGTGGAGTATGGCAGTGAATGGGAGAGGACTCAGGAGCTTCAGAGGAGCAGGTTGGTCTAAGCAGGGCCTGAAGCTTCAGAGAATAAGATAGTAAATAGTGGGCCACAGGTATGATGTGCCACCTGTGAGCAGGTGAGGGATGCTGGCAGCTCCAAGGCATAAGAGCCTGGACCTCAGGCCTCTCTCAGCCTCTCTCGTGTGCTCCCTGAACTCCCAGGGGCCCAGGCCATCCTGGATTGTGAGAATGTAATGGAACCCCTCATCTGGGGCTCAAGGACTCAAAGAGAATTGGGGTTAGGAAGGCCCCTTGAGCTAACCCAGCTGCACAAACTTACAGTCAGAGATACTGAGGTCTGGGCAGTTGGGGAGGGCATCAGGTGCTGGTGGGGGAGAGTGACCTTTCCAAGCTCACACAGTCAGAGACCCTTACCACAGACGAGAGACTCTTTCTCTCTCCCACCACCTCTGTCCCCTGACCAGGGCATTGCGCCTCTGGACAACATGGTAGCCCAGGTCCAACTCTTAAGAAGTTGTGTGTGGCCACTGCAGCCGAGTGCGCTGTCTCCGGGAGGCACCTGTTAAAGCTCACGCTGCCTGCAAGGGGTGAGCCGGCCCCTCTCCCATCAGCCCAGCAGCAGAGACTCCTCTCAGACCAGGCAGAGATGCTCTGGAGATGGTGAGTGAGCTCAGCAGGTGGCCCAGGAGCAGAGCAAGCCCAGGAGGGGGCTGGGCAGCAGCACCAGGGTAAGGGGTGGGAGCCCCAATGCTGGCAGGCACAGGAGGGAGAGAGGGGCAGGGTGCCCAGGAAATACTGTGTCCCAGGGGCCACTCTCTGCAGAGAAGAGCCCCTGGGTGTGGAGTGAGTGGAGGGAATTGGACCCTGCTCCATGCACAGGCTCCGTGGCCCCAGGCGGCCAGTGACCTCACTGCTCTGAGCCAGGGCTGGGGATAAGAATACCCTCTCCCAGGACTGCAGTGGGGAGTGAGATAACAACCCATTTACGCCAGAGGTTGCAAGTCTTTTGTGTGAAAAATCAGACTTTGGCAATGACCTTGAGCAGTAGGATATAAATAACGCCCACGAGCTTAGCATTCCAATAATGGATCACTAGGCATAAATGGGTAACATGCTCAGCCCAGCGCCTGATAGACGGGCTCCCTCCCCATCCCCCGGCCAGGACTACCCAGGGGTCAGGACTGTGGGCTCCGCAGTTGCACATCTGGGATTTGTGTCCTGCTCCACTGCCTGCTGGCTATGTGACCTGGGACAAGTCCCTCTCCTTCCCTGAGCCTCAGTTTCTTCTCAAAACGGGGATGCTAATAGCACCTTCCTCCAACTTGCGGGGAGGACTCAGGGTGATAATCCTCATCAAGTGCCTCGCACAGGGCCTGGTACAGAACACGCCTGATCAAAGGCAGTGGGTATCACCCCGAGCTGGGGGATCTGCTGGGGCCTTTTAGACAGTGAAGTCTGGACCTTTTAGACAGTGAAGGAGGGGGTTGTCATTCCCACAGCTATCATTCGTTCTGGCTGTCCCTTCCAGAATCCCACATGACAGCTGTTTCTCTCTGCCCCCAATACCTTCTTTCTCACTCCCTACCCAGGTTGACAGTGTGGGTCTGGTCTGAGCTTGGTGTGCAGAAATGGATTCTCTGTGCTCACGACCTTGTGAATCCAACTGAAACTGCTATTTTCCTCTACCTGGTGAATGACAAGAGCGCAGACGTGTCAGGGGCTTGCTTTCTGTCTCCATGAGCAATTGAGGCGGCATCACCCTCTCCAGGCCGCCCTCACGAGAGAGGGACTCATCTTTGACAATTTGGGAAAATGCAGCCAGTACTCTGAAGATATATTATGTAAAAAGCAGAACTTCCGCAATGTGAGTCTTTCCATTTTACCCCCTTCTGTTTTCTTTAAATGTCAACATCCTTACTTATTCTTCTGTCTCATGGAAGCTATCAAAAGAGTGATGATTCTAGGAATACATGAACTCCTAGAAATTTGTGGCTCCTAAAGACATACTCATTTGCGGCATGAAATATGTCTCTGTGAGTGTGTAAACCCAGGCAGTTTCATGGGGCCATTACAGTGCAGGGCTGAATTGTTTTGCTGCAGAGCTGTCTGTAATGACCTGCTCCTAACTGGTGCTCACGGCTTCCACTTTAAACTGTGACACCTGGGGAAGCGATGCAGTGTATGTGGGTCTGTCAGCCCTGCGTCGCCAGGTAAAGCAGCCAGGTCATCAGTACCCTCTCACCTGTACGGCTTCCTGGAGCCCAGGCCCGTTTTCTATCTGACTCTATTCTTAGGCCTCCATGCCCTAACTCGGGTCCTGTCCCTGGACCCTTGCCCATGGCCTTTGGAATGGGGTCTTTGAGTCTTGCTCTCCCTAGTGGCTTGAAACAGCCTCTTGGGTCCATCCCACTGTAGAGCTGGGGAGACAGCCTGGCTAGTGGAGCAGGGCTGATTTCACACCATCCTCAGACCTGGGCAAGAGGCCTGCTCCCTGGGTCCCACACTTCAGAGGACCCTACTCTGGCCATGCATCTCCTCAAGGGACAAGGAATCCATGGAGCCAAAGGGATGCTGTGCTCACTTGGAGTCTACCTGACACCTCCCACCCTTCCAGATCACTGCCTGATACCTGGGACTGCAGCATTCCCTGCCCAGATATCCCAAAGCCCACTTCCTGAGCCCAGGTGGGCCTCATTCCTGGGTCCATCCTCCTGAGGGTGGCCTGCTCTGTCAGTGCACACCCAGGCCTGAGGAGTGGCCAGCTGTTTTGGGGGGTTATGAAAGGAGTTTGAACACTTGCACTGGTGTCTACGTGCATGTGAGCCCCTCATGGTGTGGGAGGGACCTGGGGTAGGAAAAGAAGGGAGTGGGTCAAGGAGGGGCCAAGGCTGGTTCTCCCTGCACCTCCACAGCTGGGGTGGGACCTGGGACCTCCACAGCTGGGGTCCCAGGGGGCCTGAGAACTTTAAATTGAAAACTGGCCTCCTAGGTTGTTATAAAGTTGCATTTGCTAAGGGAAAAGGGTAGGACATCTTTCGTTCACCAATTTGTTCATTTGGTTTATCATTTTAAGTATTTGGGAATGTGGATGTCCATTTGTGCTCTTGCCCTGGATCCCCTAAATGTCAGGGATAGCCAGAGCATCCACTGTGCACATTGTGCTTGATCCTAGGAGTCAGAGCTACAGGCAACATCAGCCACCTCCCCCTTACATGATTAGGAGTGGGGGAGTCAGAGTGGCCTCCCCTGGCCTAATCTGGTTGAAGGGTGGGTGGGGTCCTCATCTACACAATGCTCCCCCTGCAGCACCCACCGAAGTACCTGCACTGCCTTTGAGGGAGCAGTTTTTGCACCATGCAAGAGGGGCACGCTCTGCCTAAGTGCGAGTTCACTGGTGTGCTCTGGAGAGAGAGGGCCCTTTAAGGAGGTGGGGCTGGAGAAGGCGGCGCTGGGTTTAGGAACTCCTGTCTTCTCTGTTACTTACAACCACCCTGGTCCTACCAGCCTTCCCACATTCAGGTGAGGGCACCTGCCCCAGGCCACAGGGTCAGCAAATGCCCCTCTGTCCTCTGACTAAGACCCAGGGAAGGGAAGTGACTTGCCCAGGGCTGCACCCTAGGCTAGTGGAGAGTCAGAATGGAAATCTGGGACCTCAGCCCATGAGAGCTGTGTTTGAAGAGGGTTTGTTTATCCTGGATCCCAGGGTCCCTGTGGCCTCTGCACAGAATGATCGTCACTACCTGTGCTGGTTGATTTGCACGTCAGTGTGACTGGGTTAAGGGATACCTGGAGAGCTGGGAAAGCACTAATTATTCTCAGTGCTTCAGTAGACACAGCCTGTGCCTCTTCTGCTGAAAGGGAACTGCAGGTGGTTTGGCATTTGATTGGAATGATTGGGCTGCCCCAGGTGTGCCTCTGAGGGTGTTTCTGGAGATTGGCATGATATTGGCTGTGGGTCTTTATTGAGGATGACTCTGCTAGGCCCTTTTACCTCCTCAGACCTACAGCATTTGCTGTCCTTGCAATAGTTTGCTGAGAATGATGGTTTCCAGCTTCATCTATGTCCCTACAAAGGGCATGAATTCATCATTTTTTATGGCTGCATAGTATTCCATGGTGTATATGTGCCACATTTTCTTAATCCAGTCTATCATTGTTGGACATTTGGGTTGGTTCCAAGTCTTTGCTATTGTGAATAGTGCCGCAGTAAACATATGTGTGCATGTGTCTTTATAGCAGCATGTTTTATAATCCTTTGGGTATATACCCAGTAATGGGATGGCTGGGTCAAATGATATTTCTAGTTCTAGATCCCTGAGGAATCGCCACACTGTCTTCCACAATGGTTGAACTAGTTTACAGTCCCACCAACAGTGTAAAAGTGTTCCTATTTCTCCACATCCTCTCCAGCACCTGTTGTTTCCTGACTTTTTAATGATCGCCATTCTAACTGGTGTGAGATGATATCTCATTGTGGTTTTGATTTGCATTTCTCTGATGGCCAGTGATGATGAGCATTTTTTCATGTGTCTGCATAAATGTCTTCTTTTGAGAAGTGTCTGTTCATATCCTTCGTCCACTTGTTGATGGGGTTGTTTGTTTTTTTCTTGTAAATTTGTTTGAGTTCTTTGTAGATTCTGGATATTAGCCCTTTGTCAAATGAGTAGATTGCAAAAATTTTCTCCCATTCTGTAGGTTGCCTGTTCACTCTGATGGTAGTTTCTTTTGCTGTGCAGAAGCTCTTTAGTTTAATTAGATCCCATTTGTCAATTTTGGCTTTTGTTGCCATTGCTTTTGGTGTTTTAGACATGAAGTCCTTGCCCATGCCTATATCCTGAATGGTATTGCCTAGGTTTTCTTCTAGGGTTTTTATGGTTTTTAGGTCTAACATTTAAATCTTTAATCCATCCTGAATTAATTTTAGTATAAGGTGTAAGGAAGGGATCCAGTTTCAGCTTTCTACATATGGCTAGCCAGTTTTCCCAGCACCATTTATTAAATAGGGAATCCTTTCCCCATTTCTTGTTTTTGTCAGGTTTGTCAAAGATCAGATAGTTTTAGGTATGTGGCATTATTTCTGAGGGCTCTGTTCTGTTCCAGTGGTCTATATCTCTGTTTTGGTACCAGTACCATGCTGTTTTGGTTACTGTAACCTTGTAGTATAGTTTGAAGTCAGGTAGCATGATGCCTCCAGCTTTGTTCTTTTGGCTTAGGATTGACTTGGCAATGTGGGCTCTTTTTTTGGTTCCATATGAACTTTAAAGTAGCTTTTTCCAATTCTGTGAAGAAAGTCATTGGTAGCTTGGTGGGGATGGCATTGAATCTATAAATTACCTTGGGCAGTATGGCCATTTTCACGATATTGATTCTTCCTATCCATGAGCATGGAATGTCCTTCCATTTGTTTGTATCCTCTTTTATTTAATTGAGCAGTGGTTTGTAGTTCTCCTTGAAGAGGTCCTTCACATCCCTTGTAAGTTGGATTCCTAGGTATTTTATTCTCTTTGAAGCAATTGTGAATGGGAGTTCACTCATGATTTGGCTCTCTGTTTGTCTGTTATTGGTGTATAAGAATGCTTGTGATTTTTGCACATTGATTTTGTATCCTGAGACTTTGCTGAAGTTGCTTATCAGCTTAAGGAGATTTTGGGCTGAGACAATGGGGTTTTCTAGATATACAATCACGTCATCTGCAAACAGGGACAATTTGACTTCCTCTTTTCCTAATTGAATACCCTTTATTTCTTTCTCCTGCCTGATTGCCCTGGCCAGAACTTCCAACACTATGTTGAATAGGAGTGGTGAGAGAGGGCATCCCTGTCTTGTGCCAGTTTTCAAAGGGAATGCTTCCAGTTTTTGCCCATTCAATGCTTGTAAGGTTTCTGCTAACAGATCCATTGTTAGTCTGCTGGGCCTCCCTTTGTGGGTAACTCAACCTTTCTCTCTGGCTGCCCTTAACACTTTTTCCTTCATTTCAACCTTTGTGAATCTGACAACTATGTGTCTTGGGGTTGTTCTTCTCGAGGAGTATCTTTGTGGTGTTCTCTGTATTTCCTGAATTTGAATGCTGGCCTGCCTTTCTAGGTTGGGGAAGTTCTCCTGGATAATATCCTGAAGAGTGTTTTCCAACTTGGTTCCATTCTCTGCATCACTTTCAGGTAAACCAATCAAACATAGATTTGGTCTTTTCACATAGTCCCATATTTCTTGGAGGCTTTGTTCGTTTCTTTTTACTCTTTTTTCTCTAACCTTGTCTTCTCGCTTTATTTCATTAATTTGATCTCCAATCACTGATACCCTTTCTTCCACTTGACCGGATCAGCTATTGAAGCTTGTGCGTGTGTCATGAAGTTCTTATGCCATGGTTTTCAGCTCCATCAGGTCATTTAAGGTCTTCTCTACATTGTTTATTCTAGTTAGCCATTCATCTAATCTTTTTTTCAAGGTTTTTAGCTTCCTTGTGATGGGTTCAAACATCCTCCTTTAGCTCAGAGAATTTTGTTATTACCGACCTTCTGAAGCCTACGTCTGTCAATTCGTCAAAGTCATTCTCCATCCAGCTTTGTTCCGTTGCTGGCAAGGAGCTACAATCCTTTGGAGGAGAAGAGGCCCTCTGATTTTTAGAATTTTCAGCTTTTCTGCTCTGGTTTCTTCCAATCTTTGTGGTTTTATCTACCTTCATTCTTTGATGTTGATGACCTACAGATGGGGTTTTGGTGTAGATGAACTTTTTGTTGATGTTGATGCTATTCCTTTCTGTTTGTTAGCTTTCCTTCTAACAGTCAGGTCCCTCAGCTGCAGGTCTGTTGTAGTTTGCTGGAGTTCCACTCCAGACCCTGTTTGCCTGGGTATCACTAGTGGAGGCTGCAGAACAGCAAATATTGCTGCCTGATCCTTCCTCTGGAAGCTTCATCCCAGAGAGGCAGCCGCCTATATGAGGTGTCTGTTGGCCCCTACTAGGAGGTGTCTCCCAGTTAGGCTACACGGGGGTCAGGGACCCACTTGAGGAGGCAGTCTGTCCATTCTCAGAGCTCAAACGCTGTGCTGGGAGAACCACTGCTCTCTTCAGAGCTGTCAGACAGAGACATTTAAGTCTGCAGAAGTTGTCTGCTGCCTTTTGTTCAGCTATGCCCTGCCCACTTGACCCAGCAATCCCATTACTGGGTGTATACCCAAAGGATTATAAATCATGCTACTATAAAGACACATGCACACATATGTTTATTGATGCACTACTCACAATAGCAAAGACTTGGAACCAATCCAAATGTCCATCAATGATAGATTGGATTAAGAAAATGTGACACATATACACCATGGAATACTATGTAGCCATAAAAAAGGATGAGTACATGTCCTTTGCAGGGACATGGATGAAGCTGGAAACCATCATTCTCAGCAAATGATCACAAGGACAGGAAACCAAACACCACATGTTCTCACTCATAGGTGGGAATTGAACAATTAGATCACTTGGACACAGAGCGGGAAACATTACACGCCAGGGCCTGTCGGGGAGTGGGGGGCTGGGGGAGCAATAGCATTAGGAGAAATATCTAATGTAAGTGATGAGTTGATGGGTGCAGCAAACCAACATGGCACATGTATACCTGTGTATCAAACCTGCACGTTGTGCACATGTACCCTAGAACTTAAAGTATAATTAAATGTATATACACGTACAGAAGAGACTGGGCAAAAAAAAAAGAAAAAAAACTCCACAATGCAATACTGTATTGCTTTGCTTTAAATAATATAATGTATCTTAAAGAAAATAAAATGAGAAATAGAATTTTATATTAATATTTATCCATACATTTATAATTTCTCTTTTTTTATTACTTCCTTGAATATTTGAATTTCTGTTAACATTTTCCTTCAGCCTAAAAAACCTTCTTTAGCATTTCTTATACATTGAGTTAACTAACAGTTAAGTTCTTGACAGTTGTATAGCAGTTCTGTTCTACAGCAGTTAAGATCTACTGCTAATAAATTATCTTAGTTTTCTTTTATCTGAAATGTTTTCATCTCACTATTGCTTTTGAGTGATATTTTTGCTGGGTATAGAATTCTGTGTTGTTCATGATTTAAATATGTCATTCCACTATCTTCTGGCCTCCACTGCTTCTTATTGGAAGTCAGCAACCAATCAACATGCTTCTTCCATCTATGTAATGTGTCATTTTTCTCTAACTGCTTTCAATTTTTTAAAATCTTTTTTTGGTTTTTAGCAGTTTGACTATGACATGCCTTGGTATAATTTTCTTTGCATTCATCCCAGTTTGGGTTTGCTGAGTTTCTTCAATCTGTAAATATCTGTCTTTCACCAAATCTGGAATTTCCTTGTTCTTTCTTCTACCTTCAATTTTTGATTACATCATCTAGAAATTTTTAGAATATTATATTTCTCAGTTCTATAATTTTCATTTGGTTCATTTTTATAGTTTTTATTTCACTGTTGGGATTTCCTATCTTTTCATTTGTTATTCTGAGAATATATATATTTTACAACCTTCAGTTAATTATAATACCTGCTTTAAAATCTGTGTCTGGTAATTCTAACATCTGGATTATTTTAAGATTGTTCTTCATTGATTATCAGTTTCCTAATTTTGGTTCACATTTTTATATTATTCATATTTCTGATAATTTTCGACTTTATCCTGGACATCGTGAAAGGTTTTTGTTTATTTGCTTTTATAAAGATGTTGGATTCTTTCAAAAGAGGATGATTCCTGTCTGCTGGCTCAGGGGGCAGGTGCATGAGCCGGGGCAACAGGAGACCCTTCCTTAGCTTAGGGGCCTGTCCAGAAGTAGCCACTTCCTAGCCGAGTTCTCAGCTTCCACTACTTCCACATTGCAATTTGTGGCCAATATGGCAGCCCAGGAATATTCCTAAAACACATAACTGGTTACTTCTTCCCTTTCCCTGGTCTTTCTTGCCTTGCTCTATGACTCCTTTTCTCTCAGGATACGAAATAGACCTAGTATGTTGATCTGCACAGCCCTGCACTATCACATCCATTCTCCTTCCCTTTCTGGGATAATTAATACCTAACATGTCCATCTCCCTCCCCACCAATCTCCAGATCTTCATGTATCTTTAGTCTCCTTTGAGTGACACCCTTCTTTCTGCCACAGGGCCTTTGCATGGCTGTTCTCTCTGCTGCAATGTTCCCCTGACCCCAATTCCTCAGTCCACTTCTCACTCTTTAATCTCAGCTCAGTCGTCCTCCCCTCAGGGATGTCCTATCTGACCTCCTGTGACAAGACAATTCCCCATATTGACATGCCTTTATAGCACCTCAGCCCTCTCTTTCATAGTAGTTATGACAGTTGGAAATTCATGCTAATTTATGATATTCTGTGGCATCTGTCTGTCTGTCATACTAGACCTATCTACCCCATGAGATCAGAGACTGTGTTGGTCTTGGCTCACATGGAAATCCCCAGGGCCTTGGGCAGTCAGGGGCTTGGCCTCAGCAAATGTGACCCATGTCTCAGTTCCAGGCCTCATTTCCCTTTAGGTATTTGGGTTGGTCCCTTGAATTTGGCTTATTTTAGGCAGTCCCTCTCATTGGAAGGGATAGAACCCAAGTAGCTTAAGCATCTTTCCTGCAACATGGAGAAAGCTTGCCTGAGAATGAGATCAGCACAGAGGAAAGTGGAGATAAGAAATGCAAGGAAGGAGACAGAGCCTCAGGTCCAGCCAGAAACCAAGTGAGCTCTACTCCCCATACTTTCCAGTTACATGAGCCAGCAAATGTAATTCCCTGTATCTGAAAACATGTAGCATTACTTTTACAGAAATAAGTGTATGATTACATTAAGTAAAGTGTCCAAGGCAACCAAAAGAAGAACTACAAATATAATAATATCTGAAGAAGGGGAGATGGATTAGTATAGAAATAAGCATCACAGCAGGAAGTTAGGAGATAGTGGTACAAACATATTATTTAGCTTTATGAGGGAATGAGTAGGAGACACAGCTAAACAAATGAAAATTGGTTACCTCTGAGGAGCAGAAGTCAGGGTGAGAGGTTCAAGGAGCCACTACTTTTTATTCCTAATATTTTTAAAACCATATGCATGAACCATATATGCATGAAATATATAACAATAAGGTTGGCACACAATGTAATTTCAGTTCCTTAAGTTGACTCAGCTGAAAGAGCACATTTACTTTAAAAATAAAATCTCATAACTAAGAAAGTTGAACATTAAAAGCCATATACTTTATTTTGTTGAAACGATAGTGTAAAGTTCAATAATAGAACCTGGAATCACTTTCTTTCTGGTGCTTACAGGAAGTATGGCTTGGTCAGAGGTGGTGATCATCAGAACTTTCCCAGGGAGGGTTTTCCTTGGAGGAGGCTAAGCAACAAAAGCTGGGCTTGGCCCCTTGGCAGGGGTCACCTGAGACATTCCACTGCCTGAGGGCTCCTTCCATGACCCCATAGAGGCCCATCAGTGCCCAAGTGTGAGTGGTCTTGAACCTGCAGGTGGGTGTCCCAGAATTGGTGGAGACAGAAATGGTGGTTATTAGAGGAGTGAGGGGAGGGGCGGGCAGCCAGGCACCTCACTGCCACACTGGCCTCCTTCCATGGAGCTCAGGCAGCCTCTGGCAGAGGACACTCCACGCCTGCCTTTCTCTGCAATGGCCTTCCTGGCACCAACTCATAGCCGGGTGGATCTCCTGGGGCAAGAGCAGCTACTTTAAGGCAATTAGGACGCTGTGGGGACTGAGCTCCATGGGACGGGGACGAGGACCCACTCTCTAGCCATGCTTTCTTACTGATTTTCTCCCTGAATCAGAAGAATCTTCCCAATTCATGCTCCTGACCTCCCCTCCCATGCCAGGCCCTCCACAAGCCTGCCCTTCCCTCTTCCTCTGGGAAAATGAAAAGATAAAGCTGAGAAGCCCTTCCCGGGCCCCTCAACTCTTGAGTTTCCATGATTCTGGAATGGACTGCCCACGGGGGTGGAAATCACACTTGCCTTCTTCAATCCTCTAGTCCCGTCACAGCGCAGGGCACAAATGGAGCATTCAGAAAATAGCTAGTGAATGAAGTAATGAATTCTAACATTCTATAATTCTAAGTGTTTATGCCTGTGATTCTAAGAGTCTATGCCTGTGATTCAAGAATTCTAAATTGTTATTACTGTTCACCAAGGATACCAGCTCCGAATGCCGACAGGGACAGGGGCCAGGCGGGGAACTTGTATGAGTGAAACCGGACAGGCAAAGCGCAAATGCACAGTCCCTCAGTGGGTGTGGCAGGGCTCCCATTGGCCGGCACCCTTGATCGGCACCGCCGGACCTGCCTCTAGCTCCGCCCACGTCCCCGCCCGCCCTCGCGCACCTTCCCACAGCTCCAGGCATCTCACTCCAGACTTTGCTACCCTTCTGGAGTTGGGCTCTGACCCTTTATTGTGGCTTGTTTTAGGCAGAACTTCTTGTTGCAAGTGGCAGAAAACAAGTAACTTTAAGGAAAGCTAGACTGATTTATTGGCCCACATAATTGGAAAATACGTGGAGGGGAGTGGACTGGCTTCTGGGACAGCTGAAGTCAAGGGCTCAAACCGCTTCCCTGGGGCTATGTCTCCTTCCTCTCTTCTCTTAGCTTTGCTTCCTCCTTAGGAAGGCTTTCTCCTCACTGTGGAAAAGATGCATCAGAAAAGGCCTTACAGGTTGGAGTTCTAGAGGAGGGACCGTTTCTCTCCAAGTGCCCACATGTCAAATCTCAGTGGTGGCCGCGGCAGAGCTAGGGAGTGAAACGCTCACATCTCTTCCACATGGTGTGGAGAAAACGAGGGTCTCCCTGCATGCCTGGAGCACCCCCACCCAAGCTCACACAAGGTGAGAGTGAGTCCAGGGGATTGGTGCCCCGGCTACTCTGTCCAAGCACCGTGGGCAAAGACAGATATACAACCAGATTAAGGAGGTGGAGACAGGCATTGATAGGAGGGGGAAAAACGCGACTGTGCCTCATCAGCCCCTGGGCTGTCTGCGTGGTGACAGGAAGAGAAAGGATTACTGGTAAGACTGGAGGCAGGACTCGACCCCCGCCACTCTCCCCTATCCCCTGCAAGAAGTGATAACCCAAGAGCTTTCAGGCGCTCAGCCTCTGCTAGGCTGCCTGAGGGGTGCAGACAGAATGAATAAACAATAGGAAAGTGGGTGCCTTATAATAACCCAAGGTTGGGCATGAGGCATTTATCACTGCCAACCAATCAGATAGCTGTCTGTAATTGCAGCAGGCAAATCACAAGAGGAACCAATCAGAAGCAGGCCCCAGTCAGATGGACCAATCAGGTGAATTCATTTGTTCAACCAATCACACAGTGAGCACTGATAGGCACTCCTATTAGGAGATAGTTAGCTAGAATTGGGGCGTCTCTAGCTTCTCAATGACCCTGAGCCTCCGCAGGCCTCCCCATCTCCCTCACCTTGGAAAACAGCATTTCTGACAAGCTCAGGACAAAATGTGCTCCTATGGGCACCCCCACCTCAAGGCACACAGGTGGGGTCCTGCCTGACGTTTTAGTGGCACTTTGATAGATACTTCAGTCATCAAGTTCATCAGAGTTGTCAAAATGTTAAGATCTTCCTGAAAGAAGTGATGAATGGAATCGAGTGGATTAAATATTTCTCCTGTTCCTCAGTATATCACGTAGAGTCATTCCTACCCTCTCCATGGGATCATCAGTGGGTCACACACAGGTTGAGGAAAGCATCAGGCACTCCTAGGGACCCTGCCCCAAGTGTCAGTGTCATTCAAGGGCTCTGAGGGCTTAAAAAACAGTTTTACTGCAGTAAAATTTATGGACACAAATCTGCACATATTTAAAGTTTGATAATTTTGACATATGTCTACACCCAAGAAACCATCACCATAATCAAGATAATGATCGTATTCATCTCCTCCCATTTCCTGTTTTCTTTGTACCCCTTTGTCAGCCTCCTACCCTTCCCTCAACTAAACTGTTTTCTGTCACTGCATGTCAATGTGCATTTTTTAGAATTATAAGTGGAATTATAGAGTCACTCAGCATAATAATTTTAAAGTTTATTCATGTTGATATGTTTATCAATAGTTTGTTCCTTTTTATTCCTGAGTAATATTCCATAGTATAGATATGCCCCAATTAATTTATCCATCCACACATTAGTGGACATGTGGGACTATTACAAATAAAAATGTAATGAACGAAATGTAATGAAACATGTAATATACAAGGCTTTGCTTAAGCATGTGCTTTCTTTTATCTCAGGTATATACAGAGGAGGGGAAAGGCCCTGTCATATGGTAGGTGTATGTTCGACTTTTAAAGAAACTGTCCAAGCATTTTTTAAAATAATTGTACAGCTTTACATTCCACCAGCAGCCTACAGCAGTGCCTATTCCTCAAAATCTTTGCCAAAATGTGGCATTATCAGCCTTTTTAGTTTTAACCATTTTAGTGGGTTTGTGACTTTAATTTCTATTTGCCTAAGACTCCTGATATTGAGAAACTGTTACGTGCTAATTTGCTATTCATACAAGAGGACTTCAAAAAGTTCATGGAAGATTTTAATTAAAAGATAAAAATAAAAACATAAACTCTATCTCTCAACATAAGCTCCATCAAAGTCAAGACAGTTTTGAAGTGATAATATCAACCATCTAGTCCATCCTTTAAGAGTCCTGGGAATTTAATCATGTCAATGCGGTCTTTTTTACATTACTAACTGAAGACAAAATTAATGCCCTGATTTTTTTAACATGAAGAAACAAAAAGAAGTAAAAAGGAGCCAAATCAGCACTCTTGCAAAATTACCTGTTTGATGAAAGGAATGAGTGGGAGCATTGTCATAGTGAGGAAGGACTCTCTGATAAAGCTTTCCTGGCTGTTTTTCTGCTAAGGCTTTGGCTAACTTTCTCAAACGCTCTCATAATAAGCAGATGTTATCGTTCTTTGGCCCTCCAGAAAGTTAACAAGCAAAATGCCTGAGTATTCCCTCCCGGTCAAATGCTGACCTTCTCTTAACCAGTCCACTTTTGCTTTGACGATACCACCTCCACCCCTTGGTAGCCATTGCCTTGATTTTGCCCTTGTTTTTAGGATCATACTGGTGAAGACATGTTTTATCACTTGTTATAATTTTTTGAGGAAATGATTCAGAATCTTGATCCCACTTATTTAAAATATGCATTGAAAACACTGCTGTTGTCTGCAGCTGATCTGGCTGTAACAGTTTTGGCATCCATTGAGTGGAAAGTGTGCTCAACTTTAATTTTTCAGTCAGAGTTATGTACATCGAACACAATTGAGATGTCTATAATGTTGGCTGTCGTTATTAATAATCAGTCCTATTCAATTAGGGCATGAAGAAGATTATTTATTTCCTTGCAAAGGTACATGGATGGTCTGCCACCTTAGGTTCATCTTCAACGTAGTTTTGTTCTTCTTAAAACAAGCTATCCATTTGTAAACTCCAATTTCTTTGGGGCATTGTCTCCACAAACTTTTCATAAAGCATCAACAATTTCACCATTCTTCCACCAAAACTTCACTATAAATGTAATGCTTGTTCTTGCTTTAATTCTGATAGGGGCTCTTTCAAACTGATTTTGTGCCTTACACTAGATCTTGTGCAGGCATGTTATAACAAGTTAAAACAAGTTTTTTTTTGGTGCGAAAAGAAATAGAAATCCATGCATAGTTCTTTCCATGAACTTTTTGAAGACCTCTTACATATCTTCTTTAATAAAGAGTCTGTTCAGATCTCTTGCTCATTTTTTGAGATGTTTACCTCTATATTGTCAAGTTTTAAGAGTTTGTTATATATTCTGGATAAAAATTCTTCACTGGATATATGTTTTGCATGTATTTTGCCAAACAAAATATGTTTTGCACAGTCTATGGGCCACCTTTCCATTTTTGTAAATGTCTTTATAACACAAAGTTTTTAATTTTGATGAAATCCAATTTATTGATTTTTTTCTTTTGTAGTTTTTGCCCTATTTAAGATCTTCAAATTTTTTTAATCTTTATTCATTAATTCCCACACTCTTGTATAAGATATTTACTTAGCATCTATTATGTGTTAGAAACAGGGAATACAACAGGATGCTCTCTGTTCTCACAGAGCTTATAGTCCATGGAAGTGGCAGACAGAAATAGGTATAAGTATCTATTCCACCTTTGAGCCCCCTTAGCTCTCAGCCCTCCGTGGCTCCCCTTCACACTCAGAGGAAAAACCAGAGTCCCAGGCATAGCTCACAAGTCCCTCCCCCACACCCAGATCTACTCCCTTCCCCCTAGAGGCCTCCCTGTGACCTTGTTCCCTTCTCCTCTCATCTGCTCACTGTGCTCCAGCCACACTGACCTCCTGTCAATCTTCAAACTAGGCCTATTCTGACCTCAGGCCTTTGCACTTGCAGTTCCCTCTGCCAGGAACGTGCTTCCCTCAGCTGTAACCAGGGCTGTTCCTTCACTTCATTTAGGTCTCAGATATCCCTGAAGTATCACCTATCCCAGCTCATCACTTTCTTGCACTCTTGATGCTGTTTTATTTTTCTTTATAGCCGTTATTACCCCTGACATTGTTTACATATATATTTGTTTATTATTTGTACCATCTTCACACCATATACTAGATTGTGAGCTCCACAAGGGCAGGGGTTTGGCTATTCTCCTTCCTGCTCTATCTGAAGGCCATTGGACAACATTTGGCACATCATAGATCCACAGTAGTAGCAAATGAAGAGATTGGAGCCAGGCACTTCTGAGTTAAACCCCAGCTGCTTTTTACCCTCATGGTGCGACCTTGGATTAGATCCTTGACCTCTTTGAGCGCAATGTGTCTCATCTGTGAAACAGACCTACTAATCATGTCAAACTCACAAAGGGGTTGTGAAGTGGTCAAGAACTGAGGCAGGCAAAGTGCCAAGAGTGGGTCCTGGCACATAGAATATACTTTAGAAATGACAGATATAATTACTGCTGCTACTACTATTATTATAATGGTAGTAGGGAAGGGGCTTGGTGCAATTATTTTATTTGATTATGCAGAGAAAATGTCGGTGTTACAAGACCAACAGTTTTTTTTGCTCACTGCACAGTAACAGACCAATACACTGAGAGAGCATGGTTTTCAGCAGAGAAAGAGTTTCATGATCACTGGGCCATGAAGGGAGATGAGAGGAACCCTAAAATCCATGTCCTCAAGGTGTTCTGGGCTGAGGTTTTTAAGGGGACCATAGAGGGCGAGGGGCTAGAAAATTGGGGTCATTGATTGGAGGAGGTAAGAGGGATGAATTCATCAGGATGCAAAAACTGCATTCTTTGGTCAGTCAGGGTTCTGTACAGGAGACACGCAAGGGGAGAAGAAAAGCCACACACATAATATCTTTAAGGGTAAACACACTTTATGCCACGTAAATGGCAATGAAAATCTAATAAGCAAAGGATATAATAAGAAAATTAATATAAATAAGCAAATCGATATAATAAGCGCATGATATAATAACAAATTGTAATGGGAAGGGGAGAAGGGAAAAGATATATATATATATATGTATATTTACACTCACCAGACTATGGAGGATTCACCACCAGACTGGGAAGCAACAGCCTGGGTTCCAAAGTCAAACACCGCATTCACCAGACTATGGAGGATTTACCACCAGACTGTGAAGCAACAGCCCAGGCTCCAGGGTCAGATACCGAACTCACCAGTGTATGGAGGATTCACCACCAGATTGGGAAGCAACAGCCTTGGCTCCAGAGTTGGCCACTCATCTGTGCACACACGAGGAGAGGTCTCATGAAGCTTCAGGGCAGTCTGGGACCCTAGCTCTTTCTGTAATGACTTGTTTGGCATGAGGCCCAGTCACAAGGGTCCTTCCCGACCGGGCTCAAGGAACACAAAAAGGTCAACTTGTTTTTGTGACTGTCTATTGTTTTTTAATAACTAACGTATAGGAATAGATTGAAATAGAGATTTCTCTGAAACAGCGCTGGATGAACGCCTCAAGGAGCTCACACAACCTGTTCCGGCACTTGGTGACCATTGCTTGTGTCCATGTTCAGTTGAGTTCAAATTTAATATTTAACTTTTTCTCCACAGTCAGCTCCTTGTGGGGTTCTTTAGACCAGCTGATGTCAGTAGTTTCATCAGCAAGCAGGTCCTGAAAGAATATCTCAAATGGTAAACTTAACGTTTCAAAATGCTCAAGTTGTTATGTACAGAGCAGTTAAGGGGAACTATAATCTAGGTTCTATGGGATTCTGGGCAATAGGCAGCAAACAACTAGGAGGAAGTAGGTCAGAGAGGACATTGACCTAATGATTAATGCTGAATGTGCTGCAAGCTTGGTTTATTTTTATCTCTCCTCTTCCCCTTTTTCCTGATTAATTTCATAAAGTTTACAGGGACAGTTCCACGGGGGCTGGGTTCTGAGATGTAAGGGCTCACCAGTCTAATGAGGAGAGAAGGGCAGGTGCAAAAGCAGGGGTGGGTGCTTGCCTGCTGTGTACCTGGCTGATGTTTGTGCCTCGGCATGAACTGTGACTCAAGGAGCACCATGGGTCTTGGTAAGGATTTCCAGCTGAGAGGGCCCCTTTGTGCTGCTGAGGAGCACTCTTGGGCCAAACAGAGGGCAGGCTGGAAGAGACAAGCTTGAGGATAGAGAGGCTGGTCGGTTCATGGAGCTTTTGGTGCCAGGAGGGCTCAGCTGGAGGACCAGGAAGGGGCCCGGTGATCAAGTTAGGCCACGATCAGCTCAGGAGACGCAGCCAAGTTTGTGGCTGTGATGCTGAAATGTCCTGGCTACTGAGTGTGGCTCTTTCAACCTCTAGCTAACGTCAGACTCCTCCCACCTAGGCAGGGCTCTGCTTGCAGACGGGGCTCAGTGGATGAGAGGTTGGAGAGCTGAGATGGTGGAGAGTCAGCCAGGGCATTCATTGCCTTCACACCCCACAGAGGTGTCAGGAAGGAGCGTTCTGTCCACAAATTATGGCAGCAAAACCTGATAAGACTAGAGAACTTTCCTCCCCGCAAGAAAACAAACAGAAACGTTTGTTTCCATGACACACTTTTGTTTTCAGGAGGCAATGTGATTGTTTTCCCACTTTTGCACTGGAAAGCAATGAATGGAAGACTCCACCTGCTGTGACAGTCATATCCTTCCCCAGGCACTAAACAATAGAATAGACTTCCAGGCCTAGCTCACTGGTGCCTGAAATCCCTCCGCTGGAGCTTTGGCTTGCGGCTTTGTCCTTCATAAAAATGCAAATACCTCACAACAACCATGTATTCAACAAAAATAACTTATGTTCATTCATTCCACAAATATTTACTGAGTCTCTTCGGTAAACCAGATAGTAGCTAGAGGCTGGCAGTAAAGAGATTAAGACTTGGCCCATAGTTTCAAGGAACTCACCAGCTGCATGTGTGTGTGTTTCTGTGTGCTTATTTGGGGGCTGGAGAGGGCAGACATGACCTAGAAACATAACTGTAACTGTTGCAAGTGACATGATGGTGGTGGGTACAAGAAGTCTTGGGAACCCCCAACAAGGACCCAATTATGTGTGACTTGACATCATACCACGGATCTAATATGTCAGGGAAGAGAGAAATACCAAATGGAGGGTACAGCAAGGGCAAATGAATGGAGTCATGAGCCAGCACTGGGGAGGGTAACTCCACACCACTAAGCAGCAGGCCTTGCCATAAGGCAGGACATGGAGACAGGGCTGGAACAGTGGGGGTGGGGGAGGTTCTGATTGACTGGATCATATTCATGATCTCAGGCGATGGCGTCTGTCTTAGGGCTTTGCTGTCTCTCCAGCCTCCATTTCACCGCTTTCCACTAAGTCCTCCAGACCAACCCTGTGCTTTCCCTCTGTGGCCTGAACGACCCACCCTCAGCTCCAGGGCTGGATTCTGATTGGCCTAAGCCGTCATTCTATCTTATCCTGCTGTACAGTGATTGGTTAAGGGAATGGCACATGACCCAGTTCAGATCAATGTAAAAGGAGGAGATGTTCGCTGGGGTTTCTGGGAAAAAGGAGCCACCCCTGTCTTCAGAAGGAGCTCCCAGAATAGACTCTCTGTTATGGTCATTGCAGAGTGAGGGTGTGACGGACCAGCAAGGACGGCAGCACATGGAGAGAGGAGAGAATGCCAAAGAGTTGGATCCCAGGCCTGAACCCAGGGTCAAAGCTCTGTAGTTCTTGGTCAGCTGCGCCACTGACTTCCCACGTTTGTTTAAGCTGGTTTTGTTTGGTTGGTTTTTGTTTTGTTTTGTATTCTGTTACTTTCAACTCAAAAATTCCTGATTGGTCCAGGGCGTTTCTTGAGGACAAAACTTGATAACATTGGACAAAGAGAACAGCTACCGGGTGCCTAGAACCTGGTGGGGGATGGCTATTGGTCAAGTCTGTTTTATCCTGATCTCATCTCCATTCACAATTGTCATTGTGAGAGGTGAAGCCAGCTGGACTTCCTGGGTTAAGTGGGGACTTGGAGAACTTTTCTGTCTTTCCAGAGGATTGTAAAACACACCAATGAGGGTTCTGTAGCTAGCAAGGGGATTGTAAAATGCACCAATCAGTGCTCTGTAAAAATGCACGAATCAGTGTTCCATAGCTAGCAAGAGGATTGTAAAACACACCAAAGAGGGTTCTGTAGCTAGCAAGGGGATTGTAAAATGCACCAATCAGTGCTCTGTAAAAATGCACGAATCAGTGTTCCATAGCTAGCAAGAGGATTGTAAAACACACCAATCAGCGCTCTATAAAACGCACCAATCAAAGCTCTGTAAATTGCACCCATCAGCAGGATCCTAAAAGTAGCTAATTGCAGGGAGGATTGAAAAAAGGGCACTCTGATAGGACAGAAACGGAACATGGGAGGAGACAAATAAGGAAATAACAGCTGGCCACCCTAACCAGCAGGGCAACCCACTGGGGTCCCCTTCCACGCTGTGGAAGCTTTGTTCTTTCGCTCTTCACAATAAACCTTGCTACTGCTCACTCTTTAGGTCCGTGCCATCTTTAAGAGCTGTAACACTCATCGCAAAGGTCGGCGGCTCCATTCTTGAAGTCTGCTAGACCGCAAACCCACCGGAAGGAACCAACTCCAGACACAATTGTAAGTCGGGATCTTTCCACAGAAAACATTGCCTGGCCCTTAATGCTAGCCTGGCACCTGCATAGCAAGTCCTGGTGGGGCAGCCCAGGTTTCAGGAGCCCTGGGCTCTGTCCCAACCCCACCCACTGCCTGGCTATGGAGCCTGTGCTGAGTTACACTCACTCTCTGGGTCTAGACTGTGATTCATCCATCAGCCCCTAAACTGTGATCTCCCAAAGGGAAAGGGTGATGTCTAACCCATCCCTATGGCCCTTGAGCCCAGGACAGGCCTGGCACAGAGCATGTGTCAGTGGGGCTGTTAACTGATCACTGTGGGATCTGCACATTCCTGCTCTAACCGCTCAGGACGAGGGCCATGCGTGATGCTGACAGGGACAGCTATAGTTCCATTTGTCCACCCTGAGAGCCACCTGGAGCCCCTGACCCAATGCTACAGCAGGAGGAAGTCTCACAGGACTAGATTTTGTATGCAGGCTGCATGGCAGAGGCTTTAGCTTGCACACAATCTCTATCTTTGTTGAAGACTCACTGAACCACAGTGAGGCTATAGAGTGAGGGAAATCCCCAAAAAGCTCTACCATTTACTCTCTAGCTGCAGCTGACCTGGGCAGTCAAGGTCAGGAATTCGCTCCTCAGTCTCATGCAGACAATGATGAGGCACCATGCAGGGAGGCTCAGTCATTAATACATTTACTAGCATCTTCCAGCCTGGGACTTCAAGTTGCTAGTATGGAAAATGGGCAATGAACAGAGGATTACACGGAAACATATACATATGTATTGTAATAAGGGCCACAACAGGAGACATGATGAGAAGTCAATTGTAAATGATTAAAAGATGTACAACAGAGAGGGTGAGGAGGTAGGGGGAAGAGTTAGTTGATGTTTATCTTTGCATATATCTTAACCCTCATAATAACCCAACGTGTCAATTAAAAGGCAGAGATTATCAGATTGGATAAGAAAAAAGACCCAACTGTATACCATCTGCACGAGAAACACACTTTAAATATAAAGCCACATATAGGTTAAAAATAAAAGGTTAAGAAAACATATACCACACAAGCATTAATCAAAAGAAAGTCAGAGTGACTGTATTAGTCCATTTTCACACTGCTATAAAGAAATATCCTAGACTGGGTAATTTATAAAGGAAGAGGTTTAATTGACTTACAGTTCCACATAGCTGAGGAGACCTCAGGAAACTTAAAATCATGGCAGAAGGCAAAGGAGAAGCAGGCACCTTCTTCACAAGGTGGCAAGGGAGAAATAATGAGAGCTCAGGAAGAAACTGCCAGTTTTAAAACCCTCAGATCTCACGAGAATTCACTCACTATCACGAGAACAGCACGGGGGAAACCACCCCCATGATCCAATCACTTCCCCCCCTCAACACCTGGGGATTACAAGTCCCTCCCTTGACATGTAGGGATTATAATTCGAGATGAGATTTGGGTGGGGACACAGCCTAACCATATCAATGATTATATTAATATCGGACAAAATATATTTTGGGGAAAATAATATTACCAGGGATAAAGAAGGCAATTTCTTAATGATGAAGAAGTCAACTCATTAGGAGGACATACAATCCCAAATGTGTATGCACCTCATAACAGAATTCTAAAATACATGAAAAAAAAAATACTGATCGAGCAACAAGAAGAAGCAGATAAACTCACAAAGAATTCAGAACAACCAAAATTAGTAAGGATTAGGAAGTTTTAAACAACACAATCAATCAACTTGACCAAATTGACAATTATAAAATGCTACAAACAATAACAGAATACACATTCTTTTCAAATGCACATTGATCTCCTACCAGGATAGATCACATTCTAGGCCATAAAGATGTCCCAATTAATATATAAGGATCCAAGCAATACAAGTATGTTCTTTGACCATAATGGAATTGAATTAGAAATTAATAATGGAAAGATCTCTCTGGAAAATCACCAACTATTTGAAAACTAAATAACGCATTTTTAAATAACCCATAGGTCAAAAATAAAATAAAAATGGGAAATGGAAAGTGTTTTGAACTGAATGAAAATTAAAAACAACATATCAAAAATTGTGAGATGCCACTAAATCAGTACTTAGAGCCTTTATTTTAGTATTAATGACTTATAATAGAAAAGAAAAATCTCAAATCAATGATGTCAGATTCAACCTTATGAAACTTGTGAAGAAAGAGCAAATGAAATGCAGAATAAAGGAAGGGAGGGACCATTAAAGATCAGAGTGAAATCAATGCTATAAAAAAGGAAAAATAATAAAGACAACCAATAAAACCAGAAGCCGGTTCTTTGAGGAGATAATAAAATTGATAAACCTCTAGCCAGACCATCAAGAAAAAAAAGAGAAAAGACACAAAGAACAAATATCAGAAATGAGAGGAGTGACATTAGCACAAATTCTACGGATATTAAAATGATAATATGAGAATATTATGTACAACATTATGCCAATATGGTTGACAAGTTAGAAGAAATGGACTAATTCATTGAAAAATATAAACTACTGAAGCTCACTCAGGAATAAATATATAACTTGAATAGTTGTAAATCTGCTAAAAACCCAAGTAAATTTGGCAAATCTAAATCTAAAGTAATCTTTAGTAAATCTACTAAAACGACTTTTTTTTTTTTTTTTTTTTTTTTTTTTTTTTTGAGATGGAGTCTCACTCTGTTGCCAGGCTGGAGTGCAGTGGCGTGATCTTGGCTCACTGCAACCTCCACCTCCTGGGTTCAAGCGATTCTCTTGCCTCAGCCCCTCTAGTAGCTGGGATTACAGGCACACACCGTCACTCCCAGCTAATTGTTGTATTCTTAGTAGAGACGGGGTTTCACCATGTTGGCCAGGAATAAAAGGAATTTAAGGAATAAATAATACCAATTCTACTAAAAAATCTTCCCCAGAATAAAGATGAGTAAATACTTTCCAACTCTTTGTTTGTGGCCAGTATTTCTCTTATACCAAAACTTGACAAAGCCATAACAAGAAAAGAAAATTATAACAAATATTCATCATGAAAATAAATGACAATATTCTAAACAAAATTATAACAAATCAAATACAGCAATATATGAAGTGTGTAATACATCATAATTAAATGAAACTTGTGCCAGGAATAAAAGGTTGGTTTAACATTTGAAGATCAATGTGATTTATCATATTAACAAACTCAAAAAGAAAAAAACCCTACAGTATATCTACAGGAAAAGAATTTGACAAAATCCAACATTCATTCTTAATGAAAACTATCTGTAAGCTAGAAATAGAAGTGAATTTTCTCAACCTAATAAAGGTTATTTACAAAAACTATAGCTTACATTATATTTATTTATGGTGAAAGAGTAACTGCTTTGCCCTAAAATCAGGAAAAAGACAAGATGTCTGTTCTTATCACTTTTATTCATCATTGTACTAGAAGTTCTGACCAGTCCTATCAGACAAGGAATAAAACTAAAGTCATTCAGTATAGAAAGAAAGAAATAATACTCTTTATTCACATACAACATGAACACCTAGGTGGAAAATCTGATGGAATGTATAATACAAACAAAGCTACTAGAATTACAGAAAGAGATTAGTAAGCTGCAGGATATAAAACAATATACAAATATCAGGTGTATTTCTATATGTTAGCAATAAATGATCAGAAATAACAATTAAAAAACAATACCATTTACAATAACATAAAATATCACAGAAATTCTACACACTGGAAATTACAGAACACTGTCAGTTTCCCCCTAATTGTTCTATAGATTCACTTCAATCTCAATCAGAAACCCAGCAGTCTGCTTTGCAGAAATTGAGAAAAACTGTTCTAATATCTATATGTAAATGTAAGACCTAGAATAGCTAAGACAATTTTAAACACAAGAACAAAGTTGAAAGACTAACAGTACTTAATTTCAAGATTTATTCTAAAACTGCATTATCAAGACAATGTGCTATTGGCATCAAGAATGACAAATAGACCAGTGAAATAGAATAGAGTCCAGAAAGAGACCCACACATATACAGACACCTGATTTTTTACAATGAAGTAAAAATAATTCTGTTCAAAAGAGATAGGGCTTTTTTTCAACAACTGGCTCTGGGACCATTGGATATCCATATTCCAACAAACAAAGATGGACTTTGTTCCACACTAAATGTAAAACCTAAAACCATAAAGCATCTGAGGAAAGCACAGTAGAAAAACTTTTATGAGATTGGTTTAAGCAAAGATTTCTTAGATATAACATCAAAAACACAATTCATAAAGGAACAAACTGATAAAACAGATCATCAAAATAAAAATGTCTGCTCTTTGAAAGATACTTTTAAAGAGAATGGAAAGATAAGCCACAGACTGAAAGAAAACGTTTGTAAATCACATGTCTGCTAAAAGACATGTATTCATATATATAAATCAAAACCTGATATAAGAAAACAGACAATTTAAAGGCAAAAGCTTTCAACAAATATCATCAAAGTGATATATGGATGGCAAATAAGCCCATGAAAATATGCTCAACAACTATAGTCATTAGGAAAATGCATATTAAAACTGCAGTGAGCTGCTAAAATTCACCTATTTTAATGGTTAAAATTTAAAAGACTGATCACACTAAGTGTTGGTGAGAATATGGAAAAATTAGAATTCTTCTACACTTCTGGTGGGAATATAAGGTGATACAGCTCTTTTGTGGTTAAACATACACGTACTATGTGATCCAGCTATTTCACTCCTACGTATTTACTCGAGGGAAATTAAAGCATATGTTCACACGAACACTCACACACAAATGTTCATAGCAGCTTCATTTACAATAATAAAAACGACAAACAAAAAAACTTGGAAAACCACAAACATCCATCAACTCCACAGGTAAATGGGCAAACAAATTGTGATATATTCATACAATGAATTACTATTCAGCAATAAAAAATAATCAAGGATTGATATGTTCAACAATATGGATACATTTCAAAAGTATTATGCTGAATGAATGAAGCCAGATAAAGAATGCCATACTATATGATTCCAATTCTAGAAAATGCAAACTAATCTCTTGTGACAGAAAGTAGATCAGTGGTTGACTTGGGATGATAGTGAGGGAGAGGGGAGTAGTTGAGAGGGGGTGATTAAAAAGGGATACATCTATAATTGTTGTGGATGATAGATATGCTCACTAACTTGTCTAAGGTGCTTATTTTATTATTAAGTTTTACACTTAAATATGCACAGTTGCTTGTATAACAATTATTCCTCAACAAAGTTGTTGAGGGGAAAAATATCTGGAGAGTTGCAAGGGTTTCCTTGACAACAACCATTTAATTGGTTGCCCTGGGAGCCTTCACTGATGCCTCTGGCAAGGCAGTAGCCAGAGCTCATCAGGGATAAGGGGCCTGTTCCCAGCACAGATGACAGAAGCCCTGAATGGCACTATTAGTTTGGGATAAAGCAAATAGGGAGGAAAGAGAGAAAAGGAGGTGAGATTTACACAAGGCAAAAAGAGGTACAGGTTTAAGAGTACAAGCTGAGCTTTGAGTTAAAAAAAAAAAACTGTCAGTATTGGATAGGCCTTCCATCACCCTATCCAATCACTTTCATCTTACAGATGAGAAAACTGAGGTTCAGAGAGGGGAAGGGACTTTCTCTAAACTACACAGCATATCAGAACAGAACTGGTATCAGCAGCTTGGTCTCCTCCCTATCACCACATCCGTTGAAGGGTAGAACTGCTTCCTAGCTGATGATGATAAACTTCCCCATGCTGAACACCTTTTAGTTGTCATGCCTGACACTAAACATTTCACATATAATCCTCCAGCAACTTGTCAAGAAAGATTCTATTGTTACTCACTTTTTACTGGTGAGGAAGTCCCAACCTCTATAGTGATACTAGTAAAGGCCTTAGGGAATCAATCCAATTCAATCCCTATCCTCACCCACTCCAGCTCCTATTTTATAACTGAGGAACCTGAGGACCCCAAAATACAAGTGGCTGCCTTGACTCACAATTTATGGCTTTATTGAGTCTCTGTGGTTTACTTGTACCTGGAGCTGAGTTTATGGAGTTTAGAGAGCTGGATTGCATCATGAAATGTTTAGTCTGTTTATTCACTTGGTGTGAGACAAAGGGTGTACACACATGTGTGTATGTGGTAATGCATACCTGCATATGGGTAGCCATGTCAATGTGCTTCTATGTGCATGTTCTGGTGTATGCATACATTTTGTTATTATATATCTACAACCTTTCTTCTAAATTTCTCAGCAACCACTTTGGGTCTTTTCTTCCAAAAGACTTTTTGTGTCTATGGTGACAGATGTGATTTTCTCCACTTCTCAGCAGACCAACTCAATGCCCTGTGTCCCAGGGTGGAGGGTGGATGGGGCTGCTTTTGCCCCTTTCTCATTTGGAGTAGCCAGTTAAGAATAAAACCATGGTCCTTGGGAAGAAGTGTTGGCTGATATTTCCCAGACATAGTTGTGAGTTTGGATGACTTGAAAATATAGCATCTGAGTGAGATGTGATTCCAGAGAGGTAAAGAGGTATTCTTATTCTCCAAAGCAGCAAGGCTAAAAACACCTAGATGCATAAGTGGCATCAACCCAAAATACAGACCTAGAGTCTCTTCTATACCACTTGTTTGCCTGACTGACATCTATTCAATCTGGTCTCAACTTAAAGCTCATTCTCCCTGGGAAGACTTCTCTGACACTCATGTTTTCTTCCCATGGTTTCACCATCCACTGTGCTTGTTCTATACCATAATATCTTACAATACTGAACAGAGAACGGTGGAGAGAAGTTGATGGCTAAGAGGCATGAAGGAACTTTCCATATCTTGATTGGAATAATATCTACACAAGTATAAATTTGTCAAAAGTACTTGACCTACACATTAGAAATGTGTCAATTTTTTGTTGCCTGTAAATTACAATATAATAAGATTGATTTAAAAAATGTACTCCCCAGCCCTCAGTAGTACTCGGTCCATCTAGTCTTCATTCATCTCTCAAAGGGTGGGAACCGAATACAGAACTTACCACAAGAACGCATCAGCAAGAATCCTGTTTCAGTACCATGGACAGAGGCCTCCCCCAGGGAAGAAGGGTTGGGAGATGTCTGCGTTGTTTAAGCCCAGGAAAGAACCTGGTGTCTTCTGGCTATGGGTGTCAAGACACGTGGGGAACCCAGGTCATGACAGGTTATGACAGGTCACCTGGTCCAGTTAATTTATTCTGCATAGCGTGTTGTCTAGACAGCCACATATTTACAAACATCCAGAGACTGTCATCATGGCCATGGTGGGGAAGGCACAAGGGACAGATCAGAAAAATCCGGGTCTGGTCCTTGACTCCTATCAACTACTCATGCCATGACCTTGGACAAGTCACTTCATCATCTGGGCCTCATTTTCTTCATCTTTAAATGAGAGCCCGCACCAGATGATCTCTAAGGGCCTTTCCAGGAACAATCTCTTTAATACAAAGATTTTACAACTTCCATATTACAGTGTGTGTGGGTTTTCCCCTCCATCTTAAATATAATCCTGGTACACTTTGCAAACTATAGCTCCTGGTTATTTGTTCTGTATAGCCCATCATCATTGAAGGAGACCTTCCCTGTCATGGTTGCCCACACTCCTTTGTTCTGAGCCATTCTGGTACCCAGTCTTGCTGGGCAAGGGAGGCCAGGGACAGTCATAGACAAAGGCTCAAAGTCAGTCAACTTTGAAAAGTGTGTGGGGCTTTGGTATCAGACAGAACCTAATTTGGGCCCAGGCTCCACTACTCACTCTCTGTGGAATTTTAGAAATGTCATTCATCTTCGAAGCATTGTTTGAGATTGAATGCTTACCTCATTGGGAAGTCATTCACAGTCAGGCTGAGTCATGTGAATTCCCCTCTCCTGTTGCTCTAACATTTGCACTCATTGTTTTGCATACAAGACAATGACTCACTCATAATGCTCAATTTAAATTTCTTCTTGATTGATCTACTAGATAAAATTTGCCTTGAGTTTCTTATTACAATACTCATTACAGCCACCATTAGAACATGGATTCTTAACTGTTCTCCCACTAATATAATTGCTGTTAGACTGACATGAATAATCTTTGCTCTCATTAACAGAATAAAAAGCTGTTAGCTGCATTCTTTCACTTGTAAGGCCTGGATATCTGTGCCTCTTCAGGTTTTATTCATTTGAGCCAACCCATCTGCCTCTCCCCCAAAACATGGCCCTTTCTTCTCCTGTCCCCACTATCAGTGATATGGATTCTTCCTCCCCTCTTTAAAAAACACATCGCTTTGTAGATTTGAAGCAACCATTCCTGCTTCTGTTGCTACCACTGCTAGAAATTTCTTGGGCCAGACATAATGCTAAGTAATTTCCCAGCATTATTCCTATGAGAGAGGTACCATTTTTTCTCCCTATTTTACAGATATGAAAATTGAAGTCTAGAAAGCTTGCGTGAGTTTTCCTCAATCATTTAACTCATGAATGATGGGGGTATTTGATTTCAGGTGTTTCTGACCCTAGGAAATATACTTTTGGCATTTTGTACTATGGAGAGGGTACTATTCTCTTTCTGCGCCTCCTGCTTTATATTCCTTTATTTTTCCTTCTCATTCCCCCAACTCCCACCAGTTCTCTGCCCACAGCTCAGAGCTTCCAACTCTCCCTTGGACAGGCAGCCTGAGATCTGTGATTCCAACTAAATTGCCATGACAGTGAAGGAAATTTTGCCTTGAAGATGCCTCCCTTCATTCTACAAGGAGCATTCCAGGGATTCCAATCACTAGAGCGCTGCCTGAAACCTCTCCCCTGATTCTAGAACTGCTTGTCTGAAAACTAATATCAGTTTCCCCCTTGGCTCTTTCCAGCGGTTCAGACATGACCCTGGCTGTGCTCCAAGCATCACCTTGCTGTACATGGTGAGCCATGATAATACTGTTCCAGGGTTTATTTCACACATCTCTGCCAAGGAGCTTCTGGACCTCATATGATCTTCACAGCATTTGGGGAAGTTGAATATTATGCTCACCTGAAAGACGGGAAACTGAGGCCCAGAGTAACTTTTTTTTTTTTTGCAGGTAGAAGAAACCTTAGAGATTACGAACCTTCTTCTTGTACAGATGAGGAAGGAGACCAAGAGAAGGGAAGCAACTTGGCAAGGTGGCCAGTGTTAGATCTCAGGTCTCTGCATTTCTAGTTCCCCATGGGGAACATTGCCTGTGAATAGGTCCGAGGTTTTGTTTGTTTGTCTTTGCAGCATGATTCCCACCCTGCTTGTTCTTTAGAGAAGCCATGGGTGGAACAGAAGCTGTCTGGATTCAGGCTTAGAGTCCCAGGACTGCCACTGACTCAGTGTATGTAGCCTCAGTTTTCTCATTTGATGAATGATTTTTGCTGGACCAGGTATTGAATTAGAGTTCCCAGCGTATGCCACATGTGCTTAGAGTATCTCATCTCCCCAAGGAGATCCAAGCCCTCTATGGTCTGCGCAACTCAGGTGATGTCAGCCAGGCAGCAGCCACTTTAATTCCTCTACGATGATTTGATTCCTTTTGCTGGAAACCCTAGTGCACATATATGGGCTCAATAAATTCATGTGTCTCAATGACTATTTCCACAGGCTGCTCTCATCAGCTCTGAACAGGCAGTTGTCTGAGCACTTCTGAATAAGCCCTGGAGTCCAGCTAGGAAAAATCTCTCTCTCTGGAGTGGCATTCTCTGGGAGGCCACGTTGACTTATGTCATATTATCATAGAAATTCCCTCTGTTCTTTAACCTTTATTTAACTAGAGTCAGGACCTCCTGCTGAGCCTGAAAAGTTTTTCTAACAGGAGGCTGTCCTGGCAGTATGCAGATGATTGCATTATGGATAGTAGAATGGGAAGGCAAAGAGAAGGGCCGCTGGGGTTGAATGGAGTGTACAGTTTATAGACATTTTGATGTGGAGGAGAAGGCTGGCTTTGAAAGGGCCAGGCACATTGGCATAAATCCATAATTGTTTTGCAGGACTTGTTCACCTGGGCTTAGGTACCCCAGAGACACAACTCGTTATTCACTCATTCGTTTATGCATTCACTTTCTCACTCACTCAAGAAACATTTATGCACTATCTATTTGCTGGATGATGGGGACACAGAGAAATAGGAACTCTCCCTTATTCTTGAGGAGACCAGTCTTGCTCAGGAGGGAAACTGTCATGACATGTGCTCAAATAGACATTGGAACCCTTAACTCCCTTGGGCAGGGGTAGATGAGAAAGACATCTATCTTAGAGTGAGTGCCCCAAAACAGACCTGACACAAGGACTTGGGTTTGCAGGTTTGGGGAGGGATTTTGTGACTCCAGGAAGCACAAGTAAAGGAGTGCAGGGAAAGGAGAAAAGCCAACAGAGGGTGTCTTCATAATTGGCTAGCTGTGTGGACAGCTGGGCTCCTCCCTCCCATGGGGGGCCCCTGAGGAACCCCCTGGAGCACACCTCAGGACTGTCCTCCTGGAGGCTGGGGAGGCTGGGGCCTTTGTCCACTGAATCTCATCCCCCACATTTCAGGAGTTGTCCCCGGGATGCATTTAGTGCCCTGCACTTGGATGTTGTGGTGCCAGAGCAAGCCCAAAGGCAAAGGAGAAGAGAGAAGGGAGCGTTTGAAGAAAATGGCCGTCAGTGTACAAGAAACATCCCACTGCTGCAGGACAACTGAGGATGGTCAAAGGGACATGGTGGGGTAGCACCGGCATCTGCTGCAGTGTTTCCTCCAACAGGTGACTTTTCAGTGGACCTAAGGATAAGTAAGAGTTTTCAGCTGAAGCAGGCGTGGGAGTGTCATATCCAGGCAGCTGGAGTCACCTGGGGATGGGAGGCAGGATATTGCCAATGACAGGAAGGAAAGAAATATCTTGAGGGCCAGGAGAGCTCTGGAGGATTTGTTTTAAGGCCGAGGAAGGGAGAGATTTGGGCAGCTTAGATGACAGAAGCCTCGGGCAACTGAGGTGGAGGAACAGAAGAAAAGGGTCAGAGAGGGAGAGAGGTAGGATGCTGGAGAGAGCTGACCCTGCAGAGGAGGAAGGGGAGAGGCTCCAGAGACTGGCTGGAGGGATGAATTTCCACCAGGACAGGCACCCCTGACCCTGGGATGGGGGAAGAAGCACAAGAGGGGAAAAGGAGTGTATTCCTCATGGCCTCGTTGCCCCAATATCAGAGGAGGCAGATGACTGGCAGCAAAGGAGAGCCCAGGAAGTTGGGGTGAGGCTTGAGAAGGGTAGCGGCCGGGAATCATCCTTGAGGGTGAGGGAGACCATAGGAAAGACACGGGAGGGATGGGTGATACGGTACTAGCTGAGGCTGTTCAGTTTACAGAAGAGCAGAAAATGACATTTCTGGGAAGGTTCCTCTTCCCACTCCAGAGAGAGGGCGAGGTGGGAGGAGAGTTTCAATGCATTTTATTTTTCATGACAAAGCTTTCTGAGCTCCTGAGCTTCTGCTAGCCCAGGCCACCCCTACCATTTGTAGATTCGTCAGGCACTGATTCATTTAGTAGTGTTTTCTGCAGCCCTACTGTGTGCTGAAAACTGCTCAACACACAGGGACCAGTCCTCAACACATATGGTTATCCCTATAGCTGCTTCAAGCTCAGGGGTTGCACGAGGAGAATGTCGGCTAATGGGACAGGACCCCGCTAGCTTCCCACCTTCTCTCCATCCATTAGATCATGGGAAGTGTGGGCCATAGTTAAGGGGCTCTTGTTGCAATTCTCCCTCTCACTTTCTCCTTGATTCTGGGCTAGTTAATTCCCCTCTCTGGGCCTCCACTGATTAGAATGATGGTAAATTTGTCCAACCAAACTCACAGGCTTCTCAAAGGATCCCATGAAATACTGGGTACTAATGGGTGGAAAAACTTTTTGGAAGCTGATTAGAGAAGCTCAGATGTTAGTGGTTTTAATCTGTAAAATGAGGGAGTCATAGATCCCAGATACCGCAGGCTGCTTCCAAGCCATCAGTTCACAAAGCACCCCAGGAGGGGTTGGTTGAATCAAAGCAGGGGTTCTTCAGTGCCTCGTTTTGGTCAAGTTCTCAGAAAATTTCTTATCTTTGCACAGCAATCAGATCATTCTCAAGATAGATCTGAAAGAGGAGGAGGCAAAAAGATGAGAGGAACTAGAGGAAGCTGAGGACTGAGATGGGAGGAGAGGCAGAAGAGACAGCACCACAGACAGGGAGGGCTGGGGAGGATGGAGAACAGCAAAAGACTCTGCAAGGGAGAGGCTGGAGCAGCAGGGTTTCTCTAACTGCCCAGGACTGGGCATGGACTGGGGTCTCAGGGAAGGGACTGCTATTTTCAGACAGAATGCATTAAGAGAATAAACAGCCCAGCAAAGTGCAATGTACACTTTGAAATTAGCAGAAAATGACATTTCTGGGCAGGCTCCCTTTTCTCACCCCAGGGAGAGAGTAGGAGGTGAGCTTAGACAAGTTTCCTTTCTCTTAAAACAAGTTCTCAGCTCCTGGGCTCCTGCTGACTCAGGCCACCCTCACTGTGAGAATTCAGCAGACTGGGATGATCAGGCAGTGTTTCATGCCAGCCCTGGGCATGGAGAGGCTGTTGATGGTGGGGCCTGGCCAGCCTAGAGCCTGGCTAGAGTCTGGATGGGGAAGGCAGCCTGGCTCAGGGTCGAGAGGCGGTTCAAGTAGCTAAGGTCATTCAGGCTTAGATTTGCTAGTGCTGCTGTGCACTTTACAGGAGCACTGGCTCAGCAACATACATGGGAGGCGTGAGCCCAGCACACAGCAAAGAGACAAGCTCAGGCAAATCTGCACCTTGAAGATCCATCCAGCCAAACCCAGCCCCTACAGCCACTGACCACAACCAAGCCATATGCTACATGAGTGAGAGTACATTGTCATTGTTTTAAACACCAGGTTTTGGGCTGGTTTGTTACACAGCAATAGCTGACTGATACAAATGCCTAGCAGATGTCAGACATTGTGTTTAGCACAGGGGCATGCAGGTGACAGCATCTACATATCTCCTGCCCTCTTGGAGCTCACAGCCTGGTTGGAGGAGACAGACAATGAACAAACCACCAATGAGTGAGTATGAAACCTGTGATGAGGGAAATATATTGGGTCATGCCCCAGGGAGTGATTGATGAGGAGGTCAAAGGTAGGTGGTCAGGAAGAGCCCCTCAAAAAAGGGAACAGATGTGCTAAGACCTGAATGATGAGAAGTTGTGTGAAGAGCTGAGAAGAGTGTTTTGGGCAGAGGCAACAGCAGGTGCAAAGGTCATGTGTCACAGAAACTCACAGGCCAGAGATGGATAGAATGGACAAGGAACTATAAGAGCAACCATAGTAGAAGCTAATGTTTACTGGACAAGGACTATGAGCTATTTTAAGCCCTTTACTTAAATTATCTCACTTAATCTTGATCACATAATAAAGAATTACATGTATTAGTTAGAGCGTACTTGGTTGAAAATGCAAAGATCCAACTCAAACTGGCTTCACTAAATAGGAAAGGTAATGGCTTATAGAACTGGAAAAGATAGAGACAAATAGCTTCAAACAGAGCTGGATTCAGGAACTCCAATTCGGTCATTGGATTGCTCTTTCTCCCCTCCCCACCTCCTGCTGCCTCTGCTTGTTGGACTTCTGGTGGGAGGCACTTTCTCTCCATTTTTTCCTGAACTTCTTCAAGAGGAGGCATGGAGAGAAATGAGAATCACAACAATTGGCAACTTCAAATTCACATCATCTCACTTAGTGACTCTAGAAGGAAGACAGGGTTATTCTTTCCCAATATTCCTCTCTATAATCCCAGAAAGGAATCAGGCTAGTCACATGCTGGCCATTTAGACCTATCACAGTGTGGGGCACAGACACTGTGACTGGTCCAACCTGGGCCCTTTACTCCCATCTCAGGAGATAAGGCAGGTCTGTGACTGGTGATCCTGCCAGAACTGTGTGGTCTGAAGAGCAGGTGGTGAGTGCTTCCCTAAAGAGAGAATGGCATGGAGGGAGCGGGGTATCCAGGCATCAAAAGGATGAAGAAGATACTAAGAGGACACACACTGTAGATATTATTATTCCTATTTATTAATTTATTGAAACTGAGTCTTGCTGTGTTGCCCAGGCTGGAGTGCAGTGATGAGATCATGGCTCACTGCCATCTCCAACTCCTGGGCTTGAGCAATCCTCCCGCCTTAGCCTCCCCAGTAGCTGAGACTACAAGCATGAGCCACCACGCCTGACTGATTTTTGTATCTTTTGTAGAGACAGTCTCACTATGTTGCCCAGGCTAGTTTTAAACTCCTGGCCTCAAGGGATGCTCCCACCTCAGCCTCCCAAAATGCTGCAGTTACAGGTGTGAGCTGCCACGGCCAGCCTCCAATTTAACAAATAAGAAAGCTGAGTCTCAGAGAAGTTAATAAATGATGATAGTCAGAAGAACCTCAAACCCATCTCTGCCTGACTCAAAAAACCCCATACTCCTTGGCATGAGGCTCCTAACCACTCAACCAGCCCCTAAACCTGAGCCTCAAGTCACGACTCAGACTCTCAACGCTCAGGAGCCCAGGCCCCTGGAAGGTGTGAGTTTACAAACCGAATCTACACGAGGGATTTTAGAGGAGGCTGCTTTTCTTCCCCTTGCATAGTGTGTGGAACATGCTGCTCCAGGCAAGTTCCTGCTGTCTGGGCAGTGAGCATCTCAAGGGGATTGGAGACCACAGGTGCCCTTGCCAGGGGCAGCATTAGCCAAGAGTTAGAACAAGCATTGAGGGCACTGAAGTATGATCTGTTTGTCATTTGGACACACTCTCCAGCAAAATGCCCAGCTCACAACACCCAGACACAGTCAGACCATTGCTTGCTGCCTCTCGATTCTTCCCCCAGGCTACTTTGAGGCAGCCAGACCCTCCTTCTGGCTCTCCTGGCAGTCCGACCTTGTCCATTTCACCTAGGGATGATTCATAGCCATCAAATCCGGACAAACCTTAGGGAGCCTGTAGTCCAACCTCGTTCATTTAACAGATGAGAAAACACAGCCCAGAGAGGCCCAGGCACTTGTTCAAGGGCATGGAGTAAAATATGAGCATATTATATGCCAGGCTCTGTGGTAGGCACTTCTGCAGAGCTGATCTCATCTCATCCTCATATGAACCCTGTGAAGTGGATGCTATTACCTCCCAGTTTACTTATGGAGAAACCGTGACTTGGAGAGGTCAAGTGCTTGCTGAAGGTCACACAGCTAGTAAGTCACAGAGCTGAGTTTCAAACACATGCCTTTTTGTTGTAAATACCCAAACCCCGAGTCACGGTGCACCTCATTATTCTACTTGCCATTTCTTGCAGCCTTTTCCCCAGGCTCCCTGGCCCCTGCTTTGCAGTTCACTTTGGCCAGTAGGTGCTTCCAGAGGAAGGCAGGAGCAGAGGAGGTGCCATTGGCTGTTCCTTCTCTCTTTTTTCCTGGCATATGCAAAGGAAAGAAGTTCCTGCTTCTTTGGTGGCTGTGGCAGCAGCTACAGGGGCCAACTGCAGCTGGCCAGGAGGTGGGTGGCTCTGGCAGTAGTGGCCCCAGTGATGGATTACACCAGCAGCAGCAGCATGGCACAAGCCTGACCAGAGTCAGCAGGACATGCAGTCCTGAGCCCGTGGCACCACCTCCTGCTATTTGTGCCTCCAGCCCTAGGGGTGGCAGTGCCTCCCAAGTCACTGATCTTGGGGTTGTCACACCTTCTTTCCTCTTTCAGCTCTTTTAAGACAGTTGTAGGGAGTTCCCTCAATCAAATCTCCCAAGTTCAAAGTCTTTATTTTTCTCAGGCTTTCCCTAAATGAACCCTGATGGCTACAGCACTTGCCACTAGGAGTGATCCCAGGAAACAAACCATCAAGGATGGGATTTGGATGTCGGTTGTCTGGCGTGCAGTGAGGATCTCATTACCAGTGGAAAATGGGAGTCTGGTAGTGCCTGAGATGCAGTGGCACCAACGTTACTTAAATTAGTGCCTGTGGCTGTCTGGGATGAAATGCCAACTAAAGGCAACATTTCAGGTGGACCATGTGGCTGCTCATTGAACTATTATGGTGGTGTTGATGACTCCTTTACTGAAACCCCAGGGCTTGTCTGGGGAAGGGTTTGTCATTGAGTGTGGGAGTGACGGAAGAGGAAGGCAGGTGAAGAGGCTGAAAGGGTCAGAGCCAGAATGGGAAAGGTGATTAGTACCCACAGGTAGGGGTAAGACTCATTCTTGCGGGTAGCAGAGAGATATTGCAGGCAGACTAGTTAGAGAGGCAGCCTGGGCTGGGGAAAGAGCTGGGGCCAGCAGATCAGGAACACAGCCACACTCTACCTCTTTCTAGCTGTGTGACCTTGGCCAGGGCACTTACCTCTCTGAGCCCTCCTTGGCAGCTGGGTGGGGCCATAGCACCCTGCTCAGACAGCTATCAGGAGGATTAGAGGAGACGATGTATGGAAAGTGGTTCTTAGTGAATATCAAAAACGGCCGTGACTGTCATTGTTGCTGTCATCATGGAAGCAGTCCTGGGAGGCAGACCTCCTCCTCCTCATCCTCTCCCAGCTCCCAGGCACTCTCTGCAGCCCCACCCTGCTGGGGCTGCTCCTGTTCATGAGTCCTGAGAAGTGGCTGGTTTAGCAGAGCCAGTTCCTGGAGACGAAAGAAAGAAGGGCCAGGGGTGGGTGTAGGTAACTGTTCTGGGCTCCAGGAAAGAGCCTGGGGAGAAGCTGCTGGCAGAGGCCAACATTCATCCTGAAATAGTTTGTCAAACTGCTGGCTGACAGCAGAGCTGGCCAGAGATCCCAGGTTTCTCCACCTGTCACTACCCGGCCGTGGGGACTTGTGCAAAAGCCCCCTGGAAAAGAGGGAGGTTGGAGTAATGGCCACCAACGCGGCCACCTAATGGCGGTTCCCAGACATTTTCATAGACTGCCAGCCTCTTCCAAATCCAGTTCCTGGATTTGGGAGCCAGATCCTAATTGGTTGGGCACCATGTCTCACCAACCAGACCATGAGCCCCAGCCCAGAGCCTGGCCTTCAAGCTTTCATTCTCTTCATCCACACAGTCCTGTGGCTGGTGGCTGATCCCACTGGAGGGAGGCCTGCCTGGCACAGTGCCCCCTGAGCTGCTCTGGCCGTGTCATGCAACAGCTGGTGAGGATGAGTGACCATCCACCATTAGGGGTAGGACCACCTTTCCAGATCCTTCACACTCCAGAGCTGGAGACGACGTCCAGACCACCGAGTCGCAGCCCTTCCCAGTTCATGGATCTGCCCAGAGGAGCCAGAATCAGAGCAAAGACCACAGCCCAGGGCTCCAGACCCCCGATCCAGTGTTCGCCCCACCACGCTTCCCTGACCCCACTTGTCCTTTCACCCTCATGCTGGTTTAGACACAGCCCCAGACAGCAGCTTCCATTGTGGTCAGGTGCGCGTCTCATTCATGGTGTGACGTCTGGTTTTTATTTAAATGAACAGCAAGGGGAGGTCAAATTACAGTCCATGGAGATGAGAGCGTCTCGTGAGGTGAGGTGAATTTGCCCCACTCCTGTACTTCTCCATCAATTCTGAAGCAAAAACTCAAGGGCAATTAGATTTTACATATTTTCCTTTTTATACTTCAATAAATATCTCCTATGAAAACCAATTGGCATTTTATGTACTTAATGCATAATAGCTAGTCTTATAAATCTGAATTATCCTAATAAATCTAAATTAAAGGCCTGGGTTTAAACGTATTTAGGACAAGTAATTAATAAAGTGCTAGCACATCACCATCACTAATCTGTTTACTTCCAGCCAAACTCTTATGTTCAGAGGAGTTTTTTCTTTGCCATATGTGGGTGGGAGGAGGGAGGGAGCCCAGGTGCCCCTAAGCAGTTTCCAGGCTGCCATGGAGGTTTTGCAGGGACCTTAGGATACCCCCACCAAGGGTAATGAGAATCGGTGTGATTCCTCAGGGTACTCTTGTTTCCCGGGCCCTAGACTGGGCCTTTTAGGAGATGAATGGGTTGATAGTTAAGAGGCCTCCAAGTGGCCCCAGCTGATGACCTTGCTGTCTCCCCCGGCAGGAGATCTGGTCATCACACCCCCTGCCACGCTCCCTCTCATATCCACATCTAGTGATGGCCACATCCTGTCTCCTCAGCCTCTCCCTCCTCCCAACCCCATTCTCTCTGCTCACAAGGCCCTCTCTGCATCCCAGCTGTCCCTGCCTTGCTCCAGGGACCATCGTGTCTGGCCTGGATGAGGCAACAGCCTCCTGCGACTGGTCCTGCTCCATCTTTCCTGCTGCAGCCCACCGTCCATGCAGCAGCTCTGATCTTTCTAATAAGCATGGTTCGTCCAGTCTCCCCAAGGCCTGCTGCCCTCCAGGGCTCCCCACGGCACTCAGGGTCAAGCCAAAACTTCTCCATGTGGCCCCCAAGGTCCCTCAGCAGTCACCCCTCCCCTACTACCTGCCTTGGTCACACTGACCCACTTTGTACAGCTGTTCCCTCTGCCCATGACCATCCCTGCGTGCCCCCAACCTGTGTGCACCCAACCATGGCTCTATTGTTGAAAAGCTGACAAGCGTGCACCAGGGTCCAGCCTCCAATCCCCAGAAAGAAGGGCCTTTCTCCTCTCTGGAAGGACAAGCCGGTAAGCACCACAGCCCAAGTCCCCAGGAGCCATTTGAGGTCATCATTCCTGCTCTTCCCTTGAATAAATTTAGAATTATTATTAAAAGGAAGCCTTGGAACTCCAGTCAGGGATGGGGAGGGATCGCTGGTCCGCAAATGAAGATGAGGCTCTAACCTCTGCTCTGTAGCAAGCTCTTGTGCTCCTCTGGTCCCAGTGCAGATGCTTTGAACTCAAAGCACTCTTTAGGACATGGCTAGAGGACATGCTGCCTCCCTGGGAGTGGCAGGAGGGCAGGGATCCCTCCCTGGGAGTGGCTGGAGGACAGGGATCCCTTCCTGGGAGTGGGTGGAGGACAGGGCTCCCTCCCTGGGAGTGGCTGGAGGACAGGGCTCCCTCCCTGGGAGTGGCTGGAGGACAGGGCTCCCTCCCTGGGAGTGGCTGGAGGACAGGGCTCCCTCCCTGGGAGTGGCTGGAGGAGAGGGCTCCCTCCCTGGGAGTGGCAGGAGGTCAGGGCTCCCTCCCTGGGAGTGGCCGGAGGACATGGCTCCCTCCCTGGGAGAGGCTGGAGGACAGGGCTCCTTCCCTGGGAGTGGCTGGAGGACAGGGATCCCTTCCTGGGAGTGGGTGGTGGACAGGGATCCCTTCCAGGGAGTGGGTGGTGGACAGGGATCCCTTCCAGGGAGTGGCAAGAGGACAGGGCTCCCTTCCTGGGAGTGGCTGGAGGACAGGGATCCCTTCCAGGGAGTGGCAAGAGGACAGGGCTCCCTTCCTGGGAGCGGCTGGTGGACAGGGCTCCCTTCCTGGGAGTGGCTGGAGGACAGTGGCTGGAGCCAACGCTGGCAGGCAGATGAGAGCAGACAGTGGTGGCTGATTAAGGAAAATTCTGTCCCCCTTGGAGAGGAGATAGGGCCAACTGTCTAGAAATGCCCCTAGTCTCTCCCTAAAATTCCGCCTGCTCCTCTCACCACCTGGGTCTTTCCAGAAAGCTCCTGAGGAGGACTTGCAGGTGAGGCAGCTGATTCCCCCTCTGGCCATCAGTGGCCATCCTGCCTCCCTGGGCATGCTGGCAGAGGCACCCCAGGAGCAGGAGGGACAGCTGGTTCTGCCCCAGCCCTGGGCAGGGATGGGCTAAGGGGGTGTGGTGAGCAGGAGTGTGTCCTCTCATCTTGTCACCGGGGCCCACAGAAGCTCCGCTCTGAGCTCAAGTTGTTTTCCTGTTCTAATGAACATGACTGAGAATCAAACTCCACACCCCATGAGCTGGCTCCCCTGAGAGCATTCCAGCTCAAATACTGATTAGATATGAAACGCTTCCCATCCTCGGAGCCCGAGTCAGGGAGGCAGAAACCAGAGATGGAAGCTGTAATTACCAGCTGATTATGCAGTGTGAGTTATTAAAAGAGAAAATAAAATGAAAACCAACATCCCCCAAATAAAAACAATTAACAACACTCTCTGTTATTTCTGCCCGACTTAAAGAGATGCGGGCATTTGTGTGGTTTACTCTTTCCATTCTGAAAGTTCCACATATTCACCCAGGGCATTTGCTGAGCTCCCACCTACTATGTGCCAGGTATGTGCTGGGGGCAGGAGTGAGAAATAAACAACTCAGACAAGGGGCCGCCCTTCTGGGGCTCACAGTCAGGAGGGGCATGGTCTTTCAAGGAAGAGGCACACGGGCAAGTGTGTAATTAGACCTTGGATGTCTCCAAGTATGCCACATACAAGAGGCTGTGGGAAGATGAGGGAGACTAACTCAGATAGGGGTGATGTTAGGAGCAGATATTTAAGTTGAGAACTGAAGAAGAGCTAGGTGAAGAGTAGGGGCATGACAGAGTGATCTAGGGAGCAGGACAGCATGTGCAAAGGCCCTGGGGTGAGAAGGAGTGTGCTGGGAGGAATAAAGAAGGCCCTGGGGCAGTGTGTGGTGAGGGGAGAGCATGAGGAGAGGGGAGAGCATGAGGAGTGGGGAGAGGCAGCAGCAACCCCAGGTCTGCTGCCCCCAAAGCCTGAGCCTTACATGATGCTCTCTCAGGGACCACCCACCCTATGGAGGGATCAATAGGGCACAGTTGGGGAGGAGCCAGGGCAGGGCTCTGTTCGGCCTCCAGAACAGAAGCAGGGGTGAGCCAGGGAGCAGCCATGCCTCTGATGCTGGGACTCCCTCCCACCCAGAAGTGCTCCCCTTTCAGGCCCTGGCCCCCCAGCAGCCTTTAGAGCCCACCGACTCCAGTGCACAGGCCTCACCTGGCACTGTCCTGAGCCCTGTTCTGACATCTTGGAGGAGGGCAGTGCGTTCGGCTCCACAGGCTGAGAAAATGCACCCACATCTCCCTGTGCTAACGCCTCCCTGATTTTCGTTAAAAACAAGCAGGGGAGAGGAGGGACGCTTGGATTTGTAATGAGCCCCAACACATCACCTGGTTACAGATCTCACAGCCTATCTGATCTGCTCAGGCCTGGCTGTAATGACCTGGTCCCCCCCCCACCTATCATGGCCTATGACAAGGTACGTGCCTTGGGCAGGAAAGCCAGCCCTCGGGCTGTCCCTTTTCAGTGGCGGGGCCAGGGTGGGCGTGGGGCTCAGCCACAGCCAGAGGGCTCTGGTTGCCATGGAAACGGGTGGCTGGGGAAGGCTGGCCCTAAGCAGAGGCCCCTCAGCCAGGCTCCAGTGTCCGGAGCCTGGTTGATCTGAGCCTGGGTAGAGCATTGGCCCCTGGGTTCTCTGACCCTTGTTCCCCTTGTGCAGGTGGAAGCCACCCGTCCCTTCAGACCCCCCAGGGCAGAGGACTCAGGCTCCTTCTAGAGCAGCCTTCGTTCACTACCAAGGTCCCGCCCACGGAGATGAGCAGAGCCCAGGTTCAGCTGGGCACCTTCAGGTTTAGAGACCTCAGCTGCTGGGGCTGAAAACAGAGGCCACTGGAACAAGCCTGGAAAGAACCAGGACTGAGCTTGTGATGGCCCAGAGGCCTTCAGCTCCCTCTGCTCCTTTTCTTGGAGCAGCTGAGGCTCTGAGGGGTGGGCAGCGCAGACCCACGGTCGTCGTGCTCAGCCCCAACTTCCCTGCAGATGCCTTTCCCTGACATACAAAGCTCCAACCCCAGCCAGGCTTTTCATGCCCTTGTGTGTCCCGTTGGCCTGCAGACCACAGCAGGGCTTGGCCCCAGTTTCCGGACCATCTGCCCACATGGCCAAGGCTGGTCCTGGATCCTGAAACCCACAGCTGCCAGCTCCCACCCTGTGTCCAAGCCGCCCTTGCAGCACTTGAGCCCAGCCAGCCTTCCCTGGCCCTGTCTGCTCCCTGGAAGCACTGGCCACCCTGAATGCCCTGCCAGGGCCCAGCTGTCCTTCTGCCCAGCAGCCCCCTTTCCTCTGTGGTGTTAGGACCCCATCTTTCTTTGGGAATGGTCCCTCCCATCCCTGCTCAGTTCATGTGATTCTGTGGGGCAGGTCCGGGCACAGCCAGGCGGGGTCTTCCTTCTATCCCCCATGCAGTGAGTGGATCCGTGACAGGCAGGCAACCTGAGCTGAGTCAGGGAAACCCATTGCTGGGATTTCTGCTATGGTGGTGAGGAAGGAGGCCCTCTAGGTCTTCTGGGGCAGATGGAGTGGTTGGGATGAGGCTTGGAGGACCCCACAGGGAGGTGTTGGGCATCTGAGTCCTTGTGGAATCAGGTAAGAACCTGGATCTCTCTTATACACACATACACACACACACACACACACACACACACAGATGCAAACACAGAGACACACACGCACAGCCCCCTTATGCATAGCCCAGCACATAGTAGGTGCTCAGCAAACACTCCCTAACACATTGAAGAGCACATTCTGCTGGGAGCAGTAGGGGATTCAACAGTGAGTTTCCAGCAGAGCCACTAACCCCCTGGAGGCATGGAGGGGAGAGGATACTGGGGACCACTCTACCCCTGGTCTCCACTTTACACAGCCCAAACCCTGGCTTTAGAGCAGTGTCCTCAGCAGGTGGCACACTAGGAGCACCCAGGAGCTTTGAGACGGCACCTTGCAGGCCTGGCCCAGCCCTATCACTGCACTAGAAGCAGGGCCATTATGGGGTGTTGTGGTCAGAGGGAAGCAAGGGCAGTGGACCCAGGGCCTGGCCCTCCTGCTCTGCTGGCCTCAGCTCCCAGAAGGGGTAGACCTAGGTGCCCACCTGAGGCTGGTGGAAATGGGTCCTGGATGCCTGCCTGCTGCTGGTCCTCCTTTGCAGTTCCGTTAGGGGATGCCGAGGGGCCAGAGGGGATCTCGAAGCCTCCTGTGATGCCACAGGCAGCCTCTACTGCACCCCCACCCTCTCCACTCAGCACCTATGGGCTCCTCAGGATGTTTTCCTCCTGCCCTGTCCTCAGAGCCAGGGCCCCACAGCTTCTGAGGATGTCGTAGCACAGGCAAGGCTGTTGCAGCACAAGGAGGTCATATGGCTCATTAGCTCATGCTTCTTGTTACTGCAAAATACATGTAGCTGCCTGAGAAATGAAGATCTATTGACTCTTGCCATCTTAAAACACATTTTCAGTGTATAAGCATGCCCATACTTGATCTTTCCTCATATCTCAGTGTGAAATAATCAGACTCCCCCATAAACCATAAACCATCAGGGCACTTGGGTGAAATATGGGTGTCTTTAGACCCGTGGTTCTCCACCTTGGATCGGAATCACCAGGGGAGCCAGGAAGACTGACCAGCATGTGCCCCTCCCCATGCCAGGTGTTAGCTTAATTCATCTTGAGCAATGCCAGGCACCTCCCCAGATGGTCCAAATGCTGGAACGCTGAGCATCACTGTAAACAACTGGTTTTCCATGGTATTGTGGGGGATTCCAGCCGGATCTCAGCAATGTCTGGATCCCACTTGACAATCCACACTCCCAGCCCTCCCCTCGCTTTCAGGGTTTCACAGGGAAGCAGCTCTACTCAAAGGAGAAAAAGCAGAGTGGACACAGGGGATCACTCTGGTGGCTTCAGGCTGCATCAGCTAAGCTCATCAGGACCATGTTTCCCAAATTATCTTCCCCACATGGTTTCCAGTTGGCCCTGTCCCCTGTCCACAAGAAATACTATGCACATGTTTGGAAGGCAGGAGACAGGCAGCATCTGTGCCTGTTGGCCTCTGAAGGTCATAGCTGGGCAACAGGCATGGGGCAGCTTTGTCTGCTGGTCCACCATGTTGGCATGGGCACCATCTGGTGTGTGGTTTCTCCAGCTCCCACCGGATCTCTTCCTCCAGCCTCCCCAGGTCCTGGACCAAGAACACGTGGAGCTCCGTGGTGAGCGGTGTCAACCTCCCTGCAGGTCACGGGTCATGGTAGAAGGAGTGAGGGACAAACAAAGGTTCCAAGGTGTCTGTGTGGGTCCCAGCTCATGGGTTCTATTTTATCCTTAGATTTCACTTTGTCCTCACTTTCATCCACATCCAAGTCCTCTGTGCCTCCCTGACCAGCTGACATAAAGGCACTTCAGCCTCAGCGCTAGAGTGAGAGGCAGCAAAGAGCCTCCACAGGCTGCTTCTCCAGCCCCACAATTGCATAAGATCTAGCCCCTCTTAAAACAAAAACAAACCCACCTTTTTCTTTTCTTTTTCTGTGAGAGCAACTCAGCAAAATAAAATTCCAGTTTATTATTAATGTTGTGAACAACATTGTTTCACACATACATCAAACAGGCCAAAATAAATACATAAATGAACAGCAACTGTATAGACAAAAAATGACTTTGTAACCACCTCATACAAACTAACTACTTGTTTTTATCTTTGACCTTTTTCACCATCTCATACAAGCCAACTACTTGTGGTACGGCTAAGGACATTCACAAAAGCAGTTACTGGAATGCTCAAAATAAGTTTGGGTTTTTATTGTTGCTACTTTTTTACAAGTTTTTTTCCACCTTTGATATTATAATGAACATGGTCATACCACAAGTAAAGTCAGAAGCAGGACAGAGAATGCTCTGAAGGCTGGTTTGTTCATTCCAGATCATTAGAAATGGCTGACCCTAACAATCTATACAAAAACATAAAATGTAAATTAAAAATATAAATGAATCTCATTTTTAAAGTAGTTTTACGAGAAAAAACAGGGCCTGGGAATTTTGGTTCTTCTTTCTTCCCCTGTTGCACATTCTCACGGTTTTCGTTCAGTGGCACCCAACCAAAGCAAGGGCCATCTGTGCAAGATCACCTATTCTTCTACAGCACTTAGAGCATTTCTGCTTCTCTGATTGATCCTTGACTGATTTTTAAGAAGTCTTATTAATAGCTATGTAAATGCCTGATGTGGCTGCCACAACCCCCATTTGGGGGCCTCTGGTAGGTCCCAGCTCAAACCTTGTACCCACCAATGGCCCATCTGCTCTCCGGTTCATTTGTTCATTTCCCCCCCTTTCCATGCCCTGTGTCTCAGGAATCTAGGTGTTCCAGGGCCCTTGGCCTTCTGGCCTCCTGATAGATTAAGCTGGAAGAGATACTGGAGTAGTATGCTGCTTTTCTGCTTCAGGTGGCATTTTCAGCAGCAGCTGCCTCTCCTTTGTGATTCCAGCTCCCATCGGACAGCCCCTGTTTCCATGGCTCCAAGCTCTCTTGACATTCTCCCTCCACCATGGCTCTGGCTTCCACCTGATAATCCCAGCTTCTGGGCTCCAGGCATGCCACCTTGTTTCTGTGTCCTTTCAGTCCTAGGAATGACAGCTGCTTTTCACTACTGCTGTGTTTTGGGTGGCCTCATCATCTTTCTGGCTCTTCAGCTCATCCCTCTTCTACCTATAACCAGTTTCCTGCGTCAGACCCTTCGCTGAATCTCTAGTGTGGTTTTTCTGTTGCTGACTGCACCATGACTGGAGGTCCAAGTGAGACTTGAGTGAGACTTCCTGCTTCCTCCCATCCTGGCTTCACCATGGCTGGGTCTGCAGAGCTGACTTGCCTCCTAGTTGCAGGTGGTGGACAAGGAGCTGTGAAAGGGAGAGAGCTGGGTTGGCCGCCATCACCTTCCATGCATTGACCCTGCCTGCTTATGGTGGTGGCCCAATCAGTGTCCACTTCTGACCAATCTCTTTCTTCCTTGGGGAGTAGAACGAGGTCTTAAAAGGGCACCACATGTGGGTCTGGTACAGAATGAAAGTCAGAAGTTTCCTCCCCAGCAATAATAATGAGTCACACTGTGATAGTTGTTGCTATGTTAGTGATTACTGGAAACACCAAGCAGGACATCAATTATTGTTCATTTCAGCTGGGAGGTGAACTAAGACTCTGAGAAGTTCTGCTTTCAACCTAGATCTTGGAGGTGTGATTTCAGTGGGCAGCTATGGATTCAGTGTTGAGGGATGGGGGCAGAAGGAGCTTGTATTAGTCTATTTTCATACTGCTATGAAGAAATACCCGAGACTGGGTAATTTATAAGGAAAAAGAGGTTTAATGGACTCACGGTTCCACATGGCTGTGGAGGCCTCACAATCATGGTGGAAGGCAAAGAAGAAGCAAAGGCATGCCTTACATGGCAGCAGGCAAGAGAGTGTGTGCAGGGGAACTGCCCTTTATAAAACCATCAGATCTCATGAGGCTTAATCACCATCACAAGAACAACATGGGAAAAACCTGCCCTCATGATCCAATTACCTCGCACCTGATCCCTCCCATGACATATGGGGATGATGGGAGCTACATTTCAAGATGAGATTTGGGCGGGGACACAGCCAAACCATATCAAGCAGGAGTATAGAAGGTTCAGAAACACTGAGGAGTCAGGTGTGGCTGAGGACGAAGGATCCCATAGGTAAGGCTGGGGTTAGGAAAAGTGGTTTCCAGCAGAACAGAAGAGCTGGTGGGAATAAAGATGGAAGACTTAAAGTCACAGAGGGTCAGAGATAAACATTCCCCAGACATCGTACAGTGCAGGACTGAGATGAGCACCGCCAGTGGGCTGAAGGTTCAGAGCAGGTTTCTTCGAAGCACACAGCTTCAGATTACTAATAGGCCTTAGGTGAGTAGAATTAGTAGAATACAAAATCATTTCTTAAAGCCTTAGAATTTTAAAGACTTGTAATCTTAGGATAGTTGAATCATTGGATCTCGGAGTCTTCGGTTTTTAAAACAACAGAAATATTGTATGTTAGATCACTCAAGGGTGTCACACCCAGCCCCTCCTCCTCCTAGGTATGATAATATGTACTCTGTGCTCAGCGCTTTGCACACAGTCTGTCCTTTCGTCTCCATGACAACCTTAGGAAGCAGGAACTATTATTCTGCCTGATTTTCCGGATGAAGAAACCGTGGCTCAGTGAGGGTAAGTGGGTTGCAGAAGGTCAGATACCTTGTAGGCAACATGGACAGGGTTCAGCCCAGACCTCTCAGTCTCTGAAGCCCATGCACTCAGCCTCTCTGCTGTTTGCCTCCTGCAAAGCCCCTCTGCTGAGTGCTCACCCATCCTCTGTGCACACCTCCAGGGATGGGGAGCTCATTACCCCTTCCCAGGGTTGTCCATCCATCCCAATTTTAAACACCTTTCTCCTTTTCAGAGCATCCACTCATTGGACCCAAACCTCCCTTGGGAAACCCCACAGAAGACAAACCTTCACTCAGGACTCTTGTAGGGAGAGGGAGCATCTACTGGAGGTGGGGCAGCAACTACACAGGAGAAGAAACTCAGATGAGGAAAGCCCAGATGCAGCCCAACCTGGTGAAAGATGAGGGAGTTTACCCTGAAGGAGGGAAGCAACTAGAGGCATGGGGAGCAGGCCCCCTGGAAGACTAATGGGACAAAACCTAGAACACTGGGCCATGCGGGGGGTGAGGCATGCATTCATAATTCAGAAATACAATTCTCCAGCAGTCAGAGTTATGGGGCCTAATGAGATTGGAATCGGAAGTGCTATGCCTTTAATTTCTTGGCTTTTCTCCCTGGAAACTTATTCTGTAAAATGTGCCTTGTGCCATCCATCCTCCCAGATGGCTTTTTAAGTGAAGCTGTTTGTTAAGTGGGAGAAGAACAGAGACAGGGTGGGAAGGGGAGGAGCAGGTGGAGCCACTGCAGCCCCCAGGGAGGAGATCCAGTGGGAACCGCAGTTCACTCCTGGCCAGGGTGGGCTTTCCAGGATGGAGAGCTTCCCTACCTCCAGGCTCAGCCAGGCCCACAGGGCTCAGAATCCCTATGATCACTGCTGTATTTTGAGCTCTCATTGTCTTATTCTAGATGCTTTGCATATATTAGCCTGACAATCTCTCACAACACACTTAGGACCAACCAACAGATAGAGAAACTGAGGCCCTGGAGAGCAGAAGTGAACAAGGCTACACAGCAGGTCACTGGAGACGGATGAGAAAACACCATTGCTATCCAGCCCACATGGGCCTCAAATGGATTCTGGTCCCGTCTCCTCCTCTTGTGAGTTCTTGTTTCCCCTCCCCCTCTTCCTCCTTCGTCGGTACAGCCCAGTCTCCCTCCATTCCCCCCGCTCCCCAGCATGCTGCACTGCTTTACCTCTGCATGCCTCCAGAGCCCCCATGGCCTCTCTTCCTGAAGGGCAGCTCAGCACAGGAAGCACAGCTCCAGCTCCCGTATTGACCTCACCCCACCTCATCCTCCCACCTTCCTCCTCTGCTTTCTGAAATGCCTTGAGTCTCAGATAGCACTTCTCGCCCAGTATGTCATAGAATAAACCTGTATTCCTGGGAAGGGAGGCTGATGAACCCTTGCTATTCATACCCTTCTTGAGCCAGGAGTGCTGCGCACACTGCTTCACAGTGCCCATGGGGCCAGGGAGTACCAGCAGACACCCAAGGGATTACCCGGGTTCACAAGCCTTCTCCCCTGCCCCCTTGTAAAAAGGTAGCCCTACCTCTTCCTACAGACCAACATTCATCCCCTCAGCCACTATTGTAACTCCATTTTTTTGGAGATTGCCTTTGGGGCAGCCAAAACTTGTAGTTTCAATGGGACCCTTGCTGTGTGTCCTAGCAAGAGTATGTGTCTTTGGGGACCAGGATCTCCAAAGTTGTAGAGCTAAGAGTGGCAGAGCTGTAAATAAGTATCGCTGTCTGTTCCATGTGAATGTGAGCTGTTTCTTATTCCGTTTCCTAATAGAAATGGAAAGGAACACATTTCCTAAGTCTGCGGTTGTGTACTTTCTTCCTGAGAACTCTTTAATCTGTTCCAGCGATGATACTGTGTTCCGTATGTCGCCTCCAGTCAAGGCTGCTACCTGATGGAGCCTGCAGTGGTCTAAGGTCATTTTCCAGGCTCTTTCTATTTCTGCAGGGGCCAGACTTGCAGATCAAATGGAGACGTGATAAGAACACTGTCTCTGTTAGATTTTTAATGATGTTACTAATCTTCACTATCCTCTACCCCTACCTGAGATGTGATATTGTGTTCATGGTAATCTTGGCCAGGAAGGGGATAATTTCAGAGGCTTTCACTTCTTCACTGTGATAGTTCTTACCTCACAAGCCAGGAGCCCAAATGTGGGGTTAACCAAACTGCCAAGTGTATTAATTCCAATTATGCACTGTAAGACTGGGGAATGGGCCACTGGGTGGTTCTGTAGAACCAGTGGGCCCAGTGTAAAATAGACTTTAGCCAGGATTCTATTTAATACCCAGCTCCTATATGCCCCTACTCGAACAAGGGAGTCATGATGACACTGAGTCTCCAGGAATCAATGCCATCTCAGACTCTGTGCCCAATAGTCCTCAAAATGTCTGGTTATTCTCCTTTCCCCAGCGTACAGTCACCGGCCTCACTCACTGTCAGTCCCTTTGGGGAAGGACTAGGGGAATCATCATGGTCTATACTTACCATATTAAAGAGAACCTGGCCACAACTTCAATTGGTTCCAGATCTGAAAATTGACTATGGTCTGATAACTGAGCAACTGATTATTATGTTTTAATGGAGTGGCTTCTGTAAGCCCTTCACCATTCTTGTCTTTTATTAAGCTTTTATTTTGTGAGGATTACATATTCACATGAAGTTTCAAAAATGGCAGAGAGGTCCCACATACCTTTCACCCAGTTTCCCCCAATAGTTACAACTCATGTACCTCTAGTACAATATCAAAATCAGGAAATTGACATGGGTGCGATTTGTATGTATAGTTCTATACATCCATCTTATCATATGTGTAGATTTTTGTAACCACACCCAATCAACATCAACTATCTCATCACCACAAAGATCTTCCTCAATTTACCCCTCTGAAGTCACACCCACCATCCTCCCACTCCCACCATTTCTAACCCCAGCAACTACTAATCTGTTCTCCATTTCTATCATTTTGTCAGTTTAAGACTTACATAAATGGAATCATGCAGTATGTAACCTTTCAGGACTGACATTTTTTTCTATTTGATATAGTGTCTTTGAAATCCACCCAAGTTGTTTCCGGTATCAGTAGTGTGCTCCTTTCTATTGCTGAGTGGTATTGTGTGGTACAAGTGTCTGTCTTTGTCTATTATTGGCCATCAATGCTAGGTGACACACTTGTGGCCATCTTTCTCTACACTTTCCCACAGGTCCAGCTCCTGTGGCTTTCCCACTGATCTTACCATTCATTTTAGTAATTGCAGCCCCCTTGCTTCCAGTGGTAAGAGCCACCAGCCGGCCTCCATTACTCAGGGTACCCAGCCTCTGTTACTCAGGGCCCCCTCATCCCAGATGAGAGGAGAGCCACCACTGCACTTCTCAGGGACACGGATGCCCCTCTCCCCAGTGTATTCCTGATAGCTTTGGTGAATGACGTGTCCTCAGGGCCCCCCTGTGGGCATTCCAGCCTCCTCTTTCCACTCAGCCTCTATTCCTTCCTCTACCACCTGCCAAGGCAACTCAGGCATTTTCACATCATTGAGAATCAGCAATCGCTTTTTTCCAGGGCATACTCTGGGGGCCTCGCTGGATTATTAAATCCTGTGTCCCCTAATGTTCCATGAAAGGGCCATATATGCAATACGACTCCCAAATGCTGAAGGTGCCAAGAAACCAAAGAACAAGGCAGGCAGATTCGGTTTTATTGGGGGAACTTACAGACAGAAGCATGGTCTTGGGTAGCCACAAGACAAGTAGATCTCTGTGCTGTTACTCCCCAGATCTAGGGCTTATATGCCATAGGGAAAGGGTAAGTGCTCTGTCAAGACAATTAAAGGCAGCCCTCTAGAACAGGCAACAATGCTGTGTGCATCATAGCCTATACTTGATAACATCAACAAGGTTGACGTGCTCTTACACTGGGGACAGTAAATAAAGTAGGGATCAGAAAACATTCACGGGACTGGGGCTAATCAGAAGTCAGTGTGGCAGATTAGCATCCAAGATGGAGTCACTTTGTCTCTACACCCAACATGCCCTCAAGTCAATAAGTTCTCTTCATGCAGTCTTATATGATGGCTCCTTGATCAACATACATTAAATCTACTCCCCTGCTTCCAATAGTACATGTTAGCTAATTCTTGCTACCCTTGGTGGACAGTTTCTTTCTTCTCTTATCAGGCTCAGAATGCTCCCAAGCTAGATTATGCTAGAACTGAATCCCTATATAACATCCTGGCAGGCAGAAGAGGGGGTGAGTCAGGTGCTGAAGGAGGCTCCTGCTACCTTATGGAGGAGAGGCCTCTACAGCATCTTTCAGCACAGTAGAAGTTCTGGACCTTTATAGGGAATGGTAGCCATATCTGAGAGCCCAGAGGGTTTTGAGGAGGGTTACAAGGTTAATATCTTCTGCTATCCTAGTCCCATATTTCAAAGTTTCAGATGTTTCCCATCAAGGCCCTGACCTTTGTATAACAGACCTTCCTTTGCTGAGCAGCATTCAAATATGTCTAGAAGGCTATGACTCTGACAATTAGATCCTTGATCTGATTTTCAGCAGAGTCTGCCATTCCACTGCAACGGATAAGGGCCTCTTAGTGAGCTGCCATAATGGCTGGCTCTCACTCCTAGCCATTAAGGGCTTATTAAGAGCCTCCTATCTCTCATTACCCTTCCACAGGGTATGAATACAACTTAGACTCAATTCTCAACAAAGTAAAAATGTTTGAATTGTCTTAGCAGATGGTAGGTAGAGGAAGCAACCGGCCAACTCTGCTGCCTTTATGGGCATTGTCCCTGCCACCTCACATCTTTTGAATGCCCGAATCATTGCACCTGCCACAGGGTGGCCCTCCACTGGCACATTTTCCCAGGTAACCACAGATAAAAATCTTGAGCAGTTAAGCCACCACTTTATGCCAAGTAGTATCTGTGTCCAAATTTCCACCATGTTGGAGTTCTTTGCCTAGGGTGGGTGAGCCAGTTCTTAACCCCTTCTCGTCATTTATTTTCTTGGACCACTTTTTCCCTCAGACCACTAACTTTTGTGGGTCTGAGTTTTCCAAGAAGCAGACAGCAAAATGGAATTATACACAAACAAGATTAAGTCTGGCAAACGCTGTGAGGAGCAAATGCAAAGGGATTCCAAGAAGCCTAAAACAGCCATCAGGCTGCAATTCAGGTCTGATCCTTGTGAAGGAGAAAGAAGGAAGGGAAGGTTGGGTGGAGTATCATAGATGGTAGTGAAGGGAATGAGGTGAGCAGCTTTTAGAAAGTTTCTTCTTCATGGAGAGGGTAAAAAAAGAGCTCACATTTACCAAACACCCACTCTGAGCCAGGCCCTATATATCAGTGTTTATATAGCTCTCTAGGGCACCTTGTAAGGTGGTTACATTGCCCTTATTTTACTGAGGAGGAAGCTGATGCCCAGAGGGGCCACCTGGTTATCATATGGCAGTGAGCCAGGGCTGCTAGCCAGTGGACTGATGGCAAAGTCCATGCCTTGTCCATGGCACCACACTGGCCCTGAGAGCACCATGGACAGAGGTCCAGGTAAGTGGCCCGTCATTGGCCCAGTATGGCCAGGGCTCAGGGTCAGGGTTTGGAAGCTGTGGGAGGAGCCAGTCAGAGTCAAATCATGATAGGCTCTAAATGCCAGGATAGAGGGGTTAGATTTGATCATGTAGGCCAGAGGTGGCCTCTGGGCATATCTAGTCTGCAAGCAGGATTTGTTTAGCTCATTCAAAGTTTTAAAAACATTTGATTTAATTCCCAAGAAAAACTTTCAGATTTGAAATAAAAATCTTCATTTCTGGTCTCTCCTGAAAAATGAGAATATGTGACCATTTGGGACCCTATTTCCTATTGCAGGAGTTGAGGTGAAGTGGTGACAGGTGCTCTCCACATTGCAACCACCTACGAGGAAGCCACCACACACGAATGTCCCTGCTTGGCTCCTTGTAAATAGGATAAGTGAGGCTCTGCTGCAGTGACAATTCCAAATCTCACTGTCTTCACACAGCTCATACTGTAGGTCCAGGAGATTTGGCAATTCGGGCTGCCTCTGCAGTTCCACCACCAGAGCATAAGTCTTCCTCCAAGATGCCCAGGCCAAAGAAAGAGAGCATTGAAGGGTCTTACGCTAGAAATTAAGTACTTCAGCCTGGAGGCATCCTAAGCCTCTTCTGCTTACAACTCATTATGGAGATCTGGTCACATGAACCCAAATAATGTAAGGGGATCAGAAAGGTGGGCTCCTCCTTGCTCCAAGTAGGCATGGAAAACCACATATGAGTGGGCAGGAGACATCTTTACTCTGTGCCTATAGACTTTAAGTCTGTAACCCTGATACAGGAAGCAGCATCTCAAATTCACTTACCTAGGGCTTCTATCTGCAAGTATCATTCTAAAATTTCCTCCATGACACTTTAGTTCATTCTTACCATAACTCTATGCAGTAAGCATTACAGGACTAGTTTTATGGAGGGGAAACTGAGACAGAGAATGATTATGTAACTTTCAAGCCCAGGCCATGTGGCTCCAAAATCTGCCTTGTCAACCACCATCCTACGCTGTCTTCAGCAGAGCACAGGGAGGAAGAAGGAAATGCAAGTCATGGGAGTTCAGGCAAAGGAAAAGGGGAGGATGTGGTGGCCGTGTGTGTGTGTGCAGAGGCAGGGGTGTACGTGTGTGTGTGTGCACAGGCAGAGGTGTGTGCGCGCGCGCGTGTGTGTGTGTGTGTGTGTGTGTGTGTGTGTTTAAAGAGCACTTGGCAGTTCAGGCTTCAACAAATATTTACTGAACACCTACTGTGTGCCAAGTAGTGTTCTTGGTACCAGATGGGCTGGAGGGAGGGATAGCAGCAGGGGGCTTTGCACAGGTGGCTACACAGAGACCCAGGAAGGATAAAGGACATGCCCAGGCACATAGCAGGTGAGGGTAGGGGTAGGACCAGCTGCCCTGACTCCCTGCCAGGGCGGTCAACCCCAGCCTAGTTCTTGTCTTTGTCATAAGGCTTCCTGGGCACGTGGGGATCTGATATGATGATCATGTCACTGGGAGCCAAGCACCCCAGGCCAAGGCTCTGGCAGTGGGGACAGGCACCCCTCATGGGCTGCTGGAGGTGCCAGTCAGGGTGACTTCAGGAAAGCGACTGGGCGATAAAGCCCCCCAGCCTGGGAAGTGTCCCATTTCTGGATGTCCAAATCCCACCTGCAGGAATCTGTCCTGAGGAAGTGTTCAGGGGGCCAGGCAAAAGGTGCCCAAAACGTTCATGGCAGCCTGATGTGTTTGAGAACAGCCCCGGAAGCCTCCAAGCATCTGACAGTCGAGGATGGTGAGGTAAATGATGGTGCATCAAAATGAGGTACAATTACAAAGCTATTAACATCATGCTTTTGAGGAATTTTCAATGATGTGGGAAAATGCTGATGATATATAGTGAGTTTTTTTAAAACTCTGAATAGCTGAATAAATTGTATGATCCCAATTACATAAAATTCAATATGTGTAGTGAGAGATAAGAAGATGGGAAGGAGGAGGGAAAGGAGGAGAGGGAAAGAACCGCAAGAGGGAGAGAAACAAGGAGGAGATGGAAGAGGATGAGAAAAGGGGAAGAGGAAGGAGGAGGAGATGAAGATGATGGACAAGGAAAAGAAGAGGAGGAAGGAGATGGTGCCTTTGTACTGAGCATTTACTGCGTGCTCCGTACTACCCCATACTGTGATTCACCCCAACCCCTGGGGAGGTTCCATTGTCTTCATTCCACAGATGAGGAAAATGAAGCACAAAGAGGTTAAGTGACATGTCCAGTGTCACAGGGCTGAGCCACTGAGCCACAGTGTGAACCCAGGTCTGGCCGACCCCAACTTTTTATATTTACTAAGTTGGGGAAACTGAGGCAGGGCTGAGTGTGGGCATTTAACCTCCAGATTCAGGGTGATTTGGCAGGTTGTAAAAGGAATCCCATGAGCCTTACAGGACGTGTGGTGGTTGCAGATCACGTTACCTCTATGAGGATGGTGTCATCATCAATCCCATTTTATAGATAAGAAGACTGAGGCTGGACACAGGGGCTCATGCCTGTATCCCAATACTCTTAGAGGCTGAGGCAGGAGGATCTCTTGAGCCCAGGAGTTCAAGATGAACCTGGTAGCATAGCAAGACCGCGCTCTACTAAAAAATTTAAAAATTAGCCGGGCAGGGTGGCAAATGGCTGTGGTCCCAGCTATTCAGGAGGCTGAGGTGCAAGAATGACTTGAGCCCAGGAGACTGAGGCTGAAGTGAACCATGATTACATCACCGCACTCTAGCCTGAGCAATGGAGCAAGACCCTGTCTCAAAAAGAAGAAGAAGGAGAAAGAGAAGGAGGAGGAGGTTGGCAGTGTCTCTTCAAGATAATAGTGGAGGTGGACGCAGGTGCACCAATTCTCTTCCCCACCCTCTTACCTCTACTCTGAGTGGCTGGTCTGGGGCTGGGGAGAGATGCAGACAGGGACATAGGCTATTGGTATATCCCCTGGCAATGTCCTTACCCAAGGCCTGTGGGGATTCTGCATGCCTGCTTGTGGGGAGGAGAGAAGTGTTCTCCACTTGAGCCAGCCCAGGGTCCACCTGCAGGTACCCCCATATGACTCCATTCAAATGGGTCAGCCTCAAGGTCCTCTGAGTTAATCCATGCGTCTTCTCAAAGCTGGGGCTGCTTAGCTTAGGGATGGACAACCTAAGGGCTGCCTGGTAACCAACCTGTGACTCACATGAGCTGCTTCTGCATCCAACATCTTCTGCAAAAAGCAAACAAGAGGCAGGAGAGACTATTACTCAAGGTACCCTCAAAAGCAGAAGCCTTCCCTGCCTCACCAATGAATGACTTTTCCTAGCGCCATGTCTTCTCACCCTCTCCCCTCTTCCACCGCCAGCTCCTCTCCCTGCCTGGTCAGAGGCTCTCAAGAAACCCGGGAACAAGAACTCTACCTCTCAGGCCTGTCTGTTGACTGGCACACCTAGGAGGACTGGCACACCTAACCCCACCCTGCCCATCCTCCCAGCTGCCCTGGGGGCTTGATCCTCTCCTCCTCCTCTTATCCCCTGCTGTGCCGATGAATCTGATGCCTGCTCTAAAACATGCTGCAGCAGCTCCAGCAGGACAGGGAGGCTTCTGCAGAGGAGGAGGGAACTTAACATTTCCCTACTCCTTACCCATTCCCTCCCCATCTCTCTGCTTCCCACTCCCTCTCCTGGGGTATTTGGACTTGAGGTTTAATGCGGGCTTTGCTGTGCCTTGGCCACTGGAGTCAGGCTGTTCAGGCTCCTTCTTAGTGGAATCTCTGCTGCATCCTGTACTGTGTGCATTCACTGGGAGGAGTTGGAAGGGTTTTAATTCACTTTAATTCACCCTGTGTGTGTGTGTGCACGTGCACGCATTGAATCTTTTACAAAACACTTTTTTTCTATCCATTCTCCACAAACCAGAGAGGCTGGATGAACTATGAGTCCCATTTTACAGATGAGACAACTGAAACACACTGCTTTCTTACAGAGTTTCCACCTAGCTAGCTGTGGCAGCTGGGATGAAACTCATGTTTGATTCACAACAAATTACTGCCTCCCGCAGAGAAAGGAATCCAAAATCTCTGCAAAAGGGTGGAGGAGAGGGTCCTGAGCTGGGCAGGCTAAGGATCCTAAGTGCAAACATATCCTTTGGTCAGTGCTGGAATTGCCTCCGTCTGATCTTCTTCACTGAACCTCCCAGCTCACTCCCAACACTCCCAGTGACAGAGCAAACTCCCCATCCCGAGGACTCCCGCGACCAAGACCAGCTCTGATTACATAACCCCTCTCTTCCAATAAGCCGCAGTCTCTTCCTTCATTCCTTCGTGTAGCCATCACTCATATTGACACCTATTACGTGCCAGGTTCTGGGTGCCAGAGATACAGCAGGGAACAGGCACGGAGCTGCGTGTGTTCAAAGAAAGATACATGGAGGCAGATGAGGAAAAAGCCAGAGGCCCTGGCGGAGAGGGGGTTGATGTGGAGCCACTTTTTTTTTTTTGCAAACAGAGTCTTGCCCTGTCACCGAGGCTGGAGTGCAGTGGCATGATCTTGGCTCACTGCAACCTCCACCTCCCAGGTTCAAGCCATTCTCCTGCCTCAGCCTCCTGAGTAGCTGGGATTATAGATGCGCACCACCATGCCTGGCTAATTTTTGTATTTTTAGTAGAGATGGGGTTTCATCATGTTGGCCAGGCTGGTCTCAAACTCCTGACCTCGTGATCCACCCACCTTAGCCTCCCAAAGTGTTGGGATTACAGGTGTGAGCCACTGCGTCCCGCCTGGGGCCACTTTTGACCACGACTGGGGAGTGTACACTCTTTTATCTGATCTGTGGCTGCTCAGCTCACCTGCCCCAGGCAGCTCCAGCCAGTCTCCACCGGCCTGCTCTGAGGGATCTCCCCCAGCCTTGGGCCCCCCCAGAGTCTCAGAGGGTCTTCTCGTCCTGTGAAAGGGGCTGCTGATACTGTGGTGAGCAGCTCTGTGCCACAGCCACCCTCCATGGCCATGTCCTTGGCTTCCTGCTTGGGCCATCGTAAAAGGCAGAGCTGGCAAAGCCATTCGGGGCTCTGCCTTCCCTTCCCCTTGCCAGAAAGCTAATTGGTTTTGCAATTTAAAAACGCAGAGAACAGGCGATGCGATCACTTCTATGAAAACTTGTTCAGTAATGAAGTGTTTGCTTCCAAATGGGGTGCCTCTCAGTATATCAATCTGGGCCCCTCGCGCAGCTTGACAGAGGCAATCCTCGTCTGCCTCATTTTCCAGATTCTGATGCGGTTTGCTGGGTCCAGGAAGGACCTCGAGGCATCGCTGAAACCTGGCCCCCTGGCTCAAGTTTAGGGGCAAGTATAATTTTCTCTGTTTTAAAGAGAAGAAAATGCAGAGTCAGTGAGGTGTGGTGGCCTCCTAGGGTACACAGTGAGGCTGGGGCAGAGGAGTCCATCTCAGGCTCCTCCCACTTCCGGCCTCACTGCCCTTCCGGTTCCGCTACACATTCAAGCCAGAAAAGTCTCTCAGCTCGAAGAGAGAATGGAGCTCCTCTCACCAAAGGAAGCAGCCTGGCATATGTTAGTGTCCACTCTGTGCCAGCTCCAAGCTTGGCCCTCAATTTACATCACCGCATTCAACCTACAACAGCCTTGCAGGGGGTATCATGTTCCAGTTTCATCAAAAAGGAAACCGAGGGTCAGAGAAGAGCAGTGGCCTGACGGAGCCCACACAACTGGGGGACTAGAGCCTCAGCATCTTGCGGCTTCTGGCCAGTGTGTTTCTCACCCTGTATGTGTGGTTAAGGAACATCTTCTGAAATCAATGAGAGATAGGAGAATATTGAAGCTCTTGGTCCCTAAAAAGAGGGACAAACTTTTTAACACCTACTTTGTGCCTGAAGTGTTTTGTTTTTTGTTTTTTTTTTTCCTTTGAGACAAAGTCTCGCTCTGTTGCCCAGGCTGGAGTGCAGTGGCGCGATCTCATCTCACTGCAACCTCGGCCTCCTGGGTTCAAGCGATTCCTGCTTCAGCCTCCCAAGCAGCTTGGATTACAGGCAAGTGCCACCACACCCGGCTAATTTTTGTATTTTTAGTAGAGACGTGGTTTCACCATGTTGGCCAGGCTGGTCTCAAACTCCTGAGCTCAAGTGATTCACCTGCCTCAGCCTCCCAAAGTGCCGCGATTACAGGCATAAGCCATTGCACCCAGTCTCTGAAGAGCATTTTTAACACTGACTAGGTCCACCTTACATTTTTCTCTTAGTTAATCACTGCAGCAGCCAGCCAAGGTCGAGGCTGTCATTCCCATTTTACAGAGGAGGAAACAGAGACACAGGGAAGTACAGTAAACACACTCAGAATCACACAGAAAGCAAGTGAAGGAGGCAGAATTCAGACCCAGGTTCCCTGACTCTGAAGCCTCCTCTGGACATGGACACACCTGCTCTGTTGTCCCCATAGAGGATGGCGGGTTCCCATCACCCACTGAGAACACTTTGTCCTTAGGGAGAGGCGTGAGGTGGGGCTGATCAGCCAGTCTGTTGTGTCTCCTGGTTACAGGCTTGAATCCTGACTCTGCTGTTTTCTAGCTGTGTGATAAAAGCAAGTTACTCCCCTCTCTGGGCCTCAGTTTTCTCAGCTGTAAAATGGGTTCATATGAGGACTTTCTCACAAATACATGGTTTGGAGGACTGAGTGAGGTAGGTCTTTTAAAGGGGCTCCAGACTCCTCACACCCCAGCCCTCTCAACACACCTGGTGTCAGGATCTCCCTGGCCATGTAGGGTCCTGACCTGAACACATTTATACTTTTCTTAAGCATCCACTGTGTGCACAGAATCCATCCTAAAGTCAACTGTGCTGAGGGAAGAGTCCTCTCCCTTATTCTTGATGTGCCCCAAAGTCTTGGGGTCTTCCCAGCCCAGGGAGGTCAAACCACGTCTTGCTGTTGTTTGAATACACCAAGTACATTCCTGCCTCAGGGCCTTTGCACATTCTGTTCTCTGTCTGGAAGGCTTTTTGGAATGATTTACTCCTTCTTCACTCACTCAGGTCCTTGCTCAAATTTCCCCTCCTCAGACAGGCCTTCCCTGACCCCTGGTTCAATGTATTTCCTCACTGCGAGGTCCCTTATGTGTTCCAGAGCAGGGCAGCTTGGGTTCTAAAGGCCCAGCCTCTGTGAGCCTATGCGGCCGGTTTCCAAGGGCAGACACAGGCTCTGCTGGGGTGGGCAAGCCTCGGTTCAGGCTCCACCTCCATACTGTTGGGATCTAGGCCTCCCTCTGCCCCCCAGACCCTGTGACTGAGTCTGTCTCTTTGACTCCCTGAGGATGGCTTCTCTCTCCCTGGGGTCCTGCCATGTGGGCCCCGTGTGAAGCAGCTTCTACCTCCAAATCTGCTGGGTGTTCCCACATGGCTGCATGTGCAGAGTCACACCGAGTGTCAACTGTGCACTCAGTGCTGTGCCAGGAGCTTAATGAGTTCATTTAAAAAGAGATAGGAACTTGCACAATCCCAGTTTTATAGCTGGGGAAACTGAGGCACGGGTGGTCAAGTAACTTGTCTGAGGCTACTTCACTGTTAGATGGAGGAGCTGGGTTTGAATGCAAGCTTCTCACACCATGGCCTACGCTCTTAGCCACAGTGACCACGCGGCCACTCTCAACACCGGATACCAGAAGTTTCTCTGTGGATGAGCATAGGCCTGGGGGAGGGTTAATCACTGACCTCACACCCTCACCCATGTGAGCTCAGTAGGGTCCCAGTTACCCAAGGTTGCTGCTGACACTAACCCAGCCTTTTGGGGCAGATATGTGGCAATTGGAGGTTTCCCTATAGCCTTGTAGGAAGAGTATAGGCTTTGGTAGCCAGTCATCCACTCATTCATTGAAATCATTCATTACTTTGGCTACTCATTTGACAAATACTGATTGAGCACCTGCTACGTGCCAGTTCCTGTGCTAGGGATGCAGCACGAGCAAAGGAAACCAAACCCAAGCCCAAGGGGCTCCCAGTCCAGGAGATGGGAAGAGACAAAATCAATGACACAATCGTGAAAATAAATGTAACCTGGAACCTGTAGGGGATCTAACAAGGCAATGCAGATGAAGCCATGGGACCTGTAATGGGGAATTTGATCTAGTTAGAGATCAGGGAAGGCTTCCTGAAGGAGGGGGCACCGGAGGAAACTCTGAGGCCAGGAGGCTACTTGTTGGTACAGTGTGGAAGGAACTTGGCTGTGGGTTGAGCAACTGGCAAGCTGATAGTTAAAGATCTGGAAATTCTGAGAATTGCCATGTCCTCGGGTTCTAAGATTGTGACCCAATGTTTTACAGTTTTTAAGATTCCATTAAGCCAAAAGCTTACGGCTTGAGAATCTAAGATCCTGGGTTCCACCTCAAGAAATTATAGTTTTAAGATTCTATTAAGTAAGGATTCTAAGACTTGGAAATTTAAAACTCTGGGATTTGAGGACTGTTAGGTCCTGAGAGACCAGGATTCCACAGTGGTGGCCTTTGCTGCTGGAGAACAACCTGCCAAAGCCCTCCATCACCAGGAGTGGGTTCCTCCCTCTTCCTGGCTCATGAAGTGGGTGTATATGATGCAGCTCTCTGTGGCTGAGAGAATGTAAATTTATTCTGCAGTTTTAGCATCAGGTGTTCGTCTTATCTGCATGTTCCAGTTTCCAGAATAAATATTAGAAGACAAGTCTGCAGAGATTTTCTGTGTATACATGAGCTAAGTCCTCCAACAGGGGCACATTCAGACATGGATTTTAACACAGGCACTATTCCTGCATTCACAGAAAGCTCAGAGAAGGGAGGAGGCCCCCATCTCCTGAGAAGGGGCCTTTGTGTGCAGAGCTGGGGGGCTGAGATGGAGGGATGGGAGTGAAAGCACTCTAGAAAGTCCCGGCTGGCTGTATGCATGGATGGGGCTATTCTCAGCTGACAGGCTGGAGGTCTGTGTGTGAACCACCTTGTCTGGCTCAGTCAGGACTGGGGCTATGGGCACCTCCCCAAGAGGGTTGGAGGGAGCAAGGCAGCCCCCACCAGCAGTCAGACACTGTGCTGGGCACTGATTGGGCTCCAATGTCAGATGGGGGCAGATCTTGGCACCTTCCTGTGTGACCTTGAAAAAGCCACTTCACCTCCCTGGGATTCAGCTTCTTCAGTGCAACCCATGTTCCTATCCACCCACTTGCCTATTGGTTCTGAGGATTGGAGGGAAACACTAGTGTTGGGCAAAAAAAGTCAAGGGGTAAAAAGAATCTAAATGATGTCTGCCAGGTTGTTGTAGTAACCTGGCTCCATGCTTATTGCTTGTTGTTTTCAGTTAATTACCTGGTGCCTAAGTGTATCACTTTTACATCTCAAGCACTGCTCTTACAATCAACTCATGTTTAATTAATGGCACTGCTGATTGTATGGCAATTGTGTTGCTGGAAGCACTGCACAGGGGTTCAGTCCTCACCCAGCCCGGTGACACAAAGGAGGAACAGTTCCTGCGCTCAAAGCTGCAGGAAGAAGGAGTTGACATGGATGAAGAAAGTGGGGGCTCTTATGTCCTCCATGCTCCTTCATTAACTCCAAGGTGACCTTGGCAGCCTGGAGCAGGGTCAGAGTTCTCAGACTACTCCCTTCTAGTGGGGCCTCTGGTCTCAGGAATTACAAAACCTGAGTGGGGGATTTTCTAAAATGGAAGTAATGATACCATCACCATGGGGTTGGTCATCCTTCTAGAAATGCAGGTCTTAGGACAGAAGTAACATTTTATGAATCTTGTTGGAAGGAAGGGACGAGTGAACCCAGTGGACAGGCAGGTCTTGAGGACAGAATCGTGTCCCCTCTGCCCCACCCACTAAGTGCTGTGATGAAGGATGTGCTGGGTGCAGGGATGCATGGAGGTGGGGTGGCGGCAGTCCGCAGAACATGATGTCTGGTCTGGGTCTTGAATAGACCCAGTATAAGTAAGAGTGATGGACAGGCAGGGAGAAGGGTGTTCCAGGGAGAGGGAGAGGGCACAGCATAAGCAAAGGCCTGGAGGCAGGAACTGCCTTCATTGAGGGTTGACCAAACCCAGAACTTCAGTCACAGCAGAAGATCGAGAGCCGGATTCTAGGGCAGTGGAGCTGAAAAGTGGCCAATTCTTAGGAACCCAGATAGGAGGGGTTTTAGAAAAACTGTGAACTTGTTTACAGATTTTTGGAGTCAATTGCCTGATGTTGGACAAGTTACTTAATCTCTCTGTGCCTCAGTTTCCTCATTCGTGGGTGGGGATAATGATAGCGCCATCATCACTGGGGGTCTCTGTCTTTCACTTTCAGAGACCAGAGACCAAGAGAGGATGTGGCCTGGCCTGGAAGAGAGAGTCAGACAGAAGAACCAGGCAGGATTGAGAAGAGAGGTGCAAAAGTGCAAAAGGCTGGACCCTAGAGACGGGGCTGCCTGTGCCTGCCTCACCCCCGTCCCACATTGGTACCCTCATGCTCCCTCCTCCTGGTGATGTGGGGAGTCACAAGCATGGGCTTGAGTCAAACACATCTTGGTTCAAGCTCCATTTCTGCTCCTCACTCATAAGGTGATCTCAGATCAGTGACTCAGCCTCTCTGTGCTTCATTTCCCTCATGTACAACATAAAGAGTATGACAGCACCTGCCTTTTAGAACTGCAGTGTGGGTTCATGAGGTAATGCAGATGAAAGGCTAGGCCTGTGTTTGAGGTCCACATTAGCTCCATTTCTAAATGTCCACTTGCTCAGGGGTGACTGGGGGTAGAGAGGGAGAGAAAGGGGCCACTGAGGGGTGGTGTTGGGGTCCACAGACAACTTCAAGACAGGTCTTTGTCAAAAGGATGCTAGACAGCAATATGAAAGCATATAAAAATGTAAAGATCTCTGGTAAAGCAAAATATATAGGCAAGTACAGAATTCTGTAATATTATAGTGGTGGTATATAAATCATTTTTAACTTAGGTACAGAATTTAAAAAAATAAAATCATAAGACTATAAATATAAAACTATGCTAATGTATTCAAAATGTAGAAATGTGTAATTTGTAACATCAATAACATAAAAGCAGGGATATGTAAAGGGGTAGAGCTTTTGTAGGCAATTGAAGTCGTTATCAGTTTAAGAGACCCGCAGAATCTCTAGCCAAACTGATTGATGAAGATTTTCCTGTATAAAACCAGTCAATAAAAACTACTAGAGGTGACTGTTTTTTCAAATGCAAAAATCTCAACAACAACAACAACAAAAATAACAAGACATACAAAGAAACAGAGAAACATGACCCAATAATAATAAACCTTTAGAAACCAACCCTGAAGAAATGGAGATCTATTAATTAACTAATGAAGAATTAAAAACAATTTTCTTTTTCTTTTTTTTTTTAATTTTTTTGAGATAGAGTTTTGCTCTTGTCACCCAGACTGGAGTGCAATGGTACAATCTCAGCTTACCACAACCTCCACCTCCCAGGTTCAAGCAATTCTCCTGTCTCAGCTCCCAAGTAGCTGGATTACAGGCATCCACAACCACACCCTGCTAATTTTTTTTTGTATTTTTAGTAGAGACGGGGTTTCACCATGTTGGTCAGGTTGGTCTCGAACTCCTGACCTCAGGGGATCCACCCGCCTTGGCCTCCCAAAGTGCTGGGATTACAGGTGTGAGCCATCGTGCCCGGCTCAAAAATAATTTTCTTAAGCTCAATGTGCTATGAGACAACATAGATAGGCAACTAAACAAAGTCAGGAAAATGATGTGTGAACTCTTACTGTGTGACCTTTGGGCCCACTCTGGGCCTAAGTTTCCCCAATTGTACCATAAGACAGTTGGATCAGATGATCTAGTAGCATTCTCGATTTGGTGGTTCAAGAAATGGACCATATATTTCTTCTATTATCCTATACAAGAAAATCTTGACCAGATGTTCATAGAAAAAAAAGGCATTAGTTCTATTATGATGGTCTCTTTTATGAGAAGTGAGACAGAGGAAAAACATCAGCCTGATGACAAGTCACCAACACCATGACCAGAAATCAAAAATCATAGTGCCATCCTGGTCAACACTGGCCTGGCTGCAGGGAGCTTTAATGCCCAGTGTGACCTGAGCAAGATGAAGACCTGAGCCAAAATAAACATGCCCCCTCCTCTTATATGTGGGTCATAGAATTACCTAAGCCAGTGAGAAGGAATGAAGCCCCTTTTTGATGTCAGAGCCTTGGGGGACATGCACCAGTGAGGAGGGGCTGAGACTGATGACTGGAAAGTGGTTGTGGAAATGAGGAACAAGTGTCACCATCACCATTATTCATCATCATCATCATAATCATCATCATCATCATCATCATCATGATTAGAATAACAGCTAAGAATTATCATGAGCTTACTATGCACCAGTCTCCTTCTCCTAGCTCTTTGTAAAGCCCAGGGCCTAGCAACAGTAAGTGTCCACGCTGGCTGGACTGATTAATTCAGTGGCTACCAGTGATGTCTATTTTTGATCTTTTGAAATGGCATTTCCTCATATTTCTGATGTTTCAGGCCAGCTCTTGAGATACCACTAAGTGAAGCTGAACAAAGAAAAGGTAGAAAATTCTCTAGAATGAGAACGTGTTGGAATGAGAAAGTGCTGGACCAAGGAAATATGGTACCTCCCGAGGAGAACGTCACCATCCCATGAAGGAGGCTGACCTGAAAACAAAGAGGAAGCAGCATGGCAGCTGTCCCTCCTATTACTGCCCACATTTTAATGAAGGAAATGCAGTCCCAGAGAAGCCAAGTGATTTGCCCAAGCTCACACATTCCAGGATGGCAGAGGAGGCTCAAACTCCAGCTCTGCCACTAAGTCCCGTGCTCTTTCCCCAACCCCACACTACCCTACTGGAATTACGAGGCCAGCATGATCTGGAGGCATCAAGGAGGGATTCTTGGAGGAAGGGGAGCTCAAGCTGGGCCCTAAGGGACACAGTGAAGGGGATGAGCATGCAGGGAGGGCGGTGAAGCCTGCAGTTTGCTGCTCTCAGATCTTTAGGCCTCTGTGTCTGGAATTCTCCATGAAGAGGCTCAAGTATTTCCTGGGGCAGGTCTGCCCAGGACCCTCTCCCAGAGCAGATGGAGCTGCACCTGGGCCCAGGTGGGAGGCAGTCCCCAGGTAGAAGGTGGTGGCAGAGTGAAATAGGAGCTGCTGGGAATGTCCTGTTCACTTGGTTTTGGACCCAGGTGTGCCTGAATGAAAGTAGCATCCTTGACCATCTGCTGCGCGGGGGACTACGGTCTCTCAAATGTCTTTGATAAGGCTATTAGATCACATTCCATCAGCCAGTCAGCCCCAGCAGCCATGCAGACCAACCCTGAAAAGTGTTTCATCAGCAGAGAAATGCACAGCCAATGAGCCCTGTGATTTCCCTTGCAAATTCCCCATGCCAGTAGCATCCTTCGAAGGTAAGAATCTTCCCATTATGTCCACAGTTGGGAAAATTAGTCCATTTCTCTTCCCTGTTCTGCCTCTGAAGCCCATGTTGACAGTCTATTTTCCCATAATGAGGCCACAGACGCTAAACAACATCAGGCAGGCAGGAAAATACACATCAGCTCAGCTGCTGGAGGATATTCTTGACGTGCGGGTGGGGCCGGCAAAATCGCTACTATTTTGGGAGCCAGCTGCCTGCATGGGTGGGAGACACATCGATTCTCTGCACAGATCAGCTTTTCAGACAGAAGCTGAGGAAGCTGAGTCTGCAATTCTTTAAAATCTCAAATCCCCTTTCTCTCCTGCCCACTCTCCCTGCAGTCTTTCAATAGATATTTATTGTTGCCTATTAGGTATAGGCTCTGAAGTGGGGCCCCAGACTATGGGGATGATTGAGACAAATTCTAGCCCTTGGGGGAAGGTCGTCTTGGGAGAGAAGTGCGCTAATCAGGGGACGCCCTGCAGTGACAGCTTACCTGATCCTCACAATTAGTTACCTCCCATTTTTTACTTCCATAGAACCCTGGGAACATCGCTGATTTAAGCATGCATTAGTTAGCATTCTCCAGAGTAACAGAACCACTAGGAGACAAGATAGATCGATGATAGATTGATTGATAGATAGATAGATAGACAGATGATAGATGATAGATAGATAGATAGATAGATAGATAGATAGATAGATAGATAGATAGATTAGATAGATAGATAGATAGATAGATAGATAGATAGATAGATAGATAGATAGATGATAGATAGATAGGAATTGGCTCACACAAGTCTTGAATTGACTTGCCTCTCACCTGAGAGGTCCCACGATTCACTGTCTGCAAGCTGGAAAACCAGGAAAGCCTCTGGTATAATTCAGTCCCATTCAGTCCCCAAATTCAAAGGCCGAAAAACCAGAAGTATTGAATATCTGAGGGCAGGAGAAGATGGGCAGTTCACCTCCAACAGAGAAAATGAATTCACCGTTCCTCCGCCTTTTCATTCTATTTAGGCCTTCAATAGATTGTACGGTGCCTTTCTCACAACAGTGAGGTTGATTTTCTTGACTCAGTCTACCCATTCAAATGCTGGTCTTTTCTGGAAACACGCTCACATTCTCTTCTGGAAAGGAAACACCCTCACCGACACACCCACAAATAACGTTTTACCAGCTTCCTGCGCATCCCTTAGCTCAGTTAAGTGACACAAAATCAACTATCACGAGGTCCCAGGTCCCCAGCAGCCTTCGCCACATCCCATGAAGGAGACTCAGGAGGGCAGGGGTGGTGTCTAGCTTTAATCTCCTTCCTCTGTTGTCCTCCTTTTAGACTGGAAGCTGCACGAGAGCAGCATCTCATGCACTGTTGTTTTCCTGGGGCCTGGAACACTGTGGGACACACCGCAGGATCAAAAATACTGGATGGAAGGAAGGGAGGGAGGGAGAAAGAGAGGGAGAAAGACAGAAAGGGCCTTGTTTCATAGGCACAGAGTGAGGATAGGAAGCAGAGAAGACAAGTGAAAATTAATGGTTTGTGAGGTGGAAAAAGCAGAAGAGATGAAAGATTTTAAAATGGTCACACTGTGATCTATAACATTTTACTTAATCAAGGACAAATTGCTCTTCACCTTCGGTGGATATGAGAACTGGCCAGAGTTTGCATCTCAGAAGAGCTTTTTGAAATGAAACAAGCTTTATAAGGATCATTTCATGCTCAGCTGGACACATCAGAGATGCCACAGACAGGAGAAAATCCTAGCACAGCATCGTAGAGAACAGAGGCCCTGGGCTGGATGTCTGGTCCACTCCTACTGCAGCAATGAGTCAGGATTATTCAAAATCCTGCCCAGGCCCCAGGAAGCAGAGGGGCCCTCAGCCACCCCCTCCTCCCAGCCCTGCCCACAGGCTGTCTCTGGGCCCAGCTGGGGCTGATCCCTACTTGTCCCCCCAAGATCTGCATCGCCTGTCTAAGGGTGTGGGCTGAGCCGGGACCGGCTGGGCCCCAGATCCCTGAGAAGTACCAGGACCGGCTTCCTGGTGGTTTCCTGAGCACATCACACTCAAGCCCAGCCTGTGGGTTCACTTCCCAAGCACCAGAGAAACACTCACTGGGGCGTCCTCATGGCTCTGGGACTCTCCACACCTGGATCAGTCTTGGCTGCCCTGACCACCAGCTGCGTGACTGGAGCGCTTCCCTTTAACTCTGCAGGCCTCTGTTTTCTCATCTACAAAATGGGAATATTCCATTCATTCGACAAATATGTATCAGGTACCTGGAGTGTGCCAAGCACTGTCCTAGGTACCAGGGATAGAGCAGTGTGGACAGACAGGGCCCCTGCTCCCATGGCGCTCCATCTAGTGAACAATCCTCCTGTGTCCCGTGCCCGAGAGGATCTGGATGATGGGCATAGACACAGAGCCTGTGTGTCCTCAGAGCTCAGTAAACCCCCTTGGGATGAAAGACAGCAGCAGAGAACCAGGCCCTGGGCTCTGAGGTTGGAGGCACTGACTTACCTCCTCTCCCTCACTCCCACCCCAGCCCTAAGAGCTGGTGTTTCTCCCCATGTTAGAGATGAGTACAGGAGGCTCAGAGAGGTTAAACACATTGACCAAGGGCACACAGACCAGGACAGTGTAGGTCAGATCCCGGCCCTGTGCTCTTCTCATGACCCCCCCAGTTGAATTTCTGGCTCCAAAGGCACCTTTCCATCCCTTGGGGTCATATCCCTGGGGTCCCAGGGACTCCCAGGGCCACCCATAGGATCTCAGTACTTGGCCCAGTAAGTCTGTCAAGTTCTTCTCTCCCCTACCCCCACCCCACCTGCCCTGACCCATCCCTGCTCCCTGAGAGTGGGATTGAACTCTACCTGGCCCCTTCACTCCACCTCTCTGGAGCCACGTTTCCCTCCCCTGTAAAACAGGGCCAATAATAGCCCCTTCCAGGGTTGTTGGGAGGATGGAGAGAAGTAATTTGCATAAAGCTGGGAGCAGCTGGCATCTCTCCTCTCTCCAGGAACTTCCTCTTGCCCTGTGGCTCCCTCCTTCCCTCGGGCACTTCCCAACCATCCTCCCGAAGTCCCCTCCCCTTCCCACACACCCTCCCTGCATCTAGCATTTGCTATCTTAACACCCTATTTATTTCTTTCACAGCAAGTTTCAGTCTAGGTGATGATTTTATTTATTTGTTCATTTAGTCATTTTTTTTGGCTGCTTCCCCAAATGCATCTGAGACTTCCTGTTGTTCTCATCCATGGCCGTGCCCTGGTGACACAGAGCCTGGCCCACGGAGGAGCTCAATGAACACTTGCTGATGAAGGTTGATGAGGAGTGGGACTGGGTTACATCAGCCAGAGTGGGTGAAGTGACAAAGAGCCCCCAAATCCCAGTGGCTTTACTCAATGGATGTTTGTTTCTCTTGAGCAAAGCCCAAGCGGAGGTCCTGGCTGGGGCTCCCTGTGGGTAGACAACGCCTCCAGCCGAGATGAAGGATCCAGGTTCTCTCTACCTGAGATGCTGCCACCTTCTTATGTGGCCTCCAGGCTCTGGGAAGGGAGGCTTGGTGGGGACTCCCTGACCACCCACGGTGTCTCTGGACTTCCAGGAACCCTTCTCAGCCAGCCCTTCTGAGAACCCTTCTGCTGACCCATCCACACTGTCCTGAGAGTCCCACGCTAGCAGCCGCTGCTTCTGGGCTAGGATCCCAGCTTCGCGCTTCTAGCCCTGTGACCTTCTGTCCACTGAACAATTCTGACTTTTCTTGCTGTTTGCTCTACCTGTAAAACTTTTCCCACCTTTCTTTGCCTACCTAATTCCAGCTACTCCTCTGAGGTCAGCTTAGAACTTCCTCTGGGAAAACTTCTCTGACTCTCCCACCTCACCCTCGTGTATGTTGAGTCTCCCCAGCCCCGTGCCCCTTTAGCAAGAATCTTCCCATATAGTCCTCATCCGTTCACATGTCTGCCCCTTCCTATATCTTCCCCAGTGTGAGGCTGACCATAGCTGGGTCACAGCCACGTCCCCGGTGCCAGCAGTACCCAGTGCCTGAGATGCCCAATCAAGAGGGAAGAAACAAAGGAATGAGCAAATGCAATTCTCTCAGCCTCAGTTTCCTCATCTGAAAAAATGGTGTTAATAACTCCTCCCTCACAGGGTGGCTTCAAGGATTCAGTGAAATAAAGCAAATGAGGTATATTGTTTGTAAAAATGTCTGTAATTACCCACCCCCCTTGTCTGGCCCTTCACAATGTGACTTCGCATCTCCCACATTGGAATTTGGAGTCTTCTTCTCTATTCCTTAAATCTGGGCTGGTCTTGTAGCTTGCTCTGGCCAAAAGAATGTGTCAAAAGCGACGTCATGCCAGTTCTGCACCTAGAGCTCAAGAAGCTATGTACCTTCCCCTCACCCTCCAAGCACTTTGTAATCTCATGCAAATATGGCCAGCCTAGGGCAGGCCATGAGGACCAGAGCCATACCGGTCAACCCCGTAACAGCCAAGGCCCCAGACTCAGGAAAAAGCCCAGTCAAACCAGCTAAGCCTACCCACTAAGCATCTGCAGATACATGAGCAAGGCGGTCCCGGGCTCCCAGACTTGAAAGTGAAATCAGTGCTTCTTGTTTTAGGCTAATCTGCATTGGGGAGGTGTGACCCCATAGCAGCAAACTCACTGAACAGGCAAATGCTGAAATGCAGCAGGCTGCCAGCAAGCATCACCGCCTCCACTCTCTCCCAGGAGAGACAACAATGAGAAATCAATCAGAAGGGTTCCAGTGCACTGCGCAGAGCCAAATGGGAAAGGTGTTTCGAGGTTGGTTCCTGTGGAACTGCTGCGTCTCAGAGATTCCCACAGCCTGAATGCCAGATTGTCGGAGGAGGTGGGAACAAAGCCCCCTCTCTGTGCAGAGACACTTCGGGAAGACAAAGGAGACAGGACTTATCAGCTGCATTCTTGTCATTGGCACAGGTGAAGATGCATTTTTAACAATTCAGCCTCACAGACTCTTGCTATTTATCTCAATAAATGCCAGGGTGACTTTTTCTTTCTCTTTTTCTGTGCTATAAAATGCTCAGAGAGTAGTGCAGTGAGAAGATGAAGGATTGACACGCAGGGAAAATTCATTTTTAGAGGTTTCTATAAAGCTCCCCCAGCCGTGCACCCACTGAGCAGAGCCAAGTGGCCTGGGGGCTGAGAGGGGCAGGGGCAGGCAGGTAAGGACTGGGGTGGGGTTGAGCTGAGTTGGGCAGTGGGGTGAGGGAGAGAAGATGGGCAGCTCTGGATGTCCCGAGGGGAGGGGAGGGGGATAGAGGGGGAAAAGCATGTACAGCGGCCCTGCCTTTAGCCCCACTCCCTCTAAAAAGGGCCCCTGCCCTGAATTCCCACCTTAGAGGGACCCACTCCAGCCACCCTCTGGCTGCCTACAGCCCCTTGACCTGAGGACTCCACAGAGGACACAGTGCTTGGAACCTGCATCTCCCTTCCTATGCCCTGCTCTGCCTGCCCAGGGCCTTGGGATTCTTGGATGCTCCAAGCCCACTTCAGATCCTGTGCAAGCCTCTGTCATGTTCCTTCTCCCAAGAACAACCCGCACTGCCTACGTGAGCAGCCCTAGGCCACAAGGTGGGTCCAGGGACAGCTGTAGGGAGAGGGTGGAATGGATGGATAGTTCTTAGACCTGCAGGTTGTGTCATCCCATGGGAGCCAGGCTCCAGTGGTTGAGGACAGAGCTGGGGGTGGGCAGAGGAGGGGGACAAGGAGGACCACACACACTCTTGCCCTACAAGTGGTAGGATTGGGCCCAACTGGAGGATTTCTACCATGCATCCGCCTTTCCCACTGCTTCCAAGACAGCATCCTCCCTGACAGCAGTCCAGGGACAGGCAGCCCTACTCCCACCTTGTAGACAAGGAAAGTGGGGGCTCAACAGGATCCCCAGCCTAGATCACATTCAGCTGACAAGAGGCCCAGGCAGGATCAGAGCCCCATCTGTCTATACCCAGGACCTAGCAGGTGGCAGGGAGGCAGTTCAGCACAGGAGTTTAGAACCTGGATGTGCACTGGAATCCTTGGCTGTGAATCCCACATCTTGCCCTTGCTAGCCAGGTGACCTCAGCCTCAGAGAACCCTTCTCCTCTTGGTGCCTCAGTCTCCTCAACTGCACATTTGGGTAATTTGGGTTCCCAGTCCTTTACCTGCAACTCCCAAATCCCCAAAGTCCCCCAAGAGAAAGTTGGGTTTTGTTTTTCCTTTAATTTGGCTTTAGAACTACTTTGATGGCAAAAACTGACCAACGCTGATCTGAGGCTATTTATAGTCTATATTTAAACCACTCAATGCTGAAGAAGTATTGCTGGGTTCCATTGCTAGGGTTTGCCCTGGGTTAGGGTAGGGATTGTGAACCTTAAGTAGCTGCTTCAAAGGGTTGTTCTGAAAATTATAGAACAAACGACCCAGTTTCTTCTGCAAATAAATTGTAAGAGCACATAAAGCGTGAAGGAGAAACTCTCAATTTAAAGAGACATAGATTTATCAACCAATCACATGTGTCAAATCCATTTGAATCCTTAGTCAAACAAATTATGAAACAAAGACAAAAACAAAACGTCTATGAAACCATAGGAAAATTGAATATTGTCTGCATACTTGCAGATACTCAGGACTTATTGTTAATTTCAGTGAGTAGGATAATGGATAGCAGTTGTATTTAAAAATTAAAAGTAAAACAGGCACGGGAGGAAAAATAGGTTGTGTCCCTGAGGCTACAATTGAATTGAAACTACCACTTTCTGCCACAATCTTTGGCAAGTCGGAACCACAACTTAGTTTTTCTTTCCACCTATGACTAACAGGATTCCTGGCTCCAAGTACTCAATGAGTGCATGCTCAAAGGTGAAGAAGGGAGAAGCAGTGACTCCCGTTGGAATACCCCTCAACCCACTAGGAGACTGGGGTCTGGAACCTGGTGTCCAGGTCTCTGCAGCTCAGTGATTTTTAGCCTCGCATGGCTAAAAACAACCTCCAGGCCGGGTGCGGTGGCTCATGCCTGTAATCCCAGTGCTTTGGGAGGCTGAGACGGGCGGATCACAAGGTCAGAAGTTCAAGACCAGCCTAATCAATATGGTGAAACCCCGCCTCTACTGAAAATACAAAAGTTAGCCAGGCATGGTGGTGCACGCCTATAGTACCAGCTACTCGGGAGGCTGAGACTGGAGAATTGCTTGAACCTGGGAGGCAGAGGTTTCAGTGAGCCGAGATCGCACCACTGCACTCCAGCCTGGGTGATGGAGCAAGACTCTGTCCCAAAAAAACAACAAAAAAAAAAAAACAAAAAACAAAGCAAAACAAACAAAACCCTCCAGTGGTTTCAGGAGCTGCAAGACACATTGATGGCAATCAGCGCTTGATGCATCAAATTTTTTTAAAATGCGCTGAGCAGTGTTGACCATGGATTCCTTGGGTATGAAAAGGGCAGATCCAGCCATAGTCATTGGTGACTCTTCTCCTCAGGTGGCAGCCGCCACTCACCTGAAACACAGGCTGACCTTGTGACTCGGTTGATCAATAGAATGAAGGAAAATTGGCACTGCGCACAGATAGAAACATGGCAAGAAATCTGTGAGCAAAGCCTAGAGAAAAAATGGTAAGAAAACTGTTAGGGGAGGTGGGAAAGGCAGAGAGGAAGCTCCTACAGCAAGTTTGAAAAATAAAGACTCATGTGATGTAGTTGCAGAGCAATGGACAGTACTTTGGAAGATGGAAAGTATGTGGAATGAACCCGCAGACCTTGGCAAAACGATTTTCAGAAAGAATGGTCAAAATGTCTGTGATAGTTAATTTTATGTGTCAGCTTGACTGGCCAGGGGATGCCCAGGTGTCTGCTTAAACATTATATTCGCGTGTGTCCGTGAGGGTGTTTCTGGGAGAGATTGCTATTTGAATTGGTGAACTGAGTAGGGCAGATGGCCCTCCTTGATGTAGGTGGGCATTGTCTAATCCCTTTAGGGCCTGAACAGAATAAAAAGGCAGAGGAAGGTTGAATTCACTCTCTGCCTGACTGCCTGCGATGGGACATCAATCTCTTGCCCTTAGCATTTCTAGTTCTCAGGGCTTCAGACTTGGACTAGAGTCTACACTGTTACCACTTTAGCTCTCAGGCCTTTACACTATGCCATCAGCTTTCTTGGGTCTCCAGTTTGTAGATAGCAAATTTGGGGACTTCTCAGCCTTCATCATCATCATCATCTGAGCTAATTACTTTATTATTTATTTATTTTTGAGATGGAGGCTTGCTCTGTCACCCAGGCTGGAGTGCAGTGAAACGATCTTGGCTTACTGCAACTTCCGCCTCCCAGGTTCAAACTATCTTCCTGCCTCAGCCTCCCAAGTAGCTGGGATTACAGGCATGCACCACCACGTCCAGCTGATTTTTGTATTTTTTGTAGAGACAGGGTTTCACCATGTTGGCCAAGCTGGTCTCAAACTCCTGACCTCAAGTGATCCACCCGCCTCTGCCTCTCAAAGTGCTGGGATTACAGGCATGAGCCACTGTGCCTGGCCTGAGCTAATTCCTTATAAGAAATTTTATTATATTTACAGAGGGTGGGGAGGGGAAGTGGAGCCAAGAGCCCAAGGAGGGGGACAAGACCATGGAGAACAATGTACTCCCAGAAGGCAGACCTGGGCCCCAGTCACGGGCATCCCTGTCTCTGCAGTGGCAGAACCTGGCAATATTTGCCCACCAGGGTTCCAAGATGATATGGACCATTCTCTTGTCATTTTAGTTTCTGGATCTCTTGATTGAGAGAGTCATGCTCAGGGATCCTCAGCCACCTAAGGACCTGATTTGATCATGAGATCCAGGACATCCTGGCTTATGCTGTAATTGGGTGAGATTTGGGAGATCCTGAGGATATTTGCATGTGAAAGTAATGTAATGATTATGGCCAGAGGGAGGATAGTGCCACATGGCAAAAATGGACACAGGGCTTTCCAGCTCTTTACACCAACAGATGAAGTTTATTATTGCACTGTCTGTCAGCAAGAATGAGTTTGTCAGATCGTTTTCCTTCCCAGCCTCTTATCTGAAGGGTTAAGGGGGACTCACCTGCTCATAGCTCCTTACTGGTGTCAATACATTTTATCCTCACAGTATCCTCTGATGAGTGGGACCGTGATTGTTCCCATTTCACAGATGAGGAAACTGACGAACAAGAAACGGAGTTACTTCCCCGAGGCCACACAGCTGGTCAGGAAATTACTAGGATTCACACCCAGCCAGGCTGCCGTGTGGCCTGCCTATCCTCTTCACCTCCCTGCCCCCAGCACTGCCCAGCCCTGGTGCTGTGGATGGGTCACACGTAGGCAGAGATGGTGCCCCCTTGGCCCTGGTGCAGGTGGTGGGCTGGGGGCAGCAAGATGCCACCTAGGGAGCAGTGTTGCCCCTCCCCCAGGGCTTCGGGCAAAGGGCACCTGATGAAGGGGAAGACTGCCAGTGTGGCCTGCTCTGTGTGGCACACCCTCGTGGCTGGCATCTAATGAAGGGGTCTGGCTGTTAGTGCTCCTGGTCTGCTATTATCATCCCAGCTTTTGGCCTGTGTGCCTCCTCAGGACATCTGCACACACGGGTCATTCCAGGCTCATCTTCTAGGAGGTCACAGGGGCCAGCCAGGTGGCCTGGTGGGCCTCCTGCCCTGGAAAAGGGGGCCATGTCCATTCTGAGCCTCTCAGTCCCTTTTACCTTTTAGTTCAGACCAGAGCAGGCTCTGCAGCCTATTCTGTGCTCTCCCCTGAACCTCCAGGGGGGAGACTTCCTTTGGGCTGTCAGAACAGGTCTGTCTCTAACCCCCTTTAAACACAAATACTAGAGAGATGTGGGGAATCCTTTATAAAGACGTGACATAATCACATCCCCTGTTTCTCACATCACTCACCTCACTCCTCCCAGGGGCACTAGTAACCCCTACATTCCCCTTTCTCAAGTCCCCAAGAGGGACCAGCCCCCAGGCCTTGGAATCCCCAAGCTCTGAAGCTGGCGTGGGGGAGGCAAAAACAAAGGGTCTTGATGCCTCTGTCTGAGAACAGACCAGGAGGTGTTCATTGCAGGAGTCGGCTCAATGCTTTATTAACTTCTCATAAAGCCAAACAGCCTGTCGTAGAAACACTGGTGTCATTGACAATTGCTCCAATGCCCCATTTAGACACAGTCATTACCCAAAGGCCCCCAGGTGTTTTGAGAACAACCTAACAATATGGCTACTGCCTCACGTGCATGCAGAATGCTGTTCCTTCAGAGCCCTGTGCATGTTGCACGTGTTTCTTATTTTAAAACCAAGAGGGTCTCAGCCATGTGAGGGAGAGGAGACTCTGCCGTCTTAGGGCAGTTGGGTGGGCTGGGACTGGAAATTTCTTTAGACCTAGGGGTTGCCTGGCAGGTAGAGTGACCAAGTACCTGGGACTACCAGGGGACTTCCTGGGGCAGGGGACTATGAGTGCTAAAACCAGGACAGTCCTGGGCACACTGGGGTGGTTGGACACCCTATCGGCAGAGACAAAAGCCCAGGTCAGGTGTCATGTCAGTCAAGAGCGGCGTGCTGAGTCAGCCGATGCAAGCCAAGCTCGAGGGGGGATGTCACAACATGAATTTGATGATACAAAGGCAGATTTCCTGGGCTGTTACCATGTGCCAGGTAATACTCTCAGCACTTCGTGTTTGTTTACACATGCACTACTCTTAGTGTCCTTCGAGGTATTTTTGTCCCTCTGTAGCTTATGAAAAATGAGAGATACAGAAAGGTAAAGTGAACTTCCCAAGGTCCCGCAGTGAATAAGTGGCAGAGCCAGGATTTCATCCTGTGTCCCACAGTCTATTCTCATAGTCACAGTGATAAACTTCAGACTCCCCAGCCAAGCACAAAAGACCCCTCACTGATGGAGTCCATCCTCCCACGTATCAGTTAGCTTCTGCTGCATAACAGACCATCCCAAAATACAGTGGCTTCCACCAGCAAACGTTTATTATGTCTCATGATTCCATGGGTTGGTTGGGCAGTTCTTCCTGTCTCGACAGGCTCTACTGGGGCTGGATGGTCTCAGGTGGCCTCATTCACCTGTCTGGGTCTCAGCTGGGACAGCGGGGAGGACTTGATGGCTGAGGCCTCACTCCACATGGTCTCTCATCCTCCAAGAGACCAGCTCAGACTTATCCACGTGGTGGTGCCTGCAGCGTTCCCAGTACTGGAAAGGGCTAGGGCTTTTCAACCTGCTGTTTGTGTTTATTGATGCCCCTTTTTGCAAAAGCAAGTCAGCCAGGCCAAGTCCAGATTCAAGGTGTGGAGAAACAGCAACGTCCTAGAGCAAAGGGCATGGCTTCAGAGGTAGGAGGAATTTGTGGCCCTGTTGCAATCTGCCACACTGAGTCTCTAGTTTCACCTCCCTCCACATCTCCCCACCTGTCTGCTATGGGGCTCCCAGAAGGTACCCACCTTTCTCTCACCACGGGATACACAGGTGTGCACTGTTCTCCACCAGGAATGCTTCTCCCTCAAATTCCCCTGGCCAGCTCTTTTGTATCCTTCAAAACTCAGCTCAGGGGATGCCTCTCCTGGGAAGCCTTCCCTGACCACTCCCCAGAAACCCAGGAGGCTGGGTTAGGGCCTCCCTGGCTTTCCTTCTGTGTCCCCTTCTCAATACTCTCACAGCACTTCCCACCTCTAGGAGGCTGAGAGGCCCTGAGGTCAAGAGTAGCAAATTACAGCCTCAGTGTCCAGTCCAGAGGAGGGGCTCAGTAAATGCTGAGGGAAGGAGGGAGGGAGGGAGGGAAGGAGGGAGGGAGGGAGGGAAGGAGGGAAGGAGGGAGGGGGAAACTGAGGCTTGGACAAAAAGGTCAGCGTAACCAGGGGATGGAAGCCAGGCCAGTAACTAGGCAGGGCCAGGCAGGCCCAGGCTGTGTTACCAGCTGTGAGGAGGCATCTTGACCCTGAGCCAAAAGCCTGCTAGCCCTCCTGCTCAGGAACTCCTCCACCTCCATCATAGATAAGCCTGACCCACAAAAGGAGCTGAACACCTGGCTGGAGTGGGGGAGTGGGGACCTGGAAGGACTCAGAGGCCAGGAAGTTGCAATATTGATTGAATGCCAAAAAGAGCCAGGCATTGGGACTACAGCAGGAAACCAGACAAACGGATCCTGGCAGGGGGACTCAGACACTGTCTTGTTAATTACAGTGAAATGAATTACCCCAGCAGGCAGCCAGGGAGGAGATGGATAACTTGGTTTGATCTGGTCCCAGGTGAGATCCTGGGAGGCTTCCCTGAGGAGGTGACGGTTGAACTGAGGAGGCATTTGTGGAGGAGGGGAGAGGAAGGGAAAGCATTGAGTGGGAATGGTGGGTGGTCAGAGCATGCTTGAGGGGCTGAAGGAGACACAGACTAGAGTCTCAGGAGAGAAGCAGCAGCTCAGCCCCCATGGAATTAAAGGAGGGAGCCCTTCCTGGGGGCTTGATGCTCCCCAACATCAACAACAAGAATAATAGTAAGTGCTTCATTAGCACCTGCTAGGAGCCAGGTGTGGAAATGTTTCCCACGTTTACTCATTTAATTCCATAGTTATTGTCCCCATTTCAAAGAGGAGGAAGCTGAGACCCACAGGAGTTGAGTTATTTGCCCAATGTCAAAGCCAGGTTTCAAACTCAGTGTTGCTTCAGAGGCTGGGCTCATAACACTGACCTACTGCCTGTGATCACAGAGTCACTCTACAAGCAATCTTTAAGCAGCTGGTGTGTCCTGTTGGTGCTGAGGAATGTAGAGGGGAATAATCAAGGCACGGCCCCTGCCTTGGGGACAGGGGGAGGCTGACATTGTAACCTGGACAAAGAAGTAAATCACAAATATCAGATGGAGATCCATGCTACATGCAAATAAAGGAGCACAATGTGACAGAAGTGATAGTGGGGGATGTGGGGACACAGCTGGATGGGTGTCTGCAGAGCCACTAGGAGGAAGTGACATTTGTGCTGAGATCTCAATGCCGTGAGAGGATGAGGAAGAAGAGCCTCCCAGGGAGAGGAAAAGGCAGGTGCAAAGGCCCTGCGGCAGGAATGGATTCCATGCATTTGAGAAACTGAGTGTGTTAGCCTGTTCTTACATTGCTATAAAGAAATACTTGAGGCTGGGTAATTTATAAAGAAAAAAGGTTTAATTGGCTCACGGTTCCACAGGCTGTACAGGAAGCATGGAGGCTTCTGCTTCTGGGGAGGCCTCAGGAAACTTACAATCATGGCAGAAGGCAAAGGGGAAGCGGGCGCATCTTACATGGCCAGAGCTGGAGGAGGAGAGGGCAAGGCGGGAGTTGCTACACACTTTCAAACAACCAGATCTCCTGAGAACTCACTCACTATACAGTACCAAGGGGGGTGGTACTAAACCATTCATGAGAACTACCCTCATGATCCAATCACCTCCCACCAGGCACCACTTCCAACACTGGGGATTACAATTCAACAGGAGATTTGGGTGGGGTCACACACCCAAACCATATTACTGAGCAGAGGTCAGTGTAGTGGAAACAGTAAGAAAGGCAGAGGGCAGGAGATAAGGTCAGAGGGGCAGGCAGGGACAGATCCGGTGGGCCTTGGGGCTACATGTGCTGCCATCCTCTGAGTGCCCTCCAGACCCATCCTCAGCCTCCTGCCAGAAGACTGACTTGCATGGACGGCATCAACAGGGCTCTTGTGCCCTCCTGTGCCCCAGCTTCTGTGCGTTCTGGAAGCACCAGAGGAGACCAAGGTACGGGAGTAGAGAGAGGACGAGTGCTTATTTCCCGGCTCCCTCCCTCTGAGCCACAGCAGCAATGGCTGCATTTCTCTCCCATGGCCCCAGCTCCATCACATGGCTCCTTTCCCAAGGCTGCAGTTCTCTCTGGGGTCTGGTGACAGCTTCCTCCTTTGGTCCCTTCAGTACTAAGATTAAAACAGCCTCCCACTGTTGCTGGCCCCAGGGGTCTCACCATCCCTGCTGGCTTCCTGTATGCCTGCCACACCTTGGAGAACCCTCCCTCCATTCCACTCCTTTCAGTTCTTCCCACGTGGGCCATCTGCTCCCTGCCAGTGCCGTGGTTTTCACTCCATGATGAGGAATTCAGATTTTGTTTTAAAACACTAGGAATTTAAAACAGGAGCAGGGCTTAGTTTGGATCCAAAGTTTGCTAAGATGTCCCTGCCTGCCATGGAGGAGGGACAGGAAATGGGGTGAGAATTAATGGGGAACATATTGGGGCTACTGCAGGGTTCCATAGAGTTTGATGGGATTTGGTTTAAGATGGAGGCAGTGCAGAAGGATGGGGCCCAGGTCAGGCAGGACCAACAGCCAGAACAATTGAGCTTGCGTAGGATCCTGTGGCCCCAGACCAGGGAGGCTGTAGGGCCAGGATCCAAGCTCTGAGCTAGTGATGGGATGCCAGGAGACTAGCATGCCAGGATGCTGGAGAGGGAGCCCTGGGCACTGGGCCTGCCAGGGACTGGGAAGGCAGGACCAGCGCAGGGGCATGAATGAGAGCCATGAGCCTCTTGTGATGTCCTTTAGTGCAGGGGCCCCCAAACCCCAGGCCACATTAGTAACAGCCACATAGCAGGAGGTGAGTGGTGGGCAAGCATGAGTGAGAGAGGCTCCATCTGTATTTACAGCTGCTCCCCATTGTTCACATTACTGCCTGAGCTCCACCTCCTGTTAGATCAATGGTGGCATTAGATTCTCATAGGAGTGCAAACCCTACTGTGAACTACAGGAGTGAGGGATCTAGGTTGTGCACTTCTTATGAGAATCTAGTGCCTGATGATCTGCCACTGTCTCCCATCACCCCCAGATGGGGCCATCTAGTTGTAGGAAAACAAGCTCAGGGCTCCCACTGATTCTACATTATGGTGAGTTATATAATTATTTCATTATATATTATAATGTACTAATAGAAGAAATAAAGTGCACAATAAATGTAATGCACTTGAATCATCCCAGAACCAAACTCCCCACCCCCGTCTGTGGAAAAATTGTCTTCCACAAACCGGTCCCTGGTGCCAAAAAGACTGAGCACTATTGCTTTAGTGGGGACTTTGGGAAGCCATACAGTCCCCAGCCATGAAGCCTGTATCTAAAACAGCAGCCATCCAATTGCTTCACACGTACACATGCCCCTGGTAGCATCCCTGCAGAGCCGAGCAGCAATGCAGCTGGTCCTTCGTCACCTCTTCCTGAACAAGGTCTCACACCCTGGTCTGTCTGGCTCCATAGCCTCTGTTGTCTTCTCTGAGCTGGCAGCAGACCAGGTGCTGAGCGTCCAGGGGTGACAAGAGGTGGGATCGCCTAGGAGCTGTCACAGAGACCTCAGTGGAGATGGGGCACATGTCAGCAGGAGGGAGGCAGGAACTGCCAGGTTGTACCCTGGACAGGACAGGCCAACCCGGGAGCTGGATGCTTAGCCGAGACACCCAAGAATAGACTCTGCTGGGTGCACGCGTGAGCACTGAGCCTCAGCCGTTCTCGGCGCTTTGGCCTGTCAGCACCTGGGAATGATCAGAATCCCAAAAAAGCACTCATTATTTCTCCCAGGGCGGTGGTGCCCTTTGGAAAAATGGACGTTTCCTGCGAGATCATCCCCTGAAGCTGCGTTTGTCATAGGCCATTGTGTAAACCCATGTTTGGCCCATTTTTAAAAAATATGAATTATCCACTTGACTGGCTTTAATGCTCCTTCTCCAAACTCTCAAAATGTGTCTGATATCAGGAACCCGGAGAGGAGCCATAAAGCCTCACACGGGAGCGGCCTGGCTGGGTCCAGCCTGGAGCTCTGAGCTCCTCGTGCTGCCCCGTAGGGAAGGCCAGCGTGGGCAGCCAAGGGGAGGGTCTGGGTGGGGTGGAGTCACCCTGCTGGGGGCTTAACACTGCTCAGGACGCCGGTCACCCTGGGGTAGCCATCTGTCATAGCCTGTTTGGGCTGCCATAGCAAAATACCATAGACTGGGGCTTAAACGACAAACATGCACTTCTCACAGTTCTTGGGGCTGAAAAGTGCCAGTTGGGACTTAGGGTTTGGTAATGACCTGCTTCTGGTTCAGAGGTGGCCCTTCTCCCTGTGTCCTCACATGGCAGAAGGGCCCAGAGAGCTCTTGGGAGCCACTGTTATAAGGACACTAATCCCTTCCATGAGGATTCAACCTTTGGGTCACTTCCAAATGTCCCACATCCAAATACCATCTCCTTGGGGATGAGGTTTCAACATAAGAATTTTGGGGGAACACAAGCATTGAATTCATGGCACGCCCAAGTGTCTCTCCTGTCAGAGGCCTCAAAGAGAGAAGCTGGGATCTTCAGGAAGGCTCATTCATTCCACCAAGGTTCACTGAGGCCCTACTGTGTGCAGGCCTAGGGGTGCAGCAATGAACAGACAAGGTTCTTGCCCTCAGGAGCAGACATTATGGAGTGGAGAGGAAGACACAGGTAAACAATGCATCAACAAGACTGTTCCCGGTAGAGACAGGTGCAGGGAAGAAAGGAAAACTAGGTGACACTATGGGGATTGACTCACAGTGGGGGTTAGACAGACACCACCTTAGAATGTGGGGACAGGGAAATTCTCTCTGAGAAGTGACCTTCAAGCTGAGACCTGAAGGACAAAGAGGAACAGGCATTTGAATGACAGATGGCATGGCAGGATGATATTGTTTGGCTGTGTCCCTACCCAAATCTCATCTTGAATTCCTACATGTTGTGGGAGGGACCCAGTGGGAGGTAATTAAATCATGGTGGCAGGTTTTTCCTGTGCTGTTCTCATGATAGTGAATAAGTCTTACAAGATCTGATGGCTTTAAAAAGTGGAGTTTCCCTGACAAGCTCTTTTTTCTTTCTTTCTTTTTTTTTTTTTTGAGACGGAGTCTTGCTCTGTCATCCAGGCTGGAGGGCAGTGGTGTGATCTCAGCTCAGGGCAACCGCCGCCTCCCAGGTTCAAGCAATTCTCCACCCTCAGCCTCCCAAGTATCTGGGATTACAGGTGCCCACCAGCACACCCGGCTAATATTTTGTATTTTTGGTAGAGACGGGGTTTCACCATGTTGGTCAGGGTGGTCTTGAACTCCTGACCCCAAGTGATCCACCCACCTCATCCTCCCAAAGTGCTGGGATTACAGGCATGAGCCACTGTGCCCGGCCGAAGCTCTCTTCCCTTGTCTGCCACCATGTGAGATGTGCTTTTCATCTTTCATCTTTCATCATGATTGTGAGGCCTCCTCAGCCACGTGGAACTGTAAGTTTATTAAGCCTCTTTCTTTTGTAAATTTCCCAGTCTCAAGTGTGTCTTTATCAGTAGTGTGAAAATGGACTAATACACAGGCCAAACATGGGCAGTGGTGGGGCCAAGATTGAGCCAGGAGAAGAAACAGAGATGGAGAAAGGGGTGTGGATAAGTGGAGGAGGGAGACCCACCCCCAAGGGGGCCTAAACTGACACTCCCCCTGGAATGCTCTCCGTCCAACCCTTCCCCTGACTCCTCCTCATCCATCAGGGCTCAGTTGAAATGTGCCTTCTTCCAGGAAGCCTTCCCTGAATCCCCCAGACCCATTTGGAAGGATAGAGGTGTGTTATTCACAGACTTAACCCTTGCCCTTTTCTTTGACATTCAAGGAGTACATGACCACTCATTCAACCTTTCTTCCCACACACTGATGTTCACAAGAGGAGACACGGGGGATCTGTCTCAGTTGTGGCAGCATCCCCAGCACCTAGCACAGTCCCGGTCCACAGTGGGAGCTCAGCAAATGTTTGTTGAATGAATAAATGAGTCCGTCCAGTCCAACAAGATTTTCTCCTTTCAACCCCTAAACCCTCCCTTACTAATCATTGCCCTTATTATGCCATTGCAGGCTATGACATTGGTGCTGGCATCACTCTGCAATGTTGAGCTGCAGGTAAATCGTTGCTTTATTTTATTTTCAAGCAGACTTTCTGATGGTCCCAACAATGCTCACCTCCTGCTTGCATACTTCTGTATAATTTCCTCTCCTTGAGTGCAGGCTGGACATATTGCCTCCCTTGTGTCAAATAGAACATTCCAGAAAAGATGGGATTTCCTTCCAATACTAGATTATAAAAGACTGTGGCTTCCGTTCACGTGCTCTTTCTCAAGCTCTTGGATTGCTCATCATCGGATCAGCCAGGTGCCATGTTGCAAGACAGCACTGTGGAGAGACCACCTGTGTAGACTGCAAAGTAGATGCTCCCAGAGTCAGCCCTGAGATGACCACAGTCCTGGCTACTGCCTCTGTTGCAGCCACGTGAGAGACCTGGAGCTTCAGGCACCCAGGTAAGCTCTGCCCAGATCCCTGCACCACAGAGACTGTGAGATAATGTTTGTTGTTTTAAGATGTTAAATTCTGAGGTTGTGTGTTACGCGGCAATAGATAATTAACATAGTCATTCACCTTCTTACAATCCCATTATGGTTCCTCATTGCCTTCTGGATAATTTTCAAAATCCTTTTAAGTAGGATTCTCAACAGCTTGAGATTGCAATCTTGTCCTAATCTCATATATGCACTCAACACCTAGTACAGAGTCTGACTTATAATAACTGTATACAGGCTGGGCGAGGTGGCTCACGCCTGTAATCCCAGCACTTTGGGAGTCTGAGGCGGATCACGAGGTCAGGAGATCAAGACCATCCTGGTTAACACGGTGAAACCTCGTCTGCTACTAAAAATACAAAAAATTAGCCAGGCGTGGTGGCAGGCGCCTGTAGTCCTGGCTACTCGGGAGGCTGAGGCAGGAGAACGGCGTGAACCTGGGAGGCACAGCTTGCAGTGAGCTGAGATCGCACCACTGCACTCCAGCCTGGGTGACAGAGCAAGACTCTGTCTCAAAAATTATAATAATAATAATAACTGTATATAATTTGTGAAAGGAAGAGAGGAAAGAAGGAAGGGAAGGGGAGGGGAGGGGAGGGGGAAGGGGAAGGGGAAGGGGAGAAAGAAGGAAGGAGAAGGGAAAGGGAGAAGGAAGAAAGGAAGGGGAAGGGGAGGGAAGGGGAGAGGAAGGGGAGGGGGAAGGGGAAGCGGAAGGGGAGGAAGAAGGAAGGGGAAGGGAAAAGGAGAAGGAAGGAAGGAAGGGGAAGGGGAAGTGGAGGGGAGGAGAGGGAGGAAAGAAGGGAAGGAAGGGAAGGAAAGGAAGGAAGGGAGGGAGAGAAGAATACTAAAATTCATGTTTTTCAGTACTCCATTATGTACAGCCTTGAGAATTCATTGAGAGTGACCATCCAAAAAACTAGGTGGGACATGATTTGTCTAAGATACTCAGGGAATCACATTCCTCTTGCCACAGTAACTGGTTCAATCAGTACAAACTCTAGGATTTTTGCTGAGAATTCTGTGACGTAGATGTCTCTGTCTTTCTGAATGGTTGGGATAAGGATCTTGAACTGAAACTTAATGCAGCCACTTTATCACCATGAATAAAGCCAGCCTGAGACCAAAATCAATACATGAAGGTGGGTATAGTAGAGAAAACTATCAAGAAGTGAACCTGACACCCTGATCAAACCACTCCTGAAGCCCACATCTGGAACTTTTTAGTTCCGTTGGTCAGTAAACTCCCTCTATTGTTTTGGGGAGTTTGTGTTTTGTTTTCTGTTTCTAGAAACTGAAAAGCTTCCTTTTCATAGAAGTTTCTGTCTTCAAAAGTCTTCAGTCTGTTGTTCTGTACTCAGCTCAGTTGTCTGATGACTTGGTTACTCAATGCTTCCCTGTGCTGGGCTCTTCTACTTGTCCTAGGATAGAAGCTTCTCCTAGGAACACAAAACTAAAAAGCAGCCCCCAATTTAAAGGGCGCGCTATTTCTGTGGGCTAAATTGTGTCCTCCCAAAATTCATGTATTGAAGTCCTAACCCCCAGTGTGACTGTATTTGGAGTTAGGGCTTTTAGGAGGTAATTAGGGTGAAATGAGGTCACAAGGGCAGGGCCCTAATCCCTATTGGATTGGTGGCCTTATAGGAGGAGAAAAGAGTGAGATCTCCCCCTCTGTCTACACGTGTAGACACCTGGGAAAGGCCTTGTGAGGACATAGCAAATAGGCAGGTGTCTGCAACCCAAGCAGATAGCCCTCACCACACACTGATCCTGCTGGCACCTTGATCTTGGACTTCCAGCTTCCAGAACTGTGAGAAAATAAGTTTCTGTGGTTTAAACCACACAGGCTGTGGGATTTTGTTCTGCTATGGGATTTTGTTCTGGCTGTCTACGCTGACGAAGACAAGCAGCCAACGAAGCACCAGGAGTCACTATTCTGGCAGAGGTGTCTACGGCATGGAAGGCAGAGCAGCTACTTCCTCCTGGTAGGATCAGGGAAAGCTTCAAGCAGGAGGTGACACCTGAGCTAGTCTCTGGTGGGTGCCGAAAATTTCACCAGGTGGGAGAGAGGAAGAGTATTCCAGACAGAGAAGACACAGGTACAAACGCCCAGACCTGAGGAGGTGCCTAATATACTGAGACAATTTCTATCATAGCCAGAGGTGAGGAGCCATGCAGGGCAGAGGCGGAGCCAGGACAGAGGCAAGGCTGGGTGTGCCCTTGGATCAGCAAGTAATCAAATGCCATGCTAAGGGGATCGGACTCCATCTAAATGCCAGGGGGCCCTTTAGAAGTCTTGAAGCAGTGAAGGAGCCATTTAGTCTTTGAAGGAGGTAGGGTCCTAAAACATCCAAGATCTTTTCCGGCTTGAAAATGCTGTGAGCCAGCAAAGCCAGCAACAACTAATGACTTTCACTGGGTGAAAGTTAATAGACTTGTTTGAATTGAGGTTGCACAAATAGATTTGAGGTTTCATGAAATCCTGGGAGGAAGCTGGGGGCAGATCACAGAGACCAGAGCTGGTGGGGGAGATCAGGGCCATAGTAACCTAGGCTTCCTTGTGTGGTGTCACATAGAAACACACAGCCAAGCACCGGGATTAGTCTTCCTAGGAACAGCCTCCCCATCCAGCTTTCGTCACCCACCAGATGTGGCTGCAGAGCCCAGACCTCCCACTGCTTCTGCTGGGAATTTACATACAGACTTCAGGAGCAGCCCCCAAGACCAGTCCCTCCAAGACCAGCCCCAGTGAAATCAAACCTTTTCCCCTTTTATTTTAGAGCCTTTAGAGTCAGACTTCCCCTTGGGAGGTGATAGATGCCCATCTCATCAAATTGGTAGAAGCCAGCAACTCTCACAGCAGTGAATAGAGACCCTTTGAAGGAAAATGTCAGGCCAATAAAACATCAAAGGCAGTTTGGCTTCCTAGGTAACAAGGAATAATGATGATGGGCTCCCAATTCCCCCAGCAAGGCAGAGCTTTGGAGATCTCCAGTGGAGGTGAAGTAAAAAGGCTTTTCCTGAACCTAATCAGGAAAAGCGTCCTCAAATGACCACATGTGGTGGATGCTGTCACAGCAGCCCTACTGGGCAGATGAGGATACTGAGGCATAGATAAGCCACGCCCTCCTCTGGTGAGTGCCTAGGTCCTGGCCTGATGGACTCCAGCCAGCACGCTCTTTACCACTCTGCTCACTAGGCAGGAAGCAGGAGCCCGCAGTGTTAGGTCCTCCAGAACCTCAAAGCTGTGTCTGTCATGGGATCAGGGTCCAGAAGTCCTGCATTTGAATTCCAGCTCAGTCAGTGCTTCAGAAAATTGGGATAATAGTCCTAAGATCGTAGCATTTTGCAGGGGGTTAAAGGGCAAATGTGTATAATGTGTGGAGCATGGGGTTTTGCACAGAATAGATCCTCGATGGGTGCTGACTCCCTTCTTTCTTTCTCCCATTTATAGATGAGGAAATAAAGCCCTCAGTTATAATATCATCAGAATACTAAAGATGATATTAGCAGCTCTAAAAACTTCGCCCTAATATTTAAGGGTCTGCCATGATAAAAGCTGATTTCTCTCCCATGTAAAGTTGAGGGTAGGTCTTATTGATGGGTAGGTGGCTCTCTGCAGGGGGAAACTTTGACCCATGCCCCTTCCAACTTGCAGCTCTGCCGTCTTCAACACCTGGTTTCTGAGGTCAAGGTCATCTGGCTCATCTGTATGGGGCTGGCAGAAAGGGAAGGAGCTCCTCCTGTGAGGTTCTCAAGGGCCCAAGGTGGAAGCAAGACCTGTCACTTCTGCTCGCATGCAATTGGCTGGAATACAGTCACACGGTCCCACCTACCTACAGAGGAGGCTGGTGGACATAGTCTTGCTGTGTGCACAGGAAGGAAAAAAAAACATACTTGGTGAACAGCTGAACAGTCTATGTCACACCTGGAGAAGTGAAATTATGTCCGAGGAAATCCAGCGGGTCAATAGCTGAGCTCAGTTTCGAGCCCAGGTTTCCTGTGTGCACCTGGGTCCCAGGCTCTTCCCTCCACATGTTGTGCTCCAGAGTGAGGCAGAGTCACGGGTGGCCAGTGGAACCTCAGACATGGGTTCACCTGAGTAGGGGGAAGGAGGCACACAGGTGGTCAACCTATTGTCTCTGTTGCCTGGAGGAATGACAGGTAAGGGACAGAGAGCCACAGCTCCAGGGCTCTGGGCTGTGAAATGGGTCCAGATGCAGAGTTGACCTCAGGCAGCCGTTGGGAACAGTTTCCTCTCCTGCCCCACAAGGCTGCAGGGAGAGGACCCACTGTATAGGATTGTGTGAGGGTGAAGGGAGATTTGACACCCTCATTGCTCACCTTTTCCAGCCCTGCTTTCAGGGCTTCTTTCAGGGCCCTACTTTCTGAAGGGCAGTTCTGATGTAGTCAAGCTAAGGACTTTGAACAATGTTAGTTCCAGGGACCTCTCCTTCCCAGGGATGTTTGAATACAATAGGAAGCTGGGGAAAGGGGAAGGCAGTCATGCAGAAGTCGAGTCCCTCTCATCAGACAGGTGAGGATGTGACACTCTGATAGGGGATGCTTTATAAATATGTGTCCCAACCCAGACATCCCACCTCTAGGAATTTAATCCTTAGAAACAATCAGGGATGCACACAGAGCTCTAATGTATAGGATATTGCTGATAATAGCTAAAGAGCAACACACAATAATCTAATAATCTGGAAATAATCTATACACCTCAAGAGTTAGGTAGAGTTATTTATGTTACATCCACTCAAATGAAAACTAGGCAATAATTCCACATTTCAAAATTATCCTGTGGAAGATGTTAAGTGGCAAAGCAAGATTTTTATGCCATAGTAAATGTAAACAGAAGATTATAGAACAGTGTGTTCTATACAGTATGTTATCCTTTTTGTAGGAAAAATGTAATTATACAAACACACACACACACACACACACACACCAATGTTTGATAGAAGTTATCTGTGGGTAATGGGATTGTGAGTGATTTTTCTTTTGTCTTTTTCTTTCTTTCTTTTTTGGTTTGTTTTTATTTTCTATGATGAACATGAATAATTTTTCAAGGAGGAAAAAATATATTCTCAAATCAAGAGGTTTGGGAGCTTTCATTGGCATCCTCAGGACTGGGTAATACCTCAGAACAAGGAAATTCTGTCCTTCTTTGACTTTAGGTTTAGTAATCAAGAGTGTCTGAAACAGAGCCAAGGCTACATAGGTAAGGCCTGGGCTTCTTTTGCCTTGGAGATCATTGGTAATTGTATTTTTTGAATTTTTCAAAGTGTTCTTGTGTCTTAGTCCATTTTCCATTCCTATGATATAATACCTAAGACTGGGTAATTTATAATAAACAGAAATGTATTTTACTTATGGTGCTGGAGGCTGGAAAGTCCAAGAGCATAGTGCCACCATCTGGTGAGGGCCTTCATGCTGTGTCATCCCATAACAGAAAGCAGAAGAACAAAAGAATACATGCAAGAGAGAGAGAAAGAGCATGACGGGCCAGGCTCACTTTTGCAACAACCTACCCTCAAAATAACAAACCCATTTCCATGATAACAACATTAATCCACTTATGAGATCTCTGCCCTTATGATTCTATCACCTCTTATTAGGATTCACCTCCCAACACTATTGCATTGGGAGTTAAGTTGCAACATGTGAACTTTTTGGGACACATTTAAGCACATCAAATATCATCTTGATTTCAGCTTTCTAACTTATAATTCCAATGAACTTTTACCTTCTTGATTAGATTGAGTATATGCAAAAGAGTTCAAAAACACTGTATTAGTCAGCTATTGCTTTATAACAAACAACCACGAACACTGGTGCAACATGCTACAATCAGTATGTATTTCTCACACATCCACAGGTTGGTGGCTCTGAGACTCAGATCAGATGCAAATCTGCCCCCATGTACTCCTTACCCTCCTAGAACCAGAGAGATAGACAGGGCATCTTCTTCTCATGAAAATGGCAGGGGCACAGGATGGCACACAGGAACATGCAGTGCACCTTAAAGCCTAGATTCTGAACTGACAATGATCACCTTTGCCCACATACCATTGTCTGAAAGAAGTCATGGGCTGAACCCAAAGTCAAGAGGCTAGGAGGTTTACTCTGCCTTCTGTAGGAGTAGCTGCAGTCATGTGGCAGAGTGCTTGGGTCCAGAGAAAGGTGAAAAATTAGGACCAGTTCTCTAATACAGCGTCTCATATCCACAAATGGCCACTGCAGTCAGGTCATGGTGCAAGATAGCTAAACTCACTTTGGACACTTTAAAAATGACAATATTCCTCCTGATTCTAAAGCAATACAGAAGTATAGTGAAAAAGTGTAAAGGAGAACATGAGTATTGCCATAATTCCATTTCCTCAGACGACCCCTGTTAGGATTTTGCTGCATGTCCTTGCAATATGCACATCAATTTACATACTCAAATAAACATAAGCATATATTTACGTTAACAAAAGTGGGAGCATACTTTATCTGGTTTTGTACACTACATTTTTCACTGAATCTCATTTTTTGAGCTTTTTCTTGCATGATTAGATATTCTTTTGAAACCAGGCTTTTTCATGGCTGTACTGTATTTTAAAGTTGCACTATAAATTACCTAGACCTGCACACTCCAATGTGGTAGCTGCTAGTCACATGTGGCTGTTTAGCACTGGAAATGTGGCTGGTCTGAATTGAAATAAACATAAGCATAAAAACTGTACATTCAGGCCGGGCGCTGTGGCTTACGCCTATTATCCCAACACTTTGGGATGCTGAGGCAGGTGGATCACCTGAGGTCAGGAGTTCAAAACTAGCGTGGCCCACATAGCAAAACCTCATCTCTATTAAAAATACAAAAATTAGCCAGGCATGGTGGCACATGCCTGCAATCCCTGCTACTCGGGAGGCTGAGGCAGGAGAATCACTTGAACCCAGGAGGCGGCGGTTGCAGTGAGCGGAGATCACACTGCCCTCTAGCCTGGGCAATGGAGTGAGACTCAACAAAAGACTATACTTTCGGGGTCATTTCTATAGTCTGAAATAAATGTAAGCATAAAATACAAATCAGATTTTGAAGACTTGGCACAAAAAAGAAGGTACAATATCTCACTAATAATTTTTATATTGATTATAAGTTGAAATACTATTTTGGATATATTGGGTTAAACAAAATATATGATTAAAATAAATTCCACCTGTTCCTTTTTACTTTTTAATGTGCATACAGAAAAATTAAAAATTACATATGTGTTTATATTTGCGGTTTGTGTTGTGTTATACTTCAACTGGGTGGCACTGATCTGGACTCCTCTGTGGTTAGATATTTAGGCTCTTTCAGATTTTATCCCACTATAAACAACACCATAGTGAGCATCATGGAATACAGTACTAGTCAGCACTGAGCTGTGTTCCTATTACCATCCCCTTTTATAGATGAGAAACCAGGACTCAGAGATGTCAGCAACGTGCTCAGGGTCACACAGCAGCTATTTAATTGGTGAAGTCAAGACTAAAACCCCAACTTGATTGACTCCCATGATTTTTATCAGGTGGCTATCCCCACTTTTTGTGTATCTTCCTGATAATTGCCTTGGGATTAATTTCTAGAAGTAGGAGTCATGGGTGAAAGGGTTTGCACATTTTCATGCTTTGGGAGCATATTGCCAACACATCTTCCAAAAAGAAGTTGCCGATTCAAACTGTAAACAACAGTCTACTCAGCAATTATCCACAGGGTGTTTACCGTGAGCCAGGCACCATTCTATGTGGAAAAAGTCCATGATAGACAAGACAGACATGACCACCCCACCCCCCCTCCCCGACCCACTCCTGGGGCTCATGTGACCACAGCTTCCTGGGGCAGAGAGAGGTGACAAGCACTGAAGAGAAAACACGCTAGTCTCAGGGAGATAGAAGTGTGCACTGTGAAGTGGACAAAACAGAGGGATAGAGCAGTGACGAGGGTGGGGCAGGGTGGGCAGGAGGCTCCACTTTAAGTAGGGATATTCGGCAGGGATTCTCAGAGGAGGTAGCCTTGGGCTGGACCCCAGGTGACCGAAAGGGAAGATTGGAGGAGGAGGTTCCAGGCAGGATATAGGACAAATGCATAGTTGCCAAGGTAGGACTGAGCTCACTAGTTAGAGGGCCAGGGAGAAACCCTGGGAGTCTGCAGCCCGGTGAGAAAGAGGAGGGGGCAGCGAGGTAGGGTGGGAGGTGAGCAGGGCAGGACTACAGGAGGATGCGACATTTAATTCCAAGTGAAGTGGGAAGCCCTCAGGGACAGCGGGTTCACATGTTGTGGGACCTGAAACATACAATTTGGAGCATCCTTTTTAGAAAAGAAGAGCCAGATTCCAGAATTAGGAATCAAAATGAGCTATGTAATTGAACATTTATTTAGAGTGAGAAAAGAATTCACAATACATTACAGATTTTAAAAAGCTAAAAATTACCAAAAACATTACAGAATCAACAAAAATAACAGTGTTTTTTAATTAGCTCCTGACACATCTCCAGAGTCCTTTTTTTCCTTACATTTTTGGGCCACATTCTCCTGGATTACATCTTCTGTGGCAAAGACTTCATAATACCGTTTTTCATAGAGAGAAGAAAGATTATTTAGTGTTTCCTCTGGCTGAGTTTGATAGAAATTGATTTTTTGTTACTGATGGTTTAGGAACATTTTATTTTCATCGTTGCAATTGATTATTGATGACGTCCCATATATCATTAGTACTATTGCCAAATCTGGGAAAATCACTATCCAGGTTTTTTCATATAGCAGCCATGAGATTTCAGGGCTTTTTAAAACTTCTTGAGCAACCGTGAACCCCAAGTAATTCTTGAATTGATAATTCTCACTAAGCACATTGCTAGGGCCCTTCCCAGGGTCTTAAAAGGGTCAGGGGAATGGCGGGCCCTAAAGCTAAAGCCACATGTAAAGCCGCCTCTAACTGAATGGGATTCCACTAAGGAGAGGAAGGATCTGACTATCCTGGCCGCTGTGCAGAGAATAGACAATGGGGCAGCGGGGGCAGCTGGACAACAGCTGGGCTGTCCAGGAGAAATGGTAACACAGGACAATAGAACTGGGAGAGATGAGCAGATTCCAGGAATCTTTGAGATGTGCTGGCGTTGGGGTAGGTGGGGAAAAGAGGCCTCGAGGATGACCCAAGGTTGGACTGTCTGGGCCACCAGAGCCCAGATTAGACTTGTTGCTTGACTATTCTCTTTCTTCCTTGTATTTTGCGGTCCAGGGCCTGGCCTGCTCGCCCCAGTCTCCTCCCTTTGCTATCTGGGCTTTTTACACATACTGGAACTAGAGGCTCACCCTCAAGCACAGCCAAGTGAGAACTGATGGAAGAGTAACAGGCTCTACAGTCTCACTCTCTGAATGCCAAGGGACTTAATTAGACGCCCAGCATCTGATGGCAGATTGGTTTTCCTAATAGGCTCCAGTGAGAATCCAAGGAGAGAGGCAGGCTTGGGTGGCTTCAGAAGAGATCAGCTCATTCCATCCAGAAGAGAAGAGAGACAGCAGCTACCCCAGAGGGTCAGGAGTGATGAGCAAACCCCAGCCATTGGTCATCACTCATTCCACCGCAGATTGGCAGCTGGGGGCCTAAGTGAGTTGGAAATGGACTTGGTGGTAGCAGAGAAATTATATCTCTTGCTGCACCAGGGAATAAAAACATGTCCATTAGGTTGATCGATCCCATCGTCTAGAGAAGGAAAATGAACTTCGTAAAGTTGACTAAGTAGATGTGCTGGGGGTGTCTCAGAGCTGGGACTATAGTCAGGGGTGGCAGCTTCTGGTGAAGGACTCCGCCGGCTTTAATTGTGCTGCTCCTCCTGCCTTAGGTCCTCAATCGGGTGCACCTGGTTCCTGTGTCCACGTGCAGGGGCCATGCCAGCCAAGTGGAACCAAGACAGGCCCAGGCCCTGTGACAAGAGGGGCTCTGGGCTGGGCACAATTTTCCTGAGCTGTCCAGTTAATGTTAACTTTGGTCTGCTAACAATGAAGGGTGGAAACGCACCACAAACAGGAAAAAAAAAAAGATGAAAAACTGGAAACAAGTGGTCTCCCTTTCCATCAGGCAAGGAAAAGGCCACAGCACCAACCTCCTCTTTCTGCTGAAGGTCTGAAATATCATGAAGTAAATACAGGGCTGGGCTCTGAGGACAGGCTCGACCTCGAGCAGGACCTGCGTGTCTCTGCATTTATGCATTCCTTCATTCACTCCTCCCTCCATTCACAAATGTGTATTAAGGCCAACCGTGTGACAGGCTCGGCCCCCAGCCCTAGTGATATTGCAGTAGACAAGAGAATTTTCCTGCCTTTATGCAGCTTACACGTTAAAAGGGAGGAACAGATAACAAATATAATAAAGAAGTAAATGTGATGTAAGAACTAAGGCAAAAGGAAAACTAAAGCAGGTTCAAGGGAGTTGAGAACACAGAGAGTGCGGGCAAGATGAAGCACTGCAGAACATGGCCACAGCAGGCCTGGCTGAGAAGATGACATTTAAGGACAACTGAAAAAAGGTAAGGAAGTTGGCCATGCAGATGGGAGAGGCACCTTCCAGGCAGCAGAGGCCACTGTGCCAAGGCAAGACAGGAGTGCTCCTGGAGCGTCGAGGAAGAGCAAGGAGGCTGGTGTCGATGCAGGGGAGGGGAGGCAGGGGGAGATGAAGGGGAGAGGAGGAGGGGCAGAGCAAAGTCACACTGAAGCTCCAGAGAGGACAGGGCTCCATAAGCCTGACTAACATAGAGAGCCCTGGAAGGGTTCCCATGCAGTGGAATGACGTGACATGATGAGACTCATGGACAAAGGAGGGAGCAGGGAGACCACTCAGGAGGCTACTGCAGCTGTCCAGGCACGAGGTGGTGGCCCAGGTATGGCACGGCCCAGGGTGGTCAAAATGCAGGGGGTGAGACGGGAATAAATTCTGGACACAGGTTGAAATGGAGCCGACAAGCTCTGTGGATGGGTTCATTGTGGGATATGAGAGAAACACAGGAATCAGGGTTGACTTCTGAGTACTGGAAGGATTAGACTGTTATTACATGAGACGTGGAGGCCAAATGCTATGCGTCAAACTCCTTGAAAGGCCTGGCAGTAACCTTTTAACTGGTGTGAGGGGAGGTGTCGGCAGACTGGCTGCAAGGGACCCAGTGCCCTGATTCAGCATGGCAGAGGGAGAGGGGCCGAGGAGACCTCAGGCTGGCAAGCCGTTACCATGGTCCACGCCTGGTCTCCCAGATACCACTGAGATGAAGAGGCCTGTGGAAGGAGCCGGGCAGGGTGGATCCCCAGGTCACAGCACACAGAGAACCTGTGGCCTTATGTGATTTTCCTAGAGCCATGCTAAACTCTTGCTTGACAACTAAAAATGGAGGGGCCCTTACTTCCCTCCCTTTGACAAAGAAAATGACACATTTGGGGTGACAAATCCAAATGCAAGCAAAGGACTGTCCTGCTCGCTGCCTCTTCTACTCCAACAAATGGCCAGCTCTATTCAGAAATAAATAATGGCCAGCAAGAAACAAATGCAGGAGCTAGCACACAGAGCCAGGCCTCCCAAAGGAAAGAGAAATGAGAGAAAATGCATAGAATCAAAAGGTAGACGAGGGACTTACTTTATACAAGAAATTGCCCAAGAATCAGAACAAAAGTTCAGAGAAGCTAGCATGAAAACTGAACACAAAACAAAACAAAAAACTCAGAGCCAAAGGGCTCAAAGAAGAGTTATTGATGAAAATTACAGAGAGAGAGATGAAAATGGAGTGGCATATCTTAAGAAAGAAATGAAAGAAACTATAATGAAAATATTACAGAGGTGAATGCCATAAAATCAGTAACAGTGAGTAAGCATGAATGGAAATTCCATCAGCGAAGCAGAAGAAAATCAGCTTCAGAAAATCATTCAGCTCCAAACAAAAAAGAGCAAAGCCAGAGAAATGAATATGAAAGCTCCTGACCGGGCATGGTGGCTCATGCCCCCATAATCCCAGCACTTTGGGAGGCCGAGGCAGAGGGATCGCTTGAGGTCAGGAGTTCGAGACCAGCCTGGCCAACATGGCAAAACTCCATCTCTAAAAATACAAAAATTAGCCAGGCATGGTGGCACATGCCTGTAATCGCAGCTATTCGGGAGGCTGAGGCAGGAGAATCACTTGAACCCAGGAAGTGGAGGTTGCAGTGGGCCGAGATCATGCCACTGCCCTCCAGCCTAGGTGACAGAGCAAGACTCCGTCTCAAAAAAAGAAAGAAAGAGAGAAAGAGAGAGAGAGAAAGAAAGAAGGAAAGAAAGAAAGAAAGAAAGAAAGAAAGAAAGAAAGAAAGAAAGAAAGGAAAGAAAGAAAGAAAAAGAAAGCAAGCAAGCAGGCAGGCAAGAAAGAAAGGAAGAAAGAGAGAGAAAGAAAAAGAAAGAAAGGAAGGAAGGAAGGAAGAAAGAAAGAAAAAGAAAGAAAGAAAGAAAGAAAGAAAGAAAGAAAGAAAGAAAGAAAGAAAGAAAGAAAGAAAAGAAAGAAAGAAAGAAAAAAGAAAGAAAGAGAGAAAGATCCTCACCAGCCCTGCCCTGCAACCCAGGCACAGCATGGCTTCCAGTGGGCCATGCTCAGGACCCCCTCAAGGTGGGCTGCAGCAGTGGCATGAGGGCCACACTCAGGACCCCCATCTGTGATGACCTGTCCCACTCAGACAACACCAACATGGGTCCACTTACAGAAACTTTGTACTTACAGAACCTCACCCACTGGCCAGAGTATTTGATAGCTACAGAGGTGCTTGGAGAGCTTATGGGTCACATGATGGGTAAAATAAATGTTTCTCTCGTAGCTAGGGAAGAATTTCCCAGGCATGTCACAGCCTTCTCTGTTGTCCTGGAATTTCCATGCCTTGGTTTGGCCGCTGAACTAATGGAGGAGAATTCCAAAAGAAAGGGTGATTTTGAAATGGATCTCTCAATAAGAGCATCCAGTCATGTTTCAGTCAACATGTACATACAGTTGGGCAAACTTCATGTACAAGATCGTCTTACCATCATCAAGTACTCAACTTGCAAATGAAGATGCTTGTGATAAGAGGAAAGCATTTTCACAGAAATCTGTGATACCATTACCTCATTCTGGGAGGCCTGAAGATACTGAATAACTATGGGCAGTGGTCCTTAGGCAGGTGCTCCAGATAGTTTATAAATAACCTCATTTTCTTTAGATGACCTTTGGAGCCCTGTTAGGATAAAAAGGGTCCTTAGGTCTTAAACACATCAAGAAAATACAGGTTCTAAAGTCATTCTCATTTTTTCCATTTAGCGATATTGTATCTACTGAAGTTGTTCAATGTAATGAAATGCAACCAGAAACGCAGCTATCTAGGTCAAAAGAAGTTATTCCACTATCATGGTTCATAGTGTTAACTACATACTAGGGAAAAAGCTCTGTGTGTGTGTGTGTGTGTGTGTGTGTGTGGTGTGTGCATGTGTGTGTGTGTGTAATTTTTTCATTAAATGGGCTAGGTGCAGTGGCTCACACCTGTAATCTCAGCACTTTGGGAGGCCAAGGAAGGCAGAACACCTGAGGTCAGGAGTTTGAGACCAGCCTGGCTGACATGGTGAAACCCCATCTCTATTAAAAATACAAAAAATTAGCCTGGCTTGGTGGTGCATGCCTGTAGTCTGAGCTACTCAGGAGGCTGAGGCAGGAGAATCGCTTGAACCTTGGAGGCAGAGATTGCAGTGAGCCGAGATCGTGCCATTGCACTCCATCCTGGCCAACAGAGTGAGACTCAGCCTCAAAAAAAAAAGAAAGAAAAGAATCAAAAATGAAATGTGTAAATCTAAGATATATAATAAAACTTGTTGTTGACTCTAAGTAAAATAATGAATACAGAGAGAATGATAGACACCGAAGACAGATTAGGAAAATCTGACACATACATAGAGCTACTGAAGAAGAGAACACAATGACTGGAGCAAAGGAGGATTCAAAGGACGCCATTGTGTTCCACTAAATCAGGCTGCATTCATTAGGCACCTACTGCATAACAGGCACTGGCTCTATGCCAAGAGTACAAGTAAGATGTGGTTCCTGTCCTCAAGGAACTCTGGAGCCTGTGAGGACTACAGGCAAATATGTTGATGATTAAAACACAACTGGAGAAATACTAGAAGAAAGGTTAGGACCGTGGACCATGATTCATTGTGTCAGGTGACAGACATTGTGCTCAGCCTCTCAGTAACCCTGTAAGGTCATTGCTATGGGGAAATGTGTGACCGAGGGTAGAGAGCTGCTGGTTCAAGGTCACATGATCAACAAATGATGGAACCAGATTTTGAAACCAGATGCATCTGCTTCCAAGTTCATTCTCTTTATCTTTGAACATGCTACCTCCAGTCTTACATCAGCTTGAAAACATCCATCACCTCTGTAAGTGAAAGCACCAGTGACTATAAATCCCGGATATTTTTCAGAAGGGTTAATTATGAGGGGTTTGGTTGTTCTACTAGGGGGACATGACGGTGTACCTGTGGGATGTGCACAGGCTTTGAAGGTTTCGTTTAGGGGTGATTTCCTACCCAGCCAGAAGGGGCTTTTATAAGAAAAACAGCAAGCACATTCATCAAGCAAAGCCATGCTCCAAGGCAAAGGGTGTTTGCAAGATGAAAAATGGAGCATCCTTCAAGCTACAGGCTGGTGTCCAAGATGTGCTAAGAATTTAGAACCACAGGACAATGGGAGTGACCAGGAGAGGGGTCAAGTGGCTCAGAAAAAGGGGGAAAACAAGTTTACTAAAGAAAGAGCATTTTGAACGCCATCCTCTGTTGAAAAAAAGGGAAATGCCAGTTACTTGCCTTTGCTTTAAGTTGGCCTAAGGGGTTTGGCCCCGCCTTGCTCAGGCCATCTATTGCAGCCTTAAGGCCCGAATGTAGAATGACATGAGGATGCTTGTGTTGGAGCTGCCGAGTGGCTGTGCAAATATAATATCCAATAGTGCTCCAAGCCCAGCACTGAGCCCCTGGGAGTTTGCCTAGGATATTTCTCTAAGGCTTTGTATTATTTTTTAAAAACAGCAAAAAAAAAAAAAATAGCATTTATCTTTTAGCAACATCAGACTCTTGCCTGCTTCTAGTGCTCTGTGCCTGTTGCCTCTAATGCTGAACTGCAGGTTCCTAAGTCTCCCGAACAAAGTTTGGGGGCATCTTCGGAAAGGAAGCAGTGAAGGGGACGAAGGAGCAGAAACAGAGTAAACAGAAGTGAGAGCTGGGGGAACCACGGTCACAGATGAACAGGAAGAGAGCTAGGGTGGGAAGCCGTCAGGAGCTGAGGGCCAAGGCAGGGATTTACTGATGAGGAGTTGTCATGGAGACATAGCAAAGTGGGTCAGGAGCCTATTTGTAAAGGGCTGGGGAGTAGTTTACTGGGTTGATTAAGAAGTGCAGATTCAGGAGTTCGAGACCAGCCTAGCTAACATGGTGAAACCCTGTCTCTACTAAAAATACAAAAAATTAGCCGGGCATGGATTCGCACACCTGTAATCCCAGCTACTAGGGAGGCTGAAGCAGGAGAATCACTTGAACCCAGGAAGTGGAGGTTGCAGTGAGCCAAGATCCTGCCATTGCACTCTAGCTTGGGCAACAAGAGTGTTTCTCCATCTCAAAAAGAAAAAAAAAAAAAAGAAGTGCAGATTCCTGGGGAGCGCCGATGCCAGAGCTCTTCATCAGCCCCCAAATCCTCCCCTGAGTATCTCAGAGCCCTGCCTGTCCCCAATTCTTCCCCACCCAGCCTTCTTTCTGCCTCAGAGGGAGCTGGCTTTCCTCCTGGAATACTCTCCTCCCCTCCTGCCACTGAACGCTGGTCTGGTTTTATTTTTCAAGACATCAAGGAGGTTTACATATGAGCTCCCTGAAAATGCCCCACCCTCAGCATCCACTGGATATTACGTAGCTCTCACGTTTTCCATTTTTTTTTTAACTCCTAAGAGGTCAAGTTGCTCTTTTTTCAGAAGTATCGCATGGAGATGAAGGGGATTCGAGTGTAATTTTATCCTGTTTAAAGGTAACCAGGAGCGAATGGGAGTAAACAGACCCAAATGGAATCTGTGGCTCATCTCCCTTCCCTTTCCTGGCCCCACCCACCTGTTCTTCCTTCCCACCCCCTCAAAGGCAGCCCTGGGAGCCCCTAAGTAGGGGGAGGATTAATCAGCTAGAGCTCTTGCTGGTGCCTGCCTTCCAGAAATCCTGCAGGCTGGTGAGTCTAGCACGGCAGGGGAAGTGGCCCCACCCGGTGAGCAGGACGACAGAGAGAAGAATTCACGCCTGTCCTGCCAGACCCAGGGCTAGAAGGGCCTGAGGGATCATCTCATGCCACCTGTGCACTGTCTAGGCAGAACACTGAGGCCAAAAAAGGAGAGGGACTTTCCTGGGGTCACTCGGCCGGTTGGTAGCAGAGTAAACTCTGGTCTTCTCTCCTGGACAACACTACTTCCATTCTCACGCTTTGAGGGCTCGTGGGAGGGTTCCAGGAATCTGAGATCTAAAAAGAGCCCTCTGTTGTCAATATTGTATTTCTTCGATTCTGGGACATATATTTTAAACGTTCTAAAATAAGACACATCCTTCAATGGGCAGACATTTCATTTTCTGTTTCTTTTTTGTTTTCTTCCCTCTCGAAGCTGTTATTAAATTGATGGTGTATCTTCTGATAGATATCATCTTAGAGCAAAGCAAACAGGTTAACATCGAAAAATATTACTAGTATTAATAACTATTATTTTAGTTGATTTCTGTCTTTCTAGCACCGTGTTAAATACTCAACGTGCTTTTACTCAGCTAACCCTTCCAATAACCCTATGAGGTGGGTGCAAGCATAACTCCATTTCACAACTGAGGAAACTGAGTCTTGGAGAGGTCCAGTTACTTGCTTGTTGTCACATAGTAAGTGGTGGAGTTGTGATTATACTTAAGCTTGCTGTGTGGCCTTAGAATAAGTCACCTTTCCTGCTATGTGTGTAGGGCCATTATGCCCATGAGAAGCTGTTGCTATTTAAGGAAGGTGTTTTCATTCTCTGGACCCAGGCCCTCCCCTGATGCCTCCTTAGCCACTTATACTGGGCAGAGTGCCCAAGGACAGGAGCACTAAATCCTCCTCATTCAAGTAACTCGGTGCCAACTCACTGCCAGAGGCCAGGGCCCCCCTAACAGGGAGCTTGCCCACAACTGGGAATGTCTTCAACACCTATTGACAGCTCTTCCCCCATCGCTCTGTGCCAAAGTTGAAACAGTAAAAGGTATCGATTTCCCATGACTGAGCTGGGAGGCCAAGGTGAAAGCAGGGAAGAGGTGGGTTGCGGGGGACCATGTAAGACGTCCGGTTTTACATGAAATTATGGTTCTCACTCTCCCGGTGGCATCTCTTCTGTGCCACCACGACAGACGGCTCGCTGAGAAACGACAGATTTGTATTTCATGAGGACACTTTAGTCAAAAGATCGATGATGCTTCTTGGAACCTCTCTGCTCATCCATGGGGGAGGGTGAGCCTGGTGAGAAGCCTGCAAAGACCCAGCTAAAATTAGGCAGCTGCCGACAGACACCCAGTTCACAATCACGGAGCATCGATTACAAAAATGATGCCGGGCTGACGGGCTTTAATCGGCCTCCGTGTTCTGTCTTTGTAGAGAGGGACCTTTGTAATGAAGTGGCTCCCTCTCTCGGAAAATGGAGCTATTTGGGGGCAGGCTCGGGATTTGCCCGAGTGTGGGCTGGGGAAAGCCTGCTCTGTCACTCACTGGCTGCATGGCCTTTGGCATATTATGCAGTTTCCAAGTTCCTGTGAGCAACTTGGAGCAATGACAGCTAGAGTTCTTTCCGAGATATTTATATACATGATTTATCTATATGCATATATATACAAGTTTAAATGATATAAAGCCTTTAGGATCTGGCATATAGTAAGTAATCAATATATTTCTGAGTTATTCTTATTCATAAGCCACAGAACCCTGAAGTGAAAGGGAACACAATGCCAGCTCTTCTTTTTGCAGAGAAGAAAACCGAAGCCCGGGGAGGTTAAATGACTTGACCATGGTTGCTCAGCAAATTTTTGGTTAACTTGTGCCTAGAACCCAACTGTCCTAAAGCCCAGCCAAGTTCTTGTCCTGCCACAGGTTTTTTTTTTTTGTTTTTTGTTTTTTGTTTTTTGTTTTTTTTAGGCAGTCTTTCTCTGTTGCTCAAGCTGGAGTGCTGGAGTGCAGTGGCACAATCTCAGCTCACTGCAACCTCTGCCTCCTGGGTTCAAGCCATTCTCCTGCCTCAGCCTCCCGAGTAACTGTGATTAGACATGCCCGCCACCATGCCCAGCTAATTTTTGTATTTTTAGTGGAGACGGGGTTTCACCATGTTGGCTAGGCTGGTCTCGAACTCCTGACCTCAAGTGGTCCACCCGCCTCAGCCTTCCAAAGTTCTGGGATTACAGGTGTGAGCCACTGTGCCTGGCCATGCCACATGGCATCTTTAGATGTGGATCCTGGCCCTGCCCCCCAGACCCTCCTGGCCTGCTAGGCTCTGAGACAGGCTGAGCTGTTGGCGGGTAGAGAGAGACCTGTTGGAGTTGTTTCTGCTGGGGCCCTTTAACAAGCAGTCACTGTGCATAAGGCCTACTTGTCCCCCATTTGCCAGACCTGCCGGCGAGCAAGGATGGAAAGCTTTCAGGGAGTCATCTCAGAGACCAAAGCCCCTCTACTCTGGGGAAGCCCAGGTGGGCAGAGCCCTTGCAAGCTGGCTCCGGGGGTAACTTCTGCCTTCCTCCTCCTCTTTCTTTCCCCCCACTTCTTCCTTCCTCTAATCCCTCTCCGTTCCATTCTACTCCATCCCTTTCTCCACCCTCTAAGACAGTTGCTTCCTCCTTGTTTTTGTTTCTTTTCCTTCCCTCCCCCATTTTTCTGCAACCATCTCTGCCCCTGCCCCCCCCTCGCTCTACTCCCCTTTGCTGTCTCTGCTGTCCCTTCTTGCCCATTCCCCTGCCTCTATAACCCCTTCTTCCAACCCTGCCTTTGCCCTCCCTTCTCCTCTCTGCCCTCCTCCTTACTGTACCGTTTTCCTCCCTTCTTCTCCCCTTGCCCTTGCTTGTCCTATTTATTTATTTATTTATTTATCTATTTTGAGACAGAGCCTCGTTCTATCACCCAGGCTGGAGTGCAGTGGCATGATCTTGGCTCACTGCAACCTCCGCCTCCAGGGTTCAAGCAATTCTCCTGCCTCAGCCTCCTGAATAGGTGGGATTACAGGCAACGCACCACCATGCCCAGCTAATTTTTGTATTTTTTAGTAGAGACAGGGATTTACCCTGTTGGCTAGGCCGGTCTTGAACTCCTGACCTCAGGCGATCCACCTGCCTCAGCCTCCCAAAGTGCTGGGATTACAGGCATGAGCCACCGTGCCCAGCCCCTGCTTGTCCTTTTATGTCTCTCCTCCTTTGCCCTCCTTACCCCCTCACCCTCCATCTTCTTCACTCATTTCTTCCTCTTCTCTCTTCCCTGTTTCTGCTCTTTCTCTTCTCCTCCTCTTCCTTCCACAACTTCCCATTCTTCCCTCTTCTCCTATTTCCCCCTTCTTTCCTCTCCAGAGATGTTCTCTCACCACTGTGGGGAGGGCTCACATCCCCAACCACCATGGGCGCTTAAAATGGGGCCTGCAAAGTGCTAGGGCGTTGGTCCGCCAGCCTGGCGGGGCCATGCAATGCACGTGGTAGTGGAGAGAGCATCTTCGCTAAATGGTGTATCCACGCACCCACTGGGTCCTGCAGGTTTAGGAAGAGCCAGACAGCTCCCTCTCCAGCCCTGGGTTTCTCCAGCAGGGCACAGGGAGTCTGAGAGTGAGTCACAGGCTATGTGACGAAGAAGAGACATCTGAGTATCCAGAAGAGGCAAGAGTTCATGGTGAGACACAGAACACAAAATGGCGAGTGGTCTTGGCTCAGGCAGATGCAGGGCAGGAGTGAAAAACCACACAGATGGGTTACTGGGACATGTCTCATAGACAGGAAAATTGGGCATACAGAGGTCAAGTGTCCTGCCCAAGTGTCCAGAGTAATTCACTAGAGCCAGAATGAACTTGATCTCCTGGTCAGCATCTTTCCCACCATAGCTGCTTCTATGGGTGACAAATATCAAGACGCAGATAGGGGTTGGGAGAGCAGGGCCATCTGCTCAACATAGGTGCTCAGAGTGCATTAGTAAGTGAAGGCATGAATGAGTGGGAGCTTAGGGCTGTGATGTCCCAGAAATAGATGTGCAGGACAGGTCACAGTTCTGCTCTCAGCAGGGATGCTGCATGGGGAGCAAGTAGGCAGCCAACCATCAGCACCTGGGGAGGCCAAGCAGGGACACACAGGCTGCCAGGAAGCAGCATTCCCAGCCACTATCACTCAGCCTCAGCCAGCAGAGTCCACAGAGGCAACAACACAGGGAGAGCCGGTGTCAGCCCTGTCAGGATACAGCTGCTCACAAGCACGCTCATATTCACACTGCTCAGTCACTGCTGTTTTCAGTTGTCTTGATGTGTAGTAGCCGAGAAGCACATTCTAAGGACAGAGCTTGTGTTCTAATCTTTCTGCTGCACCTTAACCATCCTCTGTGTGGTCTATGCCGTTCCCTCCTCTTCACCTTCACATGTGCCAACCTTGTCACCTGACACGATGGCCATAGCCCTGTCCAGTGTGTTTGTTACATTATTGAAAAATGTCTTCCTACTGATTGGGGAATTTCCCACTTAGGAGACAGAGCCTGAAAATGCGGAAGAGGCTCTTTCCTGGTCTCCTTTACAACTTGAGTGAAGTCACATGATGAGGCTTCTGCAATCAGGTCTCCCCACCTCCCAGTCTAGACTTCGGGCCAGAAGCCCAACAGCAAGGGTTCTCCTTGCTGAGCCTATTCTGGTGATGGTGGCAAGGGTAGCAGCAGAGGCCGGAGGCTCCATGGGAAAAGAGACAGCAGGGGTTCAGCTGTAGCCTGCAGTGTCAGGTAGTGATAGTGGAGGCGGGGCAAGCTGTAGGCTCCAGGACTTGGTGGAGGAGGTTGAGACGCTGTCATCCATCGGTTGATTTGCAGCACTTGTCCTGATGCCACAGCCCCAAGCCTGACTTTCTAACTGTCTCAGTGATTTTTGAAATAACCTCTTATTGACTTAATAACAACTTATTTTGCTTTCGTCATCCACAATCATTTTCTGTGGCTTGCAATAACCACCCTGACTGACACGCCACCACTCTGTTCAAACACTCCCTACCCTAAGGACCAAGTTAAAATGATGCCTCCTCCTGGGAGTCTTCTCTGATTCCCACAGCTAGAGGTATTGGTCCACTTCACTCACTTTGCCCGTGGTTCCATCTGTGCACTGGAGCTCCTGAGGGCAGCAGCACAGCAGAGTCATCTCCTACAGCCCAGGCAGGATCACAGTTAAGAGCATGGACTTGGGGGCCACTTCCTGGGTTTAAGCCCCAGCTTTGCTGCTAATTAGCTGTGTGACCTTAGGCAAGTTACTAAACCTCTCTGTGTCTCTGTTTGCTCATCTATAAAATAGGGGTGACAGCAGCACCTACCTCCCAGGATTGCCGAGAGGATTATTACATGTGTCCATATAATAATGTCCTGTCCTAAACTCACATTGTGTGACTTAATTCCCTGCAGGATGGCCCTTCAGAGTGTGTCTGTCGTTCCTGCTGGTGGCTCACAGAACATCCAGTGTTACCCACTCTTCCACTGCGCCCAAGCCCTCTGACCATAATCCACACTGTGCCCCTCAATGGCCCGAGTCCGCTCTGTCTCCCTGAGGCTCCTCCCATGCCCTCGCTTATTGCTGTCCCCATGTAGCTGCCTTGCCCTTTTCTGTCACCTGCACCATCGCTGGCCTCTTAGCTGATCTCTTTGCAGCCAGAGCCTCAGTCCCTGTTCACCTGCACCCAAATTCCTTCCTCAAACATGACAACCCTGAGCACATCCTCCTGCTGTAATGGAATGGGCTGATGAGTCCCTACGACCCACAGGTTAAATGCAAAACCTACAACCGGCATTCCAGTCCCCTCCTGCTCTGATTCCTGTGGCTCCTGGCCTCCTGTACAGCTTCCTCCTCCCCGCTGCCACACAGCTGTCCTGAACACCTCCAGCTCCATGACCACGCGGCTCTCCCTCCTCAGTACCTGGGCCTCTGCAGGACCCCTCAGCCCTCAGTGTCCTCCCCCTTCTCTGTCTGGTGAGTTGCACTTCTCCTTTAGGACTCAGCTCAGAGGTGACCTTGAGAGGTGACCTTGACCCCTGCTCCACACCCCCATCAGGGTAGGAGTGTCCCCTCTCCTCAACAACAACCTTTACCTGTGATGGTTCGTGGGTCCCCCCATGTATGAGCCTCTGAGAGCAGTGCTCCGCCAGGGGTCTGCAAAGTAAGATCCAGCCCCCAACTATGCATCAGGTGCAGAGTCTCAAAAGCATTGCAAACCCAACACGTACAAGCCCAAGATCATAAACTCTCTGCATCCTCCAAACCCAGCTCTTCTCCAGTCTCCTCACCCTGTAAATAACACCTCCATCTGTCCATGCAGTGGCCCCGGCCAGGAGCCTGGGTGCTGTCCTAGGCACCTCCTCTCCTCCCTCACTGAACCTGGCAGCCAAGCCTGTCCATTGACCCCTAATGCCTCTGAGCCCATCCTCTCCTCTCCATCTTTGCAGTAGGATCCTTTGTTACAGACACTACTAGGACCCCACTCTCCCCTTCAGAGCCGATTGTGAGTGATTCACACTCAGTCCTTCGATCCAGACTCTAAGATGTCTAAGGACAAAGCATCCAGCTTTTCTTCACCACCAAGTTCTCACTCCCCTGAGCAGGGTCTGGCACGCAGCAGGTGCTCACTAAACATCTGCTTACTGAATGCATAAATAAGAGCTACTGCTCAGTAAGCACCTACTATGTGCCAGACATTGTGCTGAACACTTAATTGCATCAACTGGTTTGTTCCTCCCAAATCCTAACATAATCTTCATTACATAGAGTAGAAAACTGATCAGATCACTTGAACCACTTGAACTGAGGCTCAGATCACTTGGGAGGTGGAAGTTGCAGTGAGCCAAGATCACTGCACTCCAGCCTGGGTGACAGAGCAAAACTCTGTCTCAAAAAAAAAAGAAAGCTGAGGCTCAGCACCGTAAGTCACTTACCCAGAATCCCACAGCCAGTCAGTGGCACAGCCGGGTCTCAGAGCCCAAGAGCCTCTGACATTTAACTGCGTCATTTCTATGCTGCCGAAATACAAACCCACACTGACCCCCACCACAGAGCATAATGGTCTGCATCATGCTTGTCCTTCCCCATCAGGCTGGAGCCCCTGAGGGTAGGCACCCTGATTTTTAAGCCCACATGCCCCCAGTTCTGGGCCTCAGGGCTTCCTAACCATCCTTGGTTAATAAGGGAGGCGAGAAGGAGGATGTGCCTGGAGTTCCAGCTCACCGGTGCTTGGCTGGTCCGGAATCCCGATGGTGTGTAGGCTGTTGCTGCAGGAAGGACCCCAGGAGATGTCAGGAAGACAGGGAGCTCCCCTCTGCCCTCAGCTTTTGTCGATGGGCCAATGTTGTCACAGGGTAAGCTGGACTCTGGGGGGCATCTACACCAGCAAAGCTACCCAGCCAGGGGTCCTCAGACCCTGATGCTCAGTAGCACCAGCATTCTCACGACTAGATGCCCCTAAAGACCCAGCAACAGGCAGAAGAGCCACACTGGCTTCACTGTCCTCAGACCCTCCAAAACCAACCTATTCACTCTTCAATGAGGAGCCCAGGGCATGCACACACAGGACTCAGGAGGGGACCCAAATCACACTGGTTATGAATTTCTAATCCCCTTCCAAGGCTCCAGCGTCCTCGGCAAACACAGAGCCACAGATCAGAGCCTCCTGCATCCCCCATGGGCTCCTTTCTAAATCAACAGATGAGAAATCAGGGGAGCCAACCAGGTGGGCCAGAGCGCTGGGCGGGCCTGCAAGAGGCAGATGGAGGGTGGATGGTCTTGGGGATGAGGCTGCTCGCTGTGGAACTCAGGTCAATAAGTGCTCTTTGCTGGGCAAATTTTACCACCATGAGCACCATGTGGCCATGGGTGACTCAGATATGGGGAAGAAGCATCTTTGCCAGCTGTTAAGAGACCCACTGGGTGGGCACCCATTGCCAGGGCTGGCCAGGACCCAGGAATGGATCCCAACAGGCCTGGGTTTGAGTCTGGCTCTGCCATCCCCAGATGGAGTGGACTCGGGTGAGTCTCATCACCTCTCAGAGCCTCAGTTTCCATACCTGGATTGGTGTGCGTGGGGTAGGAGGGAGCAGGGCAGGAGCTGGGCCTTGCAGGTCTGGGTCTTTGCTTTAAGAGCAGGGGGAGCCTCTGAAGGGCTTCAAATAGCGGGAGGACAGGAGGGGTTTGCATCTCAAACAGATCACCCAGGACCTTTATCTCGGCCCCACCGTGGGTTGTAGGGACAAAAGAGTAAAATGCTGCTGAAAAGCTTAGACCAGTGATGGCTCCAAGCAGCTTCCAGAAAATGGCAGCAAACGTTTTCTGGGTGGAGGTGGGTGGAGTAAGAAGTGGACCAGAGGCTCCAGACAGATGCCCTGCAGCCCTGCCCCTCAGAGCAATGGCCTCACCCATCACAGCAGCAGCCCCTCCCATTATAGCAGTGGTCCTGCCCATCATAGCAGCAGCCCCTCTCATCATAGCAGTGGTCCCGCCCATCATGGCAGCAGTACTGCCCATCATAGCAGCAGCCCCACCCACATAACAGCAGCCCCTCCCATCATAGCAGCAGCCCCTTACATCACAGCAGCAGCCCTGCCCATCATAGCAGTAGTGCCTCTTGAGTGCAGGCACTGAGCTGGGCATATCACATTTATCTTTGTACTGTCTCCCCACAGCCCCCGTTGAGGTGGGTGTTGGGTGTTATTACCACTCCATTTTATAGGAAAAGAAACAGATCGAGAAAAGAGCAGAAACTTACCCAGAGTGAACTGTCCATTAATGAAACACTTCATGAGAGCCAAGCCATCACCAGAGACTGGGGACACAGAAGTGAATCAGACACAACCCCTAGCCTAAAGCAGCTCCCAGTCTAATGGGGGGAGAAGGGTTCTAATATAAATTATTCTTCAATATCCACCATGAAATGAATAAGAAGGGAAGTGTGCAGAAGGTGCAGACACAATGCAGAGGAGGAAAGGATAAAGTCTTTGTAGGTGGGGATGATCAAGGGAGGCTTCTGGGAGGAGGAGGCAGTGTCAGGAAAGAGGTCACATCTCCTGCCTGCTCTTCCAGGGTTCTTTCTGCCAATAGTATTGGTAAGTCCCTGGTGCTTTTTCCTGAGTGAAGGGATAGGGTTTGTCCATCTGGGCTGAAGAGGGTAGCAGTCACCCCATGATTGTCCCTGTCCTCAGCCAGCTCCACTTTTGACACCACTCTGCCATTCCCTTCTTCCCCTGGGTGCTGACCTAGGCATTGCTGCATGTGTGTGGCCTTGCTGTAGGGACATTATTCATTCATTCACTCAGTTATTCATTCCATGTGTAGGTGTTGGCCAGGCACCATGCTCAGCACAGGGATAGGGCAGTGAGGAAATTCAGCTCCTGCATTCATGTTGCCTACAGCTAAGCAAAGGAAACAAGCCTTACAGAGTTGCACTACCCTTTGTGCAGTTTCAATACAACACGTAATACTCAGGAGAGTTCTGTGAAGCCATAAGACACCTCCCTCCATAGACGTGGGAAGATGAGATAGACGAAAAGTCAGGAAGAGCTCCTCAAGGGATGACATGATGGGATGAAGACCTGCAGGAGGAGTAGGTTCTGACTAACAGAGGGCTGAGAAGGAGCATCTGGGGCCAAGAGGGGACATGTGCAAAGGTTCTGGGGAAGCAGATCAGGGCAAGGACAGAGATGGAAACCAGCCAGAGGGGCTGGAGCACAGAGTCAGGGGGAAGCATGGTGAGGGTAGGAAGGGCCAGGGCTTGCAGCCATAGCCAGGCTGGCTGCATTTATCCCCAGAGCAATCAGGAATGAGATGGTTTTTAGTAGAACATGGTGTGGTCAAATCTGCCCTTCAACTAGATCATGTAAGAAGTGGATATCCCAAATCTGTCACCTGCCCTCCATACCAGGGAACACAGCAGAGAACAAGGCTAACTGAGCCCTGGTGAATGCACATTTTGGGTTGTCTGTAGGGGTGACAAACAATATCCAAATAAAATTAGGAACTATGTCAGGTGGTAAGTGGCATGAAGGGAAATGAAATGGGGTAAGAGGGACAGAGAGTGATTTGGGGCTGCTAGGTTAGATGTAGGGGTTGGGAAAAGATCCCACTGGCAAGGTGGCATTTGAGCAGAAACCTGGAGAAGTCAGGAATGAGCCAGGTCATTTAGAGTTGGTTGAATGAACTTAGAAACATTTAGAGAAGAGAAGACAAGATAGAGAGCAGGGGACCCAGAGAGAACTTCAAGGAACAGCCATTAGTGGGCCCAGGGCCTGGCCAAAGCTGCAAGAAGGATCTGGATTGGAGACCTACAGTTTTGCAGTGTTTGTGACCCACACGGACAGCATCTGCAGTCCTATGTGCTCACAGCATTGAGTTTTGATGAGAGATTTGAAGATGATTCCTCATCCCCACATACTGCTCAGTGGCACCAGGGTCCCCTAATCAGGGGCACCTCCCACAAGAATGATCAGGGGTTGCCTGAACCTCCTGCACAAGGTCCCCTGACAAGATGCCTTGCAGAACATCCCTGACCCTGCTCTCACACCCTCTGCCCTTCCCCACAGCCCTCCACCTCCACACCCTCCTCTCTCTCTCCTTCACTCCTTCCTTTTGGTGCAAATGCCTAGTGTTTGTTTTCAGAACCCTGACTCCTTCCCAAGCCACTGACATTTACTCTTTGGAATTAGAATATTTTCTACATCTCCTTCCCAGAGTGAGGTTCCTGGGTAAGACTTCCCTGGCCTTCCTCCTACCCCTCTGGAAATGAAGTGCCAGGGGTAAAACCAGGGTATGTCAGCCCAGCCCTGACTGTGTCAACCAGCAATTATTAGGCAACCACTGTGCACCAAGCACTTCTGAAAGCTGGACCCTATGTAAGGTATCAGAGGCTCAAGGATGTGGGCTGCCCTTTCCACCTCTAGGAGCCACAGGTCCACGTGTATGTCAAAGGGTGGAAGTCTGTGGTGGCCATTCAGTGGGCAGGAGACTTGCAGTTCTGGAGGAACGATTTTGTGCCAGGCTGTCTGCCAGATCCCTCACATAGGACACTCACTTTTCCCTCTAAGCAAACTCACAGAGAGGTATTATTACCCGAGAGAATGAGTGACTTGCCCAAGATGATACAGTTGTAAAGTGGCTCTAGGCTCAGCCAGTTACCTCTTCCTCACCCTGGGCCATGATATCTCCATCTTCGCCATGGGTGAGACATTCCTGGGCCAAAGCACCTACCATGGCTGGGAGCTGAGCAGCTCTTCCATTTCCACAGTCCCTGTGGGTCCCAGCTCTGAGCTCAGCAGCCTCACAGGAGGAGTGGAATCATTACCTAAGAGCCTTCAGTTAACACCGACCCCAGTAACAACACTGGCTTGCCTCATGTGGAGACTCAAAGGGAAAGCCGTGCTGGTGATGCAGGGCAGGCAAGCTCTAAAGTGGGGCTTAGCCCGCTGGGTTCTTGGCTTTGCCCAGGAAAGAATTCAAGGGCAAGCCAGAGGTAGAAGGGAACAGCTTTGTTAAGGAGGCAGTGTCACAGCTCTGTGACTGCTGCTGCAGAGCAGGGCTACCCCATAGGCAGAGAGTAGCAGCTCAGGGCAGTTTTGCAGTCACATTTATACCCACTTTTAATGACATGCAGATTAAGGGGAGGTTTATGCAGAAAGATCTAGGGAAGGGGTAGTAACTTTTGGGTCATTATGTCATTAACATGGAAAGGGGCGGTAACTCCCGGGTGTTACCATGGCAATGGTAAACTGACATGGCACACAGGTGGGCTTAGCTGATTGAAAGCCGCTTCCACCCTGGCTCTGCTTTAGCTAGTCCTCAGTTTGGTTTGGTGTCTGAGCCCTGCCTCTGGAGTTGAGTCCCATCTCCTGCCTCCTTCCCATTTCTCCTGCTCCTTAATCTTAAGGGGGCTGCAGAAGGGTGGAAGTCCATTTTCTGCACCTGTTTCCCGCTGAGTTTATGGGCATAGGCCCTGCCTAGCACTGGAGGAGTAAAAATCGCTGGATACCTGATCTAAGGTGTCTAGAGGCAGGATGCTTTCATTCTCTGGGTTAGTAGGTGAGATGAGTTGGAAGCCTGGTGCCAGCTTTGCCTTTACCTGAAACTGTTGTAATCTAGAAGACTCAAACTTTATTAAGAGGTTAAACAATCAAGGGCCAAAGATTAGCAGCAAGACATCTATTAAAGGTCCTAGGAGAGGTAAAAACCAGGTGAGACTTCAGAAGGCACTTTTGATAGTTGACCAGATATAGCTGGGGTCTGTGCCCTAATTATATCTATGTAACAAGGTAGCTTGCTCATAGACGTTTTGAATGTTAATCCCAGCTTGTCTAGAGTTGTTAATATGTGTGCAGCAGGTTTTATTAATAACTTCACAGACTCTACCTTGTTCAGCTAGTAAACAATCCAACGACAGTCTGTTATGGAAAACTACATTTGCCAAAGAGTTTAAGACTCTTAAATTCCCTTTAATGCCTGACCTGTGTTGGTGGCTAAGGGTTTGATCAAGTTCCTTAGGGTTGACTCATGGTAAGCAAAGCCACCCCAGGGTGCTGCTAGTCCCATCACTATCCCGATTCCTGCCAGCATTAATTCTACTACTCACTTACTCCTGGTATTCTTGGGTCTTATGGGATTAGACACAGTGGCCCCTGGAGGGTCAAGAATGGCCAACGTACATTCATCTCTTTTCCAAGTTTTCAATATACAAGGGAAAACTGCCCCTAAAAAACAAGTGACTCCCTAGGGAGTTGGGAGCAGTTATGGGGTGTGATTTTTTCCTGTTTATGGCCACAAACAAAAATGAGCCCAGTTGGGCCACAAATAGAGGCTCTACAGGGTGTGATATTTTATACTTTGCTGCCAAGTTGGGTCTGCAGAGATATTCTCTCCCCTTGCCACACCCTGGTTCTAGTGAGGGTGGTTGGACAATCCTTGTTTTCCAGAGCGGAGCGGGGAGTACTCCCACCTTCCCAGACTAGGCAGTTGTTTTTCCGTTGTATGTTCTGATCCATGAGAAGGCATCGTATATGCTCTCCTTGCTTACACGTGGAATCCCATTTACCTCACTGTGGCCTTGGGAACTTGTCAAGTAGAGTTGGATCAGAGCATCACAGGGAAGCTTCTGCTTTAGTGTCATTAACACAACCGTGGGCGCAAAAGACAGAATCATAAGTGCACTGAAGATGGACAGACCCAAATTCCCAGGTCCTGGTAATAGCGGTGGGGAGTTCAGTGGGAAGCCGTTAATTGGGGGTAGAGTTCCACTTAACTAGTAGGGGTTGGAGTATTTCAGGAGCACTATGGTTATTTAGGAGGTCTGGGGGAATAGTGGTGAGATTTTCCAGATAAGCCAGAAGATAGAACTCTCTATCCTGGGTATGTTGATGACAAATCCAGCAACCATGAAGATGATTCCTCGATGCTATACTTGTTGAAATATTTACTATACAGTTATATTTCTACCCACACTGAATCAGGGTAATTGGGAGAGCAAACAGGAATGACAGTGACAATATGGTTGTCAGGAATTAGAGTGGCCTCTACACCCAACAAGGACAAAAGAGGCGCTTCCTGAGAGGTTGGCTAAAGTGACAGAAATGAAGTATTACAATCAGGAAGAAAAGAAAAATTAAAGCTCCTATTCTGACCCACAGCATCATGTTACCACCTCTGGCTGGGTCTTGATTCTTTTTTTTTTTTTTTTACATACTTTAAGTTCTGGGGTACATGTGCAGAACATGCAGGTTTGTTACATAGGTATACAAGTGTCATGGTGGTTTGCTGCACCCATCAACCCGTCATCTACATTAGGTATTTCTCCTAATGCTATCCCTCCCCTACCCCCCAACCCCCTGACAGGCCCCAGTGTGTGATGTTCCCCTCCCTGTGTCCATGTGTTCTCATTGTTCAATTCCTACTTATGAGTGAGAACATGTGGTGTTTGATTTTCTGTTCTTGTGTTAGTTTGCTGAGAATAATGGTTTCCAGCTTCATCCATGTCCCTGCAAAGGACATGAACTCATCCTTTTTATGGCTGCATAGTATTCCTTGGTGTATATGTGCCACATTTTCTTTATCCAGTTATCATTGATGGGAATTTGGGTTGGTTCCAAGTCTTTGCTATTGTGAACAGTGCCACAATAAACATACGTGTGCATATGTCTTTATAGTAGAATGATTTATAATCCTTTGGGTATATACCCAGTAGTGGGATTGCTGGGTCAAATGGTATTTCTAGTTCTAGATCCTTGAGGAATCACTACACTTATTTTAAACAGGCAGCGGAGGTCCTCCAAAGGCTCACAGATGTAGGTCGTGGTGTCCTCCTTTTGTGCCTGTGACTCATAAGAAACAGGTTTAATCCTGCACAAGTGTACCCAAATAGTTATTCCCTGAAGTTTAACAGCAGTGGGGGTACTCAACAACACCCAATATGGGCCTTTTCATTTTGGTTGTAATTAATCTTCAGAGGATCCTTCTTTCCAAGTTTTTAGCAAGGCCAAGTCTCCTGATGGAATAGGGGGAGCTAACGATTTCCTTTGTGGGATGTCCTTTTTAATTTCTTCCAGTGGCCTTCTTACTTACAAACGGCACACTGATTTTGGCCTGGAGGCTCTTGAGTGGGGTACTGTCAACTGAGCACCCCAGATGCCAATCTCAGCACATTTCCTTGAGGTGGGTAACCCTGAGGCAGCTGGGGCCCTAATTTAGCAGCTAACAATTGTTTTCTGGCCAATTCTTTTGGTTTTTGCCTCTTGTTCTGCCCTGTCCCTATTACTGTAAATCCCAAAAGCAATGTCTTAGCCAGAAGATAGAACTCTCTATCCTGGGGATGTTAATGACAAATCCAGCAACCATGAAGATGATTCCTCGATGCTATAATTGTTGAAATATTTACTATAGAGTTATATTTCCACCCACACTGGATGATTGTAATTGGGAGAGCAAACAGGATTGACAGTGACAGCACGGGGTCTGGTCAGGCCTTAGAGTGGCCTCTACACCCAATGAAGACAAAAGAGGTGCTTCCCGAGAGGTCCCATTGCTACTTTTTGTAACTTTCTCCTAATGTCAGGGGCAGACTGAGTAATAAAATGCACACCTAGGAGAACTTTCCCTTCCGGGAGGTCGGGGTCTGTATTAGATTACTTCCTGAGTGCCTCAACTAAACAACCCTGAATTAGAATGAGATTTTCATCTTCCTCCTGAGTTATTTTTCTCACTTTAACTGGCTTAATCACATACTGTTTCATGCTGTCTATGAAACAAGTTAGCATATGATTTCTGCATTCAAGATCTTGAGATCCTCTCTGGTCATTCGACTGAGGGTCCAGAACTGCATCTCCTCCCACACGATAAATGGCATGGCCTGGCTTACATGCAGCCACCCCATCTGCATGTTCCCGAGCAGTACCTAGAATTTGTATTTTGCCTCTCTAATACAAGTGGATAATAATATCTGCATGTCATGCCAAAGGAAATCAAAAGACATAGTCAACTTAACAAACTCCTCTACAAACTTCCTTGGATCCTCCAAAAATAGACCAAATTTCTCCTTGCATAAAGCCAAATCAGACATGGAAAAGGCACATATGCTCTGATTGTTCCTCCATGCCTGTCAGCTACCTCCCCCTATGGACACAGGTTTGATTTGGGGGTCTGATATGGGGTCTGACTCCTGGTGGTACTGGTTGGGCTTACTTCCTCAGGCAGTGGGGGATGTGGGCCAGGGCTTGTTGGATAAGGAGGAGGGGTGCCTGATGACCTTGAGGTGAAATCCTGCACTGGAGAACTGGTAGGGCCCACCTCAGAACAAGGGGACTGAGAAGACTCCAAAGGAGGGGACACAGGTCTCCTAGTGGGCGCCTCTGGGCCTCCTAAGAGGAGCAGCTAGGAGGGGGTCATCCAGGATATCAGGTGTGGCTTCTGGGTGCCTGGGAGTATCACGAGCTAGACTGTACAGCTAGCCCCTAAGTTAGGATCCTGGTAGAGGGCCACAAAAGCCTGCATGTAGGGAACTTCTTCCCGTTTTCTTTCCTTTTTACAAAACAAGTCTAATTGTACCATATCATTATAATGTAAAGAATCATGTTTAGGCCAAATCTGTTGGTTTGCCAATTTGTATTGAACTCAAACATTATTGAAATAGTAAATGAGATTTTCTTTTCTTTTTCCACTTGTCTAATAATTTGAACTTATTCCAATTATCTAAAAGTCACCCCCATGGTGAGTCTTTTGGGATGCTTGCTGTGGTCCTCATTTCTAATAAGGATCTCTACAGGGGATTTCAGTTAGCCTAAGCTTAGCTAACTAAGCTAACTAAGTGCCTAGGCACTTTTCGCTTTTAATTTTCCACTATCTACAAAATATAGAGAGCAAGGTGTTACCAAAGCAGATTATGAGCTACAAATGGGCAGTTGGATGTTGAGCCTAAATTTCACAGAAAGTGAGGGTTGGACAGAGAGATGGACTAAACGAATACTGACTGCGGAAGGGAGGAAGAGAAGGGTTAAAGAGCATTGCCCAAAGGGAGACCTCAGAGGCCCTGACCTGTTGGAGAACCTACCCGGTAGTGGAAACATCGAAAAAAATATTTGGGTGGCCACTTGTCTACTGCCATGGGGGGGCTGTCCATCAGGCCGGGGGCCTGGGAACTCCCAGTTATTTTGGCCAAGAGGGGCTTGTGAAAGGCAGTTGTAAGACAGCACACAGGAAGGGGCTAACAACTGGCTACTATGAAAATATAGGTTAGTACAAAAATAATTGCAGTTTTTGCCATTGAAAGTAATGGCAAAACCCGCAATTACTTTTGCACCAACCTAATACTATTTCTAACCTTAGGGCAGAAAAAGGAAAGACCCTAAAGGGAGGGTCTCACCCATAATCCTAGAGGGATTGTCAATGCTAAAGACCCCAGAGCATCCAGGGGTGGCCAGAATACCAATGCTGAAAACTTGGAATGTTTGAGTTTCAGCCAATGAGGGTCCCCTCACCAAGGCTGAAAATCCTGGGGCACCCAGGAGGCAGCTAGCAGTGAACCCAAGACCACGTTGGGGTCACATAACAACATGACTCTGGTGCCCCAGAGTCAACACAACAGGGGACCTCTCACAACCATGTGGCCTGCCTTAAACAACTGCCCACACACAATTAGCAGAAAATTAAAAGCAAACATAATATTGCACATGTTTAAGGACTGAAAATAAAATGACTGGTGGAACAGTACAATGGAGTCAGGAGAGAAAAGGGCTGGGGAAAGGGGTGACAGGGGTGTGCTTTGAGACTCTCAAACAGTGAGGGACTTCTAACCAATCACCTAGCCAAAGGCTTTTATTTTATTCCCTAGTTCTCCCGATACGATGGGAGTGGGGGCAGAAGGGACATTCACGCAGCCACCAGAGCAGAAATGTTGCCAACTGATCTCCCATGTGCGACCCGGGTGAAAATCTCTCCAGAATCCCTCAGCATGGGTGGGCTCAGCTGCTGCCGATGGGAGGGGCCTGCACGGGGTTGGTAACTCACCAGCCAGCTGGGCGGAGTGACGGGTGTCAAGCAAGGCCTTGGCACTATGGCCACTTACCCATCTGCTCGGCTCTGCTGCCTACCAGGGAAAATGGTGGCTGTGAAAAGAGCTTTGGCTAATGTTGGCGCTCAGGTGCTGCAGCTCTGCTTCACCACCTCTCGGTTCATCATCCTGCTGGCTGCTGCCTCACCGACCGCCTTGCCATCTCTCATGCCATCTTCTTCCTTTGCTCCACACTGGGCACCAAGCTGATGCAGGGCAGGTGAGCCCCAACGTGGGGCTTAGCCTGCAAGTGTTCTTGGCTTTGCCCAGGAAAGAATTCAAAGGCAAGCCAGGGATAGAAGAAAACAGCTTTATTGAAGAGGCAGTGTCACAACTCCAGTGACTGCTCCTGCAGAGCAGAGCTACCCTGTAGGCGAAGAGTAGCAGCTCAGGGCAGCTTTGCAGTCATATTTATGCCCACTTTTAACTGCATGCAGATTAAGGGATGGTTTATGCAGAAATTTCTAGGAAAGGGGTAGTAACTTTTGGGTCATTGTATCATTGCCATGGAAACAGGCGGTAACTCCTGGATGTTGCCATGGCAATGGTAAATTGACATGGCACACTGATGGGCGTGTCTGATGGAAAGCTGCTTCCATCATGGCCCTGTTTTAGCTAGTCATCAATTTGCTCCAGTGTCCAGGCCCCTCCTCTGGAATGTAGTTCTGCCTCCTACCTCACTGGGACAGCTAGTGCAGAGGAGAGGACTTGCAATGTCGGAAACAGGCTGTTTGCTCCCTGGGCTCCAAGTGGGTGGAGGGTGTAGAGTAGGAGCCCACTTCTGCTTCCAGGGAAGTATGCATTTGAATCCTGTCCCTGGGGCTTACTAACTGTGTGACCTTCAGTAAGTTACTTAATTTCTCTGTGCCTTGCCTATGAGCTGTGGACCTGAACAGGGTTCTTAGAAGCTCCCAGCTGCTCCATCTGGGTCCTCTCCTCTCTTGCTGTTGCTCCATTGGGTCCATTACTCTGACCCTTGGTTCAGCTGCCAACCCCAGTGGCCTCAGCCACCAGCTCCTGGCTGTTCTGACACCCTGCTCAGCAGATAAAGCTTTTGATCTATAGTGTCCCAGTCTAGGGTCCTGGTCCCTACCTCTGCTGATCTTTCCAGCCAAGCATGGTGGGTTGCAGTGTTCATTTCACCCCTGGACCTATAAACTAGGTCATGGTACAGATGAGGTGGACTGAGGTTATGTGCAGCCCCTCAACCAGCTGCAACTTCCCTCTGCCCCACTAAAGAATGTGAGGGAGAAAGTGAGGGGTGCTGAGTGTTTTGTTCTGCCCTGGAAGAACCCTTCCCCCGAGACTTACCCAGAAGCTGGAAGGGGTGGGGAGCAGCAGATGCCCAATGGAGAAAACACTTCTGACTCTATGTCCTCAAAGAATTGATCTTTCTTATTTTTGAAGTCAAGGTTCAGAGGGCTAAGTTTAATCCAGAGAAGGTTTTACATTTGGTTCTTAGACAAGAGTGAGGTCAGCAAGGGCTAATGGGGACTGTGTTCCATCTCCTGAAAGTATTCAGTAGGTGCCCATAGCAAGCCTTTGACAGTGAAGCCCATAGGTGTTCCAGGTCTCCATGCAGAGGGGTAGATGTGAAATCTCTAATGCAACTCCTGCCCTGCTCTGGTTTCTTCTCCATACCCCACAGGATGCTCTGAATCTGCCACAGCCTCCCTAAGTCAAGCATTCAGAGAAAAGATGGCCCAGAAGCCAAAGCCACATGGGACACAGGCATCTTTTCAATGGGGGTCTTGGCTCTGTCTACATTTGGAGGAGAATCCAAGGAGACCTGTCTGACTGTGGAAACCAAGCTTCCCTACTCAGATCTCTTAATATAATCCTGGGCCCTTACTGGAGATGTGGAACTTTCAGCCTGGCCTACAAGGCCCTTCCCATCCTGGTCACAGCCTCTGCCCCAGGCTCACCTTACTCCACTGCTCACCTGTCATCCTATCCACCCACAGGTGCCTCCTGATCATGCTGACCTCCCACCCCAGGGCCTTTGTACACACAGTTCCCTACACCTGGATCGCTCTCCCCTCTCCCTTTTCACCTGGAAAACTCCTGTTTATCTTTCAGTAATCAACTTAAATATCATCTTTTTGGTGAAGCCTTCTCAAACCTCCCTACCACCTCTGCACTAAGATGCAGTTTCACATATGTTTGTATGAATTTGTTGTGGTAGAATGCCTCTCTTCCATTGTAGTCTAGTCTTTGGGAGGAAAGAATCACATCTGTTTTTACTCACTGTTGTATCCCCAGCGCTTGGCACAGTGTCAGCACAGAGCGGGTACCCAGTAAAGATGGGCGAATTCATGAATGCACCATGAGTTTCAACAGTGGTCACTGGAAACGGATAAGGCTGCATTGGGGGAATGTGCCACCTTCGTTAACTTGCTTTCTGGTAGTCTCACCAGCTCGGGGAATCCCAGAGCTGCAATGTGCTTAGAGGGCAGTTTGGGAAATCCAAATTAAGGCAAGCAAAGAACGACACATGAGTGTCAAGATCAAGAAAGCACAAAAGAGTCTCTGAGGGGGCGGGAAGATGGAGATGTCAGAATGAACCCATCTCCTCCCTCCCACTGCCAGCCCACCCCAGTCCACAGAAGCATTCCTCCAATGCATATTTGGCACTGCGCAGAGTCCACCAGTCACCTCCCAACACATTCTTCTACATTTCTTTTGCTAATAGAACCTTTGGTTCAAGTGTTTATATGACTGCCCAGAACAATTACTAATACTACAATTTCCCAGCATCCCCTGCAACAAGATGTGGTCATGTGGCCATAAACCAAAAAGCATCTGAGACAGGTCCCAATCAATTTAGACTTTTGTTTTGCCAAGGTTAAGGATGCCTGCCCAAAAGGCAAGTCTGTGCCTTTGTCCAACGATGATTTTGAGGGCTTCAATATTTAAAGGGGAAAGGGTGAATATTGCAGAAAGAGGAAAATTTTTTAAAAGGTGTTGGTAAGCCGGGCACAGTGGCTCACGCCTGTAATTCCAGCACTTTGGGAGGCCAAGGTGGGTGGATCACTTAAGGTCAGGAGTTTGAGACCAGCCTGGCCAACATGATGAAAATCTGTCTCTATTAAAAATACAAAAATTAGCCAGGTGCGGTTGTGGGCACCTGTAATCTTAGCTACCTGGGAGGTTGAGGCAGAAGAATCACTTGAACCCAGGAAGTGGAGGCTGCAATGAGCTAAGACAATACCACTGTACTCCAGCCTGGGCAACAGAGTAAGACCCCATCTCAAAAAACTAAAATAAAAAATAAATAAAAGTTGTTGGTAGATAAGACACAAATGGTTGCATTCTTTTGAGTCTGATCAACCTTTAACTGAATACACAATTTACATGGGAGGTGGGTAGAGGAATAGTCACTTATGCCTTTGTCTGCTCAGTGAATCTGCATTTTTCCATCAGAGGGAGCAATCAGATATGCGTTTGTCTCAGGTGAGCAGAGGGATGACTTAGAGTTCTGTTCTTTATCCTGCACCTGTGAAGATGAGCTATCAATTTACATTGTCAGGGTGAAATGCAACAGAATAAAATGGGACACAGGTTTGCACCTGCACAGTTCCCAGCTTGATTTTTTCCCTTTGGCTTAGTGATTTTGGGGTCCCGAGATTTTTTTTCCTTTCACATGGCCCAGTTCTGCCAATGATGCTGGAGCAGAAGTTGCGTGTGTGTGTGTGTGTGTGTGTGTGTGTACATGTGTGTGTCTTTGTGTACATGGATGCACACATGTGCAACCTCTGGATTGTGCCTTTAAAGTAAAAGACCATGCCTTCCACAGCTTGGGCTTTGCCACTCACTGGCTGAGTGACCCTCTATCAGTTACTTCACCTCTCTGAGCCTCAGTGCCCTTGTTCATAAAAGCGGGAGGACAGTAAGAGCCTCTCTCTTGTGAATTCAACATTTCAGGCAACCTCTGAGCAGCCCAGAATAGAGAGAGACAGCCTCTCACCCCCTACATTCTAGATATCAGCTCTTCATTAATTTAGCCTAAGGGCTTATTGGTGCATAATACTGTGATTTGTGCTAAATTTACATCTGCCAGAACCTTTTAGGCTTATTCTCTCAATCTCAGCTTAAACATCACTTTTTTGAGAGACCTTTCATAATGCAACTTAATTCTTCTGTTATGTTTCAGAGCTCCTTGGACAGCCCCTCTGTGGACAACTTTACATTTTGCCATCATTACTTCTTCAGTGTCCTGACTTTCTTTCTGCCTTCATGAAGGCAGAACTCTTGTTTTCCTATGCTTGGTCTCTCCAGACACTTGCCCGCAGAGCTGGACTTACAACAGGCACTCAAGAGAAGCTTGCAAATGAATGAACAAATGGAACAGGTGGCCGGCCACACCTTCCCCACTGTGGACATAAATAATGGGCTTTGTGCACTGATGCTCAGAAACTTCCTCTCATATATGTATTCTTCCACTCTCCTGCATTTTTTAAACTCCTACTATGCACCAGCCCCTCTGCTAGAAACAGTGGGGAGAGGACGGGGTGTGGTCCCTCATACAAGATGCACACAGGCAGGTGAGAACATGGCCTGCAACACCAGCAGCCGGTTAACCAGCCATAGCTGCAGTGAGTCCGCAAAAGGTCAGATGACCCTTGTGGGGACTGGAGACCACGGAATGGCATTTGGCAAAGGTGTGTGGAGTCCCCACTGCCTGAGCTGGAACTCCAGCGAGGCTACTTCCTGTCTGTGACCACTGCTCTGTGCCTCACTCTCTGGACTGCAAAATGGGCTCTCATGAGGAGTGAGTGGGGGGAGGGGTGAAGCACCCGGCACTGGGCCTGGGAGCGGGGAGGGCCATCCCTGTCCATTTTCACTGGTGTCACAAGGACACAGCACCCACATGTCCTTGGCCAGCCAGGAGTCCTCACTGGGCAGATGGGAAACTGTCACCGCTCAGGGGACTGGGGTTTCCTTTGTCTCCTTTGGAGACGCCCCTCCCAGAAACATCCCAAAGACTTCCCCACCTCAGGGGTTCCTAGCTGCCTCAGGTTAGGGCAGGTCCAGTCCACAGAGCAGGGGAAGGGGGAGGGAAGGGACATCTATGAGGCCACTGATGAGGAGGACAGTGGTGGCTATGGGGACCCCGCCCATCACACCCTCTGAGAGAAACCTCTGGGCAGGGGGCCCAGGGGCCGAGTCCTCCTCACCACAGGACACACCCTGGCCCTTGTCACTAGTGGAGTCATCAAATAAATCCAACATTTAGAAAGGGGCCTGCAGAGGACACTTTCCTGAAATTCAACAATAATAAAAGAGAAAAATGGACCGGCTCTCTCCAGACAACCACTGCCAGACAGGTAATTACGCCGCTCCTGTACTGAGCTGGAAGGCTGGTGGCAGAGCCACCTGCCCAGGTAATTCATCAGTGTAGATTTATGGACTCCTCGAGAGCCACCTGCATGTGATCTCCGTCCGCGTTACTCTCGGCACACCTCTATTTAGATCTTGCCAAGATCACTGCTTTTCATGGCATCCCTGAGTGGGGAGGCGGGCACCACACTGGTGGCACAGCTGAGTACTGATTTGCTGGCAATGACCCAGAGAAAAACAGTCCACTCAAATGAACTGGTTCTTTCCAACTGCCCAAGACCTCCCCAGGACCTTGCTCTCCCTTGTGACTTGCTGAGCCTGCTGGGTCCATGCCTGGTTGGTGGGGGACCAAGGTTCTGGAAAAGCACCACCTGCCTCACCGGTCTTCTCTGGGCATAAACTAGGCATGAATTCACACACTTCCCCCAACTTCTTTTTATCATAGCTTCAGAGACCATCTTGTCAACACATAACCTAAAAAATTGTTCATAAGATGCCCCTTTAGTGGAATATGCACAATGATGGTGGGAAGGGAGGCAGAGGAGCTGTGCCTACATCCCTAGATACCCCTCTCCCTGCAGCTGCAACTCTCTGTATGCCCCCGCTAGGAGTCTGTGAGAGCAGAGTTGCCTTTTTAATCTGAGCTTCTGGGTGGATTTGGAAAATCAGGAGGGGTCTTGCTAAATTGCCCCTGGCCACAGCTTTTGAACAGCTCATCTTTAAAAGCCTCCTCTGCGAGAGTTGGCATTGCCAGCTCCCTTCGAACACAGACCTTGTCTTCACTTTTGTTCCCCCACAGTGCCAAGCACAGTGCCAGTGCTTAGTGAGAACTTGGGGAAATGCTGGTTGAATTGCACAGACCTTGAAACAGAAATTGAACGCGCCCTCAAAGTTTGCATCTGAGCATGGAAGAAAACTGTAAATCAAAATCCTTTTCTGTGGTCTCCGGAGAGCACAGCATTTAAAGAAAGACTTTGGCAAATCCTTTGGTAAAGTGTAAAATTTCTTTCTACTGTCAATAGCCCTTAATCCAAAGCTGGGTTCACCTGTGTGTGTGTGTGTGTGTGTGTGTGTGTGTGTGTGTGTGTTGGGGGGGGTGAGTGAGTGTGTGTATGTTATGAGTCAATCTCACTGTTCACAGATTTGTATTTCAAAACTCACCTGATCGCTAAAATTTATTGTAACCCCAAATTCAACATTTGCAGCACTTTTACTGTCATTTCCAACAGGTGCAAAACAGTGAAAAATCTGAGTCATCAGATGCACATGCTCCCAGGTAAGGTCAAACAAGGTGACACTCTGCCTTCTTGTCTCAGCTCTCGTGGGTAATCAAACACCTTTCCCAGGTCTATTTAGGGCCATGCATGTTGCATTTTTGTGCTTTTTGCTCGTGATGTTGCTATTTAAAATGGTCCCAAACAGTGCTGACGCGCTGCCTAGCGTTCCTGAGCACAAGAAGGCTACTATGTGCCTCACTGAGAAAATACTTGAGTTGAAGAAGCATTGTTCAGGCCTGAGTTGAGATGCGTTGTTGGTGAGTTCAAGGTTAATAAATCGACAATACTAAGACAGGATAGTCCCCTGACCCTTTCACAGGCCGGAACTGGAGTACAGTGGCTCTGGGTCCAGCCAGCCACTTTGGTGCCAGCAGGGACAAACTTAACTCACTCCAACCCGCTGGGCTCAACCCCTCAGGGGAAGGAGTACACAGAGAGTGGGTGCTGAGGGCGGGGCCAACACTTTTGGGCTCCAGCCCCACAGCAGCATCTAGGGGTGTGTTCAAGTTACTACTCTTTTAGCTTTGCCATCCGCAGATGGCTTAAATGTTAAACAGCTCAGTCAAGAGTCAGTATGACAGCCTTTTTGGGCTCCCGCACCCAGGGCAGCCAGCATCCAGGAAGAATCAGGTTACGTGAACAGTTTGAAGGGCGATGGAAGTGAAGAATTTTTTTAAGAGGTGGAAGTGGCTCTCAGCAGAAGGGGAGCTGGAAAAGGTATGGTGCTGGAAGAAGGTGATATTTCCCTGAAGCCCACCATCTCTGGCCGGGCTCCTCTCTGAAGTCGTGCCTTCTGAAGTTAAACCGTGTCTATTGATAGTCTCCAAACCTCAGTTGCTTCTTCTCTGCTCCATGTTTGGCTGCCTGTCTCTCCGCCAGCTGAGGTCTGGGGTTTATATGGGCACAAGATAGGGGGCTGGGGCAGGCCAAAAAGGTAACATTTGGGCAGGAAAACAGGGATAACAGTCCTCATTTAGGACCTCAGTTTCCATGCTTGAGGGTGGGGCCTTTGCCAAGGAACCGCCTTCTTCTACCCAGTATTTCACCACCTCCTGTCCGTATCAATACTGTATAATATTAAGTAAGTGGTGTTTCAACAGAAATAACCATAAAACAAGGTTATGCATTGATCGGTTTACTTTTGTGAGAAACTGCCAGAGTGACTGTATCATTTTACAGACAGAGTAACTGTATCATTTTATAGACAGAGTGACTATATCATTTTACAAACTTTTCCAGACTGCCTCACTTTAAATGCAATGAATGAAGTAATCCACTTCTTCACAAACTCACTAACGTTTCCTATTGTCACTACTTTTTTATTTTAGCCAATCTGATAGATGTGGAGTAATATCTCACTGTGGTTTTACTTTATATTTTCTTAATGGCTGATGATGTTGAACATCTTTTCATGTGCTTATTTTTCATCTGGAGTGCACCAGCTCTGATATACTCCTCAGTGAAATGTGTCTCTTCATGTTGTGAAAATAAACAAAGATCAACAAATGAGAAAAGCAAAGGCTATTTATTCTGAGCTTGCTAGAGCAACGGAGTCAGCCACCATCACTTGCATTTTGGCAGAGACTCAAAGGCAGGCAGAGGAGTGGAGAGGCTTGTAGTGGAAAATGGGAAGGCTTCAGGTTTATCCTGATTGGAGGCTCCTGGCATGGGAAAGCTGTAGACAGGCAAACTAGGAACAAGGAATCCTATGTGATTGGTTAGGAGAGCACATTTGAGTCACTCTGGTAGGTTCTATGATGATGGAGGCAGGGACAAAAATTAGGGAAGCTGTCAGTTTCTAATCAAGTCCTGGCCCTTTTGGGCCAAATGTTGCAGAAGTGATTGTTTAGCTTCCTGGATTGTCACTAGAGATAGCAATTTGGCTTCCTGCAAGTCTGACTAATGGCCGGCTGGCTTCCTGAGTTGTTTGTTGCAGGCTTCCTGGGCAGGTTGCTGCAGGTTGTGGGCCAAAGTTCTATTTTTACATATGGCCTGGCCATTGTCCATTTGTATATTCAGTCTCTCAATGCCCTTCACCCTTTTTAAAACTAGATTTATTTGGATTATTATTATTTTTTTTTACACTCTTGAGTTTTGAGAATTCTATTTACAGGTTAGATAAAAGCCCTTTGTCAGATGAGTGCTTTGCAAATACTTTCTCCCAGTCAGAGGTTTGTCTTTTAATCCTTTCCACCAATCTTTTGCAGAGTAAAAGTTTTTAAATTGATGATGTCCAGTTTATCAAATTTTCCTTTTATGGATTGTTCTTTTGATGTCAAATCTTTTTGACCTTTTCACCTGGTCCTAGGTCCAGAGGATTTTCTTCTATTTTTTTTCCTAAAACTTTTATAGTTTTATGTTTCACATTTAAGTCTGTGATCCATTTTGAGTTAATGGATCCATTAGAGGTTTAGGTTGAGGTTTGTTTACCTATTTGGCTTATTGATGTCCAATTTCTCCAGCACCATTTGTTTAAAAAACTTTCTTCCTTCTTTTGAGACACAGCCTCACTCTGTCGCCCAGGCTGGAGTGCAGTGGTGCAATCATGGCTGACTCGGAGTAGCTGAGACCACAGGTGCATGCCTCCTCACCCAGAAAACTATGTTTCTTATTGAATTATTTTTGTACTTTTGTCAGAAATCAGTTGGATATATATGCATGGGTCTATATCTGGGTTCTCTATTTTGTTTCACTGATATTTGTGTATATGTTCACCGACACCATGCTGCCTTGATTACCCTAGGTATACAGTAAGCCTAATGTCAAGTATAGTGATTTTCCCACTTTATTCTTTTTTTAACATTGTCTTAGTTAGCATCTTTACTATGACAAGTCTTCCAAACTAAGCATTGTATGTCTTTCCATTTATTTAGGTCTTCCTTGATTTATTTCATCAGCATTTTGTAATTTTCAACATGCAAGATTATATACATGCTTTGTTACATTTATAGCTGAGAATTTAATTTTCTTTTGGGCAGTTGTAAATGACATTGTGTTTTTAATTTTGGTTTCCATGTCTTTATTATGAATATATAGAACTGTGATTGAGTTTTCTGTGTTGATCTTGTCTTGTATACTGTGAACTTGCTTAACTCCACTTATTACTTATAGAGGTTTTTTGTTTCGTTTTGTTTTATAGATTCCTTGGGGTTCTTAACGTAGATAATCGTGTCTTCCACAAATAAGGACGGTTTTATTTCTTCCTTTTCAGTCTGTATGCCTTTTGTTTCCTTGCCTTGCCTTATTGAGCTATTTTTTATTATCATTACTATCATTATTATTATTATTACTATTATTATTTTGAGACAGAGTCTCGCTCTGTCACCCAGGTTGGAGTGCAGTGGCGTGGTCTTGGCTCACTGCAACCTTCACCTACCAGTTCAAGCAATTCTCCTGCCTCAGCCTCCCAAGTAGCTGGGATTACAGGCACTTGCCACCACACCCAGCTAATTTTTGTATTTTTAGTAGAGATGGGGTTTCACCATGTTGGCCAGGCTGGTCTTGAACTCCTGACCTCAGGTGATCCACCCACCTCGGCCTTCCAAAATGCTGGGATTACAGGCGTGAGCCATCACACCTGAACTACTGCACTGTCTAGAATTTCCAGTACCATGTCAGCTAAGAGTGGTGAGAGCACGCATCCTTGACTTGTTCCTGCTTGTAATGCGACATTAAGTCCCATTACACGTGAAGTCTTTCACCATCAATACAATGTTAGTTATAATGTAAGGAATTTGTTGTTGTTGTTGTTGTGGTTGTTGATTTTGTTTTTTTGGTAGATGTTCTTATTACCTTAAGGAAATTCCGTTCCATTCCTAGTGTGCTGAGAATTTTTGTCATGCTGACCTTGGCAAATGTTTTCACTCCATCGATTGATATGATTATATAATGTTTCTTCCTTAACATGTTAATATGGTAGATTATATTGTTTGATTTCTGAATATTGAACCAGCCTTGCACACCTGTAATTTATCCTACATGGTCAAAGTTTATAATTATTTTTTATACATTGCTGGATTCGACTTGCGAACACTGTATTGAGGATTTTTGCATCTAAGTTCAAGAGAGATATTAGTCTGTAGCTTTCTTTTTGTAGGGTGTTTATGTGTTTTGGTATCAGGGTAATATTAGCTCATAAATGAGTTCAAATGTGCCCTCTCCTCTTCTGTTTTCCGCAAGAGATTGTGTGAAATTGGTGTTAATTCTTTAAACATTTGGTAGAATGATTTGGTAGAATTCTCAAATCAAACCATATAGTACTGGAGATTTCTTTTGGAGAGGGCTTTTAAATTATGAATTAATTTTTTAAAGGATCAGTTATAGAACTAGTTATACTTTTTCCGTCCATTTGCTTTCAATCTCTCAGTATATTTTTTCCTTTTCTTTTTAGTTTTTTGATATTTAAGAAGTTTCTCTTTCCTACTTTGAGCATTTAGTGCTATAAATTTCCCTTTCAACACTATTCTAGCTGCATCCAACATATTTTGATATATTGTATGTTCATTTTTATTTAATTCTAATTATTTTTTCTGTAGGACACTCTCTTTGACTCATACATTATTAGGATGTATATTGTTTAATTCCCAAGTGTTTGGAGCTTTTCCTCTTGTCTTTCTGTTATTGTTATTCTAGTTTGATTCAATTAAGGTCAGAAAACACACAGAAATCATAGGATTTGAGTTTGGGTTTATGGCCCAGGATATGGTCTATATTGGTGACTATCTCATGAGTGCCTGAAAAAAATATATATTCTACTGTTGTTGGGTATAATGTTCTGTATGTGTCAGTTAGATCCTGTTGGTTGATGGTATTGTTGAGCTCTTTTATATTTTTGTTTGTTTTCTTTATAGTAGTTATGTCAATTGCTGAGAGTAGGGTGTTGATCTCTCCATCTTCAATTGTAGATTTGTTTATTTTTTTTTCTTTCAGTTCTGTCAACTTTTACTTCATGTGTTTAAGCCTCTACTGTTTGGGGCCCTCACTGGATTACCCTTTGCCATTGTAAAATGTCCCTCTTTGTCTCCAGTGATTTTATTTGCTCTGAAGTCCCCTTTGCCTGATATTATTATAGCCACCCCTGCCTTTTATTTCAATGAGTTTTTGCCTTATATGTCTTTTTCCATTCTCTTGCTGTCAATCTATCTATATCATTTGGGATGTTTTCAACCATTACCCCACAGGTCCCTGAGAGTTTATTTATTTTATTCATCTCTTTTTTCTTTGTTGTTCAGATTGGTAAATTCTATTGATCTGTCCTCCAATTCACTGTTTCACTGTTTTGCCATCTTCACTCTACTGGTAAGCCCATCCAACAAATCTTTACTTTGTTACTATATTATCTTTCAATTCTGTAATTTCCATTGTTCTTTTTAAATACATTTTATTCCTCGCTATGATGATCTATTTCCTCACTTGCTTCTTGAGAGCTCATAATTTCTTGTTGAATCATCCATATAATGGCTGCTCCAAAAGCCCATCACCAAATTCCAACATCTGATTTATCTCAGTGTCGGCAACCACTGACTTTCTTCTAATTCATGTTGTGAATTTCCTGGATCTGGGCACAACAAATAATGTTTATTATATCCTGAACATTTTGAACATTATATTATGAAACTCAGGATACCACTTGATCCTCTTTTCTAGCAAGCAGTCCCTTACTGAGATGCAGTGTAAGGGCTGGGCGGGGACATCTGATCAGCCTCCTGCCGTGCTTCAGCACCACGTTGGCAAAAGTGGAGTGCCAGCCAGGTATGGTGGCTCACGCCTGTAATCCCAGCACTTTGGGAGGCCAAGGCAAGCAGATCACTTGAGGAGTTTGAGACCAGCCTGGCCAACATGGTGAAACCCTGTCTCTACTAAAACATTTATACAAAAATTAGCTGGGCATAGTGGCGCATGCCTTGATGTGTGCCTGTAGTCCCAGCTACCTGGGAGGCTGAGGCAGGAGAATCACTTGAACCCGGGAGGCGGAGGTTGCGGTGAGCCTAGATTCTGCCACTACACTCCAGCCTGGGTGACAGAGTGAGACTCCATTAAAAAAAAAAAAAAAGTGGAATGCCTACTAACACTGTTTGTTCTAGATGGGTAGTGGGGGAGCTCAGCTCCCCTACTGGCACATCTGATGCCTTGTTAGTGAAAGAGGGGCACCAACTTGCACTGACTTGTCTCCAAGTGTGGATGTAAGCTCAAATCCTTGCTGGTCTCTGCTGACACCAGAGGAGAGGAGATGGGAAAGCAAGGGCCAGTCTCTCCTCCAATTAATCTCACTACACCTTGTTGATGCCAGGTGTAGGCTCGGATCCCTGCTGAGCCTCACAGACAACGGGGCAAGGAGAGTGGGGTGGCAAATAATCCTGCCTCCCAGCACCACCCCATTCTGCCTCATTGATGTCAACTCAAGGTTGCAGTGTGAGTGTTCCCAAGAACCAGGCAAAATCTTCCTTGTCTTTTATGACACAGCCCTGGAAGTCACATAATGTCCCTTCTACTGGGTCCTATTGACACGAGGGAAATGGAGAGAGGGAAGCAGCGTGCCAACCAGTTTTGCTTCCCACCACCTTGTTCCATGTCATTGATGCCAGATGAGGTTGGAGACTCAGCTCTTCACTGAGCCTCACTGATACCGGGGTGGGTGGGGGAGACCAGAGTGCTTACAAGCTCTGCCTCATGCTCCCTCACTCAATCTCATCGCTGCCCAGTGTGTGGAGGTCCAGCTCCCAGCTGTTCCCTGCTGAGACCAGGGTGGGAGGGGGCATGTGCAGGGCTGATTAGCCTTGCCTCACACTACCTGGCTCAATCATATTGATGCTGGATGGGTAGAGGTGAGGCTCAGCTCACCACCGGGCACTGCAGACACCACCACCAGGGACATTTGAGCACCACTGCCTCCTTCCAGGTTAGAGGGTAGTGGAAAATCATCTCCCTGCTTTCCCTGTTGATATCATGGGAGTGTGTGGTTTTCCCTTTGGTGTGGCTAGAATAGGGCAGGTATTTCCAAAAAAAAATTTCTGAAAAAAATATTCATGTCTACAAATTCTTTGACACTCATCCATCAGAGAGATAGGGCCTCTGTCACCTTTCCTCAAATCTGGAGTGATCTCAGTGACTAGTCATTTAACAGACTATAGCACAAGTGACACTATGTAACATCCAGGGCTAGGTCATAAAAGACAGTGAGGCTTTTATTGGTCCTGGGAATACTCATGCTGGAGCCTTGAGCTGCCGTATAAATACTCTGACTACTGTGAGACCATCATGGTGAGGAAGTCCAAACTCTTCTCACTCAGAGAAACCACATGAAGAAGCTTTGAGACTACAGTGTGGAAAAGAGAGCTACCTGGTCGGTCCACAGAGGCTCCCATCCCACAACCATTCTGGCTGTAGCCACAGTCCAAATGCAACCTCATGAGGGACGCTGAGCCACAATCACCCAGCCATGACCTAGTCAAAGTCATACAGAAAGGGTGAAGAATAATAAAATAATAGTTATTGCTTTAACTCCGTACTTTTTGGAATGATTGGTTTCTCAGCAACCTATAACAAGACCAGAATTTAGTACAAGGAGTGAGGTGCTGTTGTAACAAAAAGACAAAGCTTTAGACATTGTCTTCTGGATCTGGCAACAGGCAGAAATCTGAAGGGCCCAAAGCAGGTCATCAGTGATGACTTAAAGCAAAGTAAGGAAAGTAGTTTTTGAAGCAGGATAAGAGAAGATTTTGTTATTAATGATGAAATGATTGGCAACAGTGTGGCCTTATATAACATGGAACATAGAAAAATATTCTAATGAACAAGATGATCTACCTCAGGAGATTTCCAGGAAGAATTATGAAATTGCCACATGGCTTCTTGCACTGCCTATGACAAAATGCAAGAGGAGAGAAATAAGCTAAAGATTGAATGACTATGTAAATGAGCTAGAACTTGTTGAGCTTGAAAATGAAAGTCTCTCACTCATATTCAAATGGCAAATGATTCTCCAATAAGATCCTCAGGCCAAGGACAAAAGCCAAGAGGATTGAATTCTTTCCTAAGACCTCAGAATGTCTAAGGTGGTGCCTCAAAGAACTTATAAAACTAAAAGACTTTCTAAGGATATGGAGGGTGGACCTTGCAGATTTTTTCTGTTAATGGGGCTTCTAAGAGTCTCAGAATATTTGTCTGTGACAGTCTCAGAATAGAGAAGGGCTTATCTCAAAGAGATTTCTGAGTATAGCTTTCACCTAATGGAGTCAATTCTAGATTAATTCATAAGAAACCCTCAAAGTTTTTAAAGTAATTGTGGCTTATCATTGGAACCCTGAACTATTACGAGCAGAAAGTTAGTTTTAAAAAAAATACTTCGCTGCAAATAAGGGCTGGCGTTATCGGCCAGGTCCAGGTTCATTCTGGCTGTGTGCAGTAAATCAATCACTGTGACATAGGTTTTGTGAAAGACAAAAGATTTATTCACAAGGCTGCAGAGCGAGGAGGTGGAAGAACAGCTCTCAAATCCACCTCCCTGAAGATAAGCCTTAGAGATATTTATGGCTTAGGGAAGTAGGGTAGTCTAAGGCTTGGGAAAAGGTGATTGGCATTGGGGAAAAATGAAGCAACAGGTTCGTTCTGTTCATGCATACTCGGGGTTCATGGCATTTCATAGGACATATGTATAGAAAATAGCAGCATTAGCATGATCTGAGGGTGGAGTGTTGGGCCCTCCAACATCAAAAGGCCAACTCTTGGACACATTGCAGGCCCAGTTGAAGGGTTGGTGGTTTCAGCCAGTTTGAACTGGTTGGAACTTGAAAAACAACTGAAGCGACCATGACCATGGTGACAAATGAATGTTATCTATAAAGTAGCAAATGCAGGTGAAGATTCAGTGTTCAGCGGCAAGGACTTCAGCCACCGCAGCTCTCAGCTTCATGAAAAATGGTGGCGGGAGGGGTAAGCTAGCAACCAAAAGCAAGTGGGGCAGGCAGACCTGATCAAATTAACCCCTCAGTTTCACCAGTTCCTATGGAAGGAAGATGCAGCAGGCAAAGCCATCAGAAACAAATTCCAGGAAGTAGGATCTTATCAGGGAACTGCCCGCATGCACTCAGCTTGATTTCTGAATTGGTGTAGACAAGTGGCTCTCATTTTCCCTCTTTTATATGAGAATGTCTATAGGAGCTGTCATATGCCAATCCCTCACTTGCATGTTGGATGTAAGAGGGCACAGGTAGCTTGACTCTTCAGCTCACATGACTTCACATTGATTGTCCCAGAGGAACTGCATCTGAGGATTCCCAGTCTGACCTGGACCTGATTTATTATACATGATGTGATCCTACATCTTAAGCCTGAAGCCATAATCGATGAGACTTGCAAGACTGTCTATATTTTGTATGTGAGAAGAAAAAATAATTTGTGGCCAGGGGATGGATAATAGTGATTTAAAAGCAGGCCCACACATTCTCTGATGCTTCTCTCATGAAGAGGTGGGGGTCTCTGTCCCCTCTCTTGAACTTGGGATGATCTTAGTGACTGGATAATCAATAGACTCTACCAGAAGTAACACTGTATGACTTCCAGGACTAAGCTACAAAAAAATAAGAAAGGTTCTTCTTGTCCTCAGGAATAGTCAAGCTGGAGCTCAAGGCTTCTGTGTAAGATTCTGAGGGCTCTGAAGCCACTGTTCTGTGAGGAAGCCCATAGTAGCCTACATGGAGGAGCCACACGGAGAAGCCCTGTGACTGCCTGACCAGTTCCCAGATGCCGCTGACATTCCAGCTCCAACTACCATCTGACTGCATCCTCACAAGGGGCCTCGACCCAGATTCACCCAGCTAAGCCTCTCCTGAATTGCTGACACACAGAAACCATGAGAAAAAAATAAAATCATTATTGTTGTTTTAAGCCCACTAATTTTGGACTGGCTTGGTAGGCAGCTGTAGATAACCAGAGCCTTTGTCCACAGCCTTGTCCCATCTGTGTCTCAGAAGACAGAAAATGGTAACCTTCATTCTTCCATTCACTCAACAAATATTGAAGCATTGTGCTTGGTGTTTGGGATACATCAGTGAACAAAGCACACAAAATTCCCTGTGCACGCTGAACTTACAAAGAACAATGAGTCAGTGACACAGTAGGTAAGAAGATGGCAAGTGGAAGAAAAGTCAAACCAGGAAAGGGGAAAGGCAGTGGCCGTAGGGATCTTGGAATAAGGCCTCTGAAATAACGTTGGTGAGGAAAACTTCTTTGAGAAGAATTTTTGAGCAAAGACTAAAGACTAGGGAGCAAGCCCCAAGGATGTCTGGGGAGGGGGGCCCCAGGCAGGGGAGCAGCAAGTGTGAAGGCCCTTGGGCAGGACAGGCCTGGGATGTTCAAGGAGAAGCATGAGACCAGCATGGCTGGAGTGAAGAAAGCAGGGGGAGAGTAGCAGGAATGAGGTTGGCAAGTGGCGTTGGGGGAGGGAGACTCAGCTGGTCGATTGTAAGGATGCTGGATTCTTCCCTGATTGGGATGGGATGATTGACATTTTCTGAGCAGATGATGGAAAAGACCTGACAAGTTCACTAGAACCACACAGGGCTACTCTGGCTACACTGTGAGAAGCTGGCTCTTAGGGGAAATGGAGGCAGTAGGAAGAGCAGTTAGGAGGCTGCTGCAATCATTCAGGAGAGAGAGGATGGGGACTGGGAGGGCAGCCAGGGAGGCAGCTGAGGAGGTGATGAGAAGTGGTCAGTTGTGGAAATGTTTCGAAAAAGAGATAACAGGCTTGCTGATAGATGTGACATGGTGTGAGAGAAAGAGAGGATTCAAGCACACCCCCAGGTTTCTAGTCTGGGAGGATGAGGGAGTTGCCTGAACTGAGATGAGGGAGATGGTAGGAGCAGTAAGTTGGGAAGCGAGAGGACTAGAGAATGGAATTTCAGTTGGGATATGTGAAGCTTGAGATGCCTGTTGGACACCCAGGTGAAAATGTTCAGTAGGCAGTTGAAGGTACAAGGCTGCACTTTAGGAAAAGGTGCAGGCTGAGATGTAAATTTAGGATCCATCAGCATATGAACAGCTTGTCAAGGCCATGAGTCTGGTGAGGCCCCCAGGGAAGTGAGGGAGGATAAGAAGAGGATCATGGATGGAGCCTGTGTATAGCACAAGGTTTACAAGTTGTGGAGCCAAGGAGGAACCAGCAAAGGAAACCAAGGAGGGACAGCTAGGGAGGTAGGAGGAAAACTAAGAGTGGGGGTGGGGATTCTGGGAGCAGAGGGGAGAGGGAGTTTCAAGGAGAGGGGAGGGATGGGTTGAGTAAGATGACAACTGAAACTGGTCACTGAATGTGACGGTGTAGAGGTCGCTCTTCACTTTCACAAGAGCAGTTTTGGATAGAGAGAAGAGGATGAAATCCTGATATGAGTGTTTTAATAGAAAATGGAAGGCAAGAAGTAGGAGATGGTGATTATAGACAGTGCTTTCAAGGGATTTGACTGTAAAGATAAGCAAAGCAAAGCAATGTGTTTGTAGCAGAGGGTTTTATTTATTATCGTATTGTATGTTTTATTATTTGTGGTTGTAGAAATAAATAGCGGCATGTTTGCACACTGATGATAGTCATCCAGTGAAGAGGAGAACTTTGATAGTACAAGAGGGAAGGGAGGGTTGCTAGGGTGATGTTCTTGAGCAAACAAGAAAGGATGGGATCTTACACACAAATGGCCTCAGATAAAGATGAATGAGTCTCAGACCTATGATAGATTTTCCCAAGGGTATCCTAACAAGGTGCACATCCTTCCAGATATTTATTTGTGCACAAACCAAAATGAATAGAAATTTTGCGCATCGTGCTGTTCATATTTTTCAGCAACGTTTTCTCTATTCAAAAATGTCATGGAGATCCTCTCATGTTAGTGCATAGAGAACACATTCGATCTTTTTAATGTCTGTTTAGTATTCAATAGTATGGATGCTTCATTATTTATTTAACGAATCTCCTGTTGGACATTTAGATAGTCTCCGATATGTTCTTTTTGCTTTTTGCTATTACAAATAACGCTGTAGAGAACCTCCTTGCATAAATGCATATCCTTAAGCTTTTCAGAATCACCAACGTTTAGAATAAAATTGCTGGGTTAAAAGATAGGTGCATTTTGAATTGTGATTGATGCTGCTCAAGCGTCCTCCAAAAAGACTACTTCAAAACCTCCCCACTAGCAATGTAGGAATGTGACACTTTCAACAGCAGGTTTGTTTGAAGTGAAATTCAACTTGAAAGTGGTGTCAGCAATATAAGTGATAAACCACTGCCCCTCCTCTCCAGGCTGCAGGAATGTGCTGACCTGGTCTGGTCAGAGAAGCCAGAAAGGCAGAGAATTAAAATAGAAGAGAGAGGCAGACAAAGAAGGCAACAGCACAGATTTTGGAGACCAATTGGGTGCTCTGGGGCTAGCCCCAGAGTACTAGCTCAGCTAGTACTTCACTGTGGGGCCCCTGCCATGCACTCAACCTCTCACTGCCTGCTCAGGACAGCCAACAAGACTGTGAGTGGATCCAATGAGGTAGCAAGCATGAAAATGAGATGTCAAGTATCAGGACAGAGACTGTGGCACTCACATTAACCTTCTTTTACTTTTTTTCCAGCAGAACCCCTGTTTCATTGGGAACAATTTCCTCTGCTTAAAAACATTACATTTCCCACCTGGCTGCAGCAGTCATGTGACACAGCTCTGGCCAATGAAATGGGAAAACACTACATTTCTCCACCCCTACTTTAGGCAGTCATGTGACACACCTCCAACCAATGAGAGGGGAGTGGAGGTTGCCACAGGGCATTCTGGGAAAGCTCCCCGGAAGAGATGGGAACCTGCTGGACTTGGTTGTGGACCCATGGCTGCCAGTCCTGGCAGTGGACTCGAGGCCCAGTGGGGAGGGGCAGCCACCACGCTGTGACTGCAATGCATCCACACATGCTGAGGCCACCAAGAAGAAATAGGGGAGGAGGCTGGCCCTCGTCCAAGATGGCATCTTGGAGCTGCTGGACCTTCAGGAGCGGCCACTACCAGATGCCCCTTTAGGTGAAAAAAATAAACCCCTAATTTAATTAGGCCTCTGTTGGTCAGGTTTCCATCATTCTGGGCTGAGTGTCATTCCTGGGTCTTCCACTGATGCACCATGAGACCTTTCTGCAATCAGGCAACCTCTCTGGGTTTCTCTTTGTTCATATGTTAAATGAGGGTATTGAACCAAGAGTTTTTTACATAATTTTTTTTTTTAATTTTAGGAGAGTGTAGATTTATGGGAAATTTACAAGAAGGGTACAGAGAAGTCCCTTGTATTCCTTTTCCAGCTCTCCTTAATGTTTACCTCTTAGTTAACTAAGGCTCATTTGTTAAAACTAAGATATCTATTAACTAAACCCCTGACTTTATTGTATTTTTACTAGTTTTTCCCCTTATATATCTCTTTTCTGTTCCCAACTCCCAACAGGATACCGCATTACATTTAGTCGTCTTATGTCCTTACCTCCCCCTTAACTGTGACTGTCTTGCCTTGCTTTTCATGACCTTGGCAGTCTTGAAGATTACTGATAAGGTATTTTGCAGAAATCTCCTTAATTTGGGGTTGCCTGATGTTTTCTTTATGATTAGACTGGGGTTCTGGGTTTGAGGGAAGAATCCAACAGAGATGAAGTGCCTTTCTTATTACATCGTATCAGGTGAGCATGCTATCCACGACTTATCATTGGCGATGTGAAACTCCATCACTTGGTTAAGGTTTGCAGAATTTCTCCACTATAGGGTGCCCCACCCCTTCCCTTCCCACACTTTATTATTTGCAAGCGAATCATTAAGTAAGGCCCACACACAAAAGGTTAGAGAATTAACCTCCACCCCCTAGAGGGGGCAGTATAAATTATTTGAAAGCCTTCTATAAGGAAGATTTGTCCTTTTTCTCACATTTATTTATTTATTCAATTATTTATTTATGTCAGTATGGATTCATGGATATTTATTTTATACTTTATATTTTAATCCAGTACTGCATTATTTATGTTCCATCTTTGGGAAATTGTCCCATCTTTGGGAGCTCTCTCGGATTCCTCTGACCCTTTGCTGTGGCCCCCATCATTTTGTTTTTTGAGCACTTCTTTACTTTCTGGCACCGTTACAAGACGCTCCAGGCTCATCTTTTATCTCCTCTTTCCCAGACATAGAATCTGCCATTTCCCTAAGAATCTAGGATTCCTTTTATTGGAGAATAGTATTAGAAACCAAGATCTGGGTGCTAGACCAAGGAATTTTGAAGGTACTTCCAGCTCTAAACCTTTAGGATTCTAGACTTAGGATAAGAATAACTAAAAGTGATTAGTTTTTGTGGAGAATAAAATGAGATCTGCTATGAATACTAATCAGGTGTTTTTCCCTCCTGTCTTTGGTTTCTGATAATGTGTTTGTTTTTCTTGCCGCCTCCCTCCCCACCCCTACTCAGCAGAAGACATCTGTGGGCTTTTGCTACCCACTGCCTTGTACTCTTTTGCTTGTAAAGTAGTATCCAGAATTTTCTTTGTGAAACTTCCAACCTTTATTCTCAGCCCATATGACTTGAGTGGGGTTAACCCCACCAGCTCCAGTATTGGGCCCTGATTGAATTAAACTAATGAGTACATTCCATGCCTTTGGCCTTTGTAGTTGGTGCAGGGATGGGCCTATGGCCTTTGGAACCAATGGGAGCTGGGCCCAGGAATTTTAATTAGTAAATGGGTGTTAAAGAAAAATTCTTCTGACACTTGTTAAAAATGACAAGGAAGACTTTTTATTCAAGGCTGTTGCATTAGGGGAGAGAGACTAAACTCAACTCCAAATACAGCAAAGGCAGCTGGGGATTTATAGCCAATGGACAGAGTGAGGGAATGGGTGCAAAATTACTAAGAGGAACTTGATTAGATATCAAGGGTAGGGGGGTTGTTGCTAAACACAAGCCAAAGTGGAGGCCTAGTGGAGAAGAGGGCTCAGAGGAGATTGACTAAAATCTTGTCAAGGATAGAGTCTTTGTCAGGAGGCAGGGAGGCTCTCTGTTCCCTGTGGGACTCAAGTTGGGCTAGAAACCATCTGAAAACCAGGAAGAAGGTGCCCAAGACTGGCTTTGCATAGAGGAGTGGTGCCAAAATATAGAGAAGGAAGAAGCATCTCCTGATGGCATCATTTGAGTACCTGAGTCAGGCTACACCTGAAAGCCACCCCATTCCTGAGCTATTCAGTAGTACAAATCAATAAGCCCCGTGGCAATAAAAATGCCTGATGGCTGCCCTGTTCCTCTTTTCCTCCAGGAATGTAAATCAAGTTCATCTCCCACTGCCCCATGTCCCCTTTTTCTTCCTCCTGTAAGGAAGATCAAGCAATTAAGTCATTTCCATAGACAAGGGCACATTAGCCCCAGACTCACATGACCCAAGCAGCCCTGTTACAGACCACACAGTAACCTGGGGAGCTGCTGAGCCAGCACTGTGACTGATGACTTGCCTTCCTCTGTCAGGAGGCTGGTTTTAGCAGGGGGGTGAGGAAAGCATCATACAGAATCATAGAGTTAAGGTCTGAGCTGAGAGGAGTCTTAAAGATCCTATAGTTAAATCTTCTCATTCTCAGATATGCAGACCAACTGCAGAGAGGGTGAGTGACTTGCCCCAGGTCACACAGTAATTTAGCAATAGAGGCTGGTCCAGAACCCACATCTCCTGACTCTGATTCTAGTTGCTTTTTCTATTCTGCATGTTCTTCCCCAAAGATGAGCTGTTTCCTCCCCACCCCTTTCTCCTTGTGTCCTCCATGATTCTTGCAAGAGTTGACCCTAAGCAGAGATCTCACATCCTGCTGTGAAATGTCCATGGCACACCAAACACTCCCAGGCACCCACCCATCCCAACCTCCACTTCTTTCTCCAATGTGTCGTTCCTCACCTGCACCCTGACCTCCACCCATCCCTCTGCCACTGCCCCATTGCAGCCCTCATGGGGTGCCACACTGATAGTGGCAGGAGGCAGTCAAATGCCTAGGCAGATAGGGGCAGGTCCCTGATGAAACCTCACCCCAAGCCAAAGACAATTTAAAGCCTGAAAGCCAACCTGCAAGTCAAATCCACAGACTGGATTGAGAACCTGTCTTCCCATTTGGCATGCTTTCCTCTTATTGGTCCCCACCCTTCATCTATTTTACATATACCTGTCCTTTCCTAATTGTTTTTTTACACTGTCATGCCCACCTTTGAGTAGTGCTTTTGTTTTAACCTTTTTTGCGTACTCACAAAGCAATCAGCATGTACTCCCCTATTCTGAGTCCATAAAAGCCCCAGACTCAGCCACACTGGGAAAGAAGCCACCCAACTTCAGGTGGGGAACCACTCCCACATCCTGTCTCTCCTGAGAGCTGTTCTGTCACTCAATAAAATTATTCTCCACCCCTCACCCTTCAACTGTCAGTGTATCCTCATTCTTCTTAGACAGGGGACAAGAATCTGGGAACCACTGAATGTGGGTAGGAGCTGTAACACAGGCAGGCTGGGGCACACCCAGCCCAGCTGTGGGCAGAGCTGATGCACAAACCAGGTGTGGCCAGGGCAGGCCAAATGGGTGGACCACCTCCTGCAGTAGGTAGTGTGCCCAAGCAAGACCCAAGTAAGGTCGTCACCAGCCAGAGGTCCCCAGCTGGCAAAGTGACCAAGAAAAATCCTGCATCAACATCACGCCCCACCCCAGTTCAATAACCCAACTCAAGTCAACAGCACTGACAGATTTGAGCACCTGCTACCAGGCATCATGCTGACAGCTTCCCATCACCCTGACCCTGTGACCCTCACAACTACCCTGTCAGGAAGAGTTTATTGGTTTGTTAGCCAAGCCCTTCCTTCTAGGTCTACACATGCCCACACCCCTCTGCTGCTTCTTCTCCAAGAGCCCTGGGGCTATTATTTCCTCTTCTTACCTCTTCAGGTAGAGGAACTGAGGATCTGAAAGGTTAAGTCACCACCTCAAGGTCACCCACATGACCCTAAGGAACCCTACGGGCCCCTGTGGAAAGAGCAAAGGGATGCCATAGGTCCCCTCCCTCCCACTGCCCTTGTCTGCAGAGATGTGTAACCTCCAGGTACAACCCCAGCTGCAATCTCCTCCCCATCTATAAATCCTTCCTGGCCATTGTTCACACACACACCTGTAATAAGCTCTGAGCTCTGCTGAGTAAATGTCACCCAGAGCCCCAGGGTAGTGCCCAGGAGCAATCAAAGACTCCGAATGAAATGCAGCCCTGCTCCCAGATTGTGACTGACTTGCCTGACAATAATTAGTTCATGATGTCTGAAGTGCATCTTATTCTCTTGAGGCTCTGCAGTAATTACAAGGTGGTATGTTATTAAAAATGATTTATGGAGGCTAAAAGCTTTGGATGAAGATCTCAGTGGTGAGAATACTGTGCCCAAATTGAAGAATTTGCATGAACTCACAGTTTGGCTCTAAGTCCCAGATCTGTGATGGCCTCCAGCTCTCTGCCCCTGACCACTGCACTCACTGCCCCTCCCCTCCCAGTGTCCATTTGTTCAGCCTGTAGGGCTCATCCCCATAACCACCCTGAGAGGGAGGGGCTGATGAAAGCCCTATCCCCACCTACAGATGAGGAAAGAGCCCAGAGAGGAGAGGTGACTTGTCCAAAGTCACAGAGCAGGGAAGTGGTGAGGCCAGGATGGGAAGCCCTGTAGGCCTGACTCCTCGTCCAGGACTCCCTCCCCTGCTCCCCTCCTATCCTCCCCAGGGAAAGTTGAGGGATGAGACTGGGGGTCTCTCCTCCCCATAAGCAGTGCCCTAGGCAGTGGGGGAACCTCCATCCCTCAGCATCTCCTGCCTGGTGGCCAAGCTCATCCTAGGTTTACACCATACCCTGCCTTCTCCCGCTCTGAGCCCCAGGGCTGTTACCCCCTTAACCCATTTATGTGCCTGCTTTAATTATTATCTTCAAGGAGAGGCTCAATCAGGAGATAAACACAAAAGACCTGTTGCTGATAATGGAAGGCCCCTGCCTCCCCGGTTGTAAATGGAGGGGCTGCTGCAGCCTCTGCAATAACATGCCTTAGCCTACATCAGGGCCGAACAGCTCCCCACACAGGGTGCATCTCCCTGTCCCGCAGGTCCTGGGACCCGGGCAGTGCCTCCCAGGTACATCTCACTATCACGCAGGTCCTGGGACCCGGGCAGTGCCTCACAGGTACATCTCACTATCGCGCAGGTCCTGGGGCCTGGGCAGGGTCTCACAGGTACATCTCCCTGTCTTGCAGGTGCTGGGGCCCGGGCAGTGCCTCACAGGCACATCTCCCTAATCCTGCAGGTGCAGGGACCTGGGCAGCATCTCACAGTGGGAGGTGCATAAGCTCGGGAGACAGCCCACTTTGCTCTGCATCCCACTCTGCCACTTACTAGATGTCAGGCTTAAGTCAGGTTACCCAACCTCTGTGAATCCCAGTTTCCTCACCTATAAATAAGAAATAATACTTTTAGAACTCATGTTTCCCCTTAAAATACCAGAGAACTAAGTTCAATTCTTTGGAAGCCAGACAAGGACACTGTGAAAGGAAAATAGAATCTCGGAACCCCAAACTCACTATGCCAAAGGGAAAAGCTAAACTTGGAAGCTGAGTCACGCAAAAACGGCTGTTTCCTGTGTTCCTAAACAGATAGCTACAAGATAGAAGTCCACTTGTCTCCCCGGGTGGCCTTCCTCTCCCTGATGATGATAACAGCTTATTTTCATGGGTGTGAGCCAAGAGGAGACTAGGAATCATGCCACCACCCACCCCAAGACGAACACATATTTGATTTCTTTCTCCATTCTATGTTTATTTTATAGAAAGTGCAGATTTTCTGAGCAAGAGACAAATACGTAATGGACTGTTCCTCTACCCTGTCCTTTTCACATGCAATGTGTGGATTTGGTGAGTGCTCATCAGGGCCCTGCAAGAACGTGACCACACTGTCCCTCTTTTTCGTTCTTTCCTCCTTTCTCCTCCTGCTTGCTTTTTCCCCTTAAATATCGAAGCCCTTAAAATCCCCTTTGGAAAAAGTTCAGACCACAGATCCTACTGTGGCTTGAGTCTCATTTTCCCCAGCACACCCTCAACCTTGGCAAAATACACATGTAAATTGAGATGCGCCTCAGTTGCTTTTTTTGGTTTACAACATGGCCTTTTTGCTGCTCAGTTGCCAGCACCCAGCATAAGATGAGCATAAATGTTCTGTTCACCTGCCTTCTTGCTGCTGTGCCCTCGCCTTGCTGGCCAAGATAGCGAGCAGGGCTCGGATCTCTCCCGGTGGACCCTGCTTGTCCAGATTCCCTGTGAGCTGTTGACAAAGGCTCATCCACTACCTCTGGTGCTCCAGGATCATGAAACACTCGGTTCAGCCAGGGGAGCCTGGCAGGGCCCTTTCCATGTCTGCAGCGGCCAATCTGACTCAGGTGACCCCAAGAGGGGCCGAAGCTGATTGGAAAAGTCATCTCATTGTGGTGGAGACTGGAGAGGGTCAGGGCAGTAAGGTGGGTGAGCTCAGCAAACCTGGAAGCTGGGTTGTTTCATGCATAATTCAATGTGGGGAACATCCCTGGAGGATTCCTGCTTTTTCCCACAGTTTTCTGGTACCAGAAAATGTCTTCCTCACAGAGCACCAGCTGCCTCTGCAGGCGAAGAGGATGAGTCGCAGCAGTTGCAGGGAGCAGAGGGTCTCAACGGCCAGGGGGAACCAGGTTGGACCAACCTGCCCAGCCCCTTAGTTACCCCTGGGACTGGGGACCACCTAAGGATGGGAGAGTGTTGGATGATTCCTCTCCTGTGAGATGTGGGTGGGCCTGGATTGCCCTCAAGTCTCCCCCAGCTCCAGGATGCCACGATTCTCCTCCGTCCCTGAGCCAGGCCTTTTCCCTTCAAAAGTCTGTGGGGGCAGCAGGCAAGGGGTTCCGTGCCTCAGGTCTAGTGCCACACAGCAGACACAGGCAGGGCAGGTGCCCCAGCCAAGGCCTCCTGACACCCAGTCCAGGGCTTGGGGGTCCTCCATGCCCGTGGGAAGCCAGAGTCCATGCCATGAGGGCATGAGCTTCCTCACCTCTGCCCTCACATGGAGAAAATAAACTTGAAATAGGAGGTACCCAGAAGCCATCATACAGCTGCGGAAACTGGGTCTCAGAGAGGCCAGGTCATTTTCCCAAGATCCTTCAGGTAGGAGGTGGAAGAGCTGGGATTGCAAGCCAGGTCTCAGTGGTTGCAGAGCTGAGCTCTTAGGTGACAGAGCTTGGACCCTGGCCATGGCCTGCTCTCCTTTGGGTTCAGGAAACCCTGTCAGGGCCCAGCCTGCTCTGTTCCCTCATGTCCAGACTGTGAGAGTGGCTGTTATTTCCAAAGCCTCTGTATTTTCTTGGAACCCAACCCCAGGCCTCCACAGCTGAGCAAGCCCTGCGCCTTTAGTTTATGACAGCCCTTGAGATTGTGGCTGACCTGGGCCCGTGACACATCTGTGGCCTGCTTAGTGCCTGCTGGGATGTGGTATTGGGATTCTGGTCGTGCCTGTTAAATCTTACTAGCAGGCTTCTCATGCTGCTTCAAAGCCAGCTCCTCCTCAGAGCTCCCCCAGAGAGGCAGGAACAGCCAGGCCAAGCCTCCCAGAGCTCTGCCCGGGATGCCTTATCAAAGCACATAAAATGCCCAATTCCACCAACAGCAGCAGCCGAGCCTGGAAAGCTGAGCAGAGAGCAGAGGGCCAATGGGCAGGACAGTGCAAAGCCAAGCCCAGCCCAGCCCACTCCCCAGCCATGGGGGTGCCAGAGCTACACGCAGGGCCTGGCAGCAGTGTGAGGACACTTTTGTCTCCACGGGACTGCACTGTATCAGCACTTAGCTGAGTTTGCTGGTTCTAAGGCCCAAGTTATGCTTGGGCTGCAGCGGGCCCTCCGTTTGCATCCAGGGAGGCAGGAGCCTTCCACTGTCAGCAGCAGGTCTTTTGTGTTTATCTCCGGATTGAGTCTCTCCTTGAAGATAATAATTAAAGCAGGCACATTAAGGAAATAACAGCCCTGGGGCTCAGAGGCGGAGATGGTGGGGTGTGCTATAGACCTAGGAGGGGCTTGGCCACCAGGCAGGAGGTGCTGAAGGGTGGAGGCTCCCCCACTGCCCATGGTTATGCTCCGTCCATAACCATGTTCCTAGAGATTGCAGCAGATGCTGTGGGTGCCCCAACCTTGTCTCCTGAGCTCTGGCTCTTCATAAATCTGCAGCCCTGGCTCAGAGCTGGGCACAGGCTGGCCCTTGGCAAACACTTGGCAACTGAGCATCTAGAGAAACAGAGCCCCCTCCTCAGACCCCTTGTGCGAGGAATGGGTGGGCAGGGGCTTCCTCTCAGTTCTCTCGTCTCTGGTGATCTATCTCTACCCTGACACATTTTGTTTGGGTAGGGGGAATTGGGATCCCTGGGCCCCCTTTTGCCCCATGTCTCCTCTGGAGCTCATTCCTCAGCAGATGGGGCCCAGGAGGGAGGAGGCAGAGGGTGGGGCCCCTCCCTACCTCCCTTCCCAGGCAAAGCCATCACTCCCCAGGGGGAAAGAGAATGACTCAGACAGAACCAAGGTAGGGACAGAGCAGGAAATGTCACATCACATAGCAGAAGACATAATCTAGCTTGTAACATTTCCCTGGTGAACCAAGGCACTGTAGAAAGAACAAGCTCAGCCGCGTGGCGTCCCTTACCTCGCCCTCCTGGTCCGCAGGGAAGCTCCCAGCCCTCCATTTCCCATGTAGCGCCTATTTCAAGCGCATTGTTTATTTCCGCTTGATGAAGTGCAATTCATTTAAGGCTCTCTGTTGGTTATTTCACGTCTCCAAAGCATATTTTTCATGGGAAGGTCAATTCCGAGAAAACACTCAAGAGTCTGGAAATTAAATCTATTCACAAGTGAAAAGTGGCCAGTTGCTAAAGGAGGGGTCTTTGACTAAGACCCTCTGGACTAATTACTGTGAAAACTGACTGGCCGTTTTGGGAGGGCTGGGGTGGAATTTACACAGGGGCTTTATGCTTCTTGCTATTTTATTTTTTCCCAGTGGCTGAAGTTAAGCTTCATTTCCAAGTCCAGAGAGAATGATCAAAGGAGCCTCATCAGCGGGCAACTCAGCCTCATGCAGGGCACTGAGAAGCCCCTTTCAGTCCACCCCCACCAGAAAGGGGCCTCTGTTCCTCAAACCTCATAAATAGTCGGGAAACAGCCTCTGGCTCCCGCAGCCCCCATGGTTTGGGCTTTGGGCTCTTCACATGTGCAGGGCAGCGGAGAGCAAGAGAACCAGAAATGCCTCAAGACCACGATTCTAATCCAGCAGAGACCATTTACAGAGATCCGGAGACGGCTGGGAGGTGGGGAGGAGGACCAAGGGCAAGGAGGGATGTTCCTTTAATTCTGGGACATCTGAAAAATTGGGGTAATTTCCAAAGGTTCTGAGTGCTGAAGAGGGGCAAGGGTTCAATGTCTTATAGCACAGATTCAGCTACCTGCAGTTAACTGCAGTCCCAAAATATTAAATGGAAAATTCCAGCAATAAACAGTGTTTAAGTTTTAAATTGCATACCGCTCTCAGTAGCATGATGTCATCTTGTGCTGTGCAGCTCTGTCCCACCCGGGAGGTGAACCCTCCCTCAGGCATATTCACACTGTATAGGCTACTCACCCCATAGTCACTGGGTAGTTGGCTAGGTTGTCAGATCAACGGTCACTGTATCGAGACGGCAGGGCTTGTGTTCAAGCCACCCTTATTTTACTTAATAATGTCCACAAGGCATAAGAGTAGTGATGCTGACCATTCAGATAAGACAAAAAGAAGCTGTAAAGTGCTTCCTTTAAGGGAAAACGTGAAAGTTCTTGACTTAAGGGAAAAAAAACAACAACAGTATATATAGGGTTCAGTATTACCTGGGGCTTCAGGCATCCACTGGGGATCTTAGAACCTATCCTCCACAGATAAGGGGGCTACTGTATTTGAAGACAACTCTCCTAGCTCATCTCTATAGGGTTTTGCCTTCTCCAGTTTCGACAGCCCCATTGTTTTCAGCATTATTCATCACACATCCTTCACGAAGCTGGCTCCCCTAACCAAGCTTGAGTTTTTTGTCTCTTTTTACATTGTCTCACAAAGCTGGATCCAGTTCTCCAAGGAAGAACTTACAGGGGAGAATGGTGCTCAACACATAATTGCCGAAATAATTGCAGTGAAATTAAACACAACATTGCACCATTCAATACATCAAGTGCTCCAACCTGCAATGAAGTTGCAGCCTCCGTACTCAGCCAGAATGCTCAGCGCCCACCTTATGAAGGAGCAGGTGCTCACAGTGAAGGGAAGCTATGCCCAGAAATGAGCATCTGGGCTCACCCTGTGAGGCGGGAACACCAGCTCTGAATCACAGGAGTCCCCGCAAGGCTGTGCTGCGCCCCTCTGGCTAGTGCTAACACACGATGCCGGGGCCTGCCTCTCCGCACTCAAGGCTGGGAATAGGTCATGGGTTTTCATGCCTCCCCACATCAAGGAGGGAAAAGGGCCAGCAGTAGACATTTTCCAGATGCTTATGCTTTTCAGGGAAAACAAATACTGTCCAGCAGGGCCTGCTGACATGAGAGGTACCATGGCCAGTGGGGAAATCATGGCCCCTGGGGTCCAACAGACCAGGGAGTGAATCCCAGCTCTTATGAACTCGGCGACCTTGGCAGCTCTGAGCCTCAGTTTCCTTACCTGACACATAGGACTAATAATAACCACCCCTGTTTTCTTTTTAAATAGAATGAGCTCATCCACTTGATTGCCCATCTGCCTGCCTGGCATATGTGCATTCCCTTAGATCTGCTGAGGAAGATGCAGAGGGTAGTCTGGGATTTTGGATGGCTGTAAATATGAATTTATACTTTTCTCCCCCTCTTACTTCTCAACCTTGGACTAGGCCTCTAGCTGGCCTGGCCCTTTATATTACATGCAATGCTTCCTCCCAGCAATAGGCTGCTGGACCATGGTTCCCCTTAACCCCCCAAATTAGAGAATAGGGAGGGGTCTCTGCACCTTCTCTGCATCCATCCTGCTGGCTCAGCGACCACAATCCACTCTGAGAGCAAGAACAGCCCAGTTTCCTTGTGTCTACAGAAAGGAGTGGCAGACCCAGCTGTGGAATCAGGGAGACCATTTGTGCAACTTTGCCAATAATCTAGGCAGGAAATGATGGTGGACGTGTCAGGAAACCTCCCCTCTGCAGGGTGGAGCTGTGGGTTAGAAAAAGTGAATTTTTTTCAAAAGTCTCCAGGACAGCGCCTGGCAGAACTCTATTTACTTCTGTCCCGGGGGAGGCTGGCTGGCCCCTCACACCTAGAAGGCACCTCTTCCATGCTCACTCTGTGCCAACCCCAGTGGCTCTGCCTCTGTCTCCAGGCCCTTCTCACTCTTCTCTGTCCCCGCTTTGGGGACTGGACTCTCTCCAGTGCCCTGGGGTCCTCTCCTTGACTTGGCTATGAACTTGCTGATGTGGAAGACCATGTCATAATCATCTCTGCATAGAAACCAGGTAGTTGCAGAGTCTCAGGGAATGTGTATGCACTGTGGGACTTGAGGCTGGACTTTGAGAAGGACCACTGTGCTCCTCCACATTCCACTAGCCTGGCTCTTCACCAAGGACCAAACCCAGAAGATGGACCAGGAAGACAGTGCAGAGTGAGAGGGACCAGCATGTCCTGGGAGCCTGCTTTGTGTGGAGAACTATGCCTTCGTTGGCTCATTTGATCCTCACAGCAAGCCTGTGGGGTGGTGAGACTCAGCCCCACTTTGTTGATGAGAAAACCGAGACGTAGAGCAGAGATTCTACTCTATGACGGCTGGGACTCCCTGAGCCATATGTAAGTCAGGGTTCCTCTGGCTCCTCAGCCTTGCAGGGTCTACACCCTGGCTCTTGTGTGGTGGCAGAGAGAGCCACTCCCCACACAGACCCCATGAAGACACTCCAGAGACCTGGAGGAGGGTTTGGGAGGGAGTGGAAGACAGAACTCCAGGAAGCACGCGGCGGGGGCTGTTGGGGAAACCTGGACCGGGGTAGGCCAGCCTGGGCCTGTCTCTCTCACACCCACAGGCAGGGTGGTCTCTGGCAAGTCACTTAACTCCTCTGAGCCTCAGTTTCCTCGTCTACAACCCTGGGCCATAAACCCCTGTCTGCCTGGGTTTCTGCGACGGTAGCTGAGCTCGATGCTTGTGGAAGTGCTCAGCGCAGAGCTCAGCCTGCTGGAGAGGGACTGGAACTGAGCCTCCTGCACTGGGTGGAGAAGGCCTGGAACCAGAACTCGGGGTTCTGATGCCCAACTCGGCCTTCCTGCCCTCCCTCCTGTTTCAGAGGCTGCACTCAGCTTCCTCCCAACCCCCTTGGACCCAACAGTGAGGCACACAGGGCTCCTCCTTTGGCCACATGCCCTTCGCAGGCATTCGAAGATGCCAGAATTAATCAGGGCACCACTCACAGGGCTGACCATGATCATGGCTCCAGCAACAGCCCCTTTTCTGTCTCCCTCCCTCCTCTGATGATCCCACATCCTGCAGTAGCTGAGCCAATCTGTGGGAGCCCCCGACGCTGGGTGGAGCTCCTCTGAGGACCGCGGTGCATTCCCTATAATGACGTTCATTAGTCTGTCTGACATCGGTCCTGTTCTCAGGTTAATGTTTAACTTAATGAGGCATTTATTTCCTGTTAGAAAACTCCTGAAGAAACGTGTTTGCTTCTGATGAGCTCAGCTGATGAATAGATTAATACCAGGCTTGAGAAGCTGACCGAGAAAACGAATCCAACTGGCTTATTTTTCTTCTTTAGTTATGGACCGTGCTTAAATTAATATGCGTAAAACTGCTCATTTCTTAGTGGAAGAAAGAGGATCCTCACTTGGCTCTGTGACGCCTCCTCCACCTGCCTACTTCTTTCCCTCCCCTGCCACCCCCAGCCCCAGCTCCAAGGATATGAAAAGACCAAGTGCCAATGGATGATTGGGGGGAGAAAAGAGAGCCTGAAACTGATTGCAGGAGAGGACAGAGTGTGAATGCGAAGCTCCTGCAGGGCGGTGGAGGCCTCAAGGACGTGTTGACATAGCTGGGAGTCTCGATGGTCCATCTCTGTCATTTAACAGCTCTGTAGGGTTCCCTGCTGTAGCCCCAGTGCCCACTCACAGGTATTTGTTGAACAGGTGAAAAAGATACTCAACAAATGGTGACTCTCACAGTTATTCAGGGAATCACATGATGTCAAGAGGGATTGACACATCTGGTGGGTGAGCCGGTGTTCAGTGACTCTTGGCCCAAGCACCAAGCATGACCCAAAGATGAAATTTTCTTTGACTATGATCAGTGGATCCTCCTACATCACTCTCCCCTTGGGACCCTTAGAACCACTGCCAGCCATGAGTGATCTCAACGAGCACACGCAACCCTTCCTCCCAGCAATAGGCTGCTGGACCATGACAATTCTGTGCCTCTTCCCCCTAACCCCCCAAATTAGAGAATAGGAAGGGGCTCTGCACCCTCTCTGCACCCATCCTGCTGGCTCAGTGACCCCAGTCCACTCTGAGAGCAAGAACAACCCAGTCTCCCTGGTCCATAGGCAGGAGTAGGGTGCAATTTACAGGCAGACCAAGCTGTGGAATCAGGGAGACCAGTTGGGCAACTTCGCCAATAATCTAGGCAGGAAATGATGGTGGGAGCATCAGGAAACCTCCCCTCTGCAGGGTGGAGCTGTGGGTTCGAAATAGTGAACTTTTTCCAAAAGTCTCCAGGACAGCGCTGGGCAGACACGACAGTCAGCCTTCAGGAGATGGCCACTTACTCATAGTACATGGTTGGTGCTGAGGCTTCTGAAATGGAATCTCTCCGCTGTCTGGGCTCGTGTCTCTTGGCCCAGTAGCTGCATCTAATCTCTCCAAGGAGAGGAAAAGGACAAACTCAAGTTGCAAAGAAAATTTGCTGATGATGCATTGCAGGGGCAGTCCTTTGAGCAAGAGGTAAGTCCCTTGTTCAGAGGCAAGTCCCTTGCGCAGGAGGTGCTATCTTTGCAGCAGTGGAGAAAGACAGAGGACAGGATTAGATCGTGATAAAACACTAACCTTTCACACGTTCAGCATGTGCTTACTTGACTCTTCTCCAGAATATTTTGAAGGGAGAGTGACCTTTAAAGGCAAAGTCCTCTTTCTCATTTTAAAAGAAGTAAGCGTAGGAGGAGTCAAAGTACATATGTGGAGACTCGAATTCTCCCACATCAAACTCTTTTCTCCTGTAATATATTCTCTCGATGGGACTTTAACTGGATGTAATTACATCAATAGCACACTATGTTCACATGGGCGAGAGATCACACACATTTCTATTGGAGTGAAACTGACAGTCACTTTGGCTCAACAAATGTGGCTTTTAAGTGTGCGTGTGTTGTGGGGTAGGAGTGAAGGGAGGGTTCTGAAAAAAAAAGACAGCGCCAGGGCAAATTATCTTCCAGCTTTTCAAAGGCAGCAGCTCCATGCTTGCCGACTCTGTTCTCCGTCAATGCATCTGACAGAGAATTCACAGGCAAGGTCAGACATCACCCCAGTGAGGAAAGAGGAGGAGCCACACCCAAGCAGGGGCCTGGGCTGGGCTCTTTCACAGCTGGCTGAGTGATCTCCCTACTTCAGGCCTCAGTTTCCTCAGTGTGTAAAATAAAGCCATTGAGCCCGTTGCTGTTTAAGGGTCCTTCTGATTTGAACATTACAGTAAGTCAAAGTGCAGCCCGGATGAAGGATGATTAAGGAGCAGGGGGTGGAGAGGAGGAGGGAGCCACCATCAGATAAGCTCATCGCTGTGTCAAGTCTTGTCTTCACTACTTCAGTCCAGGACCAGCCTCTGCGTTCTTTGCGTGGAGGCTTTCTCTGGTCACCAGATTCCACTCTGATGCCCTGGTGGCAGGACTTAACTGCCTTGGAGTTAATGCCCCTTCCCTGAGAAGAGTACTCAACCCATGACTAAGGGCAGTTGCTATGTTCATACCCCAGAACCTCAGAATGGCAGTTCTGGTGGGGTGACTGTGGCGCTCGTGCCTGGCACTGGCTCCTGGGTTTTCCCATCTGATTAACCTCCAGTCACCCACAGTGGGGACCACATTCATAACAGCCTTTATTAGATGGCTTCGTTTCCCTGTCTGGCCTTCCCATGCCCCCCAGGTGTTCCCTCTACCTCCCAACTGAATTGCAGGGCTCAAACCCTTTAAGTTCTGTCACCAGGGGGCACCAAAGCGAAGACAGTAACTGTATTTGTCACCAAAATGAAGACAGTAACTAAGAAATACAGAAGGGCGCAGGAGGGATGCTGGGGTGGCACCTGGCCTGGTGCTCCTCCCATGGGTGTGTCCAGTAATTGCAAGTCCTTTGAGCTGGGTACTTACGATGTGTGTACAGACAGTTCCTCACTTACAATGGTTTGACTTATGACTTTCCGATTTTACCATGCTGCAAAAATAATATGTGTTCAGTAGAAAGTAGTATGATACTGTAACTGGGCAGCTTAACTTCAAACTGTATTTTAGAACTTTTTTTCCCTTTCCCTTGAGTTTCAAGATACAACCTTAAGCAAACTGCAGAGGCCTTTTTCCTTAGCCTTAAAACAGACTCCAAGTCCCTTCCTTTCTCAGCATATATACTCCCTTCTTAGTTATCTAACTATATGCTAGTATATAATTACATGCCTTTTTCGAAGTTCTAATCTTGAGACAGATAGACCCAGCTACAAAATTCCAGAGATTACTTCAAGGCAGCTAGTCAACAACCCAGCCATTGTTGAGATGATGCCAGCCTGTGCTCCAAGTAGACTGGAACCCATAATAGCCACTGAAATAAGACACACAGACATTATACTCAGCACAATTCTTACCTGCCTTCCATATTGTTTTCCCTTTTTATGCCCTTGCTTTCCCCCAAGAAATCAAAATGGGTACCTTGGATGGGAATCCAGCCACTTCCCCATTACTAGTTTTGGTTAAGAAAGCCACTTTCTTTCTGCCATACCTAGCTCTTGTTAATGAGACTCTGCAAGCAGTGATTGAACCTACATTCAGTTACAGTCCTCTCTAGATGCCAGGCAGTCACAGTGAGCTGCAGCACACAGTCAACCATGCGATCACCAGGTTAAACAAAGGATACTCTACAGTGGACTGAGTTGCCAGATGATTTTGCCCAACTGCAGGCTAATGGAAGTGTTCTGAGCACTTTTAAGATCAGCTAGGCTAAGTTGTGATGTTCAGTAGGTTAGGTATATTAAATACATTTTCAACTTACGATATCTTCAACTAATGATAGGTTTATAGAGACATAAAGTTGAGGAACATCTCTCCCTTTCTCTGTGTGTGTTTCACATTACACCTTAATAAAAAGTGTGTTATAAAAATAAGTAGGGGTCAGGTGTGGTGGCTCACGCCTGTAATCCCAGCAATTTAGGAGGCCGAGGCAGGTGGGTCACCTGAGGTCAGGAGTTCAAGACCAGCCTAGCCAACATGGCAAAACCCCATCTCTACTAAAAATATAAACATTAGCCTGGCATGGTGGTGCACCCTGTTATCCTAGCTACTTGGGAAGCTGAGGCAGGAGGCTGAGGCAGTTGAACCCAGGAGGCAGAGGTTGTAGTGAGCTGAGATAGTTCCATTGCACTCCAGCACCTGGGCAACAAGAACGAAACTCCGTCTCAACAACAACAACAACAACAAAAAGGAAGGCCCCAGAAGGAAGGCCCTTTTTAGCTGAGATGCACAGAATATGCTGGGGTGGGAGTGGTGAGAGTGGCAGGAATACACTGGACAAACACTCAATGCACAGAGAACATTAACAACGACATTATTTTTGTCAACTGATGCATGAATTAATTATTAATTAATTGGAAAGTGCATTAATCATTGAATAAACCAATAAACTGAGGAATCATGAGTAAATGCATGAATGAGGTGATGAATGAATGAGCAGGCTTGGGAAGGAGCGAATGAATGAACCAATGAAATAAAGGATGACAGAAGGAATGGTTGATGACTGAGGAGCTGAGTGCACGATGGACAAAGGAAGGAAGAATGAATGAATGAAAGGACAAACAATGGAAGTAGGAATGAATGAACCAAGGAGTCAAACAAGAAACACAGTAACACATGAATGAGCAGGTGAAGAAATAAATGAAACAATAAACAAAAGAAAAATTTGAAGAGGCTAATAATGAATGAATAGATGTAAAAAGATAAGAAACAGCAAATAAATAGTTGTGCAAATACATAAATGGATAAATGGTTGAATGTGTTCCAGCTGGACATGCGGGGAAAGTAACTTACAGAGCGGAAAACTCCAACTCCAAGGAAAGCATCTCTGCTCAGACGTCTGGGGCCAAGGTCTTGGCAAATCAGTGCATTCCTCTAAGAGAAGGTTCCTAAAGTGACTTCAGTTCAGATTTAATAAGAACATTATTAACCAAATATCAATACTGGTATAGAGTGGGCCACTCCCTAGGATAAACCCTAGGTACAGTGGAAAGAGAAAAACAGAATTGCCTGTATTGCTTTCACATTCAAGTCACAGGTTATTACCTATTATGTAGCAAACATAATTTACATAATGATTTTAATAATCAATATTTAAATAACACATTTTTACTATCTCCCTAAAAATTAACCTCCAACCAGAGTAATGTCAGCTTGGGAAGTTTTGCTGTGTGGTGTGGGAATCAGGGATAAGGGTTAAGCTGTCACCGTGATCATCTTATGAGACCCTGAGGCCAGGTGATGCTGTGGACAGAGCTTGGGTATAGGGACTCAAAAAACCTGGGCCCAAACCGTCAGACCAGTCATTCCTGCATCTGGGCCTCAGTTACTCCCCTGTAAATTAAGGATGGTTGCCCAAATTCTAAAACTCACTGAGGAATTAGGGGACTCTCACAAGAGGCCTGGATCTGGGTTAGAGTTTATCACACACACCACACACCTCATCCTGAGGAAATGGATCGAGTCTCACTCCTCAGTGCATCTCAGCAGCAGCACAGGGCCTGGCACATAGTAGGTGCTCAGTAAGCACTGGCCCAGGGAATGAATGAATGATCTCAGTGTACAGTGTGTGTTTTAGGAGCTGCTCCGAGTCCTTTTCAAAACAACTGTGGCTTGATGAACAGGTGCCTCTCACCGCATGTCCTCGTGTCACTTGTCACGCTCCTCCAGCCGTCCCTTGTTCCCTTGACTCCTCCAGTGTCCTCCCGTCTCTCCCCTCCTGCTGCCTTGTGCTGTCTCTAACATCAGGTGGGCCTAAGAAACATGGAAACAAGCAGGGGAGCTTGGGAAGAAAGTGAGAATCGACGCCTCTGAATGGGGCCAAGGGGTCTGCACTGAGTGAAAGCCCGGGAAAACACAATGCGTCTCGGGGTCTCCACACTGACCCTGATGCCGCCGGTATTGATAAGAGATCAGCCTGCGGATCTCACCCCTGCAGGGCTGACGGTGGCTGGGGAGGATCCAGGTCTGTTGACAAGGACTCGATGCTGCCCTGCTGTCACCGTGTGGACTGAATGCTGTGATTCAGCTCTTCATCTGTGATTCTGGGACTTCTTCCTGCTCCTACAAGTCTGTTTTCCTAAATAATCCAGCCTATTCAACTGTCTTCTTGCCCTAAGGCAGTGGAAACCACACGTACCTGGTCCCACCTGCAGAGGATGAACAGCCCCTCGTCACTCACCTGTGTCTGACCCTGCTGATCCTTCACTTCTCTGCCCTGTGCCCACTTCTTCCAGCTTGGATGACAGTCACGCCGCCCTAGTCAGGCCTGATGGGATTGGCCCAGGCAGGGGTGCGAGAGAGGGAGGAGGCCAGTCTAAGAGAGAGGCAGGAGCCCACCACAAGGGGCCTGGATTTCCATGGCGAGGAGCATGGACTTCATCCCATGAGCAGCGAGGACAGGCGGAGAGAGCACAACGGTCAGCTCTGTGCGGCCAAACTTAGCAGATTCCATGTCCAGGGCCCAGGAACCTGGAAGTGGCCCTGGTGGGTCCAGGGAATCAGGTGACCATGAGTTACCTTGGGGTCTATCACCTGTAGCACTCCCAGTGGTTCCAGGGCCAACATGTCTCCCCACCTTAGCTGATGGCGTTGGGCGCAGAGATGCAGTGACTGCCCCAGCCAGTCATCTGCACAGGCTCTGGCCAGCAGGGCCATTCTGACTTGGATTCCCCAACACCTTCTGCTCTCCTGTAGCAAGTCCAGCCTCAGGGGCTGCCCCAGCATGTCCCCCAGGAACAGGATCAAGGGAACTCTGCTCATTTTCATGGACAGCCAAGGACACCCCAGGCCACCTGTAAGTGGGGGAGCCATAGGTGACCCAACTCCTCTTCCATTTGCCACATTCTTCAAATTGTCCATGATCATCATCACAAATTGCCTCTGAAGATAGACGAAGAAGTTATTTTTTTAAAAAAGAGAAAGACAGCAATAGGCAGAGGTGGCTCCTATAAAATCAGATCAAATTTCCTTCTACACAATTAAACACAGGCATTTAAAATGCTGTTTCCCACAAAGCACTGGCCCCGGTTAGAAGAGATTATTTGGTAAGGAAGAGACTAGAGGTTTCTGAGAATTTAAGGAACAAAAGAATTGAGGGCTTCAGAGTCAGACAGACTTGAATTTGAGTCTCAGCCCAGCCACGTCATTGGGCAGGTTTCACTCACCTCCCAAACCTCCCTTCCTTCATTTCTAAACTGGGGATAACACCTCTCACAGGTATACAGGAGAAATGTGGGTAAAACAGTACTGTCCCTGGGATGCTGCAAACATCCAAAACACGGTTGATGCTGTTACAGACTAAATGAAGAATAAAGACACAGCAGAGTTGTCTTGGGACAGACACTTCTTGCCTTTTTGTCCCTTTGGAAATTTCCTGATGGACTGCTTGAGCCACCTAGATAATCTCTTATTCTGATAAAATAAAGCTTGACTGCAGAAAGCCTCACCATCAAAGAAGGAAGAAAAAGACACTCACACTGTGATGAGCATAAAATCCACTTCTTATAGAAGACCCTGGGATCAGTGGGGTGAAGGGCAGCCGCTCACCCATATCAGTGGTTTCTGCACCGAGGACTGGATGAGCAGTGTCTCACTGTGTTCCCACAACAGACGCAAAGGGACATCATCCTCCCACTGTACAGATGAGGAAACTGAGGTCCAGAGCAGTGATGTCATTTCAATGACAGACTTTTACTGAGTACCTACTGCGTAGGACCTAGCAGTGAATAAGACAAAGTCCCTGCTCTCCTGGAGCTGGTGTTGTGCTGGGGGGATGTGGATCATAAGAGATGAATATGTAAAACGTGTCTGACAATGATAAGTGCTAGGGAGTCAAATAAGGCTGGAAGTCTGGGCCTCGTTTGTCCCGATGGAAAGCTTGCTTGTGTCCTGACACTGTGAGGCTTCTCAGAGCTGCCTTCATCTGGGGAGGCTCCCAGCATGAAGAACATTGTGTGGGAATAATGGATGCGTGGAGCATCATTCATTCATTCATTCGTTCATTCGTTACCCAGGCCTAACCCTGGGTATAAATCAGTGAAACCAGACAAGCTCCCTCCCACAGCTCACACTCCAGCCAGGACCTGAAGCCTACAAGTCAGCGCAGATCAGCAAGATGAAGCCAGCTCTTGGCTTCCCTAAGCCTCGGGCTCCTTGCCTGTGCAACAGAGGTGAGAGCAGCGAACCCCAGCATGGGTCATGATAATAGCAGGAGCCATCACTCATTGACTGGGCTGCCTGTTCTAGGAACGCTGCCGAGGGCCGGCACATCTCATCTCTGCCCAGCCTCGTGACTGCCCTGTACACCACAAGGAACAGATGAGGAAACTGAGGCCCAGAGAGGTGACCTCAGCTGGTCAAGGTCACAGGGTCAGCAGGTGGCTTCAGAGTCAGAATACTCCAGCTGTGTCCAGGCTCAGCCATTCCCCAGCTGCGTGATCTTGGCAAGCCTCTCACCTCAGGGCCTCAGTTTCCTCATCAGCAAAGTGAAGATGACAGTGGTCCCTTCCCCCACGGGGCTGTGGGAGGCTTAGGTGAGATGGCACGTGGGGCGAACTTAGGGCTGTGCCTGGTGCAGAGTCACATAGTAATAGTGCTAGCAACCTGCCCTCATGTGGTGCCCACTGAGTTTGATTCTCATGATAGCTCTTAAATGGAAAGTGCTAATTATAACCCTTTAACAAAATGTGCTATTCTCTCCAGTTTACTGATGAGGAAACAGACCCAGAGGGTTAAAGTCATTCACTAAAGTAACAATAGCAGGATTTTTTCTACTTATTTGTGATTTCTATTGATCCTGAGTTTGTTTTTTGTTTTTGTTTCTTTTTTCTTTCTTTTACTTTTTCTTTTTTTCTTTTTTTTTTCTTTTTTGCTTTTTGCTTTGCTTTCTTTTTCACTCATTTTCTCCTGTTTGTTATATTTATCAAATATTGTCTATTACCTTTTTGGTTTTGAAAGTCTACATTTTGTTCTGCTTCGTTTAATAGTTATCTTAAAAATGAGAAGGCATATTTGAATTAAAACAGTCTAATGCTAATAAATCTCTCTCACCTCTCCCTAACAACACCAGGACCTTAACTCTGATCTCCTCCTTCCAAATTTTGTTTGTATGTTTGTTTATTTTTAGAAACAGGGTCTCTCTATGTTGTTCAGGCTGGCTTTGAACTCCTGGGCTCAAGCAATCCTCCTTCCTCAGCCTCCCAAGTAGCTGGGACTACGGGTGTGTGCCAACACACCCAGCTTTCACTCCCATTTTAATGTTGGTTTTATATAGTGCTATGATTCCATCTTCTTTTTGTACCTCTCCAACTTAGTTCTTACTCTTATTGTTGCTGGTTTTGCTTGCTTCATCTAGCCACTGAATAATTGCCATTTTCCCTAAGCACATTAACCTTTCTGCACACTGTTGCTGTTTTCCTCTTAGTCCTTCCTTTTAGGTTCAATGTCCTTCTTCTTGAAGTGATCTTTTATTAGTTCCCTTAACAAGATCTCCTGAGCAGTAAACTCTCAGTTTGTATCTGAAAATATACTTTTTCTCTCTCATCAACTTTTAGTTGATGGTATAGCTGGAACTAGAATTCTACTTCACTAGTTATTCTTCTTGGTATTGAAAACATTCCATTGTTTTCTAGTCTCTATTGTTGCCACTGTGTAGTCTGCTGTCATCCCATTGTGTGTCTTTCCTTAGTTGTGATCCATCCTTTTTCTGATTGCCTTTTTTTCCCCTATTTAACTAAAGCTTTTTTAGAAAATGCATAGCCAAATCTCCATCATGCTCCAATCCAGTCGCTAGTCCTTCAACAAGGATAACCACTTCTAACACCATAGATTAGATTTGCTTGCTTTAGAAGTTTTTATAAATATAGTATATTTTATCATTTACATTTGTATTTTATAAATAAATGTAGTATATTCCCATTTGTATCTGAGTTATTTTTCTTCTCAACATTATGTTTGTAGTTGCAGTTTATCAATTCCCACTGATATAGGTGTAGATATAGGTATTGGTAGATCCAGGTCTAGATATACATATAGTTTGGTTTAGCCTTCTTAGGATTCATAGGACTTATTGAATCCAAAATTCCTCTTCTGCAAATTCTGAAAAATCCCTGTTCCTTATTGATTTGAGTGTTTTCTTTTTCATTCCTTCTTTTCTTGTATTCCAGAACCCCTATTTCATGTAGGGTGGATCATCTTATACTAACCTAATTTCTCTTAATTTTGCTTTCATATTTTTCTCCAATGTTCTTTTCTGACCTGTACTCTGGAAAGTTTCCTTTTGTCTACATTCATGTTCATAGTTTTCTCTTTAGCTTTGTCAACTGAAGAATCACTAGGTTTATAAATTGGAAAGGAGAACTTCATTTCTTATAAAAGGTTGGAGCCTACAGGCTGGCCATCCCACAGACTGAGAAGCAGAGCCTCTGGCAGAAGCCAAAAGCTAAAACTTTGAGGGAGGGAAGGATAAACAGGAATGTTTGCTGAATGGGTTGGCCAGGTATACATATTTAATAAGCTATAGGAAGAGTCATGAATATTTATGAAAGGAGAAACGTGTGCACACACAACTGAACTTTATGCCTCTTTGTGGTTCACGTGTTCAAAAAATGGCAGTGCTAGCATAATCCAAGGGCAGAGTTTTTGGCCCTCTGGTGTCAAACGATGAAGCAGAAGACACAAAACCCTCACTGCACATCCTCTGTAGCCTGGCCAGAACCACTGCATGGTCAGTGGCCTCTTATCAGGAAGGAATCCTGGTCAGTTGCTGTGTCAAAAGCACAAAACGGAGGAGAAGCATAAGGTGATTGGCTGAAATCAGCAGTGGCATGAGTCTTTTGAAAGGGCTGACTGCTCCTTAACCCTTAGGGAAGACAGACTAATGGCAATTAGCAAGGAAAGGGTATAACAAGGTGTGTCCAGCCTCCTGTCCTGTTATGGCCAGGAACTCAGTTTTCAAGGTTTCTCTGGGGTTCCCTTGGTGAAGAGGAGGTCTTTTTAGTCTGTTGGGGTGCTTAGGATTTTATTTTTGTTTCTCAGCTTTGCCTAATATGCTACTTTAATCATGTACTCATTCACTGAGTTTTCATTCCAAAGATCATACATTTGGTCCTCAATATTCCTGCTCTTTTAAAATAATATCTGGTTTTATTTTTAGGATTTTGATTATTTCTTTTATGTCTTTATTTTAAATGTACTTATCTTAGAGTTTTCTTTGGTATATGGGAGGGGGTGTAAATTCTGGAGACTCCTAGGAAGACCTAGAGGATGAAAATGGGGGCAAAAATATTCCAACAGATATAGTTGGTTACAGGTTAGCACAGGTTGGACAAGTGGAGTTTTTTTGTATCAGCAGCCAGGAGAATATGGGCATGTCTGTCCTCAGAGGACTCTGATCTTCAGGACCCGGGAAGCAACTCCTCACACGACATTCAGTATCACATTCCCTCATAAATGGATGCTGGAGATCTGGATAGAGTCCCAAAGAGGATACAGAGATGATCAAAGGGGCAGAGCCAACTGGTTCACAGGTTGGAGGAAAAAAGTATTAGCATTAATAGTAATAACCAATAAACATTGTAGATAACACTTATGAAGGGCTTGCTATGTGTCAGTCACTATTATAAGTGTTTGATATATATATATATACACATTTATTTCATCCTCAAACAGCCTCACAAGGAGAATACTACTACTATCTTCATTTTACAGATGAGGAAATTGAAGCCAGAACAGAGGAGTTCATTAGAGAAAAGGAGTTGGGGAATGGAGTGGAGGTCGTGTGATGTGGGAATCAGATGGTCAGAATTCACACCTCTCTCCAGTTGGGCCCTCATCAGCTGTGTGTGTGGCCTTCAACCAGCAACTCCAAATCTGTAAGCCTCGATTTCCTCCTCTGTGAAGTTGAAGGATAGGTACACTCCCTGAAGATCCTTGAGCATGATACAGGCTGCAGAGATGGAGTATTTGTTCTTTCCCTGAAGCTGGGGTCAGCACTAAGCCCCCACCAGCCAGCTCCAGGAACCTTCTCAGGGAGAGAAGCCCAGAGGAGGCCCTTAGTGAGAAAGGGGTGGCCGAGTCGGCTTCTGGAAATTGCCCTGGATTTTATGGGTCATGGAAAGCCCAGGGGTCTGAAATCCTAGTGTCCTGGGGTCATGCCCGATTTCTGGCAGGGAGCAGCAGATACTCAGTGCCAACCAGAACCTCTGTCAGCAGAGGAGCTGAGCTCCTGCAGAGGAGACCCAACTCCCCAATGCAAGGATCTCTTTGATTACTTTTTAATGAAAAACACGTTTTCTTCCAAGCTGAAATTATATTGTCAGCAGTTAATTATCACTTGTTAAACAAGCGTGCGCCCGAATTGTGGGTTTAATTTCCATAAAGGTTTGCAAAAACCTCCTTTCCGTTATTTATGAGGGCTCTCCGAGAAAAAGACATTCAGTATTAGAAATGGAGCTTTTTTAATGCAGATTTTATTTTTTAATGAACAGGGGTTTTTTTTTTGTTTTTTTGGGGGGGGGCATGGAATTAGAGTTCCTTGTAAATAACAGGAAAACATTCAGTCTAGTTTAAGCAAACAAAAATGAGATATGGGAGGGTACTAGCTCTAGAGGGTGTCCTAAGGAACTTAAGGGACCTGGGTCTGACGCAGCGTGAAACAGGGACCCAGGCAACCCTGCCTGTCCACCCGCTTATGGGTTTCATCTTGGATTCTCTGCACTTCTGTTTCATGCTTCCTTCTGCAGCCAGATTTTCTCAGCTTCTCCGCTCACCTTGCAGACATGGCCCTCTCTCCTCTCTTGAAATCACACTTCCTTGTGGTAAAAGCCAGCCAAGGTGATGGACCAGTCCTGGGTTTATGTCTTGGTTTGGGCACTGACTCACTGGTATCCTGGGCAAGTCCTTAGCCTCACTTATCTGTTTCTGTCACCAGGACCAACTCCTGCCTTGTGTATTAAAGGTCATCTTGGGAGTAGATGCTTAGCATAGCTCAAATCACATGGTGGACTCTGCAAGGAAGTGTAGCTGTGGCTGTTGTTGCTGCAGTTTGGTTACTATGATGACGTCAGCAGTAGTAACAATAATAATATTGCCCCCTGATCAGATGGGGAGCTCCTTACTGGAGAGACAGGTGAATAGGAGAGACAAGTCATTGTCTATTAGACCCTCAGTGGATGACCAAGAGACCCAGAGCAAGTGCTGTGTAATTTTAATCCAGAGCCATGAGCCTTGACTTCTTTATAAGAAAGAAATCATTGTGGGGATAAGCTGAGATAATGGTGACTGGCATATAATAATCGTTCAAGAAATACTAGTTTGCTTTCCTGAATGCTGCCACAACTATGATAGGGTTTGGTAACTGTCCAGTGAATAGGGAAATGATGGAAAATACATACGTGATATTTTGGGTAAATGGAAATGTTATTTCATATAAAGTACTCAGCTCAGCAGCTGGAACATACACTGTTGTCAATAAGCATTACTATTATGACTACTAACTTTCTAAGGTTCAGTGTGAAGGATGGGTTTGGGGAGGAGACGGGAGACTGGGGAATATGGGGCTGGAGAGGAGCAAGGACAGCTGGGGGGCAGTGGGGTGGGCCCCATGTCTGGCCACTCCTCCCTCTGTCTCCAGCTGTAACTGACATTAATGGAACTCTAGTTTCTAATCCTTTTTGCAATTTGAAAAGTGGTTTATTTGGTCCCTGCAGATGGAGGTACACTATTAGCTCTGCTTTGCTTTTCCCCTATCTTAACGTGGAGGATGTTTATAACAATTGTGTACAAAAAATGTTGTCTCCTAGTTAAGCAATAATAATAATAATAATAATAATAATAATAATAATAATGGTACCAAAAAAAGGGCATCATGTGAGGGTGAGAGGGAATCAGGTAGAGGAAAGGAGAGGAAAGGAGGCCTAAGTGCATGCTGGTGACTACAAGGAGAAGATGAGAACGAGTCATGTAGCCAAATTATTTTTAGCTAAGAGTAGTTCCATTCACTTCATAATGGACAATCCTTGCTGTCCCCTGTGATATGAGGGATTTTTCCTATTATTATTTTCCCACCTGCCATAAGGCCCTAGGCCCCCAAAAACCCTGTCCATGAAAATGGGGCCAATGCCAACAAAAGCTCGAGGACTGTTTAGCGTGAAATCAGGCATGTTCAGAGGAACCTCCCACTTGGGGCCCTGAGCAGAGATGCAGGTCTTGGACATGTAAGGCCCAGGACCAAATTTGTTCCAAATACCCTGGGGCTGGGGGGAGATGCGGTCAGAATGACTCCCTCTTTTAGCCAGCAGAACTTCTGTGAGGGATGCTCCTGCTGGCTCCAGTTGTGATGTGCAAATGAAACAGCAGTTCCTCATCAAATTAGCAAGATTCCCGGCACTGGCAAATGGTGTGGGGAGGAGGCATGGCTCCCCAGCCTCACCTTGCCCTCCCTGGAACACTCTGGAGCAGCCACACACCTCTATGAGGGCAAGACCAGGTGAGAATTCCAAGCCCACCCCCACTTACCTGGGTGCAGCTGGGCATCACAGTGAGCCGAGCCAGGCCAGGCCAGGCCAGGTCTGTGCGCTCAGGTGAAACACAGGGGTATCCCTAGAACCTGCTTCCTTGGGCTGCCTTGAGAAATAATGAGACAGCCCCTTGTTTAGGACAACATCTTCCCCGTAGGACATCGCCAGGGCTGAAGTCATTGTTTTCTCAGCAAATACTCACTGGGCGCCTACTGGGCATTCGCTGTCCCAGGCAGCGCAGGGGAAAGCCCAGAACCAATTAAGGCTTCTGTGTGGGGAGCTCAGATCTAGAAGGAGACATATGCAGAGCATCAGATGGGACTGCAGGGTGCATAAGAGCGCTAGAGGAAAAGGAAGCAGGGGAGGGAGCAGGGAGTGCTGGAGGTCACACTTGTAAATTGGGGTCAGGGAGGGCTCTCAGAGCAGGTGACATTGAGGCAAGGACGAAGGGGGTGGAGGTGGGAGGGAACAGGACAGACATGGGAGAAGTTCCAGCTGATGCAAGGGCAGGGCCAGAGCCTGTAGCTAGGAGCTGCAAGGGTCCCAGGTTCAGGAAGGAGCTGGAGGGGCTGGAGGGGAGTAGAAGAGGAGATGAAGTAGGCCAACGGGGGAGGGGGCTGGAGACTCTGGGGGCCTGGGGACACTGTCATCTTGGATGTGCCCAGTGAGGCAGGAGCCTGGGACTTTAGAAGCAGACCAGAGACAGCTCAGCCCTGAGTGTCACAGGGTCACACTGGCTGCTGCATGGAGAGTAAGTGGAGCCATGGGCCTGCCAGGAGGCTACTGCACCAGTCCAAACATGATGACCGTGGGATCAGGGTGGGAGCCTGGAGAGGGTGAGGAGATTTGGAATCTGGGTTTATGTTAAGGTTGAACCAAAGGGACTTAAGGGTTATCCACTCTATAAATATGAGGCATTACTAGTTTTTAAAACATCATACCATTTTACTGAGTATCTCCTTATAGGAAAAAAATTAAAGAATAGAATCCATAGCAACATTATTCAGGAGAGTTAAAAAAAAAAAAGGAAATTATCCAGGTTTTTTAAAATGTGAGTCTACTTCAATAAATTACAGAACATCAACCAAATGGACGATTTCCAAGAGTATATAATGAGATGGAAACTGGTCAGACTGGAGTGTCAGGTAAGAAATCCCCAAATCTGCATCTGCTCCATGAAGAGGACACAGCTAGGGTCACAGATGTCCACCTCTGCTCCTGGGCCCTCAGGAGAATGACGGCTCCCCATGGCCTTCCCATTAGGTGCTCTGAGATTGGCACTGGTGAATGAAATGTGCATAGAGGTAGTGAGTGTCCCTTCTAGGTGGGAGCATTTGAGATCCAGTGCCCGTGCTCATGTCCTTTCTGCCCTGCTGCAGTGACCGTGGAAGCACACACAGAGACGTTGACATCCTCAGACGGTGGAGCCTCCATCAGCAACAGTCCCCGGGTGCCGGTGCTGAGCCAAACAGCAGCAGCCCTCCCTGCTGGCCACAGTGGACATGCAATAAGGGTGAAAAATCATCTTTGTGGTTTTAGGGTGAGGTGGCGTTGCCAAATCTCATCCTAGCTTGTCCTGACAGTCTGTCTTGTAAGCTCCAAAATTTCATCTGCTGCCATAACAATTTTGAGCCTCACAGGACCCCAAAGGCCTAATTGTGAGTTCCTGGGCTCCCACCAGGTATGCCCCCACCCAACAGGAAAGTCCCCCCACCCAGCTACTTCCTCTATCAGCCAGGCCAGCTGCGCTCCACCTGGTCCCCACCTAATGGGCTTCAGCTCTCTGCCAAATGTGGAGTTATTCAAACCAATTACATCCTTCTGCAGGCACCTCACCCTCTTGTTATGACAAAGCCTTTCTCCCATGGCCCCTGCTGGTCCTCTCTGCTTTTGAGTGCAGGTTTCATGTGGCCATACATGAAATGCAGCATCCTCCTCCCTCGAGCTGTGTGTTGACTAATAAACTCATCAATTGCATCTGTCCAGTGTCAGGTGTTGTGTATTTAGCTGTTTCATACTGTTTAAGTCGGAGGATTCCTCCCCGGCCAATAGGATAAACAGGAAGTGCGCAGAACACAGTCCCAGCGATGGGAAATCATCAATACTTTAACAGCATCAATACTTTAACAGCTAGTGTCTTTGGGAAGTGGGATGCCAGTGATTTATACACGATTTTTTCTATATCCTGTGCTTTCCAAGTGTTTTACAGTAAGTGTGAATTATTATTTTAAAAGAAAACTCAATGTTATTAACAAGAATACCTGGGCCCTGGCCAAGGCCATCCTCGTCCCAGGGTGCATTTTTCTATCCCTCATCAGACTCCTGGTCCACTTAGCATCGGTCCCACCCAATTAGCCCTTTATTATAGATCGTTTTGTTCTCTAGTTGTCCGCTCTGCATAATTTAGCACGGCCATATACTGTCTTGTTCTCAAACATTTAATTTAGTGTCCCTTGGCCTCAGTTTCTTCATCTCTAAGTGCAGTGGTGGCAGAAAAGGAGATTATTAGAGGCCCCTTTTGTGTGACATTCTCGTGGAAACTAAAGTAAAGCTAACACTGGTTTAGCACTTACTGTGTGCCAGACACTCTGCTAAGCACTTTTCATGCATTCGTTCATTTAATTATTTCAAATAATTAAATTAATTATTGCCCACTCCCTCCCCCATTTTAAAGATAAAGATACTTAAGTTCAGAGAGGTTTAGAAACTTGTCCAAGGTCACACAGCTCAGAAGTGGTGGAGCTGGACTTCAAACCTGGGCAATCTGCTCCTGGGTCTGTGCTCTTCCTGCTCTATGCCCAGACCCTGCATCAGGTGCTTGATGCACAAAAATAAGGCAAGGTGTTTGCCTGCAGGCAGAATAATAGTAACAATGCCAGTTCACGTGCCTTAAGGGCTCATTGTGTGCCAGACCTTTAACTCACATTAGGTCGTGGGGTCCCTGCAATATCCTATGCAGAGAGGCTGCCACAGTTACTTACCGTGGTACAGAGGAGGAGTCAAGACCCTTCATTCTGCCCAGACTCTCACCTCCAAGAGGGTCCCGGAAGTGTCATTTGAACCCAGAAATCTGCCTCCAGTTGCTTCATTTCATCCAGTGCTTACAACACTTGATGTCATCAGTATTACTGTGCCCATTTCACAGAGGGGGAAAATGATGAGGCTCAGAGAGGTTAGGCAACTTTCCTGAGGTCTCACAGCCAATAAGAAGGAGAGTCCTGGCTGGAAATCACAGTCACCCAAAGCCTGTGGCCTAAGCAATGGACCACACTGCCTCTCAGCATCGGTGGCAGGGCTCAGAGGCCTTGAACGAGAACCAGGCCTCCCCCATCAGGGTGTAGAATCAAAATGCAACAACACCCTCCAAGAGAGACCCCCAGGAATTTGCACTCAGATGCTGTCCTGAGAGCAAAGAGGAGAGAAAACACGAGTGCTCAGAGTAGGAATGGGAGACTGGAGCCTGGAACCCAAACAGCCCAGGTGGCCTCTCTGCAATGCCCAGGTGGCACAGAGCAGCACTGCTCCAGAGGGTCGGTGCCTTCTGCCGGCATGAGCCCGGAACCTGTCACTTTGTAACTTTATAACTAAGCCAGTCCTGTGTGCTGGGTAGAACCCATCAGACATGTCTGGGGTGACAGGCGGCCTCCACAGCTTGAGAGGCTGTGACTCACTGTGGATCCTAAACCCAGCTGGAGTTTATGGTTCAACATAATTGTTCTAATTGCCATTGTCATGGCTGATAACATTATGTGACAGCCATAAACTCACATTTAGAGAGGGCCCCGGAGATGGGAGCAGCTGAAGATGATGTGGACGTGATCTCAAAGGGAAATGGGAGGGCTCAAGCTGGAGGGCCTATCTTGCATTCTGGGGACAGGTATCTTTTTTGTCTTATTTTTTTTAAGACAGAGTCTCACTCTGTTACCCTGGCTGGAGTATAGTTTCATGATCATAGCTCACTGCAGCCTCAACCTCCTGGACTCAAGCAATCCTCCCACCTCAGCCTCCTGAGAATATGGGACCACAGGTGCATACCACCATGCCCAGCAAAGCTTAAGATAATTGCCAAAATCATGGCGTAAGGGTTACAGAGCAGTAGAACAGTCTCACGTAAGAATGAGACACCACCTGATTCTTAGATTCTAAATGTCACAGGACCCTGGAACAGCACAACAGCATCTTGGGCACAGAGACGGGGGTGGTATGAGATGGGGCCATGGGGAGAGGCCTGGATTTCAATCTTAGTTCCGCTGCTCATTAGCTCTGGGACCACTTTGTACCCCATCTCAAGAGTGGGAGAACTGTGTCTTCCTTCATGGGTGCAGGGGAGTACTTGATGGCCTGATGGGGACCGTGCATGGCAGGGTGCCATGTGCCTCATTATAAGTGATGGCTGCATATGCAAGGACAGACTGAAATACAATGTCAGGGCTAAAAGGACTCCTCCGAAACTTCCAGGCCTCTGTCTGGCCCTTGGAATCACCATTAAAGCAACCCTGATGGCAGGCCCCGTGCCAGCAAGACTGGGCAGTTTGGTCTCTGCTACATCCTCAGCACCTAGAACAAGTCTTGGCTCAGAATCAATGCACAATTAAAACTGCTGAATGGATGAACAAATGAATGAAGAGTAAGTGAAGCTTAAGTGGAAGCAGCACCAGTGACTGTGGCCTTGGATGAAAAGATGGGAGTTGAAACCTTCACCCTGGGATCACTGCACCTCCGTTTTCCCGGTGGTGACGTCCAGGAGCAGTTGTTGCTCTCCAGGGTCTTCAGGGTCTCTCCCAAGTCCCTCCCCACGAGGTCCGATGATAAGCCTGTCTCTCTGGGGAGCTGGGAGGGCCAAGAAAGCTAAGAAGGGTGGCAATGGGTCAGGTCTGAGTGGGGCTGGCAGCAGCGACAGCGGAGGCCTCCCCAGCAGGGCTGGGCTGCAGGTTTCAAATCCCACGTGGCACCCAAGCTCACATTATGGTGCTGGCAAGGAGCCTTGAGCAGTTATTAAACTGGTGTGCCTGTAGGTGTATAATTGTCAGAAATGGTTTTTGCATATTTTGATAAATTTATAACTGTGGAGTGTAATTATCCCTCATTAGCATATGCTTATGTTGTGCATAATTGTGTCTTGTTTCACAAAGAATGTGAGTTGCCAATTCACGACCAAGACACGGTGTCACCAGTGTGCCCATTGTGCATCCCCACCACTGAAGACACGGAATGGCATCTCAACAACCCTGAAACCATCTCCCACCAGACATCTTTTTGTGCACAAGCATATCTCAATTGCTTGAGCCACTATTGTTGGTTTCTGCTACTTGGTACCCAATGCATCCATCATGATGCAAGCACCTACTATGTGCCCAACTCATGTCCTCATAATCCTCAACAGGCCAGGTCACTGCTATCTGTGCACACTCTCCTATATCAGAGCCTGGACTTCTGCAGGGGAAGGTTGTGTCTTGTCAGTCTCTGTTACCCCGGAGCTTCACATGGGTCACAAGCCACATCGAACCTCAATTACCAGGAGCTGCATAACATGAATACATGAATGAGCCAAGGAGTCAATTAATGATTAAATGAACGTAATTGATGCAGAAGTGCTTTGTAAAATGTAACAGAAGTTTACAGGTTCATGGAGATGAATCATAGAAGAAGGTTCAGGATGGGAACCAGGGATCAGAAAAAAATCAGCGCTCACTGCCCCCCTGCTTCAGCATGGATGGAGGCACTGCCATCCTCCCAGATGTCCCTCCTGCTCCCGCAGATGTCAGGTCTGCAAAATCTCACCTATCCCCTTGAGCCCTTTCTCTTGTTCTTGCTGGCATTAACAGTGAGCATCTCTCTCCCTTCCCCAAACAGACACTGAAAGAAAAGGCTTTGTGCGCTGTCATTTTCTCCCTAAAAAATAGTCGTGAGAAACCAAATGGTCATCATTACACCAGCTGCAATTCTTTGCTGCATTATTTTCTAAGAGATGGAGGACAGGGCACCAAGAGAGGGGGCAGCAGGGAGAAGAGAGAACAGGCTTTAAAATTTCAGTGCCGGGTTTTGCAAGCAGACTGGATTAAAGAATCAAATCAAATGAATTTTGCCATCAGAGTGAGAGATCTGTCTTCCCCAAAATGCTTTACTTTGACAGTCGACTTCAAGAGATTTGACAGAATTCGTTTTCCCAGCAAATAGGATCAAGGTAGGAAATAAGACCCATTCCATCATGAGAATTCTGTTAACCACTTGACATAATTGTGGGTTATCCAGGGAGGGTAGCCAGTTTTTGGCAAAACGGATGAGTCTGTTTGTTATTGTTCTTTTTCCCACCGATGTCTCACATTTGTGGCACCTGGAAAAGGCGGTGTGAGGGAGGAGTCAGCCACGGCACGCAGGGGCTTGGGAGCCAGTTTGAGACCCGCACAGCCCTCATCCTCTCTGCTTCCCTGGGAGTCATGAGGAGCAGGGGGAGGGTTTGTAGAAACAGCATTTTTCCTCCTTTTAAAATATCTGTAAAGAGTTTACCAAACTGGACAAACATAAGATTTGGCATTTGTTACTTACTTCTATTTCCTCCTCTGTAAAAATAACAGACTTGATGACATTTGCCACCCTGGGGAGCTGCAGGTCCAGAAGCCCACAGATATGAGGGAAACCAGACAGTAGGACCTCATGAGGCAGCTGTTTCCTCCCCACCAGGCCCACCCTGCAGACCCCGGGGAGAGGGTCTAGGGCCACGTGCGATCCCTGACTTGCAAAAATGCCTCTAAGATGCTCCCTAGTGTCAGCTTTCCTCTGACCACAAACGTGCCAACAGTCCAAGTGGGACTATAACGCCTCCCAGCCTCCCCACCATGGCATCTCCAGGCCCATTAAATGGGCGATTTATAGGCCTGACACATAGATCTGTGTTCGCTGTGCCAAGATCAATGCCTCCCCAGTCTGAGATTATGCCCTTGAGCAGCTCCTTCCCCTTAGAGAGATCTGAGTGCTCTGCCCTTGTCAATTACCGGTGCCACACATGACAGCCCTGCCCCAGCTTGTCACCTCACACTGGGGACATGGGGGCAGGATGGTGCACTGTGCCAGGCTGGCTGTGGGCTCCCCAGAGCTCCTCGCCCACATTCTCCCTCCTCAGGTTCATGGTTGAGAGCCCGACTGTGCAGCTGGATCTCCTGGGTTCGAACAGCAGTGACGTGTGACCATGGACAATGCACTCAACCCCTCTGTGCCCAGTCCCCTCATCTGCAAGTGGAGATGTGTTGGCTACTGCTATTGTCACCAATGCCTTCTTCCCCCTTCCTCCACCCCGGCTACACTCACCCTCATCATCACCCCATCTCTGCCTACACCTCGCTCCTGGATGCCTGCCCCTCCATCTCGATGTGCAAGCTCATGGAGGCTTCGGGGTGAGACCCCAGGGATGGCTGCATTTCTCAGGGGCCCCAGAAACCTGAACAGCCTTCGAGGCCCACAAGGCTGTGTCCTCAGAGAGAGCAACTTCATCACCATGGCCTTCAGGGATAGATGGTCCTGCAGTTCCTGTACTGAGGAGCTCCGTCCTCACTGTCGTCTGTGACTGAGGATGCTTGAGTCCCTAAGTACCCAGGACGCACCAGGCAGACTTGAGGAAGGAAAGACAGGCTCTAGCTGCCCATCTGCTATGTCCCTGGCCCCATCACCAGCACTGTCACCCTACATCTGCTCACCAGCCCTGTTGATAGCCCCCCTCCACTGCACAGACGGGGAACACAAGGCTCAGAGAAGACTGAGGTCTGTGTGCGGAAAGGCTCCCATTAAAGCCTGGGTCTGCTGCTCTCCCTCAAAGCACATGCTTGCCCTGCTCCAGGTTCCACCAGGCCCTGAGTTTGTCCCCCAGTTGCCCTCCAGCCATGCCTGGTGTCCCTGCTGGAGAGAGGCAGGTCCCAGGTCCTAAGGTGGAACCAGGGACTCAGAGTCTTGGTCTTTAGCCCGAAACACTGTTGGTGTCTGCCTGTGACTGTAGCTCCTGCTATATCCCCATGTCAAGTCCTTTGAAGGGAAAGAAACAATAGAGAAACACCTGTTGCCAGGTTTCGGGTGGCTCTGAAATCTCCCTCCTGCCATTCTCATTGGTACAGTCACTGAGAATCTCATGGGGAGAGGAGGAGGCCGTAGGGTCCCCCACTTCTGTGTCTGTGGAGCCAAGACACCACACAGTGCCCGCCCAGCAGGAGGCCCTGGGTTCACACACCTGCTCTCAGGAGATGAGGCTGAGCAACCAGGGCCCACACAGTGCCCCCAGCAGCCTTGGGAGGCCTGTGGTCTGCCCTGCTGTGCTCCTGTGCCTGGCAGCCCAAAGGCCCAGGGACCTTCTGACTGGAGCTGCACTTTCTGACAGCGAGGGTCCACCAAGGGGCCTTGAGGCAAATGGCCACTTGTCAACAAAGCCGGTCTCCACCTTAGAGGGGGAAAGTGATTCAGCCGTGTCGCATGATCATGGTAAAGGAGCAAGCGGGCTGGGCTCTGAAAGAATCAGCATTTGCTTTGCACCTACTGTGTACAGGCTCTGAGTCAGGTATTCAGCCCTCCCAAAACACAAACTTTGCCCCTGCAACCTCGACCTGGGTGCACTGATCCCAGGGGAGGTCCCCAGTTATTTGGTGACCATCTGGGCCCGCATGGAGCTGTGAGCTCTGGGCCGGGACTGTCATCTGTTTGTTCATGGCCGTGGCCCCTAGAACGGTGCCCAGCACATCACGGAAGCTCAGTGAACGCTGGTGGGAAGGGTAAGGAGGGAGGAGTGCCGTTCAGAGAAGGGTGACTAAAGAACGAACACAGTGACACGTGATGAAAGGAGGCAGAGCCGGGGGCCCCGAGCCACAGCCTGGGGGACTTGGGGACTTGGGGACACGTCTCCACCTACAAGCCCCTGAGGCCGCATCAGGGACACAGATGACACTCACTCTGTGAAGCCCCGGGTGGAGCCTGAGTAACAGGCCGCTTTGTCTCACTTGTGGCTCTCCCTCAAGTCTGCCGTTTACAGAAGGACCTGACGCTCTGACCACAGCCCTCCCCTGCCCCTCAACCATCCATGGCTCCCAGCACCAGCCTGACAAAGTCCAAACTCAGGTCCGCTGTGGTCTTGCCCCACCTGCCTTCCCTGCCCCACCTCCCTCCACTTGTCCCCACAGTCCCCAGGCTTCAGGCCCAGCCAAACCACCCCTGGAACCTCCACCCCCACTCTTTATGCTTCCCTGCCTTTGCCCTGCTGTCCTCAACTGGAACACCCCCCACCCCTGCCCCCTGGAACTCAAGCCCCCTTCCAGGCTCAGCTTGAGCGTCACCTCCTCCAGGAGGCCTCCTCTGATTCCCCTAGATGCTGACTTTGCTTGTCCCTTCTCTGTTCCCACAAATACCCCTATGTCCCTCTCCCAGAGCTGGTTCCGGTCTCACTACTAGACCATGAGCTACCCCAGGCAATAGGAGGTTTGATTCTTCTCTCCCTGATGCCTGGTGCATTGCCTGGCACATAGAAGGCCTCACAATGGGGTGGGTGAGCGAATGGTTGAATGACTGTTACCTGCCTCCATTCACTCAGGACCCACTGTGTACCAGGCACTGTGCTGAGCATGTTACAGGCATCATTTCATTTAATTCTCCATGTAATCCCTTGTGCTGTGACTATATATGCCCATACTATAGATAGGGAAACTGAGGCCCAGGGAAGTGGGGTCATGGGTCCAAGGCCACATAGTGGGTAAGCTGAGGCAGCAGCACCCTTCCTGCTCACCTCCTCCAATGCCTCGTTTCCCTCCTGACCTGAACCTGAGACCACGGCCGTGTCTGGGGAGTCTCTGCTGATTCACCACTCACTGGGGACCCCGATAGCTGTTTTGGCTGCAAGTCAGGATCACAAATCTGCAGCCTCAGCTCTAGAGCAACAGAAGGACCTACCAGGAGCATGTGCCCAGGAGGGTCTGTGCACCCAGGGAAACCCTCCCAGTCCCACTCACGGATCCCCACCCTTCCCATCTTCAGTGGGAACCCCTCCCAGGCCCAAGAAGACACTCACAGTTCCCTCCCCTCAGCCCTGGGAACGCGATTTATCCATCACAGGGACGAGGTCTGTAGTGTCAGGATCGTGTGTGGATCTCTTTTGAGCTGGGGCCAGGGAGCCATTCAAATCCCAGCGATTCCGGGGAGGCGAGGAAAACCTCAGACAAAAAGAGGAAGGAGCAAAGAGGAAATAGGGATACATCAGGGAAAGTAATCCACTGCTCAGACATGAAAGAAATATGTTCAATTATATTTTACTGCATTTCGTTTTAATGTTCATGTCATATTTGGGTGCCTGCAAGCTACAAATTACCCGAAAAGAAAACACAATGAAAGATGAATTAAAAACAGACAAAAAATTCTCCCCAAATTGGAATCCCTAAGAGAGAGAAACAAAAGCCAGGCTTGAGACAAAAGAGGCTGCTTGGCACCGAGGCCCTCCCAGCACTGATGCCGGGTGCCCATGCCCACGCAGCTCAGAGCACACTTTCTTTGGCTGGGTTCTCACAATCAGCCAGAGTCAAGGAAAGACTCAGGCCAGAGTCAAGAGGTCCATGCCATGGTCCTGAACCTGCCCCAACGTGCTGTGTGGCTTAGGGCAGGTCACTGCCCTTCTCTGAGCCTCATTCCTTAGGGCAGAAATGAGATGCCTAGACCAGATGCCCTTGAAGAATATGGAGAGTGCAGAACAAAAAGAAATCACATTGGACACAGCTCAGGGAAAGGGAAACTCAGGCATCCTGTGGAGGTTGTGATCTCCCCAGCTGAGACAGCCCTTCGGGGAATCACATGTGGAAGGGAGGGATGAATAGCTGTGGGGCTTTCCACCTCCCTGCCAGCACCTTCTGTCTCCCACTGGAGTCCAGCCCCTATATGGGGTCTGTGCCCCTCACACATCAAAACCACTGACAGGATAGACCCTGGAAATGTGCTCTGTCTCTGCAGCGTGAGAGGGGCTGAAGAGGGGGAGGACAGGTGCCTAGTTCCCCAAGGGCAGCATCTCCCATTTTCAAGAAAGGGGGCCCCAAGTGGTCACTAAGAATCACCCAGGAGAGAGGCTCATGCAGGGAGGAAGGTGCTTCCTGGAGACCCTGGGTTCCTGGCCAATGATTCTACCCAGCCTCAAGGCCAGAAAACCACGTGGGCAGGGGTGGGGGCATTCGAGAGATGGAAAAGCTCAGATCCTGCTGCATGTGCGTGTGTGTGTGTGAGAGAGTGTGTACGTGTGTTGTGAATGTGAGTGTGCATGTGTGTGTACGTGTGAGGGCATGTTGTGTGAATGTGAGTGCACATTTGTGTGTTAGTATGTATGTGTGAATGTGGGGGGTGGGCGTGTGAGTGTGCATATGAGCATGTGCGTGTGTGGGGGGGAATTGTATGTGCATGTGTTTGCAGGGTGGGTGTGAGAGCGAGTGTATTGTGCGTGTGTCTGGTTTGAGTGTATGTGTGACTGTGCTTGTGTCTATACATTTTAGTGTGTGTGTATGTGTGTGAGAATACGTGTGTGCATGTGTGTGCATGTGTGTCTGTGTGTGAATGTGTGTGCATGTGTATGTGAATGTATATGTGTGTGAATTGTGTGCCTGTGTGTGCGAATGTATGTGCAGGTGTGAGAATACGCGAGTGTGTGTGCACATGTGTGAGTGCCTGTGTGTGTATGTGTGTGCATGTATGTGTGTGTCCATGGGTGTGCCTGTGTGTGTATGTGTGTGTGCATTGGTGTTTGAGTGCCTGTGTGTCTCTGTGTGCGTGTGTGTGTGTGATGTGAGTGTGTGTGCATGGGGGGTTGTGAGTACATGTATGTGTAGTGTGTCTGTGCGTGTGTGTGTATGTGTGTGTGCATGGGTGTGAATGTGAGTGTGAGTGCATGTGTGTGTCTGTGTGTGCATGTATGTGAATGCGTGTGTGTGCATGGGTGTGAGTCCACGTGTGTGCGCACACATGTGTGTGAATGTGTGAGTGTGTGCATGGCTGTGTGTGTGTCCATGAGTGTGTGTCTGTGTGTATGTGTGTGAGTGTGTGTGCATGGGTGTGTGTGAGTGCATGTGTGTGCGTGTGTGAATGTGTGCGTGCAAGTGCGCGTGTGTGCATGTGTGTGAATATGTATGTGTGCGCATGGGTGTGAGTACGTGTGTGTGTGCGTGTGTGTGAATGTGTATGTGTGTCTGTGAATGTGTATGAGTGTGCGTGGGTGTGTGTGTGTGCATGAGTGTGTGTGAGTGCCTGTGTGTATGTGTTTGTGTGTGTGACTATGTGTGAGAGAGAGAATGATGGAGACGAACCCCAGTGCCTCAGTGACAATGAACAGGAGGCAGCAGCTCAGACACATTTTGTAGCCCCAGCGCCAGCAATGGACTTTCCTGCGCTGCCAAGAGCCGGAGGGAGGCTCCAGGCAGGATTTTCAGACACCTCCTTGAGCCAGGCAGGGAAGGGCCAGAGCCCGGCTAAGGATCCACAGTGGAAACACACCAGCAACAGACAAAGCACAAAACCCTCTTGCAGAGTTTACATTGAAAGCCCTCCACAAAGGGCAAACATAGCCAACCCTGACTGAGCACTCACTGTATGCTGCGCGGAGGCTCAGCACGTTGTGTGGCCGTTTCTGAGTTAGCCGTTATGGCTGTCTCAGGGGAGGGAGGTGTAAGCAGGAGACTCTGCCCTCCCCTGCCCTGCCTCTGGCCTGGGGTGGCCTACCTCGCCCAGCCTCTCCAGGCGCTGACTAAAGCCACTGACACTTATCCTGAGAGGAACAGCAGGGGTTGGACAAGGCTGCCCTTAGGAGCCCCCAGGCCCTGACAGGTGTAGGCACCCAGGGGCCCTCTGCTGATCTTCCCTGTCCACCATCCCCCAAGGAAGTGTCATCCTCTCAGTTTTACAAGTGAGGGAGCTGAGGCTGGATCACAGGATGGTCAGTCGCTGAGGCTCGATTTCATCTTCACTGCAGGAGCCCTCAGCCGCACCCAGCCTGGGGCTTCGTCTCCTGCTCCATTCATAGTAGCTATTTGGCCCTGGACAAGTAAATTCCACCTCAGTTTCCCTATCTGCAAAACAGAGATAGTAATGACACCTACACCACAGAGCGTGCAGGGGGATTAAATGATTTAACACAGCAAAGGTGCAGCACAGGGCCTGGATCACAGGCAGTGCAGAGAAGAAGCTACTGAGTCAAGATCTCAGCCTCGCTCTCCCACTCGAGGCCAGGGCTCCTTTAGTTTCCTGGAGCTGCCCCTCCAGCAGGTGCAGGATGACACCTCCTGCTGGGCACACTCAGTGCCTCAGTAGACACCCCTCTGCCGTGTCGGACTGATGGCCTGGAGAACTCAGGAGGGGGCAGGTCTAGTAAGGACCCCAGGCCCCTCCCACCATACTGCAGGACGGGTCTCCTAAGATTCACCATAAAAAATAAGACATATTCTTTTGAAGTGAAGAAAATAAAGCACTACACTTCAGAGAACTACAATTTCATCTGAAGGAAAAAGGTGTCATTTTAAAAATTAAATCGTGTTTGTTTTCTTTGTATTCCCCCAATTCCAGAAGCAGTCAAGAGTGCCAAGACATGAATTTCAACAGAGCAAGGCATAAGTTAGGCAGATGGCCATCTGCATTGAGCCCAGGAGTGGCAGGCATGGGAGAGGAAGGAGGGTGAGCTTGCTCCAGGGTGACCTGCGTCTGCTCTGGGGCCTCAGCTCTGTGCCTGTGTGTTGACCAACCCAAGGATTCCAGGACCTGGAGTTTGCACACCTGGACTTTGGGAGCACCCAGCCATCCTGATCTCCAGTCCCAGCTCTGCTACTGACTAGCTAGGGTAGCTTGGGCATGAGATCAACCCCTCTGAGCCTCACTTATTCGTCTTTCAAAGGCACAGCATAATAGCGCCCACCTCACAATGTCCTTGGAAGGATTAAATGAGACAATGCCTGCAAAGCTCTGAGCCAGGGCCTGACATAGAGTGGACACCTCGAATATATTAGCTATTAATTCTGCATTTCCTTAAGATTTTTTTGCATTTTCGTATTTCTAAAAAATGGAATACAGGGAGGATGAAAAGACAAGCCATATATTGAGAAAGAATATTTGCAACAGACATATCTCATAAATAGCTGTTATTCAACATATACAGAGAAGGCTGTGTGCGGTGGCTCATGCCTGTCATCCCAACACTTTGGGAGGCCAAGGCAGTCTGATCACTTGAGCCCAGGAGTTGGAGATCAGCTTGAGCAACATGACAAAAATCCGTCTCTACAAAAAATACAAAAATTAGCTTGGCATGTGGTGCATGACTGTAGTTCCAGCTACTTGAGAAGCTGAGGTGGGAGGATTGTTTGAGCTCAGGAGGTCAAGGCTGCAGTGAGCCATGAGCCTGCCACTGTACCCCAGCCTGGGTGAAAGAGCAAGACCATCTCAAAAAAAAATCTTACTTGTGAATCCCTCAAATGTTATTGTTACTTCCTCGAACTGTTGATAGATTAATACATAACTGACCGACATTGAAAAGGACACCGATTTGTTTCTGAATCAGGAAATTTCACTGATTGTCTTGTACATAAAACTTCTTAGCCTGTATGTGGCATCTGTAGCCAATGATGATAAATTTTGTATTCTACCCTCCAATGGAAATGGACAACTCTGATATAGAGTCCCCTCCCTTCTCCTAAACTTTTTAATAAAAGCATTCCAACTTGTAACAGACCTGGGAACACACCTGGCTTTGTTGGTGGGTCTTCCTGGGTTGATCCTCAAATGCGATTTCTAATAAGCATTTAAGAAAATGAAATAAAAGAAGTTATTTCTGCCTCCACATCTTAATTTTGGTCTACATCTTAAAGCAACTGTAAGAAAACAAATAGCCCATTTAAAAAAATTGGCCAAAGACCTTAACAGACACCTTGCCAAAGAAGATAAAGATGGCAAATGATCATATGAAAAGATACGCTATATCATATGTCATCAAGGAAATACAAATTAAGACAATGAACTACCACCATACATTTATTAGAATGGCCAAAATCCAGGACATGGACAACACCAAATGCTGGTGAGGATATGAAGCAAAGGGAATTCTCATTAATTTCTGGTGGGAATGCAAAATGGTACAGCCACTTTGGAGGGCAGTTTGGCAATTTCCCTCAAAACTAAACATATGTTTACCACCTAGTAATCATGCTCCCTGGTATTTACTCAAAGGAGTGGAAGACTCAGGTCCACACAAAAACCTGCACATGAATGTTTGTAACAGCTTTACTCATGATTGCTGAAACTTGGAAGCAACCCAGATGTCCTTCAGTAGGTGAATGGCTAAATAAACTGTGGTACATCTGATACAGGGCTAAAAAGAAATTATTTAGGCAGTTAGTGAAGGTAAAGGAGTCCTTGGTAAGGTTTTTCTTTTAATGAAGAGTAGCTCCCAAATCATTTCTTATCTAACAAAAAGCAGCCTGAAAAATCAAGCTGCAAGTATAGATGAGCAAGCTGGAAGCCTGCATATGTGAATGCCAGCAGTTGTTCCAATAGTAAAGGGAAACCTGGAAGTCAGATATATTTAACATGAAGGTTCCCTCTTCCCTTTTCTTTGTTGCCATGTGTGCAAAGAAAAGCAGGCAACATGGCACCAGCCAGGTAAAAAATCCATTTGCATAATAAAAGATTAGGGTAGGATGGCCAGCCTCCTCACAAGCTATGTAAATGGCACACCTGGTCCAACCAATCCACTAGGCCTTATGTAAATCAGACACCACCTCCTCAAGCTCATCTATAAAACCAAACATATCTCACCCTAAACCCAGAAACCCATTCAGGACCCCTTCCTCTGCACAAGGAAGCTCTCTTCTTTCTTTCGCCTATTAAACTTTCAGCTCTTAAACTCACTCCTTGTGTGTCCACATCTTCGATTTCCTTAGCATGGGACAACAAACCTCAGGTACTTCCTGAGACAGATGACACCGTTTCATATCCAGACAATGGAATATTATTCAGTGCTAAAGATAGGAACTATCAAGCCATGAAAAAAAAAACATGAAGGAAACTTAAATGCATGTTATTAAGTGGAGGAAGCCAATCTGTAAAGGTTACATACTGTATGAGTTCAACTATATGTCATTCTAGAAAAGGCAAACTATGGAGATAGTAAACAGATCAGAGGTTTCCAGGAGTTGGGGTGGAAGGAGCGGTGAATAGGTGAAGCATGGAGGATGTTTAGGGCAGTGAAACTATTCTGTATGATACTGTCATGGTGGATGCATGTCATTATACATTTGTCTAAACTCACAGAATGTACAACACTAGGAGTGAACCCTAAGGTAAACCATAGACTTTGGCTTATAATGATGTGTCAATGTAAGTTCATCAGTTGTAACAAATCTATCTCTCTGGTGTGGGATTTTGATAACCTGGGAAGCTGTGCGTGTCAGGGTGGGGAGTATATGGGATGTCTCTGTCCCTGCTACTTAATTTTGCTGTGAATCTAAAACTGCTGTAAAAAATAAAGTCTATTTTTTAGAAAGAGTGGAATGTGTCTTACAATTGAAAAAATACATTTCTTGTCTCTTGTTCACTGAAAACCTATTACTAAACTAATGATAGATCTTTAAATCTCTTGTTCACCAAAAAAACTGTTCCTAAACTGATGACAGACCTTTAAAAATCCACAGTATCTGAGACGTGAGGAGGTGCAGTATTATTCATGAAAAACTCCATTCCTGTGAATGGCCCACAAGAAGACACATACTTGTAGGAACAAGTCTCAAAGCCAATAACTAATGGAGAGTTGAAGATGTTCACTTTGTTCAGTGAACAGCCAGGAAACCCAGGTGCCAGACTTCCATTCCTGCTAGGGTGGAGTAACAGGTTCTAGATTTATCCTCCAGACTTTGTTACAAAATAAATGAAGCAACAGTTTTCAATTCACTGAACTTCAGGCAATGATGAGTGATCCCTGAGAGAGGAATGTGATAAGGTCAGCCCATGGCTGCTCTGGCTTACAGCCTTGAGAGTTTCACAGCATGAGAAGGGAGAACGAGGTGGAGCCAGTAGACACCTGAATTAAGGAGATGAAGCTGAAATTTTGGCAGAATAAGGCAGCTAGATTTCATAGCACAGAACCCTGGAGAGGAGAAAACTGCACAGAGGAAAAGCTCTGAGAATCTGCAGAGGACCTTCGGTGAGTATTTCACTGAGCACCAATCCGCATACATGTGTGAAGGAAAGAGCTGAGACTGAGAAAGAATCATTCAAGAGGATTGGAGGGAACCATTCCCAGTGTTTGCACTGGGCTGGGGACACAACTGGTCCTATTATCTAGACTGGAAAATATTCTAATTCGCTGAGCATTAAGTAGAGTTCTCAGAAGAATCTTGCCTTGGGAGTAGGGAAAATTAGCTCTGGGCTGAACGCTGCTCTGGTCCCACCTAACAATTCTTTAAAGAAAGACCTGAAGGGCTTAAACTGTTTCCAGGCAACTTAATTAGGTCCTAGAACAAAGCTCAGGAATGCTTATAAGGATACAAAAACATTCACCACCCGAGGAGGGTAAAATTGAAAATATCTGACATCCCATTAAAGATTGCCAGGCATACAAAGCAGGAAAATATGACCCATAATGAGGAGAAAAATCAATCAATTATAACCAACCCTAAACTGACAGAGATGTTAGAATTTGCAGACAAAGACATTAAAACTACTCTTAACATTGTGTTCTCTATGTTCAAAAAGTTATGTAGGGACATAAAAAATATCTTTTAAAGAGCCAAACAAGTCCAGGTGCAGTGGCTCACACCTGTAATCCCAGCACTTCGGGAGGCCGAGGCAGGTGGATCACCTGAGGGTAGGAGCTCAAGACCAGCCTGGCCAACATGGTGAAACCCCATCTCTACAAAAATACAAAAATTAGCCAAGCATGATGGTGGGTGCCTGCAGTCCTAGCTACTGGGGAGGCTGAAGTAGGAGAATCGCTAGAACCCAGGAGGCAGAAGTTTCAGTGAGCTGAGATCGTGCCACTGCACTCCAGCCTGGGAGACAGAGCAAGACTCCATCTCAGAAAAACAAAAAAGGGCCAAATAAAAATTCAAGAGATGAAAACTACAGTGTTTGAGATGAAAAGTATACTATGTTGAAGAAAAGATTAGTAAGCTTGAAGGTATAGCAATAGAAACTATCCAAAATAAAATACGGAGAGAAAAAAAGAATTTTACAAAACTGAAAAGAGCATCTGTGAGCTGTGAAACAACTTCAAGCAGGTTGATATACTGGTCATTCAAGTCCCCAGAGGGGAAAGAGAAAGGGGGTGGAGCAGAAAAAAATACTTGAAGAAATAATAGCAGAAAATTTTCTAAATTTGGTGAAATCTGTAAACCCAGAGACTGAAGAATCTCAACAAATTCCCAGCACAAAAAAGGATAAAAAGCACATCATAATGAAATTTCTTAAAGCCTGTGATAAAAAGAATATATCAAAAGCCAACAGAGAAAAAAAATCAAGTACAAAGGAACAAAGATAACAACAGCAACCTATTTCTTTTCAGAAACAATAAAAGCAAGAGGAAAGTGAAACAACATTTTTAGAGTATTGAAAGAGAAATATCTGTGAACTTATAATTCTATAACCAGTAAAAATATCTTTCAAAATGAAGGTAAAATAAAAACTTTTTTCAGACATATAAAAATCCTCAATACAGAAATGTTAAAGATAGTCCTTCAGGCAGAAGGAAAATGATATCAGATGAAAATATGTATCTACACACAAAAAAATAAAAAGCACCAGAAATGTAAGATCTTTTCTTGTTTTTTGAAACATAATTCACACACACACACACACACAAATGATGAACATATAACTTTATATCCAGTGAAAATTTCTTTGAAAACATAACGCTATTGACAATAGCCCCAAGAAAAATGCAATAAATACGTATAAATCTAATAAAGCGTGGATAGTATTTATATGCTAGAAACTACAAAATGCTGTTGAAAGAAATTTTTTAAAGTCTTTAATAAATAAAAAGACATACCATGTTCATAGATTGGAAGATATCCCCAAGTGACATAATGCAATACCAATCAAAAGTTAAGGAAAAATTGTTTACATATATAAGGAAGTTGGTTCTAAAATTTGTATGAAAAGACAAAGGAACTAGTATAGATAAACAATTTTGGAAAGAAAAAACAATGTTGGGGGAATCACATCTTGATTTTAAGACTTCTTATAAAGCTACAGTAATTAAGACAATGTAATACTGGCAAAAAGAAAGGCATATTACATCAATGGAACAGGGTAGACAATCCAGAAATAAACTCATACAAATACAACCACTTCATCTTTGGCAAAGATACAAAAGCAATTCAATGGAGAAAGGATAATTTTTTTTAAATGGTATTATAAAAATTGGTCATCCATAAACAATCAAACAAAATAACCTTGACTTAAACTTCACATTTTATACAAGACTAACTCAAAAATAGATTACAGATAAAGACAGAAAGCATAAAACTATACAATTTTTAGAATACAATGTCAGATTCTTAGTGAACTCTTCACCACCAAAAGCATAGTCCATAAAATTAAAAACTGATAAATTGGATGTCATCAAAAGTTAAAATTTTTGTTCTGCCAAAGACTATCAAGACAATGAAGATAAGCTAGAGTGGAAGAAAATATTTGCAAACAACATATACAACAAAGAATTTGTACGCGAACTGTATAAGGAACTCTCAAAACTCAGCAATAAGAAAACAAATAATTAAAATGTGGGGAAAGATATCTGAAGAATGATAGACATACAGATCAATGGAACAGGCCAGAGAACTCAGAAATAAACCTACAAAAATATGACCAACTGATTTTTGACAAGGGTACAAAAGTAATTCAATGAAGAAAAAATAGCCCTTTCAACAAATGTTGTTGAAACAATTGAACATTCATAGGCCAAAAAAAAAAAAAAAGAACTTCATGCTAAGTCTCATATGTTATACAAAATTAACTGAAAATGATTCATGGGCTTAAGTGTAAAATACAAAGCTATAAAAGTTTTAGAACATAACATAGGGAAAAAATCTTCACAATCTAGGGCTAGGCAGAGTTCTCAGACTTGAGACCAAGAGTACAATTTGTAAAGGGAAAATTTGATGAATTGGATTTCATCAAAATTAAAAACTCTTGTTCTTCAAAAGACTTCATCGAAATGATGAAAAGACAAACTACAGAGGAGGATAAAATATTTGCAAAACACATATCCAACAAAGGACTAATGTCTAGAATATATAAAGAACTCCCAAAACTCTACAGTTAAATAAACAATTCAATTAGAAAACGGGCAAAAGATATGAAGAGATGTTTTATGAAAGCATAGACAGATGGCAAATAAGCACATGGAAAGATGCTCAACAGGACTGGATATGAGAGAAATACAAATTAAAACCACAATGAGATTCCACAATATGCCCATTAGCATGGCTAAAATAAAATACCAAATGCTAGCAAGGAAACAGATCATCTAGAACTTTTATACATGTTTGGTGAGAATGCAAAATAGTTCAGTCACTCTGGAAAATGATTTGACAAGCTAAACATCCTTGCCATATGACCCAGAAATCCCATATCTAGGATAGACAAATGCAAAATTATAATGAGACCTTTCAATACCCTTCTCTCAATTACCGATTAAAGTATGTAGCTAGAAAGTTAGTAAGAATATAGAAGACTTGAACAACACTATTAACTAACCTGACCTAAACTGACATTACAAGCAACAACAGCAGAGTGTACATTCTTTTCAAGTGGACATAGAACATTTTATAATATCGATCAGACCTTGGGCTGTAAAACAAGCCTCAATAAATGTAAAAGGATTCAAGATATACAAAATATGTTCTCTGGTCTCCATGTAAATACATTCAATAACAGAAAGATACCTGAGAAAGTCCCCAAAATATTTGGAAATTAAAATAACTTGACTTGAAGAAGGAATCAATAGAGAAATTTAAAAGTATTTTGAAACGAATGAAAATAAAAACACAACATACGAAAATTTGGGGAATGTTACTTAGGGGAAACTTATAGCATTAAACATCTGTATTTGAAAAGAAAAAGATTTCAAATTCCATTTTGAGAAACTAAGGGGGAAAAGACTAATTAAACCCAAACTCAGCAGAATAAAGGAAGAGTAAAGGACAGAGCAGAAACCTACAAAATAGATATCAGAACATTGACACAGGAAATCAATAAAACCAAAAACTGATTTTTCAAGAAAGTCAATAAAATTGATTGACCTCTAGACAGACAGTTTAGAAATGAGAGAGAGCAACAGAGCAGGGAAGGAGATGAAAATTACTAACATCAAATTGAGAAACATGACATAGCAAAGATTCTGAATATACAAAAATGATAATGAGGGGATAATCATGAACAACTTTATGCCAATAAATTGGACAACTTAGATGAAATCAGAAAACCCCCTGAAAGACACAAGCCACCAAAGTCCAATCAAGAAGTAGACATGGTAGATATTTTTTAAATTGAATTTTTAAGTAAAAACTTCTCCACACACAAAAAACTCCAGTCCCAAATGGCTTCACTGGAGAACTTAACTGATTGTTTAAGGAAGAAATAATGCCAAGCATATGCAAACTTTTCCAGAAATTAAAAGAGGAGGAGACACTTCCTTACTCATTCTATAGGACCAACATCAACCAGATAACAAAACCACGCAAAGACATTTACAAAAAGAATACCCACAGACCAATATCCTTTGTGAACATAAACAGAAAATTTCATAACAAAAATATATCAAGCCAAATCCAACAATAATAAAAAGGTAATACATCATGATCAAGTGAGGTTTATTCTAGGTTAGTTTAACATGTCAAAATCAAACTACATAATCCACATTCAGAAACTGAGAAAGGAAAACCATATGATCATCACAATAGATGTCAAACTTTTTAAATAAAATTCAACATTAATTATAAAAATGATCAGCAAACTAGGAACTTCCCCAACTAGACAAAGAGCACTGATGAAATACCTAGAGCTAACATCATTTTTAACAGCAAAATAGTATAAGATCAGGAACAAGAGAAAAATGCCTGCTCTCACCACATCTATACAAACGCATACTGGTCTAGGTAAGAAATACAGCAAGAAAAAGAAACAAAAGCAATCAGATTGAAAAGGAAAAAATAAAAACTGTTTTTATTCATAGATGTCATAATTGCCTCTGTAGAAAATCTAATGGACACTACAGAAGAAGCTACTAGAATGAATAAGTGAGTTTAGCAAGGTTGCAAAGTAAAAGATCAATATATGAAAAATAATTGTATTTTTATGTACTAGCAATGAAAACCAGAAATTAAAATTTAAAAGACTATGTATAATACTATAAAAATATAAAATCAGACTAAATCTGTCAAAAGATGTGCTAAAACTGAACTCTGAAAATTACGAAACAGTGCTGAGAAATTGAGGAGGACCTGACCAATGCAGAGAGGCACCGTATTCTTGGTTGGGAGACTCCATATTGTAAATATGTCAATTTTTCCCCAAATTGATCAATAGATTCAATGCAATCACAGGCAAAATCCCCATAGTCTTTTTTTTTTCAATAGAAATTGACAAATTTATTCTAAAATTCCTATGGATATGCAAAGGACCTAGATGGCCAAAAAGAAGAAGAAAAAATTAGAGGTCTAACACTATCTGATTTCAAGACTTCTTATAAAACTTCAAAAATTAAGGTAGTGTGGTGTTGATGGAAAGATAGTCAAATTAAGCAAAGGAACAGAATAGAGTCTAGAAATAGACCCACACATAGAGACAACTGATTTTTGATAAAGGTGCAAAGACAATTCACTGGGAAAAAATAGTCTTTTCAACAATTATGCTGAAGCAACCGGATGTCTATGTGCAAAAATATGAATCTTGGCCAGGCACTTTGGCTAACACATGTAATCCTAGCACTTTTGGAGGCTGAGATGGGAAGATTTCTTGAGCCAAGGAGTTCAATACCAGCCTGAGCAACATGGCAAAACCCTGTCTGTACCAAAAAAAAAAAAAACCACACACACACACACAAAAATTGGCCCAGCCTGGTGGCATGCACCTGTAGTCCCAGCTACTTGGTAGGCAGAGGTGGGAGGATCACTGGAGCCCAGAAGGTCAAGGTTGCAGTGAGCCATGATCACACCACTGCACTTCGACCTGGGTGACAGAATGACACCCTGTCAAAAAAATAATGAAAAGAATCTTGATTCATACCTCCCACCATTTACAAAAATTAACTCCAAATTTATTATAGGACTAAATACAAAACCTAAAACCATGAAACTTCTAGAAAAAAACCATGAGAAAATATATGTGACCTTGGGTTAAGCAAAGGTTTGCTAAATGCAACACCAAGAGCACAACCATACAAGAAAAAATTAAAGAATTGGACTCAATCAAAATTTAAAACTTCTGCTCTTCAAAAAAACAAAAGGAGAGAGAGAGAGAGAAAAGCCACAGACTGGGAGAAAATACTCACAAACCATATATTTAATAAAGGCCTTGTATTCATAATATGTACAAATTTTGAAAACTCAATAATGAGAAGAATAGCAATTCAATAAAAAGTGACCAAAGATTTGAACAGAAACTTTACTAAAAAATACAACAAAGAAGACAAGTAAGTAGACGAAAAGACATTCATTGTCATTAGACATTAAGACATTCATTGTCATTAGACATTAGGTCAAATTACCATGACTGAGTGTTGGTGAGGATATGGAGGAACTAAAACTTATACACTAGTGCTATATACTGCTTTGGGAGATGGCACATATGTTAGTGTCTTAAAAACTTAAAAAACATGTATCTGCCATATGATCCAGTCATTGCACTCTGGTATTTGTCCCAAATAAAGGAAAGCACTTTCTATACAAAGGCTTGTACACAAATGTTCATAGCAGTTTTATTCATAAAAGCCCCAAAACTGGCAACAACTCAAACGCCCATTAACAAGTGAATGGATAAACAAACTGTTGCACATCCATACACTGGAATTAAAAACATAGTGAACGAATGATATACACAACAACATAAATAAATTTCAATATAATTATGCTGTGTGAAAGAAGTCAGTCCGAACAAAAGAGTGGACACTGCATGATTCCATTGATATAAAATTCTAGAAAATGAAATCTAATCCATAGAGACAACAAGCAGATCAGCAGAGGGCAGTTGATAGGGGTGGATTGGGGGGATTACCAAGGGGCACAGGGAAAGTTTGGGGTGATGGATTTGTCCACTATCTTAATCGTGGGGATAGTTTCATGGGTGTATATGTATGTCAAACATCAAATTGAACATTTTAAATAGGACAGTTCATCATGTATCAGTTATACTTCAATCAAGCGGTTAAAATATATTAAAACAATTTAAAGGGGAAAAAGTAACTCCAGCTGTCAGCTGCCTTTAACAGGTCGGTTCTGCTGGACCCTGCGCCCCTGCACCACCCTGGCTTGGGCTCCTGGGCCTGGCATGTTGGCCACCACTTCCTATGTCTTGTGGACAAATGTACCCCACCTCCTCCAGGTCTCATTCCAGGAAAGTCACTTCAAATTCCACAGATGTGATTACGGAGCAGGGCAGGGGAAATGAGCAAAGCCCTCAGAGCACAAGACAGGCCAAGTCAGGGCGCAAGAGCCTCGGAAACAGCAAGAGGTGGGTGACAAGTGTCATCTTACTGCTCACTCATGCCCTATGATTTAATATAGTTTTGACATTTCTCCAGCTGAGTGGCAGCAAGAGCTGCAGCTGCATGAAATCGGGGGATAAAAGTCGGAGCAAAAGGCCTGAAACCTTGGATCCCTGTCATTTTGCCACCAGCTCTGCCAGAGTCCAGCTGGCACGGTACTGGAGAGTGAGAACAGGAACAGAGAGAGAGAGATTGAAAATCCCAAGAAACTGCTCCTTCCTTGAGAGTCCACTGCTGTTTCTTTGGCAGACGGGGCATCAGGAAGAAGCCATCCAGCTGCACAGAGGAGACCCCAGGCTGCTGGCAGTGGAGCCTGGGGGCTGCAGTCCCAAGCACTGAGCACCTACTATGTGCCAGGCCAGGGCAGGCCCCAGGGATGCTGCAGTAAACAAGACAGATGAGGCCCCTGCGCCCATGGACAATCATCCTGATGATAATAATAATGATAATAAAGTAACAGTCCCCTGTGCCTGGCACCGGGCTAGGTGCTCCACTCTAGTGGTTCCCATGCAGGGGCCATGCTGCCCCCGAGAGGAAATTTTTGACGCATCTGAAGACATTTTCAGTTGCCATATCCGGGGGTGGGAGGTGCTACCGGCATCTAGTGGGTACAGGACGGGGATGCTGTTGATCACCCTGTGATGCACAGAACAGTCTCCACAATGTGGAATTATCTGGCCCAAATACCTCAGTAGTGCCCAGGCTGAGGACCCCTACTCCAGACTCATTTCTCACTTAACTCTCACAACACAACTGAGGCCCAAGTCACCTACCATGACACACCTGTGGAAAGGCAGGTTAGGACTTCAGCCAGGTCTGCCTGTGCCCCGAGTCTATACTCTGACCCACAGCATGGCGCAGCACCCCTAGCACACAACACAGAATACGCTGGAAGCCCAGTGTTCTGAGTTCAAGTCCCAGTTGATCCCTGTAAAGAAATGAGTGAGTCATTAAACCTGTCTAAACCTGAGCTCTTTACTTTGAAAATTGGGTTCATAACCCCTGGGCTGGATGAGCATAGAGTGAAGGAAAAGCTTCCCCACTGGTGGAAATGTTGGGGAAAACACACATGATTTCACGTTCATTCATTCATTTACCAAATCTTCACTGAGCATCTGATGCTGCACTGGAGATAAGCCGAGAACAAGATACAAGAAGTCCCTGCTCCCGGGGCACTTATGTTCTGGAGGATTCTGGGACATTTGGATAATCAGGCCACTATCTCCAGGAAGGCGGGGCCGTCCCCAATGGGGAAATGTTGTCACTGTCAGCCCTCTCACCTAATAGGGTTCCTGGAAGTAGATAAGAAACAAAAGCTATTTCTGTCCCTCCCAGTGACTTCTATACCCAGCACTGGGCCCTCACCCTCTTTCTCTTCCTGCAAAATGCAAACTTTATAACGTTTCATTTTTAAAAGCTCTGAGTCTCCAATGCAGTTTGAACTCCACGCTCAGCGATACTCTACTAGGTTGGTGGTGTTATTGCTGTGGCTTTCTTGTATTTTTCTTTTCAACCACCTGCCATGACATCATGTCCACACGACCTGAATTCAAGGGAGTAGCTCTTTCCTTCCCTTCTCCCCTTCATCCATCTGCACGTGGCTGCCCAGTTAATCCTCCTGGAGCCCACACATAAGATCCTGAATCCCACCCAAGCCTGTGCTGGGCCCTGAACTGTAGCCCAGGTCCAAGCCCCAAGCCGCTGCATCCCAAAGCCAGCCCCACCCACAGCTTCTGACCACCCTCCTTCGCCTCACACATTCCTCCTTGAAGACCTGGGCTTTGTCACATCAGGCAAGCCCCTGCCCCAATCTGGGCCTCAGTTTCCCCATCTATGGGATAAGTTCTAAATAGAGGAACCATCCAAACACCCACACCTTTCACTACCAACTGTGAAGACGCGACCTCCCTGACTCGTGATGGGGCTGCACTGGGCAGGACAGTGTGCCCTCCATCTGTGTCCCTGGCACAGGGCTTGGTCGCAATAGGGCAGCATGGCGCGTGGTTCTGAGCATGAAGCTGAAGTCAGACAGGCTGGGCTCAAGTCTGGACTTTGCTACCCAGGTAGTCGGGCACTTTGCTTCTAAGGCTCTCCAGTACCTCATCCCTAACATGGAGACAGCTCCTCCGAGGGCTGTTGTGAGGATCCCGGCCAGTGCCTTCTTGGGGTGCCACCCCCCACCCCTACCATCACCCCTACCCCCACCTCTTCTGGACCCGGAGATGACCCCCGCCCCGCACTTGCACGTGTTGTGTGGCCACGCCCTTGCCACAGCTGGCTGGACTGGGGCAGACACCTGACCCAAGGCAGACCAATCAGCTCAGGGTTGGCCCGAGAGCCGGACCTGGGCCCAGGGCGCCTGTAGGACCCTAGTGAGGGAAGGAAGAAGGTGGAGGGAGGGCAGGAGAGAGACAGCATGGAGCTGGGACCAGAGAGGGAGGGAGGGAAGGAGGGAGAGCGGTCCCCTCCAGTAGGCCCAGGCTCCACCAGACGTCTCCAGGGAATCAGGTCCCAGGTATGATTTAAGCCAGCCCCAGTGGGTTTCAGTCCCTCCCAGCAGAGCACCCCATTCTCTGTCCTCAATCCCCGAAGGCAGACAGGTGTCATCCTCTCCCCGCTCCTCCCCAGCCCTCTGGACCTCCTGCTGTCTTCTCTGCCGTCTTTACTGGACCCAATCTTCCCAGAGGCCAGGCTCCTGATAGGTCCTCAGTCATGTTTTCTGGAGGAATAATGGAATGAGTGACTGAGCGAGTGAGTGAGTGAGTGACAAAACCTCGGAGGCGCCCCCAACAATAGAAAGAGCCAGGGCCGAGGGGCAGGCAGAGCTGGGCTTGGGTCCTCCTCTGCTGCTCTCGACCTCCCTGAGCCCCCACCTCCTCACCTGCAGCCGAGCCCGGTGGCCACCCAGTCATTTGCCTGCTGCGTGAGCACTGTGGCTTAAGCTTTCTGTAAAATCGCTTTCATTTTAGTAGGAGATTGCAGATCTAGGCTCAGCTTCCTTCTTCCTCCTGAATATCTCGAAATGTGCCTGCTTTTAGAAGCCATGGGTGCTGGGGACAGCCAGGAGACAGGGATCCTTCCCAGCCCCCGCCCCCTGCCATTGCCCCGGTTGGGGAGGGAGAGGAAAAGAGCCTTGGTTAACCATACATGTGAGCCCAACTACTCGGGGAGAGGAGCTGAAGTTGTTTATCCGTTATTTTAAAAAATCCTTTCTGTCTACATCTGTCTTTTTCCAGTACTCAAATTTCAACCCCTACATCATGTACCACCCCCACCCCCCCTACTCTTTCCTGGGCAGGTCCGTAGACTGGCCTGCGGAGGTGCCTGGACGGTGCCCTTGTTCTCTGTCCTCTGACTCCCAAGGGCCTGAGCGCTGAGCCTCAAGAGAAGACAGCTGGGTGCAGGAGAATGGCTCAGCTAGTTCCCAGTTCAAGGTCTTTGGCAGATTACTCCATCTCCATGGACCTGAGTGTCTTCATCTGCAAAATGGGAATGATGACTTCGGAGGGCTGTGGTGATGACTTGGGAGGAAGCACTGAACCCAGCACCTGGCACAGAAGTCGCTCAACCCTGTGAGCCCACGGCTCCTCCCTGCAAAGACAGAGCAACATGAAAAATCTTTTGGAATATTTCAGTTGTAAGTAATAGAAAAGCCAACCCAAATCAACTTAAGCAAAAAGGAATTTTTTTGTGTCCAAGGTAACTGTAAAGTGTGTGGAGATTTCAGGCGCAGCCACGACACCTGCCCATATCAACAAGAGACAGAAAGACAAAGCTGAGCCTCCCAGCGCTCATCACTGTGGGAAATGGAGGCCCAAAGGCAGCCTTTCTCCTGAGATTGGGGGTAGTCACAGGGTGCTGGGCTAAAACAGTCAGGTGCATTTCCCTGGGCAGATGTGTATCTCTGGGTGGGGACACAGAGGTGCTCACAGCCAGTGCTGGGATGGCCCCTCCCAGGGCTCTGGGAAGGTAATGCTGACCCAAGGGGAATGATGCTAAGCAAGGATTCCGGGCACCCAGGGAGGCTGTTTTAAAGCAAAGAGCATTCACCTTGCTTGCAGGCAAGCACAGCCCGTGGAGAGAAAGGTGATCTTGCAGCTCAGAGTGGCAAAGCCAGAAAAACCCTTAGAGAAAGGGCTCCAGAGGCCATCAGGGCCTGGGCTGGGCCCTGGCTGCCTGACCCGCAACCTTGCCCTCAAACCATGTGCTGCCCTGTACTCAGGGACTAATGCTGTGGATAGACAGACTGGTCCTAGCCCCAGACCTCCTCCTTCTTTGCTCTGAGAGCTTGAGCTTAGCCATCTCTGTTACCTAGCTCTGGCTTGGTCCCTAACCAGGCCTCTTCCTGGGATCAGGCTTGACAGGTCCTGAGGCCCCACCCTGTTCCTGAGCCCCCGACTCCACCTGCCCCATTACCCTGTCCACCAAGATTCTCCCTTGCCCAGCATCTGCAGTACTTTGTCACAACCATGACAGTATCGGTAATAATAATAATAAATAATAATTATGGCTAACATTTAGTGAGTACCGACTATGTGCCAGCCCTATGCTAAATGTTTCTCATGGATTATCTCATTTAATCTTTTGAACAGCCCTCAGATGTAGAGATTCTGGGTTAATTTGCTGAAAATCCATTTAGCAAATATCAATTCATCAAATGACCGATTTAGCAAAAATCAATTTGTCCAATGATCCATTAGATACCCAGTGACAGGCAGATACATCAGCCCTGGTCTGGGCCTGGAAACCAGGCCGCCATTTCACCAGAGAGGCAGAAACAGAAGCAGGCAGCGGCTATGAAGGACCTGTGTCTGCGAAGACCAGGACTTCAGTGGCTGCTGTTGAAAGTGAAGCCCACCCATTTAATGAGTTGCTTTTCTGTGGATGGGCTTCCTGAGGTGTAGGAACTGAGGCTCAGAGAAGCTGGGTAACTTGTTCAAGATGACCCAGCCGATGAGTAGGTGCAGAGATCAAGAGCCACTCTTACAGCCCAGGAACTGCAGGCTCTGCTTCCACTCAGATATCCATGCTGAGGGTTCTCCTGCAAGTTGCTTCCCCTCTCCAGGCCTCATCTTCCCCATGTGTGAAGAATGGAGTTGGACCGGATTATTTTTGACACCCTCCTGGGCTGACATGCTGTATTAGTCCATTTTCACGCTGCTGATAAAGATATACCCAAGACTCGGTAATTTATAAAGAAAAAGAGGTTTAATGGACTCACAGTTCCACGTGGCTGGGGAGGCCTCAGGATCATGGCAGAGGGTGAAAGGCACATCTTACATGGCAGCAGTCAAGAGAGAACTTTTGCAGGGAACTCCTCTTTATAAAACCATCAGATCTTGTGAGACTTACTATCATAAGAATAGCATGGGAAAGACCCACCTCCATGATTCAATTACCTCCCACCAGGTCCCTCCCACAACACATGGGAATTATGGGAGCTACAGTTCAAGGTGAGATTTGGATGGGGACACAGCCAAACCGTATCACATGCTATGAAACCAAAGACAGTTAGGAACCTGCCCCAAGTCACACAGCAGGTCAGCAGGAGAGCGGCTCCTGCCCTCAGTCTCCTGCCCCCTGCTTAGGGCCTAGGCCTTCTCCTGCTGCCTCAGTCACACCCACACCCTGCCAGGACACCTCCTGAGCATTAATCTAATGGAAAGGCTATTTTTGTCACTTTGCAAGGCCAAAAACATTGCCTATGTCAGGAGATCCCCACCCTGCCCTCTCACCCACCCCTCCTCAAATCTCCAGGTCCAGTCCAAGGCCACACTGCCCCAGAAGGGCCCCTGAGTATCTCAAGCCAGGCTCATTCATCTTTTTTTCCATTAAATATCTTCTGTCTGAGCTTAGTCCTCAGAGCTCATGAGGGGATTAACCAGGATAATGCAGCTTCAGTACCGCCTACAGGCAGAGTGACAGCACCAGCTAACACTCCACTGGGCACTTACTGCACACAGCCCTGTGCTTAGCACTTCACATGGTGTGTTGACTTACTGGAGCCTCACAGCAAACCCATTTCACATTGTACAGAGATGCAAACCGAGATGAACTCAGTGTGGCCCTTGTAACAAGGCAGGACCCATCACATGGTGGGTGCTCCATAAATGTTCCTCCCCAGCCCTTCTCCACACCACCTTTATTCTGTAGACCAGTGGTTTTTAAAGTGGGGTTCCAGGAGAGAAGTGGGAAGCCAAGGCTGGAGGATTGCTTGAAGCCAGAAGCTCAAGACCAGCCTGGGCAACATAGCAAGACTCCATCTCAAAAAAATTTTTTTTAATTAGCCGGAAATGGCAACGCATGTCTGTGATCCCAGCTACTCAGGAGGCTGATGTGGAAGGATTTCTTGAGCCCAGAAGGTCAAGGCTACAGTGAGCTATGATTATGCCACTGTACTCCAGCCTGGGCGACAGAGTGAGATTCTGTCTCTAAAACAATAAAACTTTAAAAAAAAAGAAATGCAAATTGTCAGTCTCACCCAAGATGCTATGGCCTTTGAGGGCCTGGACTCTAAAAGCAGACTGACTGGCTCTGACACTTCACACTGCCATGCCTTCCAGCAAGTCACTTAATCTCTCTGCCCCTCAGTTTCTCCGTCTGTCAAAAAGAAATGATAATGAGAAAACTGAGGCTCAGACAGGTTCTATAACTTACACAGGGTGGCACGTTCAGCATTTGGTGGAGTCAGAAAATGAACCCAGGGGGGCCTGGCCCCGAGGCCTGCACCCTTCACCATTCCCTATTACCGCCTCCCCATATGGGCTCTCTCAACCTTGTAGCAGCCCCTGTTCTTATGTGTGTCTGTCCAGCCTGTCCACACAGTGGAATGTGTTGGCAGGAGGCAGCACATACCTGTGCAGGTATATGGAACCAATAGCATGCTCAGGGACACAGTTATTCCTACCCCTACACAGTTGGGCTTTGGAGGAGCAATTGAGCGTGTGCTCCTGTCACTCCCTAGATTCTAGGTGTCTGAGCAGAAACCCTGTTTGTTTAGCTCTTTGACCACACTGCTGCTAGGGACTGGTACTTGCTAGGTGCTCAGGACCCAGAAGAAAGCGTATCGCTGAACTGAGAGCAGGCATTCTCCCAGCTTCTGCATAGAACCATGTCCCACTCAGGAAGCTTGACGACGGGCAGCTCAAAGGTCATGAGGACCCAGGCTCTTAGGCACTTTCGTCCCGACTGAGGCCCTTGAAGTCCTTCTTGTGGCTTCCCAAGTGCAGGTCAGTGGCAGCAGGAGGGAGAACAGAGCTGCCTCCCCACTCTGATCGTAGGTGACCCGTTGGCTGTTGAGCCCACCTGAGACACCCAGTGGCTCTCAGGGAGCTTGCAAGAGACCAGATTCCCTCTAAGGCAGGAGGGCCTCAGAGCTGGCGAAATCCAGGTCTCCCTGTTACCTCCTGCATTTCTACCCTAGGGCCTGAGAAGCCTGCAGACATTCAGAGGCCATGGCCACCAAGCCAGGAGTGCCCTTCCTCCAGTGTCCCCGCCATGCCAGCCCCCTGCTGTCCCCATGCCAGTGCCTGCCCCATCAGGCTGCCAGACACAGAGTCAGTCTACAGCTCAGAAAACCTGTCCCACTGTGATTATCAAGGACTTGCTTCTGCGACATTGGCAGTCGCATCCTACCCGCAGTGGCCTGCCTACAGTGGGCACAGCAGCAGCTGGGTGAGTGCTGTTTGTACTCGGAAACCACCACTTTCCTCCTTTCCAGATTTGTACCCAGGACACGGAATGCTCAGCAGCACATTTTATTTTATTTGAACAAATCAACTTTCCACCATAACATGGAGAGTGGAATGTGTCCAGATATCAGTAATCTAGAAACAAAAATCCAATTCTGCAGGTTTTATTGGTCTTGCCCATGGTCACCTGCTTCCCCCCACCTCCCAGGGACCACCAGAGGCCTGCCTATGTGTTCTCAAAGCCCTGTGATTCCTCCCCCAGCTGAAGAACTGTTTTCTTTCTTTTCTTGTTTTCTCCCCAACCTCCCACCTCTCTCTCTCATCCTCCCTTGCTGATTATAATCTCTGAGAACAGGAAAACACAATTTCAGAATGGTGCTGTCTGTTATTAATTAGGATTTAGTTCCTTTATCACACAGCTCTGAGACGGAGGTTTCAAAAGAGACAAGGAAGGTGCTGGTAGTAATTAACACTTCCCTGCTCACTGGAAAACAGAAATTATTCCCAGATATGCGGGTGCGGAGTTCTTTTGAAGAAGCTTCGGCATGGGAGACGCAGGGAGGCCAGCCAGGGATTAGCAGATATGCCAGCAGGAATAGCAAGAATTCAGAGGAAAGGAGGGGACACCAACCTGAGAGGTGAGAGGGTGAGCCTTGAGGCGGGATTGAGAGGAACCTGGACAGGGGCAGGAGCCAGCCTGGACCCCTCTACCAGGACAACAGGATGCTCTGGGCCTCCAGAGAGGGAGGGGAGGTGACACACAGTTCAGATGTATTGGATTTGCAAGACTTTTCCTGGGTTTTTCCCAACTCACTTGTCCTTAACTAACTGCCATTAGTTAAGATGACCCTGTCCAACCCAAACAGGAGTGAAGGGCAGTCCTATGCAGCATTTGAGAAAACAGCAAGAAACAAGACCAGAGGGGTAGAAGAGCTGGACACAGGGGGGCACCAGACGCTGCGCCCATAGCTTTGTATTATCTTGGAGGCATATGGGGTGCCTTTGTCTGTGTGTCTCTGTGTCTGTGCATCTGTGTGTGTATGTGTGTATGTCTGTGTGTGTATGTGTGTATGTTTGTATGTATGTGTCTGTGTCTATGTGTGTGTGTCTGTGTGTATCTGTGTGTATGTGTCTGTGCATGTGTGTGTGCCGTGTTCCTTGCAGTTGAGGCCATGATTGGATTTTCCCTGTCTCTGGGGACCCAAGGGGAATCATTCTTTCTCCCAGAGCCCCTCTGAGCCTCCTTCCCAGTGGGCATTCCTGCCTGTCTGCCCCTGTCCCTGACTGGCCCCTCCTCCAGGAGCAGACTGGACACCTCCTGCTCATGTGGGTGAACTGAAATGGGTTGAGGTGAGCCGAGCAGCTCCATCCGTTCCTTCGTCCTGGTGCCTGACCCTTCCCTAGAGGGAGACAGACCCCTTTGGCCAAGGATCAAGCTGTCCTTAGCTGGGTTAAGCCTCTGTATGTGTGTCCAGATCACTTTACATGTTCAGTTCCTGGAGGAGCCAGGACAGAGCTGTGGGTGGGTCACGTGGGAGTAAATTCAGGCTCAGCCCTAGCAGCCTGATCTGCCCAAGAATGGGATAGATGGCCCTGTCAGGTAGTGACCACACCATCCCTACCAGAGTTCAAATCATTACTCAGGACGGTGAAGAGAGGGCTTCCTGCATTTCCAGGGGAGTTGGACCAAGGTCACGTCCTGTGCTGAGATGCTGATTCCACCATGTCTATTTCAACTCCACGTGTCCTGGATCATTCTGTATTTCTCAGGGCCAAGCCTGCTGTGAATGTGGTTGCAAGTCTTTCCTAGCGATTTCTTAATCCCAAGATTCTTTGGGTCTGTGATTCTATGAATGCATCTGTGATCCTGTCATTCTGGGATTTTGTAAAAGGGATAAGACTCTCCGAATCTGTGATTCAAACACTCCATTAAGGTATCTTTGAGTCTATGAAAGAAGCTCTAATTCCAAGATTCTGTGCGTCACAGATGCCATGGAAGGGACCGTGAGATCTGCAAATCCTCCACCCAAGACCCTCCCCTCTCACATTTCAGCATCTGCAAAAGGAGGGCGTCGGGCTTATCATCACCAAGCTCCTCTTAGCATTAGAATATGGCGTCCTGGTTGCTGATTCTGTGCTCCGCCATCCCCTGTCATCACCTGGCTCACCCTAGTCTCTCCCTTCAAGGATCCAGGGTCTTAGGGGGGACCAACGGTTCCAGAAGCCCCCACTCCTTCTCCACTTCCTCCTGAGCCTGGTTAACCTGCCAGCAGAGTTAGATCCTTCCCAGGAAGGCATTGGTACTTGACATCATCTGTAAACTGCTTTTAGGATTCCACTACCTATAATTTCCAGGGGACACCACTGCCTCCCAGACTGGAGAAACAGGAACGGGAAACCTCCTGGCTTCTCTCTTCTCCGGACCTGCCATCCCCCCAGGCCCAGGGCTGGCCAGTGTGGATGCATCCCTGCTGCAGCCTGCTGGGGGCTCCTCCACAGTGTTGTCTGTTATAATAACAGAAATTAATCCGTCCCTAGGGTCCCCTGCACCCGCTCCCCACAGCTGAGTGGGCTAAATGGTCCCAGGTGACAAAGCCCGTGGGGCTAGCCCCTCAGCAGGTGTACTCCCGGCTGAACAGATTTTTACCCAGGGGTATTAATTACAAGGGAGATGACAAGTGCAGCGTGGAGCCATTGGGATTTCCGGTTCGTCTTGCTCAGATAAAAAGCAACAGAAGAACCAGAAGCCAGGAGCCCGCTGTCGTTTCATGTCTGTTTATTTTTCTGATGGACTCGCCCTGCCCCGCCGTGGAGGTCTTCTTCCATATTTCCCCATTTAATTGGCTGTATTCTCAGTGGGCTCTAAGCAGCAACTGTCCTGCCAGGGTCAGTTCAGGTTTCTCTGGAAAGGAATTTGATTCCCGGGGAAGGAAAGAAATGGGAGAATAATCAGGGAGGGGTTGGAATTCTGGGAAGGGCCAGATCTGCACTGGGTCCCTCAGGATATCCCAGGGCAGCCCCCTCTCTGCCCACCCTAACTTCAGCAGCTCCAGAGCAGGAAGGTTGGGGTCCTAGGGTCACCTGCCACAGAGAGGAAACCAGAGCCCAGAGCCCCGTAGACTTGGCCATGGGAAGGACACAAGCCACTCCCATCTTCACTCCTCAGCGGCCTCCCCTGAAACAGTCCCTGAGCTGGCCAGGCCTGAGCCCCCGTGAGCTGGCAGGGAGGGCTCTGACCATCACCCTGGGGGAAGGTCGGGGAGAGGCTTCCACGGCTGTGCAGACCCAGGCTCTCGGCTCAGATACTTCCAGCCTTTTTCAGTCTGAGGCTCAGGCGCCTGGCAGGCCCTGGCACTACTGGACCCAAAGGCCTGCTGCTCCTCCCCTCTGCCTGTTTAATATGTGTCTTGACTGCTGGATGAGGGCTGTTTGAGGGCCGGGACCTTGTCTGCCTTCTTCACTGCTGAAATGCTAGAGGTCTGGCATTGGTCCTGGTATACTGTGTATTTGTAAGGAAGAAAGAGGGAAGGAGGGAAGGGAGGAGGAAATTATCTCGTTTATTAGCCACTTGCATCACTGTCCTCATGGACCTGACATTCCAGTGGGGCAGACAGACAATAAACTATAAACATAATGTATAAATAAATTAAACACAATGCTGGAGGCAGGACAGTGGGACGTGTGGTGGGCTCAGAATTAAATACGACGGTCAGGGAAGCCTCACTGAGGAAACAAAGTTTGAGCAAAGACTTGTCTTTGCTCTTATTTCATCATCACAACATCTCCATTTACAGATGAGGAAACAAAGGCTCAGAGAGGTTGACCATGAACCCAAGGTCACACAGCACGAAGTGGAGGCAGGACTTCCTGCCCACCCCACCCTGGAGAGAAGGGTTCCCCCAACTCTGCCACATTCCAAACCCCCACAGGCATTACACCCAGTGGGTCTTTGCACCAGCACTGTGACCAGGAAGTTATAATCCCCACTTGACCAGTGAGGAAGGGGAGCCATGTGAGAGTTTCAGATCCAGGACTGGAACCAGAGTTTGAAGGAATGAAAAGCCTCATTCTTCCTGACCTGCCACTTGAAAGGAAGCTACCATGAGCCCAAGGTGGGATCTTGGCAGGCTGGTGGGAGCCCAGGAACCTTCTCAGAGTGCTAGGCTCACTGCCAGATCCAGGCATCGAGTGACACCTTCAGAAAACAGGTGAGACTGAGCCAGCAATAGCATGACTCACTGTAGGAGGATTGAGGAAGGGACACCTGAGGCCTGAGCCACAAACAGACCTTCCAGGCCACAGCTGGGCCCAGAGACAGCCGAATCACAGCCACCAGGGACTCACTTGGCCAGATGAGAAAAGGCAGCTGGGGGTCCCAGGTGCTCACCCCTGGACTATAGGCACACCTTCCTCCACCGCCCAGCGGCCGCCTGTAACACGCTCAGTGCCACTCACCCACCCAGCCCAGCAAGCCTGCCAGGAGAGTGGAGGCAAGTCCTGGGCTGTTGCTTCCCAGCCTGGAGGAGAGGAACGGGGGTGACTGGCAGGTGAACTCCTCCACAGCCCCGGGTACAGAGGTCTGGGTGTGGAAGGAGAAGGGAGTCTCTCAGGGTCAAACCAAGGGCACCCACCAATCCTGCAGCCCCAGGTCCTGGCCAGCCAGACCTCTCTCCAAGTCACCTCCCCTGTTGTCTCTGGCCAGACTTGAAAGGAGGGAAGCCCCTCACCCACCCTGGGCCAAGGCGGGACAGGCCTTCAGCTCAAGGCCCAGAGAGCAGCCCATGGCCTCAGTATTGGGAGACGTGTTGTGGGGCCAGGGGCTCAGGGGACAGATAAGAATGTGCAGCCTCATCAAGCTCTGGCCTGTTTTCCACTTCCCTGCCCTGAGCTGAGGTGGCTGCCTTAGTAACCGCACAGATGTGGTGACACAGGCAGCTCCCAGCACGGCTGAGGGGACATCTCAGACCCCAGAGCCTGCAGGGTCCCAGGATGTATTAGTCAGGGTTCTTTAGAGGGACAGAAGTCCTCTCTAGAGGGGAGTTCTCTGGAGAGACAGAATATATATATATATATGTATAAAGGGGAGTTTATTAAGTATTAACGTGACCACAGGGTCCCACGATAAGCTGTCTGCAAGCTTGAGGAGCAAGGAGAGCCAGTCTGAGTCTCAAAACCAAAGAACTTGGAGTCCAATGTTCAAGGTCAGAAAGCATCCAGCACAGGAGAAAGATGTAGGCTGGGAGGCTAGGCCAGTCTTGCCTTTTCATGTTTTTCTGCCTGTTTTATATTCGCTGGCAGCTGATTAGATGGTGCCCACCAGATTAAGAGTGGGTTGCCTTCCCCAGCCCACTGCCCCATATGTTAATCTCCTTTGGCAACACCCTCACAGACACACCCAGGATCAATATTTTCCATCCTTCAATCCAATCAAGTTAACACTCTGTATTAACCATGATAAGTCCACCCTTGTCAACCTGAATCCGTACACATCTCCTGAGATCATACATAATCTTCAAATAAAGATAATAATAAGGTCAAAATTACGCCTAAAATAATACAACTTATCCTTTGTACAACCAGAAACCCACCAATTCCCCAACTCAAATACTATTCATAAAGTTAACAATACTTTAATGCTGATATGAAGTCAATAAATTTTATGTCACGTGATAAAGGAAAAGGAAATAAAATGAATATATTTTCTTAGTACGAGTGTATACATGCACAGACATGTTTTTAACCAAAGAAGGAGGAAATACCCATGACGGTTACAGTCTTCATTTCTGCAGCTGATCACGTGGTCATAGCTGGTATCGATGACTACCTTCTTCTACTACTATGCTGTTTGGAATGCCATGACGGTGGATAAGGTAGTCTGTGAGTACATGGATGGTAGTCTTGGCAGAAGCATTGTGTGCAGGAGAGGCAAACCCATATCTGGAGTAAGTGTCTATTCCAATGAGGACAAACCTCTGTCCTTTCCGTGATGCAAGAGGTCCAATATAATCAACCTGCCACCAGGTAGCTGGCTGATCACTGCCAGGAGTGGTGCCATATCAAGGGCTCAGCGTTGGTCTCTGCTGCTGGCAAATTGAGCACTCACCAGTGGCCATAGCCAGGCCAGCCTTGGCGAGTGGAAGTCCATGTTGCTGAGCTCATTAGTAACTTCTATCCCTGCCACCGTGGTCACTTCGTTCATGGGCCCATTGGGTGATGACAGGGATGGCTTGGGAAAGAGGCTGAGTGGTGTCCCCAGAAGGGGTCATCCTATCCACTTGATTATTAAAATCCTCCTCTGCTGAGGTTACCCATTGGTGAGCAGTCACATGGGATACAAATATCTTCACAGTTTTTGACCACTCAGAGAGGCCCATCCACATATCTCTTCCCCAAATGTCTTTGTCACCAATTTTCTAACCATGCTTCTTCCAAGTCCCTGACCATCCAGCCAAACAATTGGCTACAGCCCATGAATCAGTATATAATCACACATCTGGCCATTTTTCCTTCCTTGCAAAGTTCACAGCCAGGTGCACTTACCAAAGTTCTGCCCACTGGGAAGATGTCCCTTCACCATTGTACTTCGGGGATGTCCTAGAAAGGGGCTGTAGTGATGCAGCTGTCCACTTTCAGGTGGTGCCTGAGTATCCTGCAGAACCATCTGTGAACCAGGCCCTAGTCTTCTCTTCCTCTGTCAACTGATCATAGGGAACTCCCCATGAGGCCATTGGTGCAGGCTGGGGAAGAGGAGGCAGGGTGGCAGAAGTCGAGATCATGGGCATTTGAGCCACTTCCTCATGTAACGTACTTGTGCCTTCAGGATCTGCTCGAGCCCGATCACTTATATACCACTTCCATTTGATGATGGAATACAGCTCTGTATGACCCACGTTATTGCTTGATGGTTAAGAAAGCACCCAGTTCATGATAGGCAGTTCAGGTCACATGGTGACTTGATGACCCATAGTCAAACATTCAGTTTCTACCAAAGCCCAGTAATAGGCCAAGAGCTGTCTCTCAAGAGGAGAGTAGTTATCTGCAGAAGATGGCAGGGCCTTGCTCCACAATCCCAGAAGCCTCTGTGTGATTCACCTACAGGGGCCTGCCAAAGGCACCAAACAGCAACCCTATCTGCCACTGACACCTCAAGCACCATTGGATCTGCTGGGTCATATGGCCCAAATGGCAGAGCAGCTTGCACTGCAGCCTGGAACTGTTGCAGAGCCTTCTCCTGTTCTGGACCCCACTCAAAACTGGCAGCCTTTTGGGTCACTAGATAAATGGGCTGGAGTAACACACCCAAATGATGAATGCGTTGCTGCCATAATCCAAATAGGCCCACTAGGCATTGTGCCTCTTTCTTGGTTGTAGGAGGGGCCAAATGCAGCAACCTATCCTTCATCTTAGAAGGAATGTTTCAACAGGCCCCACACCACTGGACCTCTAGAAATTGTATTGAGGTAGAAGGTCCCTGAATTTTAGTTGAATTTATTTCCCATCCTCTGGCACGCAAATGTCTCACCAGTAAGTACCGTGTGTTTGCTACTTCTTGCTCACTGGTATAATCAGCATAATGTCATCAATGTAATGGACCAGTGTGATATCTTCTGGAAGAAAAAAGCAATCAAGGTCTCTCCAAATAAGATTATGACACAAAGCTGGAGAGTTGATATACCCCTGAGGTAGGACAGTAAAGGTATATTGCTGGCCTTACCAGCTGAAGGCAAATTGCTTCTGGTGGGCCTTATGGACAGGAATGGAGAAAAAGGCATTTACCAAGTCAATGGTTGCATAACAGGGACCAGGAGTTGTGTTAATTTGCTCAAGCAATGAATCCACATCTAGTACAGCAGCTGCAATTGGAGTCACCACTTGGTTAAGCTTATAATAATCCACTGTTTTTCTCCAAGATCCATCTGTCTTCTGCACAGGCCAAATGGGAGAGTTGAATGGGGATGTGGTGGGAATTACCACCCCCGCGTCTTTCAAGTCTTTGATGGTGGCACTCATATCCACATTCCCTCCAGGGATGCGATATTGTTTTTGATTTACTATTTTTCTAGGTAGAGGCAGTTCGAATGGCTTCCATTTGGCCTTTCCCACCATAATAGCCCTCACCCTACCAGTCAGGGAGCCAATGTGGGGGTTCTGCCAGCTGCTAAGTATGTCTATGCCAATTATGCATTCTGACACTGGGGAAATGACTGCAAGATGAGTCAGGGGACCCACTGGACCCACTCTAAGTCGGACCTGAGCTAAAACTCCATTAACTAGCTGACCTCCATAAGCCCCTACTCTAACTGGAGGACTGCAATGATGTTTTGGGTCCCCTGGAATCAATGTCAGCTCAGAGCCAGTGTCCAGTAGTCCCTGAAATGTCTGATCATTTCCCTTTGCCCAATGCACAGTTACCCTGGTAAAAGGCTGGAGGTCACCTTGGGGAACAATGGGGGAAAGACTCACTGCATAAATTGTTGGTAATGTAGTGGGGTCCTTCCTCAAGGGGACCTGGCCTTCCCTCATTCAAGAGGTTTTGGGTCCATAAACTGGCTCAAGTCTGGAAATTGATCGAGGGAACATGATTCTCTGTTTTTATAATTAAAATTAGTCTTTTGTCCGTTCGACCTAGAAGTTTTCTCCTTATAAAAATTAAGTAGGAATGCAGTAGGCTTCGTATCAATTTCACTTCTAGGAACATCACGACTAATTAGCCAGTGCCAGAGTTCTACATGAGTCAGACTATTCTGATTGCTGCTTTGTCTCTGCTGTCCATTATGGTAGCTATGTCCACCTTGCCTTTGACATAGCTACCATACCTGAGTGCCACCACTTGGCCCCTGCTACCTGGGGATCCAATTATTCCCATTGTATTTAAATTTTGTAGTTGAGTGACTGTGGTTCCCACTGTTAGATCTGACATACAGAGAACAGCAATTACAGGGCTCTTTAAAGATGCAAGTGCTGCCCTCACAAATCTGTTTCACAAGGCATTGGTCAAGAATATATCTTCTCAACCCTCCCAGCTGGGATGAGTAGGTCTAAAGTGACTAATCCACTCCACCATCCCACTCTCCCTAAGCCTTTGGATACCTTCCTCTACATCAAACCAAGGGAGATCAGGCATTTCCAACTTGCTCACAGTGGGCCATCTTTTAATCCATATTTCAGCTAACCAAACAAATAAACTATTGGAACCTTTTTAACTCCCTGAGCTGCAACATTAAAAGCAGAGTCCCCACTTAGTGGGCCCAAATCAATAAATTCAGCCTGATCCAACTCTATGTTCCTTTCACCATTATCCCATACCCTTAATATTCATTCCCATGCCTGTTCTCCAGATTTCTCTTTATATGGAGGACTCAAGCAGTTCTTTTTTAATGTGATGCACCTCCTCATGGGTCACACTCTCAAACTCACCTCCAGGGGCCCACAGAGACTTTAGTCTAGTTATAGGTCTAGAAGCAAACGGGGGCATTGGAGGTCGATCCTGAGGAGAATCAACATTATTTTGCCTGGCAACTGCCTCAGGGGAGGCCATCACTGTTGCCTCAGGCAGCACAGCATTTATCTCCTCAGACAAAGGTGGAAAGGCTGATGGCAGCATGGGTCGGGGAGGGGATGTTGCCACTACTGGGGATGGGGAAGCTGTTCCTTCTGGCAAAAAAAGGTTCATCAGAGTGTGCAAACTCAGTGTCCCCAGCTTCTTCAGAGTCCTCCCACATCCCCATTCCAAGCTGCAGAGTCCCATTCTCTTCCAATCAGTGCCTTCTCTTTAGCAGTAGACACCTCCTGAGGCTGTGCATGCACCTTTCATGCAGGTCAGCCACTCTCATGATAAGAGTTTGTGTCTGTTTCTCCACAATTTCAGCTCTTTCTCTGCAGGAGATGAGACTCTCACTCAGGGCAATCTTAGCAGATTTGAGGCTCAGTGTCTGCCTCTGAAGCCTGGAGAACGGAATCCCTGAGTTCATCATTTTCTTTCCTCACTTCATCTACTGAACTTAGGGGCAACCAACCAGCTTCATTATGTTCCTTGGTTCTCCAAATATGGTCAAAAGTATTATGTATAGAGTCACTAAACTCCTTGCCTCTCACGAGCAGTGAATCAGGAGTGTCAGATGGATTTATTTTGTGTAACTCTCTAAACAGTTCCTCCCAAGGACTATCAGTGTTCTCCATACTATTAGAAGTAGAGTCCTTAGCATTTTTGAGTCTAATCATCTTAAGTAGCCAACTCCAGAAACCCCAAAGCCAATGAAAAACTCCATCCTTAATATTCTGTTCCTCTAGAACCACTCCTGGTACCAAAATCTGTATTAGTCAGGGTTCTCTAGAGGGACAGAACTAATCGGAGATATATATATACACATATGTATATATATATTTTATATATATACACATATGTATATATATATTTTATATATATACATATATATATTTTATATATATACATATATATATATATATAAAAATTAACTTACATGATCACAAGGTCCCACAATAGGCCGTCTGCAAGCTTGAGGAGCAAGGAGAACCTGTCTAAGTCTCAAAACTGAAGAACTTGGAGTCTGATGTTCGAGGGCAGGAAGCATCTAGCACGGGAGAAAGACGTAGGCTGGGAACCTAGGCCAGTCTCACCTTTTCACGTTTTTCTTCCTGCTGTATATTCGCTGGCAGCTGATTAGATGGTGCCCACCAGATTAAGGGTGGGTCTGCCTTCTGCAGCCCACTGACTCAAATGTTAATCTCCTTTGGCAACACCCTCACAGACACACCCAGGATCAATACTTTGCATCTTCGATCCAATCAAGTTGACACTCAGTATTAACCACCACACAGGGGGACTTGGGGAGAGAAACTAGAGCCTTGGGGGCCTGAGGGAGGGGTGTCCTGGGAGAGAAGGAGGACAGGAGGGAGAGAGGGAGGGAGGTTGGGTTTTGAGCCTCCACTTCCCCCCAGGCCCCATGCCGGTCACTCCACACACTGTCCCATGTGATGCCCACCACACTTACGAAGGTGCAGTTCTACCATCTTGAACACCGGCAGGTACCTGGCCCCATGCTCTGTGCTTCATATGCATGGTCTCATTTCGCAGTCTCAGCATCCATTGGAGAAGGAAGCTTTCTCCGCATTTCCTGGGTGAGCAAACTGAGCCCAGGGAGGTGCAGTCACGTGGCCTCAGCCATGCAGCAGACACACGGTGACTGAGATGGACTCACACTCACTCTTTGGATTAGGGAGCTTCCATTCTCTCCAGGGTGCCTGAGGGGTCTTCCTGGGGATCAGTCCATCAGATTTCAATAAAGACACAGAAACCACACAGTGATCTGAATAGGAGACATTTTCTATACATAATTATTAAACTATGATAGAAGAGTGCCTAAAATGATGTCAGGAAGAATCGGAACAGCACCCTAGGGCTGAAGAAGACAACCTTGGAAGGACCTGCCCCCGAGGCTGGGGTCCTGACTTCGCTGGATGTCTGTGGCTGCAGCCCCTTGAATGGCAGAGAAGGTATTGGGTCCCAGAGGTGCTGGTTCATAGATGCAGGTCAGGCTGGCAGGCAGGAAACACCTCTCTGGGCACAGGAGAGAGAGTGGTGTGCACGTGCAGGTGGAGGTGTGGGCTGGACCACAGCAAGATGGGCACTGGGCTCAGGATGGGCTATGAGGTGGTCGAGGGACCATGCATTCTGGGTGCACAGCTGAGGAAAAGCCCCAGAGGATGTCCCCCCGCGTTCATACCCTAAGAGAAGATGCAACAGGAACAAGAAATTGCACAACAGAGCTCTGTGGACCATGAAAAGGCCCCTTCCTCCACAGTGTCCCTCCGGCGCCCTCTACTGACAAAGCTTGATATCGTGCTTGCTGCAAAGAAGGGCTTAGAGTCCAGTCCATCAAGGAGCAGGCACTCACGGGGAAGTTGGAAGCTGAGAGGCAAGAAGAAACCAGGGCTCTGCAAACTACGGCCACCATTCAGACCTGGCCTGATGTTTGTTTTTCATGGCCTATAAGCTAAGACTGATTCTTTACATCTTTAAATAATTTAAAAAACGAGAAAAATAATCTTTCAAGACATGTTAACGTTATATGACATTTAAACTTCAGTGTTCATTGATACATCTTTAATTGTATCACTTACAATTGTGGAAATTTGTTTTCTCTCTGGTTACATGAATACGGTAGTCCTCCCTTATCTGCAGTTTCATTTTCCAAGGCTCCAGGTGCCTACAGTGCAGTACAAGAAGACAATTTGACAGGGAGGGAGACCACATTCACATAACGTTTACTACAGTGTATTATTATAATTGTCCTATCTTATTGTTGTTAATCTCTTATTGTATCTAAGTTTAAAATTAAACTTGAACATAGGTAGGTATGTATAGGAAAAAACATAGTGTATATAGGGCTCTGTACTATCCACTGTTTGACGCATTCACTGGGGGTCTTGGAATGTAGCCCCCATGGATAAGGGGGAACTATTATACCATACCTATATTATATCCTTGATTTGTCTCTTGGCCCACTTGCCCTAAAATATTTATCACTTTGTACTTTACAGAAAAAGTTTGACAACCGCAATAAATTAAGAACTGGCGGCCAGGCGCAGTGGCTCACGCCTGTAATCCCAGCACTTTGGGAGGCCGAGGCGGGTGGATCACTTAAGGTCAAGAGTTCAAGACCGGCCTGAGCAACATGGTGAAACACTGCTCCTACTAAAAATGCAAAAATTAGCTGGGCGTGGTGGCACGTGCCTGTAATCCCAGCTACTCAGGAGGCTGAGGCAGGAGAATCGCTTGAACCCAGAAGGCGGAGGTTGTAGTGAGCCAGGATCACGCCACTGCACTCCAGCCTGGGCGACAGAGCAAAACTCCATCTCAAAAAAAGAAAAAAAAAAAAAAAAAGAACTGGCTAGGACTCTCTTGATCACCATTACTAGTGCCCCATCACCACCCCTCATAATAGTCAGGTCTTGGCTGCCACCCCCTGACCAGGCAAAGCCTCTAGACAGTTAAAGCTAGGAGACCAAAGAGGAGCCCACTTAGGGACACTCACACAGATCCCTTAGAGTAAGAGATCCAGGAGGCTGTAATCACGCCTGTAATCCCAGCACTTTGGAAGGCCAAGGCAGGCGGATTGCCTGAGCTCAGGAGTTCAAGACCAGCCTGGGCAACATGGTGAAACCCCGTCTCTACTAAAATACAAAAAATTAGCCAGGTGTTGTGGCATGGGTCTGTAATCCCAGCTACTCGGGAGGCTGAGGCACGAGAATCGCTTAAACCCAGGAGATGGAGGTTGCAGTGAGCCGAGATCTTGCCACTGCATTCCAGCCTGGAGGTGGCTGGGTTGGAGAAGGTGTATAATCTCTGAAAAGACAGTCTTCTTTCATAGGATTTGCCCTGTGAGCAAGGTCACTGCTCGCCTCAGAAGCTTTTGGGAGGAGGAGGTTAAAGGGATCCAAAGCTTCTGGCGCTCCTCAAATGGCAGGGATGAAATCAGCTCTCTCTGACCAGGTCTGAGCAGATTGCTAGTGTGAGAGACTGGAGGCCCTCATTTCTGGAGACTCAGACGCCCCGATGCCAGATTGCCCCATACCAGCCCCACACCTGCCATTCCAGCACCCATCCCATTCAAGACACGCCACCTCAAAGCCTAAGACCTTTACACTCATCTTTTCCAGTCTCTGGGGCTCATTTCACAGATGGGGAAACTAAGGCCCAGAAAGGTTCACCAAATACCAGCAAATAAAAAGTGGAAATAGCAGGTAAGTTGGAGTCACAGGACTGGCTTGCAATTCCAACCTAATCTGGAGTGCCTTAAGAAAGTCCTGGACATCTCTGAGTCTCCATTTGGCATCTGTAAAATGTTCAGCCCCCTCCCTGCTCCCTATGCCTAGCCCAATGCCCTGCACCCATCTGTCTGCCTTAGCTACTCTCTGTCTGTAAAACAGGTCTGTAAAATGGATCACTGTGAAGTTTAAAACTTAGACAAGTTTAAGATTAGAAAACCCCTGTAAAGACTCTAGCACATAGTAGGTGCCCTAGAAACAGTAGCTCTATAGAGAACCAAGCCTGTCCTTATCCAAATCCCCAGGGCAGATACATGACAAGATACCTGATGCCAGCTGAGCTCTGGTGGCCAAGACTCCCACCCACAGGGCAGCTCTGAAGAGGAGGTGGTGAGGTCTCAGTTTGCAGGAAGCCCAGGAGCAGCTCCTGTCTCCTCCCTTATTAATTGTACCCATATCTGGAACAGATGGGGAAAGGGTGTCTTTTTTCTCTCTGTTTTTCAAAGAGCTTTGGTTCAGGAGATAACTGTAATTAAAAGAGAAGAAATGCGAAACAATCCTCTTAGACAGACCTCGCCATCTTCCTTCCCTTGTAAATTTATTAATGAACTGTAATTGCAAAGATAAAACCTTTATTGAAACCTGGTACACAGTTCACCATGGGGCAGAAAGATTCCCATTGCAGTCCTAGACCTAAGAGGGAAAGAAGAATATATTAATCGGCTTAGTTCTGTATATCTATACAAAAATGAGAAAAATATATATTGGTGGTATTTGTCAACAGACAGTGTCTGCCCTGGGGAGACACTGGTTTTTCTTCCTTCTGAAGCTTGCTTATAATCTTCTGTTAATCAACCTGGAGATGAAAGGGATTTGGATGTTGAGTTTCCTAAGGACCTGGAGCAGATGTGGGGAGAATTGAGTTCTTGGTGGGAGTCTGGGTTTGAGAGGGATTCCAAGATGATGCTGGCTGCACACCTTGGAGCCTGGTGGGGTAGGACCAATTTCCCCATGCAGGGAAGAAGATCCAAGGGGAAGCTTGCATGGGGCAGGTGTGCAGGCGAGAGCCAGCTTGGCCTTCTGCATAGGTTAGGCTCCCTAGAAGCAGAGCCTGAGATGGGGACTTACGGGGACATGTGAGATTGCAGAGGGCGCACGCTCAGAAGAAGGGGAGTGAGGGAAGTAGCGGAGGGTGGGCAAGAAGCCAGGCCAGGGCATGGACTTGGTCTAGTCTAGCCCTGATCTGGGCCCATGGGGAGCTCTGGAGTGTCCTCTGTGGCACCACATGACTGTCCTGCCTCCTCGAATGAGCCAGACCTTTTGTACCCATGTGTCAGCCAGTGACTGGCTGCAGGTCATCCCAGGGAAAGGTGAGACCTCGCAGGCATTTTTCAGGTGAGTCAGCAGTCAGCTTCCTCAGCTGAGGATGATTCCCCAGAAAAGGGCCCAGCTGGCAGCCCACGCTCTCCACAGCTGAAGGACGTGGGCAGGGCTATAGGGTGGGACCCAATAGCATATATCTCAGGCCCCCTGATTCTGACCCCACCATCGGTAACGCGTGATGGTTCTGCCCCACCCCCAGTGCCACTTCCCTTGGGGACCACTGCTCAGCCCTCTCCCTTCTCCTTGTCCTTGAGGAATCACTCCCCACCCAGGCTCAGGGGAGTACAGAGCCCCAGGCCTGTGGCCAATCAGTCTTGCATTCCCCTGGCATAGGGATTCGTTGAGGTCAGAGATTCGGGTGGCAGCTGAGGGAGGTGCAGGTGCAGATTCTTGGACAGGCGATTTAATGAAGAGTTGTCTCTGGAAAAACTGGAAAGACATGGGAATGTTGAGTCATTTGGGGCTAATACAAATAACACTGCCATTCTTGTGATAGAATTTCTGTGGGTGTCTGTTTCGTTTCTCTAGGGAAAATAGCTGGACCCACCAAGTCACAGATCAGGTATTTGTTTTACTTTTACTTTATCAGAGGCTGCCAAGTTGTTTTCCAAAGTGGCTGGACCTGCCTATATTCCCACCAGCAGGGGAGGGAGTTCCAGCATCTCCACATCCTTCTCAACACTTGGTAAGGCAGGTCACATTAACTTTAGCCATTTTGATGAGAGTATTGCATCTTGTTATGGTTTTATTTTGCACTGATGACTAATAATATTGTCCATTTTGTCACGTTTATTAGCCATGATAAATCTATTGTGAAGTGTCCATGGGTATATGTTGACCATTTTTATTGCACTCTTCACAGGGAGGTCTTGTATATTTTTTTAGTCGAATCTCTTTGTATATATTTTTGGGTTTTGTTATGATAATAAATAGTATTTTTATTTCACTTGCCAATTTTTTTTTGTTGCTAGGACATAAAAATACAGTTGACTTATAAATGGTGAACTTACACACCCCTCGGTTGGCATGAAACCCTGAGTGAACAAGCATGCAAGCATTTATTGAGCTCCCTGAATCAATTTAGTTCTGATGGCACAGGGGATAGGAAAGGATGGAGGCAGAAGGAGGCTTTCCTCATCTGCAAAATGGGAGGAATGCCAATAGTTGACACCACAAAGCAATTAGTGTGTGCACTGTATTAAATGTGTGTGTATATATAGACATATATTTACTATTTTATCCTCAAACAACTCTATGATGGAGGTACTGTCATTACCTCCATTTTGCATGAGGAAACTGAGGCACAGACAGCTTATGTAACTTCATAAAGGTCACCCAGCTGGTAAATGCAGAACTGGATCCAAATCCAGCTGGCTTGCGCTTCAAGTCTGTGTTTCCAGCCCCAACTCCACCCTGTCTCCAGTATGTCCTTGAAGATGACCTTGAAGGTTAATTGATATATGTCCGTAAAGAACTGAGCACAGTCCTGGTACATAGTGCTCAATAAATGCTGGGTAAGGTGTCAGGCACCAGCCTGCACTCTGAGGAAACAGTGGCGGCTGAGCCAGACACACAGCCAACCTTCAATAGGCTTCCAGTCCCATGGGGAGGACAGAGGAGTGAACTGTTGCTTATAGTGCAGAGAGTACAGCTAGGACTGGAGAAGTTCAGGGCAGCCACGGGAGGCCAGGGAGGGGAAGTGGAGGTGTTGGAGGAGGAAACAGCATGTACAAATGCCCAGTGGCCCAGAGAAGAGAGACAGGAGCCATTGCCGCAGGAGCAAGGCAGGGGCATGGGGTGATCAAAGGGGCTTTTGTAGGAGCATTTTGGGAAATACCAAGACTAGACTGAGCGGGGTGAGCTTGGCATCACCAGGAGGGCCAATATGAAGTGGGATGAACCAGCTCCCCAGCCCCTTACCTTTCATAAGCATGGGGGACTTTCCCAGTGAGAGCTACAGGGCATGCGGGAGAGCCCCTCCTTTCTCTTACTGAGCCCTCCACACTGGGGGCTATTCTGTGGGTAGACCCTGGGGCTACTAGACACCCCTACCTCCCCCAGACACCTCCCCCATTCCACCCCTCCCTCTCTACCACTGATGCAGCAGGTTAAATGATAAAGCAGCTTCATTATGGAAGCTTCCAGCTCATTAACCAGACAGGGGGAGATGAGCGAGGGAGGACTCTCGAGAGAGCCCAACCCAAGAGTCCCCACTAAGGTTCCAGCCCCAGGGAGGGAGGAGGAGCATGCAGGGAGCAGTCCCGAAACCCACGGTCTGTGCCTCCAGGAGACCGGTGGGAGCACATGGGATTCACCAAGAAAGGTAAGCCCCCGAGAGCTTCTCCCTCTGAGTCCCTTCGGTCCTTCAGCATTAGGACGGAGACACATTGGGCTCTAAGGAGGTGGATCCTGAAGACCCAGAGCTGTGGGAGCAGAAGATGGTGGCCTGGCAGGCCTAGGGTCAAGGAGGGCTTCCTGCCAGTCCCCTCCCCAGGGCCCCTCCTCACTGAGGGCTCCTCCTCTCAGGCTGGGCAGAAGGGCCCAGCGATGCCCCTGTGAAGGTGGACACAGAAGGACCCTGGCAGAGCCTGGAGCAGGCCTGGGGAAGGGGAGCCATCGTGGCTGGGCCACAGGATGATGGTGGCTGGATGCTGGCTCTGGGCTCTGTGGCGAGAGAGACAAGTAGAGACATCATAAAACCTTCTTGGGGCCTGTCCTTGGCCTCAGGCCAATGTGCTCAGTCCCTCAAACTTGAGATGCTAACCAAGGGTGCCAGGTGCTGTCCAGGGAAGTGTGCTCAGCAGAGAGGTTGTTGTGTTGGAAGGGAATGAGGGGGACCTGGAGATCTGCTGGCTTGTCTGCACTGACCCAGGAGGCTGACCCTGAGCAATGAGAGTGTTGCAAACTCCCAGGCAAAGTCCAGACTGGAGTGTGCCCGGGATGCATTTCCTACCGCATTTTGCAGAGGGCAGCATGAACCCCAGCATACCTTAGAATCCAGAACTGAGAATCAGGGGAATCTGGAGTTTCATAAACCCAAGATTTCAGATTCTGAGAATCTCAGAATTTAGAAATGTAGAGGCTCAGAGCCCGGAAAGTAGAGCCACCAGGTAGTTTATGACTTCCAGTCTAACAGAATTGTCTTCAAAATACAGGAAAAAAAATTAAAAAGACGAACCTCCCCTGGGAGCCCAGTACATGGATCAGAAGAAGGCTGGGCAGCAACTCTGGCTGGAGGCAGGTGGCGGCTTCTAAGACCTCTCTGCTGACCACCTTCCCCCAGGCATTTTGACCCCTCATTCCCTATCAGGCAGCCCAGGACACTGTGGTCTAAGCACTTCAATTTAGGGATGGGGATGCTGAGTTGCAGAGAAAATGCGGACCTACCCAAGGTCACCCAGGGAGCCAGAGGCAGAGCCAGCTCTGCCCCTCCCCACTTACTCAGCAGAGCCACTGCCAGGCTGGGCACACTGGGTCAGATGGCACTGGATCCCAGGGCTGCCAGGAGCAGATAAGCAGGATGTCGGGGGGATGACAGAGCACCTGCCAGGATGCCCTTTTTGAACCTGGCCCAAGGCCAGGCTGAAGCAGGAGAGAGAACCTACCAGTAAGACAGTGTAGGGCGGCCTACCCAGGGCGCTAAGCTCTGACTGTCTCCTGGCTTAGTCTTTGAACAACTTCCCAATAAAAACACTTTAAACTGTCATTTAATGAGTGTTTACTATGTGCCAGGAGCTTCAGGTACATCATCCATGAGTACATTATTTATTGGGCACCTACTGTGTGCCAGGCACTGTTACGGCACTCGGGATAAATCAGAAAACATTTCCTTCTTGGATCCTGACCCACAAAGCAGCTCTGACTCCCTTTTCACAGATGAGGAAACCGTGATGAAAGCACCTTGCCCACGCCATTTGGTGGATCAGTGGCAGGGTCTGACTTGAACTCAGGCGCAGCCACAAATGTGAAGGCCTCATCAAGTCTGAAGCACAGGAGATGCCCCAAAATAGCAAGTCCCTGACTCCTCCCCAGCAGGGGCCTGAGAGGTGACTCTCGGCGGGGGCGGGGCTGGGGGTGGTGAGGGCCATAGTGGAGGGGACAGAGTTTTGCGGTGGTGGTGGTGGTGCTATGTGGCAGTTTGGGTGCCTTAGAAATCTACCTACCCCCAGAGAAACAAGATTGACAATGTGAGGGTATGAGGAGGAGGCTGCCCAGCAAAGGTGGCACTGGTGCTCAGTTCTGGACACAGAGTCCTCACAACTACCCTGAGAAATAGAAGCTCTTATCACTCCCATTTTACTGATGAGAAAACTGAGGCTCAGAGAGGCCAAGGGACTCGTGGGAGGTCACAGAATGTGCCAGAGCTGGAACACAACCCAGGCCTCTGCTGACTCCACAGCCTGCTGATGCTACTCTGTCTTCTGTCTCTGTCTTCTACTCTGCAAGCCTTCCAGAACATTCCTCCCACACCTGTGCTGGTTTTTCCTCCCTCGCAGAGCAGACCCAGAGGGCACCGGGCCAGCCCCAAGGATGGCAGGTCTCTCACCTCCTCCTCCCTGGATGGCTCCTTACCTTGCTGTTTCCCGACATGAGCTTTTCCAGCAACTCAACACCCAACTCGTGCTGAGCCCCCAGCTCGGCTCCTGCAGGGGCTGAGGACAGGCAGCTCGGCCGGCTGTCCTCTCTCCATGGCCATGTCTGTTTTCCTTGTGGCTTGCTGGCCTGCCCCTCCCTCTCTCTCTGTCCCCTTCCCCATCTCTCTCTCTCCTTGTTATTATCTCTTTCTCTCTTCTCCTCCCCTCCTCCTTCTCTGTCTCCCCCAACACCTCCCCACTCAAGGTGGTCAAGGTCACAGCCGCAGAGGCTGATCCTTGCCTGCTCCCAAAGGGGGCTTTGGCTCCACCCTGGGCCAAAGCAAGGGTGATGCCCAGAGCCTGGCAGGGGCTGGGGGTAGGAAGCCTGGGCCTGCTGAACTCTCTCCCATCCAGTCTGGGAAGGCTATGCCATCCTCAGTGCTGGACAGCAGTGGTCCCAGTGAGGACACAGCCGTCTTCTTAGCACAGGAAGGACATCCTAGTCCTGGCAGGAAGGGCATCCAGAGGTCATCCTGTCTTTCCCCTACCCCAGGACATGCTGGCTGGAGTTTGCTTGTCTGGGAAGATCATTTCATTGGCCTCCCCGCCCCGACAGATGGTCAGTGTTCTGGCTCCTCATAACCTGGAAGTCCGTTCTCAAGTCTACCTCACATTCTGCATGCTGTAGGGCCAAGCAGGGGACCAGCTCTCTCCTCTGGAGCCTTCCCTGTGACTGGGCCCGTCGGGCCCTTCTCCAGCCTTCACAGGAGTCCCAAGTCATTTCCCCTGTGCCTGTTTCTTGGCCCCTTGATCATGGAGCTGTCGCCTGCCTCCCCACCTCCTCTCCCTCCCACTTTCTCCAAGTTCCTCCATGGTCACAAACTGCTGTCCTCATGCATGAAACTGGGCCTGGAGGCCTGGGCCGTGCAGGGCCCTTGCCCAGAGGCTGCTCCAGAAGCTCTGCCTCCCCAGTGGAGGGACCGGGGCCTCTCACCTTCTCCCCCTGCTGCTTCCAGAAGCCGGATGGGCTGATGGGGGGAGCAGGGCTGGATGGGCTGATGCGGGCGTGGCAGGAAGATAGACCCTGGGCAGGTTTCTGTTCCATATCCTTTATGGCGGGTGATGGCCCCAGGCCTGGTGGTTTCTGGGGAGAATGGGCACACGACTGAGAAGCCCAGGTTGGAACTCAGCCCCTGCCGACAAGAAACTCCTTCTCGGTTGGGCTGTTGGCAGACCCATGTGGTGAGGGAGGAGGGAGGATGGCTTCACACAGCCCATCCCCGCTGCTAAAAATAAATAAATAATAAATAAATAAATAATTGATCTGATTCTAGGTCTAGCCACCTTCCTAGTTTGGGGTGCAATGGGGGCAGCTGTCTGCTGTGACATCAAAGTGAGCCCAGAGTGACTTTTCATCTCACTTTCCTGAGCCCGTGGGGCCAGTGAGACTTAGGACCGGAATCCCAGCCCGAAGTCACTGCTGCTCCATGCCTTGCTCTCAGCAAACGTCCTCAGAACAGGGACCCTGTCAGCCCCTTTCCAGGGCGGCAGCAGCTCTCTGGGTCTGATGAGTGAAGGATGGTGGCAGAGCTTCTCAGCATCCAGAGATGCTTCCAGGACAGCTGCCGGCTCCCGGCTTCAAGGCCCCTTGACTGTGGGGCCTCCCCACCCACCTCTGGGTGCTGTCCAGCCCCACGCAGTGCCTGTGTCTCCCCCAACCCCCCTCTCCAGGAAGCCGGCAAACATGACCAAGACCACTGCAACTACCACCAGAGGACACACATGAAGAGCACTGTGGACCAGAGCTTCACAGACCAGAGCACCATGCAGGAGGATGAGCGCTGGGCCTGTCCTTCATGGACACCTATGGCTACAGCTCCTGGGGTGAGTGCCCAGCTCTCCTACCCCATCCTCATGGCCCCTGAGCTCTCTTCTTCCAGCCCCTTGAGCCAACAGGACGAGGCCTTTTGTCGGGTCCTCCATGCATGAGATGAGTTCTGTAACACCACAACCAAAGCTGAAGCACCTATTGGGCTTCTGCTGAATACCAGCACTGGCACAGGAAATACAGAGCAGGCACAGGTAGCAACTTTGCACTGTGTACTGGAGGAGCTTGCAAGGAATTCTGCTAGCATAAGAGGAATGCAAGATCCAGCGTGACACTTGTCATGGAGGAGGTGCTGCTGCAGGAACAGAGGGATCAGAGTGGCCTCACCACCTATTAAGCTCCTGCTGTGCACGAGGTGGGGATACAGTGGCTGAGAGGGACCTATAGAGAGTCACACAGATCACCTATGTGGATGTCTGTTTCCTCATCTGTAAAACAGGTACCAATCACAAGGCTGCCGTGAAGACTAAAAGAGACCATGCAGGTCAACCACTTGGTGCAGTGCCTGACTCCAGAAAAAGTGTGTGCAATCTTAGCTGGCATAATTTGTGTCTGCTAGACCCTATGCTGAGCTTTAATATAGCACTTCACTAGACCTCTTCTTTTTATGACATACTATTTGGTTTTTATAAAAATTCTATTTAACAAATGTGTCAATTATGAAGCATAACAATAAAATTAACTGCCATGAATCAGATCTTGGAAAGTGGAATATTTTCGAGGGCACTGAAGGTCCTGGTGACCCTCCCCAGCTGTCTCCTCCAGTGACCCCCAGAGGTGGCCACTGTCCTGCACTGTTTGTTCATCTTGTCCATCTCTTCTTTGCAGTTCCTCCATATATGTCTATATCACCATGCAAGACACTGTTTAGTTTTGCATGCATATGAGCTTTATACAAATGTCCTAGCTAAGCGTGGATGGATCTCTGTGACTTGGCTTTTTCACTCAGAATGGTTTCTAGATATGTCCGTGTGGATACGTGTATCTGCAGTTCATTCGCTTTGCTGATGTTCAGTTTTCCATTGCGGGAATATACCACAATTCATGTGTCCACCCTCCTATCTGTGGATATTTGAGTTGGTCCTAGTTTTTTGCTTTCTCTGGGCAGTTCCATTTGTTTATTTGTTATCACAAATGAGGCTGCTGTGAACATTCTTGTACAAGTTTCCTGATGCACCTGCATAGGAGCTTCTCTGGGGTGCATTCTAGAAGGGAAATTGCTGGCTTGTGGTGGGTGTGTTTGTTCAACTTTGCGAGACTGTGCCAAATTTTTTCATAATGTGGCTGTCTGTTTCCACTCGCAGCAGCGGCTATGAGTTTTCATTCCTCCATACCCAGATCCAAATTTGTCAGGCTTCTACATTTTTGCCAGAATGGTGGGTGTAAAATGGTAATTCTCTGTGTTCATAATTTTCATTTCCCTGATTACTAATGAAATGAAACATATCTTCAAATGATTTTTGGCCTTCAGGTTTCTTCTTCTGTGAAATACCTGTTGATATCTCTTACCTAATTTTCTATCATTCATTTGTTGCTATCCTAGTGATTTTCAGGAGTCCTATATCCATTTAGGGTAAGTCATTTATTGATTACATGTTGTAAATATCTTCTTCCCATTTAAGACTTGTCTTTTCACTTTTCATTTTGTAGTCTTTGGAAGAACAGAATGCCTTGAATGTGATTTAGTCAAATTATTCCCCCTTTTCCTTTTGTGGTTTGCGCTGTTAGTGCATTAGTAAGGAAATCCTTCCCTACCAGAGGTCATAAAAATAGTCTATATTTTCTTCTAACATATTTAAAGCTTCGCATTTTGCATTCAAATTTCTATCCATCTGGAATTGATTTTTGTGTTATTCCGAGTTGGGGATTTGATCTTTTTCCCACGTGGATAACCAGTTGTTGCGGCATGGTCCACATTTTCCCCGCTGGTCTGCAACGACAGCCGCATGATATACACTTTCCATATGCAAGGGTTTCTGGACACCCACTCTCTTCCACTGGCCTTTTAATTAAATCAAGGTCTACTTCTAATCACTGTGGCTTATAAATCTTGATATCTGAAATGGCAAACCCCCTGACATGTTCTTCAGGTGTGCCTTGGCTATCTTTTCCCTTATCCTTTTTCTTATGAATTTTATAGTCAGCTTGTCAAGTTCTATTAAATATGCTATTGGGATTTTGATTGGAATTTTATTGAATCTGTGGAACTATTTAAGGAGAACTGTCATCTTTACAATATTAAGTCTTCTCATCTATGAATTTAATATATCTCTGCACATGTAGGTCTTGAGTACCTTTCAATAAATTTCCCCAGAAACATCTTGAGCATTTTTTGTCAGATATATTCTCCTGTCCCTTATCTTTTGTAGTTTTGTAGTTTGTATATTTTGTAGTTTGCTATTGTAAATATTATCTTTCCAACCATGATTTCTAACTGTTGCTGGTAAACACTCGGTTTGAGTCTCATTAATTCTAGTACTTTTTTTTGCAAATACTTTTGGACTTCCTATGAATGCAGTCAAAACACGTTAGAATCATGACATTTTGTGTTGGTCTGGTTTTTTCACATTCATTAGCCTTTCATTTGATTTTCTTATTTTTATGCACTGGCTCTGGTTGGGAGGTTGGGACCTCCAACACAATATTGAGCGGAAGTGGTGAGAGAAAGCATCTTGTGTTTTCCTGATTTTAAAGGGAATTAGTCTGCATTTCAACATATGCTGTAGGCTTTTGGTAAAAGTGTTTTACCAGGTTAAAAAAATTTCCTTCTATCTCTAGTTTGTTAACTATTATTTTTTAATGAATATTACATTTCCCAAAGGCATTTATTGAGATTAATCTGTTAACATAGCAGCAATCACTTATAGATTTTTCTAATATTAATTGATCCCAGGATAAACCCAACTTGGTCATGATGCATGGTTTTTATTCAGTAATTTAGTAATTCAGTGATTTAATCATGCTTGTGATTTTATTTTTAGTTTGCTTGTTTGTTTGTTTGTTTATTTTGAGATGGAGTCTTGCTCTGTTGCCCAGGCTGGAGTTCAGTGGCACAAACTCAGCTCAACACAACCTCTGCCTCCCAGGTACACTCAGAGATTCTCCTGCCTCAGCCTCCTGAGTAGCTGGGACTACAGGTGCACACCATATGCCCGGCTAATTTTTGTATTTTTAGTAGAGACAAGGTTTCACTATATTGGCCAGGCTGGTCTTGAACTCCTGACCTTGTGATCCGCTCACCTCGGCCTCCCAAAGTACTGAGATTACAGGCATGAGCCACCACACCTGGCCATGTTTGTGACTTTTACAACTATGATCATGAGAAGTATTTGAATTATAACCTTTCTTTCTTGTAGTACCTTTCTCTGGGTTTTAGTATTAAGATTATAGTAGCCTTATAAATTCTTTGAGAACTGTCTTCTTTTTTCTAATTTCTGAAAGTTTGGAATGAGAAGTTCCCTGAAAGCCTGGTAGAAGTCACCTACAAAACAATCCGTTCCTAACTTTTTTCTTTATGGAATAATTTTAAACTTCTAATTTATTTTAATTAGCCTAGGACTATGCAGACTTTCTGTTTCTTTTTAGTAACTTTTTGTAAGTTATATTTTTCTAGGCAGATGTCCATTTAATCTAAGTTTTAAATGTATTGGCATACACTAATTCATTATACTGTCCTGTTATCTCTCCCATTAAATGAATATCCCCCATTAAATTTTTCAACAACCCTTCACAGTGGTTATTATCAACCCCTGGATTTACAAATGAGCAAACAAAGTCTTGGGGAAGGAATATCACTTTCTGGACACGCCCAGCCCTTCTATCCAGAAAGCGACAGAGTCAGGATTTAGAATGAGGTATTTATAAATTGCAAATCCATGCCATATTTACTGCACTTTGTGAGACCTTGGAGAATGGTAGGATTTGGACAGCCCTTGATGAGAAGGACAGGCATTCACAGCTGACGGATAACGAGTGCGAGAGCATGCATGTGGACAAGTGAGGAGGACGTGGAGAGGTCTAATTAGTTGGGCTGGATTCTCAGTGGGGTGAGGAGGAAGGGGAGGGTGAGATAGCCAGGGGCAAGTCTTGATGTGCAGTCCTGGTGATGTATTACAGAAGCAAGAGACACAGACCTTGTCCCCAGGAGTCTCATATCTAGTTGGAGAGACTTGACTGACTTAAAGGAGTCAGGACCAGGCTAATTGTCATACGGGTGATGTGGAAAATTTATGCTGAGAAGGTTCTGAGAAGGGATGTCTTGGGTCAGGAAAGCCAGGAAAGATTTCCCTAGTGAAATAGGATTTGAACTGAGATTGGCAGGATTTGACTGATCATGAAGGGGTAACAACACTGTGGGCAGGATAAAGGACATGGGCAGAGGTGTGGCGATGGTAAAATAAAGGGCCTTAGGAGACAATGGGGCCTTGGCACTTTAGATCTTCTTTTTCCATTTGCCATTCTGGCCCAGGCTCCACCTCCATCCTTTCTCCTACACAAAGCAGAAGCAAGCTGGCTTCCTGCATATGTGATTGTGCATTTGCACAGGGCTCTGTGCTTAGAAGACACCTGCACTTGGTTTACTGTTCTGTTATCACAGTTTTGAAATTCTTAACAATTTTATCTTTGAACTTGTGTTTTAAAAGTGAAGTCCAAAGGGACAGAGGATGCCCGTGAGCTAAGGAGATACATGCTATGTGTGTGCCCGCTGTTCCCTGCCATCCATGGGACATGGAAGTTCAGAGATATTCAAGGTGAGTATGAGGTATCATTGTACCTCGTGGAAATATGGCTACTAATTTTTTAGAAAAAGAAAAAGAAAGAAAATAACAAGTGGTAGTGAGGATATGGAGAAATTGGAACACTTGTTTACTATTGGTAGGAATGTAAAATGTTGAACAGTATGGAAAATCCTCAAAAAGTTAAACATAGAATTGCTATATGATCCAACACTTCTACTTCTGGGTATATACCCAAAAGAATTGAAAGCAGCAACCCAAACAGATATTTGTATACCCATTATTCATAGCAGCATTATTCAGAATAGCCAAAAGATGAAACCAGCCCAAGTGTCTATCAACAGATGAGCAGATAAATAAAAAGCGGTATATACATATAACGGAATACTATTTGGTCTTAAAAAGGAGGGAGACTCTGACACATGCTACAACATGGATGAGCCTTAAGGACATTATGTTAAGTGAAAAAAGCCTGTCACAAAGAACAAATACTGTATGAGCCCACTTGTATGATGTACCTAGAGTAGTCAAATTCATAAAGACAGAAAATAGAATGGTGGTTGCCAGGGATTAGGGGGATGGCAGACTCGGGAGTTATTGCTGAATGGGTATGAAGTTTCAGTTTGGGAAAATGGAAAAAGTTCTGAAGAGTAGTGGTGGTGATGGTTGCATAACAATAGGAATCTATATAAGTCACTGAACTGTATATTTAAAAATGGTTGAAATGGTAAATGTTATGTATATTTTATCATAATTTTTTAAAGTAAAAATAAGGTAAGTATGTTACATCTTATGATTGAGTATCTGGGGTCATGGCCAGCACCGAGAGGCCATGCTTTCCACTGGAACCAGAACTTATTTCAAACACAGGAAGAAGGCCATGGTCTTCTCAGAAGCATGAAGCATGTGTGACCAAGAAACCCCAGCACATCCTTTCTCACCTGTTACTTCCTTGCATTAGCCAACCGCTTATGCTGAAAATGATGACATAGCACCAAAGGGAAAAACAGGGCAACTATAGTTCCTTTCTGTCCTTCCTTACTCATCAATCAGTCAGATGTAGAGTGTGGGTAGAAAATGCATACATCAATAACTGAAATAAGCACAGCTGAGTTTGTTTTATGGAGGTCTTCCACCATTCTGGTAGGAATTAAATATATGTCTATGACAGGCTACAAAATACAATTTGCATGATTTTGAAGATCCTACACAGGAGTTAAATATTCTTATACTTGAATTTAAAGTTGACATAATATAAAGGTGAACAGTAAAATTTATGCTAATAATTTAATATTTTTTACTTAGTATGACATTAAATATCATATTAAAATACTATGATGAGGTCAGCATTACTCTAATAACAAATCCGGGTAAAGAACATTACAAGAAACAAAAACCTAAAACCAGTATCTCTCATGAACATAGCCACAAAAATCCTTAAACAATATTAGCAAATAAAATCCAGCAATGTATACAATAAACTATACACCATGACCACGTGGGCATTATTCCAGGTATATACATTCAAAAATCAATCAATGTAACCTGCCATATCAATAGGCTAAAGAAGAAAATTTAGGTCAGTCACAGTGGCTCATGCCTGTAATCCCAACACTTTGGGAAGTCAAGGTAAGAGGACTGCTTGAGGCAAAGAGTTTGAGATCAACGTAGGCAACATAGCAAGATCCTATCTCTATAAAAAGTACAAGAAAATTTAGCTGAGCATGGTGGCACGCACCTGTAGTCCCAGTTACTCAGGAGGCTGAGGCAGGAGGATAACGTGAACCAAGAAGTTCAAGGCTGCAGTGAGCTATGATCACACCACTGTACTCCAGCCTGGGTGATAGACTGAGACCCTGTCTCTAAAAAATAAAAAAAGGAAGAAAAACTGTATGATCAGATCATTGATGTGGAAAACCCATTTGGCAAAATCCAGCACCCGTTTATGATAAAAACTCTCTGAAAACTGAGAATAGATGGAAACATTTTCAACTTTATAAAGAACAACTACCAAAGAAAAAGAAAAAAGAAAGAAAACCCACAGATAATATCATACTACATAGTGACAGACTAGACACTTTCCTCAGAAGACTGGAAACAAAGCAAGAATGTCTCCTTTCACTACTTCTATTCAATATCATACTGGAACTGATAGTGCAATAAGACAAAGAAAAGAATAGAAAGCATACAGTTTGGAAAGGAATAAATGAAACTGTCTTTATTTACAAATGACATAATTGTCTGTAGAATATCTCACAGAATCTTAAATAAAAAACGTTCTGGAATGAGCAAACGAGTGTAGTAGAGTTTCCGGATACAAGGTCAAAATAAAAGTCAATTACTTTCCTATATAGCAACAACGAACAATTGATTTTTTTGTTTTGAGACAGAGCCTCGCTCTGTCACCCAGGCTGGAGTGCAGTGGTGCAATCTCAGCTCACTGCAACCTCTGCCTCCCAGGTTCAAACCATTCTCCTGCCTCAGCCTTCCAAGTAGCTGGGATTACAGGCACCAGCCACCACACCCAGCTAATTTGTTTGTATTTATAGTAGAGATGGGGTTTCACCATGTTGGCCAGGCTGGTTTTGAACTCCTAGCCTCAAGTGATCCACCCTCCTCGACCTCCCAAAGTGGTAGGATTACAGGCATGAGCCACTGTGCCTGGCCTGAAATTTAAAGTTAGAAAAATAATACCATCACAATAGCACAAAAAATTGAAATATATAGGTATAAATCTAATAAAATATGTACAATATCTGTATGCAGAAAACTACTAAACACTAATGAGAGAAATCATAAGAAGAAGCTCAGCAGTTGAAAAATAAAATAATATAAAAATTATATTAAGGAATATTAACAATAGATTAGACATTACAGAATAAAGATGAGTGTAACTGATGAAGAAAAATAGAAACTATCCAAACATAAGCACCAAGGGAAAATATGACTGTAAGGAAAAAGAACTAACAGAGTTTCAGTGACCCATGGGACACTATCAAGAGATCTAACACACATGCAGTTGGAGTCCCAGAAGAAGAGTAGGGGAAATATTTGAAGAAATAATGGCTGGTTTTTTAAAATTATATAAAAACTATTAACACAAAGACACAAAAGAACAGCTGAGCCCACAGTGCCCAAACTTCTGACCTATAGAAATGCAAAATAATAAATGAGTGTTGTTTTAAGCCACTATATTTGTGATAACTTGTATGGCAGTAATTAAAAAACAAATTTAAAAATACAGAATAGAACAGGGAAATGAAATTTAAGCACTGACCAGTCCCATTGAGGATAGAGGGAAATATAAATGATTTCACACTTAGCAGAGCTTTGGTGAAGATGCAGCCACCATAAAAACTGGAATGAAGAAAACAGCTAATTTTTTTAATGAGTTCTTATAGACTGAGTGTGAGCTAGGATATGTGTGGAATCTCTAAGGGCCTCAAACAGGAGAATAAGGTAGAGGAAGACCATTACTGGAGGAATTTGATACCTGGGTGCACTTAGAGTGTAGCACAAACAAAACTCAACCAAACTCAACTCTTCACTAGACGTGACTCAAATCATCATAATAATGTCTTGAGGGAAGAATAGGTGTGTTCATCTCTGGGCATAAATGCTGCTTACCTCAGTCTCTACTGTCATGTTCACAATGTCCAGAATTTATTCAAAAACTACGAGATAAAAAAACATCAAGGAAAAACAACCCACTGACAAGAGGAAAGCAGTCACAGAACCAGATTCAGAGATGACCCAGGGGTTGAAATTTTTAGACAGAGGTTTCAAAATAATTATATTAAAATAATTATGCTAAATAATCTAGTTAGAGATGTGGAAAAAGTGCTTGAATGGACCAGAAAATTCAGAAATGAAGGAAACTTTAAAAAAAGAATCCAAATGGAAATGCAAGAAATAATTTTACAGAACACGATCAGAGATGAAGGATTGCTTTGATGGGTTTATTAGCATACTATACAGCAGAAGAAAGAATCAGTAAAAGGGAAAACAGGTTAATTAGTAGAAATTATGTAGACTGAAAAACAAAGAAAAATGGTGAAAAAAAAAGAGCATCCAAGACCTGTGGTCTAACATACATATAACTGGGGTTCCAGAAGATTAACAGAAAGAGATAGTGAGATAATAGATGATAGAGATAGATAGATAGATAGATAGATAGATAGATAGACAGATAGATAGATAGAATTGCTGAGAATTTTCCAAATTTAATAAGAAGCATGCCATAAATCCAAGTTCAGAGAAACCCATACAGGAAACACACACACACACACCACCTAGATATATCACGGTTAAGCTTCTGGAAACCAGAGATTAAAAATATTGAAAGCAGCCAGAGAAAAAGAAACATTGCATACAGAATTATAGATAAGAATTATAGATAACTTCTCATCAGAAGCTCTGTAGTCTCAAAGAAAATGGAGGGTTATCTTTAAATATATATATAAATATATAAATATATATAAATATATAATATATAAATATATATAACATATAAATATATAATATATAAATATATATAACATAAATATATAATATATAAATATATATAACATATAAATATATATAATATATAAATATATGTAACATATAAATATATATAATATATAAATATATATATAACTATATATAAATATATAAAAACATATATATAAATATATATATTCTTTCAACCAATAATTCTACACCCAGAAAAATTCTCTTTCAAAAGCAAACGTGAAATAAATTTTTCAGATCAATAAAAGTTGACTTGCACTACAGAAAATGTTAAAGGAACTTTTTCATGCAGATGGACCATAATACCTAGTAGAAATTCAGTGCTACCACAGAAAAGGACACCAGAAATGGTGAGAATTAGGGTAAACATGAAATATTTTTCTCACCATCATCTCTTTTAAAGATAATTGCCTATCAAAAGAGAATACAGTAACAATGTATTGGAGATTTATAACACATGTGCAAGTGCAGCTTATGGCAACAGTAGCACAAGGGACAGGAGGAAGGAAAGGAAAATATTCTGTTATAACAGTATTCCTCTACAGGTGAAGAAATATAATATCATATGAAGTGGGACTGTAATAAGTTAAAGATGGAAACTGTATATGCTAGAGCAATCATTATAAAAATAAAAAAAGAGATTACTAGTAAGCCAATAATGGAGATAAAATGGAATCGTAAAAAATCACTTAATTGATACAAAAGAAGGCTGGAAAGGAGAGACAACAAAGAAGAGATGTGACAAAAAGACAATAAAAAGCAAGCTAGTTTATTTAAATTTAACCATGTAAATAACTCTATCAAATGTAAGTGCTCTAATTCTAGAAAAGGCAAAATTGGAGGAATTAAAAGCAGACTGGGGGATGCCAAGGGCTGAGGGTCAGGGGAGAGGACTCACTACATGCTGATTCTGGTGGTGGTTTCATGAATATATGCAGCTGTCAACATTCATAGAACCGTACAACACAAAGGTGGCTTTTTGTATAAATTATGCCTTAATAAACTTCTTTCAAAAATTATAAATAACCTCAACACTTCAGTTAAAAGAGAGGAGACACACGCTTGGGAGAGTGGTTACTGAAGGGTCAGCTACAATCCCTGCTGCCCAGGAAAGGTCAGTCCCCCAAGAGGAAAGACACCCATGACATTGCTAGCAGTAATTTGACTGGGGATCTGAAATCTCAGATTTCAGATGACAGGTTCTTGGCGGAAGAGCGAGCACTTTGGATGCCAGACCTGGGTTGTAAAGAAAATCCACACAGGCTGGAGCCCGAGCCAGACTCACAGGATGGTATTTCAATGTAAATGTGAATTTAGCATGTAGTGCAAGGCTCTGAGCTGAGATGAGAAAAACAAATCAAGGCACAGGTAGGGAAGGGAGCCAGGCCTTGAGAAGGGAGCTCAGTGTGGACCCTGGAGGGATGTCCCTCATGGCACCTGTCTCTTTGCTGCCCTCCCCACCCCCAGGCCAAACCCTTCCCAGCCAAAGCTCTTCCCAGGACATAGAGGGTCCTAAAACCTGGCTAGCTTAATAACAGCAGCAACAACAATAATAATGGTAATACCCACCAGTTATTGAGTGATTTCCCGGTGCTAAATACTCACATGAGATTTGTCCTCCCAACAACCATTCGAGGTTGCTATTATTAGCACCATTTTACAGGACAGAAAACTGAGGCTCAGAAAACACACATCTAGTAAGTGGCAGAGGTAAGATTTGAACTTTGGTCTATCTGACTCCAAAGCCAACACACTTCTCTGCATATTTTGCTGCCTTTTAGGGCATTTTAATACAGGTATGGAGTCTAGAAAAAGGGAAGAGAGAGTCTTATGTGACTGGGAGGCTCAGACCTACTTGCAATTCTGAGGAACAAACCCAGATGGTCATGGATAAGCTGAACCTTGTCTAAAGTGCCTCCAGACTGAGAAGGGCATGGGAACCAGCTCACATGGATTAATTTAATAAAGTTTTCTTAGATTGATCTTATGTTCTAATGACTGGAGAGAGAATAATGAATATCAACAAAGTCCCTGTTCTCATGGAGTTTACATCTGTGAGATATAGACAGTAATACTGCACATGCATACGTACACACACACACACACACACAGATTGGTTAGTACTTTTTGTTAAATACTTAGAAGTGAAGTTGCTGGGCTATAAGGTGGTTGTCTATAGAAACTGCCAAACTATTTTCCAAAATAGTTGTATCACTTTGCCCTCCCACCAGCAGTGTATGAGAATTTCAGCTGCTCCACATCCTCACCAACATTTGGTATTGTCAGGCTTCTTAATTTCAGCTATGAATGCCATCTCATGATATTTTCAATTTACATATCCCTGATGTAACACATATATTCATATATATGTTTTATGTATATGAATATATATTCATATATATGTTTTATGTATATGAATATATATTCATATATATGTTTTATATGTGAATATATATTCATATATATGTTTTATATGTGAATATATATTCATATATATGTTTTATATATATGAATATATATTCATATATATGTTTTATATATGAATATATATTCATATGTTTTATATATATGAATATATATTCATATATATGTTTTATATATGAATATATATTCATATATATGTTTTATATATATGAATATATACTCATATATATGTTTTATATATATGAATATATATTCATATATGTTTTATATATATGAATATATATTCATATATATGTTTGATATATGAATATATATTCATATATATGTTTGATATATGAATATATATTCATATATATGTTTGATATATGAATATATATTCATATATATGTTTGATATATGAATATATATTCATATATATGTAAGTATATATTCACATATATGTTTTATATATAAGTATATATTCACATATATGTTACATATAAGTATATATTCACATATATGTTATATATAAGTATATATTCACATATATGTTATATATATAAATATATTCACATATATGTTATATATATATTCACATATATGTTATATATATATTCACATATATGTTATATATAAATATATTCACATATGTTATATATAAATATATTCACATATGTTACATATAAATATATATTCACATACATGTTACATATAAATATATATTCACATACATGTTACATATAAATATATATTCACATACATGTTACATATAAATATATATTCACATACATGTTACATATAAATATATATTCACATACATGTTACATATAAATATATATTCACATATATGTTATATATATTCACATATATGTTATATATAAATATATATTCACATATATGTTTTATATATAAATATATATTCACATATGTTTTATATATATACACATATATGTTTTATATATGAATATTCACATATGTTTTATATATGAATATATATTCACATGTTTTATATATGAATATGTTTTATATGTGTATATTCACATGTATGTTTTATATATGAATATATATTCACATGTTTTATATATAAATATATATTCATATGTATGTTTTATATATAAATATATATTCACATGTATGTTTTATATATAAATATATATTCACATGTATGTTTTATATATAAATATATATTCATGTTTCATATATGTTTATATATTAAATATATAAATATGTTATATATTCATATATAAAACATAAATGTGTTACATATATTTAAAAATATATAAATAAAATTTAATATAATAAAATAAATAAATATAGTATGTTATATATGTTTTATATATTATATATATATATAATCTTTGACCCTGGCTCAGTGTATTTGTTAGGAAATAAATCAGCTATTAATTGGAATCTGAAAGACAGCGGCTTCAAGAAAGATTTGTTTTTCCCTCATGTAAGAAAATTCTGGATTTAAGAATTTCAGGACTTCTATGGTAGCTTCATGCACAATTTTGTCAATATCCCAGGCACCCATTTCATTTTTGTTCTATTGACCAAAACACATGAGTTCATTCTTGTGTCATGAACACAACACAGCTCTAGCCAGAGCTCTGCTGAAGCTCTAGCAATCACAGCCCCATTATAGGCATAAAGAAAAAAGGAAGGGGGAGAGCAAAGAGGCTCCTGCCAGCTGCAAAAGCTGTCATCTAAGAGCTTCCCTAGGAGATGCACCCATGACTTCCACTCACATTTCACCGTGAAATATATGCAACCATATAAAAAAAGAATGAAACCATGTCTTTTTGGAACAGCAGGGATGCAGCTAGAGGCCATTGTCCTAAGCGAACTGATGCAGAAGCAGAAAACCAAGTATCACAGGCTCTCACTTATAAATGGGAGCCAAATCTTGGGTTCACATGGACATAAATACGGGAACAACAGACCCTGGAGACTCCAAAAGGAGGGATTTTTGAGGGGGAGGCAAGGGCTGAAAACTTCCTATTGGGTACTATGTTCGCTATCTGGTGATGGGGTCAATAGAAGCCCAAAGCTCAGCACCATGCGATATACCCTTGTTAACAAACCTGCACATGTACCCCCAAATCTAAAATAAAAATGAAAATTAAAAAAATAATAATTACTGCCCAACAAATATTTGTCATTGAGTATGGTCTCTTGCCAAAGCCAGGTTCAAATTGTCCCACCTCTTGGATTCTGTGTTCTCACAAATACTATAGCGGTTATAGGCATAGAGTCTGAAGTCAGACTTCCTAGGTTTGAATCCTTGCTCTGCCTCTTACTAGCAAGGTGACCTTAAGTAAGTTATTTAACCTCTCTGTGCCTCAGTTTCCCCATATATAAAATGTAGATGGTAATAGTAACTACCTCAACAAAAGAGTGGGGTGAGTAATATACCTTAGGAAGACAGATGGACATGCCAACCAAACTGGCATTCTGCAACTAAGGGAGAAGGGGCAATGGGATCATAGGAGATGACTGGCAGCCTGTGCCCCAACCAGAACAGGAATACTTGAATGTGGACCAGGAGACCCTGAGAGCAAAGCTCGATCCTAGAGGTTAATCCAAGAAGCCCCCTCACGGGGTGAGGAGGTATAGAAAGTTTTTCTCACCTACATCCATTTAAACGCTTAAACTAATATATTATTAGATGTTCATTGCAGAAAAAATGGAAAGCATAAAAATCAGAAAAGAAAATTAAAATTCCCCACCAATGATAACAGCCATTGGTATTTTTACATGCATCCTTCTGAGTTTTATTAGTCCCATGTATATATAAAGAAAAGTTGGAATGTACTTTACAGCCAGCTTTATATGCTGCTTTTTTCTCTAGCTCTTATAAATGCTTATTTATAAGCATTTTCTCAACATAAATTACTTTTGAAGGTTTCATTTGATGGCCACGATATGCCATCACAATTATTTTTCAGTCATAATTTATGTAGCTGATCTTCATTGTTACACACATGGATGTTCCCCACCATGTGGCTGCCATAAATGATTCTCCGATGACCAACTCTACACATAGATCCTTGTCTTCATCTCTGATTATTTCCTTATGATAGATTTCTGGTCTCATCAGGTCAAAGGATATGGGCATTTTTAAGGCTTTGATATGTGTTATGAAATTGCCCTCCTGCAAAGGTGGCCTGGGTTCCACTCCCCATGAAGGCTCAACAGGTTTCTGAGGCCTCCCTCACACCTCCTTCAGCATCTTCTCTCTCACTTTCCTGCCTCAGCCTCTTCTCCCTGGGTTCCCTTGTGAAACACAATAGTAAAGGATTATATTATCAAATATTTAATTATGTATGTATCTGAAAATATTTTAAAAGTCAACATAATTACTCTATTTCCATTAGTTTGATTTGCAGCAAATTATGCATTTAGTGTGAAGTTGGAGGTGCCTTGCTGGTTGGAGTGCAGATAGCGTTTGGCTGTCTACAATGGGCGGGCGCTGGTGACAACAGCTCAGGCTGGTAAAGCCGTATCAGGTCCTTGCAGAGGCAGGGCTTCCTCCCAGCTGGGGAGCCTCAGTACCTTGGAGCTCTGAAATCACACCAACACCACAAATGACCCTGGGGACTGGGTGTCTTAGTTATCTATTCTTGCATAACAAACAACCCCAAAACTTGTGGTTGCTGAAAACAATAAATATTTACTGTCTCACAGCTTCTGTGGGAGCTCTCCATCCGTGGCCAGCAGCTCAGGCTCAGGATCTCCCAAGAAGCTGCAATCAAGGTGGCCCCATGGCCGCAGTCAACTCAGGCTTGACTCAGGGAGAAAGTATCTGCCTCCAACCTTACTCACACGATCTCTCCAAAGGGCTGCTTCAGGACGTGACAGCTGGCTTCTCCCTGAGCAGACAATTCCAGAGAAGCACTCAGGTCGGCACGCAAGGTTTTCCCATCCTTTTGGCATAGAAGTTAGAGCCCAGCTCGAGGGAAGTGAGTATGAAGGGTCAGGTGTCATTGAGAGCCATCTTCAGGGCTGCCTCACACACTGGAAGAGGGAGGGAGGTGGGCACTGACCATCCCGTTGGAAGTTTGGGATGTCTGAAGAGGGAGAAAGCGCTGTTTCCAGGGCATCCCAGGTCAAAGCCAGAGGAGCCGCTCCAAGTCATACCCTATGCTGGACGCCATCCTCCCAAAGCCGAGAGTTGCAAATCAACAGTGTGAGGCAGGGCTTTGACACAATCAGGCTTGCCTTTTGAGAAACTCACTCCAGCCACCTTGCAGGGAGCGACATATGGGGCACGAGGGTGAGGAAGGATGGCTGACGCAGGCGCTTGTGTGCCCGGGTATCCTAACCACCTCTGCGTTCACCTGCGCCCTGAACACTCCCTTCCGCGGCTCCAGGGTCCTGGGGCGAGACCAGCCTAGGGCAGGGCAGCGCGGGGAGCCAGGGGTCCGACACCCAGGAGAGGCCCTCACCGCGAGGGACAGGCATTGGCGGATAAATGCCCGGCTCCCCTCGAGGGGCAGAATCAGTACCCCAGACACGGTCCCAGAGATGGACCCAGGATCTGAGCCGCAGCCTCCTCACTGTGATTCAGCCTCTCCCCGCCCTGCTATCCCCTCCCCACTGTGCCTCCTGGGGGTCACCTCCCAAATCAGCCGCCTGCGCCTTGGAGGGACCCCACCCAGACAGAAGGGATCACTCCAGGGCAGAGCCCTGGATTAGAGGAGAGTAGAGGAGAGTAGAGGGGAGGGCTTAAGAGACGCTGGGAGGGGGCTGGCGGACTGCGATGGACAGAGGTGGGGAGAGAGAGCAGAGCCACCCAGGTGGATGAGCAAGTGAAAGTGCTCTCTTCTTCATCTATGTATATGTACCAAAAATTTTGTATGCACCCATCTAACACCCCGTCAAGACACAGCGCATTTCCATTACACCAATAACGTCCTTTGTGCCCAATTACAATCGCCCCCCAATGCCCCCCAAAAACACACTCCCCACTCTACCCTCTGGCAACCATTGATCTCTCCACGTTATGGATTAGCTGTGTATGTTGTAGAATTTCGTATAAATGGACTCATACAGTAGGTTTCTAGCTTCTTTCACTCAACATAATGTTTTTTTGAGATTGATGTATGTTGCTATCTTTATTAGTTGTTTGTGCTTTTTTATTGCTCTGTAATTGCCCATTTTATTCATAGGCCACAATTTGTTTATTCATTCAACCCTTGATGGACAACGGAGTTATTTCCAGGTTTGGACCATTACATATAAAGATGCTATGAAAATAATTGTATAAGTCCATTTGTGGATGAAGATTTTCATTACTTTTTGGTAAATGCTTAGAAGTGAAGTTGCTGGGATACAGGGAGGTTGTATATCTAACTTTATAAGAAAGTGCAAAATTGTTTTTCAAAATCGTTTTACCATTTTACACTCCCAGAAGCATTGTGTAAGAATTCCTGTTGTTCCCAATCCTCTTAGTATTGTCAATACATAGTATTGTCAGACTTTTTCATTTTAGCCATGACTGCTGTCTCATGGTGTTTTCCATTTACATATCCTGATGTATGATGATAACATTAGCATCGTCACATGTGTTTATTGGTATCCATATTTATTTTTTGTGTGAAGTAACGGCTCAAAAAGTTTATCCATGTTTTATTGAGTTGCTTGTATTTTTATTATTTGTAGTTCTTTATACATATGTTATATATATAGTACATAAAAATCCATCACCAGGTCTATGCATTCTATTTCCTCCCACTTTGTGACCTGGATTTTCATTTCCTCAATGACATCTTTTGAAGACCAAAAGGTTTTAATCTTGATAAAGTACATTTCATTATTTTTTCTATGTTAATGCCTTTTTTATGCCTAAGAAATCTTTCCTACCCAAAGTCTAGAAGATATTTTTCATTTTTTAATCTATTAGGCTTATAGTGTTAACTTTTACATTAAGTCTATGATCCACTTCAAAATAATATTTTGAATATTATATTTGGTGTTAGGTAGGGGATTGGGTGTGCTATTTTTCTATATGGATAATCAGTTGATTCAGCATCATTTGTTGAAAACACTATCCTTTTTAATGTTGAAAATATTGAATTATGTCAGGGTATGTTTCAGTCATCTCTATTCTATTCCATTGAAATGAATTGAATTTGTAATTTCTAACCTTTCAAGTCTTTCCTATTGTGAATAGTCCTGCAATAAACATATGTGTGTATATGTCTTTATAGTAGGATGATTTATAATCCTTTTGGTATATACCCAGTAATGGGATTGCTGGGTCAAATGGTATTTCTAGTTCTAGATCCTTGAGGAATCGCCACACTGTCTTCCACAATGGTTGAACTAATTTACACTCCCACCAACAGTGTAAAAGCATTTCTATTTCTCCACATCCTCTCCAGCATCTGTTGTTTCCTGACTTTTTAAATGATCGACATTCTAACTGGCATGAGATAGTATCTCATTGTGGTTTTGATCTGCATTTCTTTAATGACCATTGATGATGAGCTTTTTTTCATATGTTTGTTGGCCACATAAACGTCTTCTTTTGAAAAGTGTCTATTCATATTCTTTGCCCACTTTTTGACGGGGTTGTTTTTTTCTTGTAAATTTGTTTAAGTTTCTTGTAGATTCTGGATATTAGCCCTTTGTCAGATGGATAGATTGCAAAAATTTTCTCCCATTCTGTAGGTTGCCTGTTCACTCTGATGATAGTTTCTTTTGCTGTGCAGAAGCTCTTTAATTTAATTAGATCCCATTTGTCAATTGTGGCTTTTGTTGCAATTGCTTTTGGTGTTTTAGTCATGAAGTCTTTGCCCATGCCTATGTCCTCAATAGTATTGCCTAGGTTTTCTTCTAGGGTTTTTATGGTTTTAGTTCTTACATTTAAATCTTTAATCCATCTTGAGTTAATTTTTGTATAAGTTGTAAGGAAGGGGTCCAGTTTCAGTTTTCTGCATATTGCTAGCCAGTTTCCCCAACACCATTTATTAAATAGGGAATGTTTTCCCCATTGCTTGTTTTTGTCAGATAAAAATGTCATTTCTGAATATGGAGAGTTTTGCTTCAATATTGTGAAACTCTAAGCTTTTCATTTCTTTCTTGTCTTATTAAACTGGCTAGGACCTCCAGTAAAATATTGATTAGAAGTGATTAAGATGAACGTCCTTGAATTTTTCCTAACAGGGTGGGGCATTCAATCTTTAACTACCAAGCATAATGTTAGCTATACGTTTTCCATAGATGTTCTTTATAAGGAATTTCCCTTCTATTCTTACTTTGCTGAGAGTTTTTATCATGAGTGTGTATTGAATTTTGTTAGATGCATTTTCAGCATCTATTAAGATGATCATATTTTTTTTCCTTTATTCCGTTAATGTAGAAAATTGATTGACAGGATCTCACTCTGTCACTCAGACTGGAGTGCAGTGGCACACTCTCAGCTCACTGCAACCTCCACCTTCCAGGCTCAAGCAATCCTCCCACCTTAGCCTCCTGAGTAGCTGGGACTACAGATGTGCATCACCACGCCCAGCTAGTTTTTGCTGTTGTTTTGTATTTTTTGTTCAGATGAGGTTTCACCATGTTTCCCAGCCTGGTCTCGAACCCCTGGGCTCAAGTGATCTGCCTGCCTTGGCCTCCCAGAGTGCTGGGACTACAGACATGAGTCACCACCCCTGGCCTTACCTTGTATTCTTCAGATAGACTCCACTTGTTCATGATATATTCTCCTTTTTATATATTTCTGAATTCAATTTGCTAATACTTGTTAACAACTTTTGCATTGATACTCTTGAGATTTTTTTAATGTCCTTGTCAGATTTTTGTATCAAGGTTATGATGACCTCATAACAACTTAAGAAGTGTTTCCTCTTCTTCCATTATCTGAAATAATTTGTATAAGGTTAGTATTATTTCTTCCTTAAATGTCAGATGGAATTCAACAGTGAAGCCATTCAAGCCTGAAGCTTTCATTGTAGAAAGTTTTGAAATTACAAATTCAATTCATTTCATAAATATAGGGCTATTCAGTGCTTCTATTTCTTCTGCTGCCAGTTTTGTTAAGTTGTGTTTTTCAAAAAATTTGCACACTTCATTGAAGTTGGTGAATTTATTTGCACAAGGTTACTTATAATAATCTCTTATTACCATATTAATGACTACATTATTGTAATGATGTCCCCTTTATCATTTCTGTTATTAGAAATTTTTTGTTTTCCCTCTTTTTTGCTGTTGTTATGGTTGTTATTTTCCTAAGGGCTTATCAATTTTATTAATCTTTTAAGAGAACCAGTTTCTGCCTTTGTTGGTATTGTCTATTGTCTGTTTTCTATTATATTGATTTCTTTCCTTTTCCTAGTTTCTTAAGATACTTAGATCATTGATTTTAAACTGTGTTCATTTCCTAATATAAGGATTTAACCTCAATAATTCACTTTAAGGTATCTCTTAGCTGCATCCACAAATTTTGATATTCTGTTTTTATTATCACTGAGTTCTGAATGTTTTCTAATGTCTCTTATGATTTATTGATCCATGGGTTATTTAGACATGTATTGTTTAATTTTCAAATATGTATTAGGTTTTAGATGCACTATTGTCATTCATTTCTAATTTAATTTCATTGCAAATGAAGAAAATACTCTGTATAACTCCAATTCTTTTACACTTATTGGTATGTTTTTTATAGCCCAGCACATGGTCTATGTTGGTGAACATTCCATGTGCATTTATCAAGAAAATGTAATTGGCAATTGTTGAGCATAGTATCCTATTAATTTCAATTAGTTCAAGGGCAGAGGACTGCCTCACAGGATGGGGCGAAGCCTCCCACAGTTTAGTCTTCCTGAGCCTGTCAGTGTCCATCACATTGGAGACACCTCTGCCAAAGCCACAGGACTGAGGTGAGATCTCTTTACAAGCCTGAGGACATTGCAGGCACATGTGGGCACCTGGACACTGAGACGTACAGACACCCAGAGCAAGAGAGGCACTTAGGTGCATACCTATAAAGAGAAACTAGTTAACATGCAGACTAATAGTTGAATGAAAAGACCAACATGGCCAGGCATGGTGGTGCACACCTATAATCCCAGCACTCTGAGAGGCCAAGGCGGGAGGATCACTTGAGGCCAGAGTTTGAAACCAGCCTGTGCTGCATAGTGAGACCCAGTCTCTACTAAAAATTAAAAGAAACAATTAGCTGGGCATGATGGTGTACACCTGTAGTTGTAGCTACTTGGAAGGCTGAGGCAGAAGGATTAGGATCACTTAAGCCTAGGAGTTTGAGGCCACAGTGAGCTATGAGCGCACCACAGCACTCCAGCCTGGAAAACAGTGAGATCCTGCTTCTAAAAGAAAAAGACCCACAAACCAACCCTCTACAGACAGACACTCAAACACATACCGAAGATCAGAGCCACAAAGTGACAGATATAATACACAGACAACTCAGACACAGACACTTAAAGACACCCAGCCACACAGGCCCAAGCACAGCAACACCTGGGCCCAGGTAGACCCCAGACCCAAGCTGATTGACACAGACATACATGTACACATACATAAACACATACAAACTGGTGACAAAAAATTCAACACAAACACACAGAAATCAGAAATACACGGAGAGCAGAAATACGTAATCACACAAATGTACAAATACAGAACGCTGTACACAGAAATGGACAATGAAACAGACACAGCTCTGCAGCCACAGAGAACCCATCTATGAGAACACTCTGAATCATGCTTACAATCAAAAGATAGGGAGGCATCGGCTTCTATTATCAATCACAGGAATAAATCATAAGCAATCAGATGAGGCTGCACAAACACACACAAACCCAACATGCACATTCATAAACAGGCATACCTAGACCCAGGATCCTGTGGCTCACATACAAGCACATGTGTATCCACAAAAATGGACCCAGCTGCAGACTCACACAGGTGTATGTATGAACACAGCACCACTGTGGACATGTAAACACCTGCAGGTCATCCACGCATAGACGTACAGACTACAGTGTGATTTTCCACCCAGATACAGAGGCAGTCTTAGGCCATGACATCCCCTGGGGAGCAGAAACATCCACAGTGGGGTGGAGGTGGCACTAACCTGGTGGATCTAGAACAGGAAAAGGACCATCCTGTGGATCTAGAACAGGAAAGGGACCATCATTGAATGGGGGATGATGTAAGGCAGAAGCTGGTCATCTCTGTTCTGGGGCTCCCCTGGGCTATCCCCAGAGAACCCTGTGTGATCTGAACTCCTGGGGCTGGGGGCAGGAAGCTTATGCCACTCAGAGGGAAGTGGCCACCTTCACCACCCCGCAGTGTTTCTCCCTCCCCCCAGGCTTGTGCCCTCCTGCCAGACCCCTCAGCCCTGCCCCCACCATCCAGCACACCCAGGGGGCCCAAGGAACCCTGCCCACTCTGAGCAAGCTGGCTACACGGTCAAGCTGAGAGCCTGTGTGGAGTGTGTGTGTCACTCTGGCCTCAGAGAAGCCCTCCCTGATGCCCCCATCCCATACTATGAAGGTGGATCCTTGATCCATTACTCTAGTTTAGTTTCCTTATAGCCCCATCAGCACTTGAGAGGACCTTGCGCCTTCGATTCATTTACTTACTTATTGTTCCTCTCCCCCAACTTTGACCTCAGGGGCCTTGTTTATCACATCCATTGCTGTGTCCCCAGCATCTCAAACTGTGATTGATGCAGATTAGGGGCTCAAAATTATGATTGATTGAGTGAGTGAATATGTAGGTCACAGCTACAGGTGCAGAGTTATACTCAGCCATCCTCCACTTACTCAGAAGTCAGGTATCGGGCAGCTTCTGCTCTCTGGAAACAAACAACAAACTCAAAAGGCTCAGGAGCTATCAAAATGCAAGCCATGTTCCAAAACATTCATTTTATAATGATTATTATTTTAATCAGAAGGGCTCCCTTCTTGTCCTCACTCAGAAAGTATGGAGGCTCCTCCTGCAGGCAGGGTTCTTACATGCCTGGTGATCTGTTAGCCCAGCAGGGCAGGTTAGAGGTAGGGCATGAGGAGGGGTGGGGCCTGCTAGCAGAAAGTACATGGAAACCTGCAGGAAGAGACATCTGGGGCCCAGGAGACTCCAGAAGAGGGTGGGTTGCAGGCTGAACCCCAAATGTGGTGACATTGCTGGAGACACCCTGGGGGCAAGAGCACATAGAGCTGAGAGTGAGTGAGACTCTCTGGGGGCCTGGAGCAAAGCTTAAATTATGTTCTGCCATGCCTATTCCAGAAATGGGAATGTGAAGTACACTTTATCATCCATTTTTAAATAGGTTGGCTCAATGCAGAAAAACAAGCAGAAGAAATAGTAATCACCTGTCATCTTACCTGCAGAGATGCCACAGTGGGGAGCACATAGGACGGCAGGTGTCATTTCTGCTCCTCCATTTCGGTGCTATTAAAGGAGCTTCACAGTCATGGCTTTTATTGGCTGCACAATATTCCATTACAAGGATTTGCGACAATTACCCATCGCTTTCCCTATCGGACATTAGGGTTGTTTCCAAGTATTGGCTGTTATCTTCAACGCTGCAGTGAACATCCTTGTATGTAAAGCTCAGTACGTAGCCTTCACTGTGTTTTCTGATGGTAGAACTGCTATGTTAAAAAAAAAAGGTAAACAGTTTTAAAGCTTATGATACATACTGTGGAATTTACAAACTCATAGTCATATCAGGGCATTTTCACATTTTAGATGCTAAATTAAAGGTTAACGCTCATTGTTTAGAAAACTCACTCAGTTTGAAACCTTGTTCCTGGATTGTAATCTACTGGGAACAGAATCCTGGGTGGTCTGACTTCTACATGTGAGTATGTGTACGTGTGTGTGTGTGTGTGTGTGTGTGTGTGTGTGCGCGCGCGCATGCGTGCATGTATGTCAAACACTCTTTCCAGGTGCATGGTGTATTGGTGTATTTTTCATCCATCATATCACTGGTACTATCCAATCCTCTATTACTTCCATTTTACAGGTAAAAAAAAACTGAGGCACAGAGGTGTATATCATGCAGTAGAAAGTAACCTGGGCTTTGGGGGAAGACACACCTGGGTTCTAATCCCAGCTCCTCTGGTGGGTGAGCTCTGCCCATGTCTTCCCCTGTATCTTTGAGCCTGGCTTGTATATAAAATGGGGACAGAGCACCTGTCTGTCATGGAGATCAAGTGAGAGGGTGGATGGGAAGCTTCTGCACAAGCTGGGCCCATAGTAGGTACTCAAGCAAAGGGAGCTGTGGTCATTTTGAGGAAAGTCACTTTCTCAAAGTCCCAAGAGGCAAGACACAGATCCCTGTCTCTTAACTCCAAGCTCAGTGTCTGTTCTAAGCACCCAGGCTTTTGCACCTCAGGCCTGAGGAGGAGAGACCTTGGATAACCCTCCGTATGGGGTTGTCCACATTGGGACCCAGAGGCTTACTCTGCTGAGCACCAAAAGAAGACAGCTCCCCCTGCCTAAGCTAACCTTTAATGCAATACGGCCCAATGAGGCAATGGTCATCCTGTGACCCACTAGGTCTGGAAGACCTTTTCACATTGAACTGAACCTCAGCCTGTCTCAGTGTCCTCCCAGCCTGGTATCTGGACATCCTGCACTCCCTCAGATCCTGAACCACGGGGACCAGGCAAAATTTGCTGACGGCAAGGATGAGAGGGCTCTTCCTCCACTCAGGTCTCTGGGAAAGTTAATCCAGCTGCCAGGGAAGCCAGGCCATTCTGGGTAATGGATGCCTCTTTTTAATGCTCTCTGGGAGATGGGTCCCGCCTTAATCTGCTGCAGTGCCATTAAGAGAGAAAACATTAACTCCATGGGGCTCCTGATGGCCTTCAGAAACTGCAAGTTAAACACTAACCAGGAAGGGCTGCTCAAGACTTAACCCTCCCCTTCCTAGCACAGGCCAAGGTGTCAGACAGACAGCTCTGCAGATCACTGGCCTGGGCTCCCAGGGACCCTGGGTCCTGTTTCCAGGCTCTTCTCAGCCTGGGGAACAAGTGAATGTGAGGAAAGAGGGACCACAGAGGGAGAGAAGAATCCTTGAGGCTCTCGGTCCAGGTGTTTGGAGGTGCCCCCACCACCTACCCCAGAGCTGGTTAGAAAGCAGAGCACTTAGAGGCTGGGTTGGGGCTGGTGACTTTAGGCCACTCTCTTAACCTCTCTGTTTGCTGGATTCCTACAGGGTGGGGGCTGGATGGGCTCCATCCCTCCAGGTAAAGCCTGGTGGTCTTCTCCAAGAGGGGTGGCATGTCCTAAAACCCCAGGTCCCTGCACCAAAGCCTGCTCCCTGCTCAGACCACACGTGACCTGGTGGGGAGGCCACCTGTAGGGCAAAGGAGAGCAGCTGACCTGGATGAGCTGGCAGAGGGGCAGGAGTCCCTGGTACAGAGCGTCCCTGGGTCCCCCACACTGTGCTGGGGCTCCACACACACAAAATGCCGGTTGCAGCCTCACAACCACCCTGTGAGAAGGGGGTGCTGTTCCCCCCACTTCACAACTGACAGCAAGGAGGCTCCAAGTGCAGAGGGACCTGTTCAGGTCGAACCCAGATCTGTCCCATTCCAAACCCAAATGCCTTCCCACAAGAGAGGGTGTGGCCTCATTTTGGCCCCTCTCCCTTTTGCACATGCTCTCTCCCGTCCTCACCTGCCTTCCCCTCCTCTATTCAAAGCCTGCCCAGCTCAAGGCTGGCCTCATCCAGGAAGTCCTCCCTGATGTCTGACAGCCAAACCCCAAGGGTGCCACCCAGCGAGGCCTCTGGTTGTTCAATTACCCAACACAATTTTGGATTTTGCTGCTGTGAGTACAGATGCAAACATGAGCTCATTTCATTCTGTCCCCAGGCTCATCGATATTTGCTGGGCACTGACTTAGAGCCAGGTGCTGGCTGCAGGGCCTCAGAGGGGATGGGAACAAACATGCACTGAGCTCCTGCAGATGCCACTCCTGTGCCCAGGGAAGCCCACATGTCCTCCCAGGCAGGCTCCTTGCCCCACTGAGCAGATGAGGAAACTGAGGTCCAGAGAAGGGGAAGAAGCTGCTCAGATTCACTTGGCTGGGATTCAACACCAGACCACTCCCCAAATCCATACCCACCCCTCCCTACATTCCCTTCCCCAGAACATTTTAAGTTCCCACTGCTGGGGCAGGACTGGCCCTTTGCCCTGGAGCCTCTGGTCACGCAGGTGAGCTCTGCAGCTACAACCACGCAGGGAGGGGAGGGACAGGGTACAGCCTGTAGGGGCCTAAGGTCACCCCTCCATGACACGCCCATCACCTCTGCTCACACTCACCCAGCCTTCAGGCTGTGCCTCCACCTAGGGGCTCAAGGCCCCTCACCAGTTCCCTGACCACCTCCTCCCCCAAGCTATCCCCAGGGCCCAGCCCCGGCTGAAGAAGCAGCCAGACATAAATTAATGCAGCTTCAGCTCTGGCTCCAGACAATGTTTCTCTCACCTTTCTGGGCTAGTCCCTCACCAGCTCCATCCTCAGAGGAATATAGAAGGACCAGAGGCTGGAGGCTAGTCCTGGCCTTGGGGGGCACAGGCCTGGCCCTAGGACCAGTGCTGGTTGATAAGCCCCATCCCTTGGAGCCCGTGGTGACGTGGCTCAGCATGAAAGGTGATATACATGTGTGTGCAGGTGCGTGTGCACGTGCATGTGGAGCCAGCAAAGCCACCTCTGCCCCCCTGGGCCCTGGACCCAGGCTCCGAGGCTAAGCTGGGGCAGCTGCGGTGAGTTCCCCGTTTGCTGAGGGAGAGGAAGCCTCAGATATGAACCCCCCTGAGCTGCCACATCCCAGACTTTATTTCCTCTGAGTCAGCCTCCATTTGAAAGGAGGAGAAAGGGAGCCTGACAGAGCGAAAATCAAATTCTAAGTTGCAACAACCAGAAGCAGTCTCCCAAGTGAATTATAACTCTTATTGTTACAGGTAGGGAAACTGAGACCCAGAGAAAGTGCCAGAGTTTCACACAGCCAGTGGTGGCAGAGATAGGACCAGCACTCAGGATTCCTGCCTGCTGCTGCATCCCTGTGAAATGGGTGTGTTTGCATATGTGTGCATGGTTGTGTGCATGTGTGTGCCTGTATATGCGTGCGTATGCATGCATGGGCATATGTATGTGTTACTTTGTGGCTATCCTGAGTTGTGTATGTCACTGTGCAGATTGTAGTTTGACCCTCTAAGCCGGTCCCCTTCATCAGGTAACTCTTAGATCATCAGCTGGTGGCGGCTGTAGGGAGGAAGAAAGGGGAGGTGTGCAGAAAGCCTACTCTTCGGTATTTGGTCTTTAGATTATGGGATGAAAATCAAATTTAAACCCTTTGCAGGGAGGTAATTTTTCCTAATCACTCACCCTGCTGCACGGATCCCCACAACTTGATTATGTCTAACTAGATTAATTGGTTGGAGAGTGATTTCTTTTCTCTAAGAAGACCCGCCACAGAGAAGGGGGGTCATCTGAGCCCCAGTGACTCCCCAGCCCCAAGCAAGTCCCTGGGGCCAGGTGCCTTGTCTCCAGGCCTCCCTCCGGCCTCCCCTCCCTCTGTTTCTCTTTCATCACTGGCTCCTTCTGTCACCAAGTCCCTGTCACCATCTGTCTCTGTCTCCCACTGTCCCTGACCCTCTCCTGGTTTGGGCTTCTGCGGTCCTGACTGCGGGGGAGGCCACCGCCCTGCGCCCCTGCATTAAAGAGGCTGATGTTCTCCATGAGGGGAGGGGAAAAGCACAGGGTGAAGTGCTCAAGTTCACCTTCTGAAGCAGCTTGGGCTGAGGTGAGGGGGTCACGTGGGCAGCCCCCATAGCCCCATCCTGCGTGCCACCAATATCCTGGTTTCCAAAGCCTTTAAACTACATAGAGTTTTACAGTTTGCGTGGGCTGGATGCAGCCTGAGTGCCCACAGAGGGGGCTGCAGGGCCAGGCTGGGCCAGACCAGCTGCGGGGCTCAGGGAGGGCCTGGCTGGAAGAAGGGGGTCTGGGCAGCCCCTCCCTCAGCCTGAGGGAGGCTGAAGGGTCTGCAGTCCCAGTCGCTCCCCCATGGCCAAGCTGGCACTTCCCTCCAACAGGCACAGAATCCCGGGGCCCAGACACCTGCTCCTTCCTGGAGCTCAGCACCACCTTCCTTTCAGAACACTGGGCCTGGGCCTGTCCTCAGCTGCTGCTGCCCTGCAGCCCCTGCTGGGGGTCTTCCAGCCCTGCCTCCCTGGGGTCTCCCTCCATACCCTCTGTCTACACTGTTCTCACACAGTCCAGGGCACCATCTTCTCTCCCCAGACACTGCACAGCTGCTCCAGTCTCCTGGACCCAGACCCTCCCCCTGCAGTTCACAGGCTGCAGCCAACATGAACAGGCCATGCCCCCTCTCAAAGTCCTTCCACGGCTCCGCTGCTCTGAGGACTAAAATCCCAACAACAGCGTGGACGGCAGGGCCCTCATGAAACGGCCACACAAACCTCTGCAGCCTCGTCTTTCCCACTCTCGTCTCACACTCGCCACACAGAGTCAGCTGTGTGCAGGCCTCTGCGTGTGCTGGGCCATCTTCCCGAAACACCCTCTCCCAGGCCTGCCTGATGCCAGCTTTCTGCACAGCCCTGCTTGAGGGCCAACAGCAGCTGGTGTGTACTGAGAGCCACTGTGTACCAGGCACTGTGCTGTGGGCTTTACGTGGTTATCCCATTTAACACCCACAGCAACCCTGCAGGGATAGCTATTATCCATTCCCATTTTACAGAAGAAAAACTGAGGTTCACACATGAAGCATCTGGCCAAGGGCTCTCATCTGGGAAGTAAATGATGGAGCTGGGATTTGAGTCAGGTCATTTGCACGAGGTCGCTTCTGCCCATCCCAGGCACCTCTTCCCGGGTTCAGGGCCCCTCCTCCACACTCCTGTTTCCCCCTCACAAGCATTTCCCTGACTGTTCTAAAACTGCCAATTTCTCATCTCTCCATGGGGCCTGGGCTGTGAGCTCTCCAGGGCCACCTGGGTCTCACCTGTCTTTGAGGCCCAGAGCCCAGCATGGGACCTGGTACATGGTGGATGCTTGGCCAGGGTCTGCTGACTGGTGAGCTCCAGGGGCAGCCCCACTGGCTGCTAATCAGTCTCCCATAACCCCACCCTGCCTGCCACTAATATCCTGGCTTGCAAAGCCTTTAAACTAAATAGAGTTTTACAGTTCATTTGAGTTAATCACAGCTGCCCTTTCTGGAAACCTCTTCCACAAATTGCCTGAAGAGAAATTGGCAGCCTGCTGGCAGTTCCCCCACCCAGACCTCACCCTACCATAGTGCCCTAGATGCACAGGAGAGGGCAGGAGGGGGACAGGAGGACAGGGCTGAAGAGTGTGTGCACTCCAGGCCCAGGATTCATTAGGGAGGAGGCTCTGGCCCTTCTGTCTCTGAGTCAGCACAGATGTGGTCTCAAGCAGAAAGAGTTATTTTGTCCCTGAGCCCTCAGCGGTGGGCCTGGCACTCAGTGGGAACTCTGGGATGAACATGAAGAAGCCCCCACTCATGTCTCATGTCTCCAGCCTCATTTCCTGCCTGCCCCAGACTCCACTCCCCCCACGCCCCACTCCCTCAGGCCCCAGCTCTCTCCTCTTGCTGGCCCTTCTCCCTGGAGCTCTTTGCTTGCCTTTCACTTGTCTAATTCCAGTACACTCTTTGCTCCTCTGCTCAGGTATCACCCTCTTCCAGGAAGCTTTCCCTGACCCCCAGGAGAGGTCAGGAGCCCCTGCTCAGGGTCCCCACAGCCCCGGGCTTGCTCCTGTTAGTTATTCAGCCCCTGGGTAGTGATAGCAGGTCCACCTATTGTCCCTAACCCCCAACCCTGCTAGACCAGGAGCTCCTTAAGGGCAGAGAGAGCCTCTGGGACAGGCCCAGAGCCACCATGGGGCCTCCCAGAGGAGGTACCTGTCAGTGCCATTGGGGTGTGGGACCCTGGCTACACCATCCCCAGGGTCATGGCAGAGGAGTCAGGATCCAGGAAGGTGGAGGAGCCCAGATCTGGCATGATGAGCCAGAGCTGCCTTCCAGATGATCTCACTCAGGGATCTTCTACATCCATGCCCTAAATCACTGGGTTCCTTACATCATAGAAATGGTAACAGGGGTGGGGGTAGGAAACAATTCCAGGAAACCTAAGCTTTGGCCATAGAGTTCAGAGTCTCTGGGAGGGACTGGCGCCTGGCCCCCTGCCCCAGACTCATCCTGGGCATCTGTGGTCTACATCTATGGAAGTGGATCAGCATCAGAGCCCTGGCAGAACCTGCCCAACCCAGCCTCAGCAGACTGCTTCCCATCACAGCTGAGACAACTTGGTCTCACTTGCAGGCTCACTGCCCAAACCCAGACCTGTAGCAGAAGAGTGTGGGGGCTCCATCCCCAGACCCTGAGGCTCCTCACATATTCTGCACCCTAAGCTTCATTTTCTCTGCCAGACATCCTGTATACACCATCACCAATCTTCCCCATTCCAACCCTCTCTACACTCATCACTCACCCACCTGCTGCATATCCGGAACCAGGGATGCAGTGGTAAACAAGGCAAACAAAGTTCCTGCCTCCTTATTACTGAATTTCATGCAGAGAAACAGACAAATAATAACCAATGAAAAAATGCCAAGAAAATGTATAGCATGATGGATGCAGGGGAGGAAATCGAGCAGGGAAGTGTGGTGTAAAAGGGCTTCCTCTCTCTTTGGTCAGCTGCCATCATCTCTCACCTGGACCTTCCAACAGCCTCCTCAATGATCTCCTGACCTCCAGCCTTGACCCCTGATATCCACATCTGATCACGTCAGTTCCTCACTTCACACTTGTCAGTGGCTCCAGGATGTGGCCTTCAGGAGAAAAATTAAAACCCCACAACAAGGCTTACAAGGCCCTGCCCTTGCCCCCACCCACCCCCAGACCCATTTAGTAGTGCCACTTGCCTTTTAACTCCATACTCCACCCTTACAGGCCCGATGAAGCAGCTTGGGAATGGTCCCAGAAGTTAGAGATGCATCCTGTGGCCAGAGAATAGCAGACACACAGGTAATGTCAGAGGCAAAAGGTGACATTAGAGTAGATCCTGTGGGACCTTATGTGCTGTGCTGGGAGTCTTGGGTTTCATCTAATGTGTCCCTTGTCTGCCTTATCTCCCCCAAACTGACTGTAGCTCCATGGGGACAGGGACTGTTTCTCCTTTCTTCCTTTAAGCTCAGGGATGAGTAAAGATTTGATTAAGAGAAAAAGCCAATAAGGACATGGCCTGGTAACAGGACTGTCGGCCCAGGGCTCAGCTAGGGCACCTTATGGGAAAAGGAATGATCCGATGGCAACTTAAAACATAGAGGGGTTATCAAAAGTAGCCAAAACAAAGGGGCCGGGTTCAAAGAGGACAAACACTGAAGTCAGCCAGAGTTACAGACAGGTGGGTTTCAGCACCGCGGAGAGCTCTGAGGGGATGCCTTCGTCTTCGGACTTCTGGGGTCACTCATTTGCTTTTGTCTCCTGGGCGGAATTAGCTGGTTGCTATGGGAAATTTGCTCTTGCAAACTGTATTTTGTGATCAGAAATGAAGGCATAGACTCTGGAGTTAGACTGCTTGTGTTCAGATCCTGGATCTACCACTTACAAATTGTCTGAACTTGGCTGCATTTCTTAACCTCTTTCTATGCCTTGGTTGCTGTGTCCAGCAAGTGAAGATAACAGGGGTACCTTACCTTATAGGACTGTGATGAGAACTAAATGAAATTATGAGAATAAACCACTCAGTATGGAGACTGGTACATAGTCAGTGCTTTGAAAAGTAGTTATTATTATCCCAAGAGCTTTTGTACTTAATAGGGGAGAGGTGTTGCTTCAGAAGTTGCATTCCTGTCTTCAGTCACCTGACAACCTTGCTGGGGGGTGCATTTTATGGGATATTTGATGGGATATAAAATTTCAAGCCAGATCCTAATACCAACTGCTTTTTTTTTTTTTTTTTTTTGAGACAGGGTCTCTGTAACCCAGGCTGGAATGTAGTAACCCAATCATAGCTCACTGAAGGCTCAACCTCCCAGGCTCAAGTAACCCTCCTACCCCAGCCTCCCGAGTAGCTGGGACCACAGACATTCGTCACCATGCCCAGCTATGTTTTTTAATCCTTTGTAGAGACGAGGTCTCACTATGTTGCCCAAGCTGGTCTCAAATGTGTGGGCTTAAACAATCACCCCTCCTCTACCTCCCAAAGTGCTGGGATTACAGGTGTGAGCCACCACGCCTGGCCCAACTGCTTCAAATGAGCTGTGTTACTTTGGGTGAGTCATATAACCTCTCTAAACTTCATTCCTCATGTGAAAATGAGTCTCCTTATTTTATCCATATGGTAAGAATTTTTTTCCTTTTCCCTTTCATCTTCTCTTCTTTCCCCTTCTTTCCTCCCTACTTCCGTCCTTCTTTCCATGAAAATATATTCAAGCATTACTTAGCCAATTAGAAATTAGATAATATACGGGGATATTAGACTATGTGGCATTTAAGGGCCTTTCCAGTCCTGTCTCTGGGTCTTTAGCTCGACCCTTCCAAGAAAGCACTGAGTGTTGAGCCATAATGAGAAGCAAGGCCTTTGGGAAGGCCATGGGGGACACCTATGAGAGGAGCTGGATGTTTTTGCTTTGGACATGTCCAGCCTTTTAATCCCTACATTGGATCTCTCCTCTTTTCCGGTTTATGCTCAGGATCCATGGGCCCTCTGCATCTGAAACAAAGTCCTCACTTTTTGCTCGCTCACTGTGCTCCGGCCACACTCGCGTTCTTCTGTAGACTGTGGTTCTGCCCTCCACAGGGCCTCATTACACTCCATGACCTTTGGCAGGAATGTGCATTATCACAGAGGACTCTTCCCATTACAAGGGGCAGAAAATCAACTCAGTATAAGCAAAATGAAGAAACTGGTGATGCAGGGGTGGAGATTTACTGGCTATTTTTTTTTAACCTGAAAAGTCCAATCAGGCATGGCTGGGTCCAAGAAGTCAAATGATACCTCCTCTTCCCATCTCTTAGCTGGGTTTTCTTTTGCATTGACTTCATTCTCAGGAAGGTTCTACCATCTGAGTTGAAAATGGTCAGAGGTAGCTCCAAATGTACATCGTGCTGGCCTATCATACTTCTTTGCTGATAGTTTAAACAAAAGTCCTTGGTATTTTCCTCTTACTGGGGGGCCTGGCTTGGATCATCTGCCAACCTCCTGCCCGATCAGGAGTGACCAGGAGTGGAATTCACTCATTAGCCATGCCTGGCTTGCATGCCCACTCTGGAGTAAGAGCTTGGGGTCAGCCCCACCTACATGCACTGAAAGTGATATAGGAAGCTGTTTCCCAAAGGAAAATTAGAGTGTGTTAAATGAGCAAGAGGAAAGGATGCTGGGCAGATTTAAGACAAAAATAGATGCTCATTGCTTCTCTTCCTTGTTCTCTGGACTGATTCTTGCCCATCCCTCTAGGTTCCAGCTTTTTGCCACTTACATGGAGAAGAACTTCCTGATTTATTGATCTAAGCCAGGACCTTTCAATCTCTTTATTTCCCTTTTAGCTCTTAATATAATAATAGCTAACATTTATTGAGCACTTTATTTATTGAGACACTGTTCTGAGTGTTTTACATGTATTAATAAATTTAGTTCTCATAACAACCCTATTAGGTAGCTGTTTTATGATCTCAATATTCTAGTCAAGGAACTGAGGGCTGTTGAAGTTAGGCAACTCACTCAAGGTCTCACAGCCTTGCAGGGATGGGATCCCAGCCCAGGCCATCACTCTTCAGAGCTCACCTCTAACAAGGCTGTCTACCTTCTTCTATACATCATCATGCAAGGCTCACATGGCCTGACTTGCACTTCCATGTATTATCAACATAATTATTTGCTTCGTGTCTGTCTCCTCCACCAGACTGAATCTCACAGAGGCAGGACCCTGTCTGTCTCATCCACTGTGGGTCCCCAGCACTCAATGCCCTGCACAGCACATGGTAGGACTTGGTGTCCTCACTTTTCCAGTGAGAATAATGAGACTGCCCAACCCTGCCTTCCATGCAAGGGGGCTTTGGAAAGTCAAATACAAAATAATGAAGGGAGCCATCTCTCCTCTTCCCTTCTTCCTTGCTCACTCTCCCTTTCCTTCCCCCTCTCTCCCCTCCTTCCTGCCCTCCCTCATCCTCTCTGCCCCCTCCTGATGCCCTCCCTCCCTCACCCTGCTTTCTCTGCCTCTGTGCTATACTCTCTCCTCTACTTCCCAGACCCCCACTCTGAGCAAATTAAACGATACTGTGGAACCTGTTTCATTTGCATTTGCTCAGGGGCCTTGGTGCCTTCAGCTGCATGTTCATTAAATGGCTCCGTGTAGAGGGAAGTAATGAACCAATTTTATTACAACTGTCATCTCTGCCCATCCTAGGGGGCACTTACATATTCATCAGGAAGAAAGAGAACCACAAACCTCAGCTAATAGCACTTGAAGTTCTGGGCTGAGCAGAAGGCTGCCTGAGGCCTATGCTGTGTTTGTGGTGGGGGCAGGGAAGGCAAGGCTGGGCACAGTCAGTGCCTGTCACCGCAGCATCCCCATAACTGTGAATGTCAGAAATCTCATTGGCTTTGACCAGGGTCCAAAATTCCTGATTATTGCAAAGGATCCCAAATTTATCTCTGTACCAGGCATTGCCTATAGAAGAGGTAACTCGCTTGCCGTGGGAGAACCACTATTTTATTATATGTATGTGCTACCTGTGATTATAGTGACAGAGAAATTCATTGAAAAGCAGCATGGGAAAGCATGCTGATGAATGTTTATTCATTGTGCCTTTCCTCACAGAGTCATATCCGTGCAAGGTTGGTGATAATGATACGATCAGCCATGTGCAGCCAACACTGGACTTGGCGATTTACCTGTATTATCTCATTTATCCCTTACAACAGCCAGATGAGTTACATACTGTTAGTATCCCCATTTTATGGATAAGAAAACTGAGGCTCAGAAATGCCATGCCCAAGGCCACGTAGCCAGGACTTTGTGGATTCAGAGTTTGAACCCAGGTCTGCGCAAATCAGCACCTTAACCACTGGGCTCACCACCTGCTGTTTAAAAGGACAGACCCTATCACATAAGGCTTCCACATTTTATTTCATTAATGCTAATTTCCCAAAGGAAAATTAGGGTGTTAAAGGAGCAAGTGAAAACGAGGCTGAGCAGATTTAAAATAAAAATGGATGCTCCTTGCTTCTCTTCCTTGTTTCCTGGGCTGATTCCTGCCTGGTCCTAAAAGTCACATACCACAGTGACAAGTGATGGTTTCTGCAGAAGGCCTGCCATCCACTCCAGGGATAATTTGGATTAGACCTTAAAAGCATCTGAGTTGAGGCAATGCGTATGTTTGTGGGGGGCATGTGGTGGTGGGGGAGGGGTCATGCACATACATGGGGGTGCAGGAACCTGTCTTGGGACCTGATAGTCTAAGGGAAAATGCAGCTGGGCTGCAATTGCTTTGAGCACTGACTCTGCTTGAAATCTGCCAAGTGACAGTCAAGAATTTTAACACACGGTAAATATTATTGAGCACCTGCTGCGTACTAGGCACAGCTCTGGTTTGGTGAGACATAGCAGTGACTAAAACAGACCAATGTCCCTGCGCTCAAGGAGGTGACAATCAGAATGGAACGAACTCATGGCACCCCGTTACTCCCTGGGCTCAATTTATTCATCTGTAGAGAGGGCAAGCTGGGTCTCTGCAGCAGGGTCACAAGCTCAAATATCATTAGGGGCCAAGCAGGTAACACAAGTGATAGATGGAGGCAGGTGGGGATCATGGAGAGCCGGGGGCCCTGCACAGAGGCTACTGCACTTGGCTGTAGCCACTGTTGCCTGGTGAAACACAGGCCCAGGATGTCAGTTTCTCAGATGTTACTTTATGAAAAATCTTTAGATTTTACATTTTTATCAACTAATTCAAAAGCAAACAAACAAGAAAATAAAACCTATTGTGTAGGCAAAGTCCCCACCTGTCCATGGGTGGGTCAGGCCTCCAGAGCTCCTTTTTCCAAAACTGTTCCTTCAATGACAGAGAAGGAGGGTATTGCAGAGTGCCTAGTATACGGTAGGGGATGACAATCACGAGATCCCCTCAATGCAGGGGTGCACTGGGCTGTCAGAGTCCAAGCTCCATGAATAGATGGGGCAGCTCAGGGAGAGGTAGGAGGGCAGAACCAGTCCTGCCAAGCCTCTGCCCGATGCCCACACTGCTGTGGAGATGGGCAGCCCTGGGCAGGGAGAGGCAAGGATCCAAAGATGGCCCTGGGCCCTCCTGAGTCATGCGGTCCAGAGAGCATGTATATATGTGCACATGTGCATATGTGCATGTGTGTGTGAAGGCAGGATAGGGGTCAGAGCAGGAAGAGGTCAGAGCAGACCCTGGAGGAAACCACAAGGTCCTTCACAGACCACAGTGATGCAGAGTTAGCCTGTAGGGTCTGGAGGGGCCATTAAGAGAAAAGGCTGGACAATGACCGTGAAACCACACCAGCACACAACCGTGAAAAGCTGGCTTTATTAAGACTTTCTGTGTGCCTCCTCTGTTCTAGAACTTTACAATATTATCTCACTGAATCTTCTCAACAACCTTGGAAGGACTTACTACTATTAACTCATTTTACAAATGAGGAAACTGAAGCAAAAAAAGGTTAGGTCACTTCCTCAAGTCACAGTGCTGGTATAGGCCAGGTAGGGATTGAAGCCAGCAGCCAGGCTCCCAAGTCCACACCTTACCCAACTCTACCCCCAGGAGATGGTTCCAAGTGATCACAGCTCTCGTCTGAAGAGGACCTAATATGTATCTGCCAGGCACCATGCAGGGACTCTGTTTAACCTGAACAACAACCAAGTGAGGGAAGAACCACCCCTCCCACTCACAGGTGAGAGGACTGAGGCTCAGCCACAGAGGGGCTGCCGAGATCTGCCCAGGGCCAGCCCTGGGTCTTGGTTTCTGGTGGGTTCTGGCAGATCTGACGCCAGCTCCCTCCTTGGGGAGGGACATTGCCTGCTGTGATGCGGTAGTGCAGGGGATTGTCAGTTTCTGATTAGACTCAGAACCTCCCTTCAGGAGGCCATGGAGCACGCTGGGGTCCTTTGGTCCAGTCTTGACCTTTCCCACTTACTCCCACCAGGTTCTGAGTTCATCCCTACTCCAGAAAGGTCAGACACTGGGTCACCTAACAAGGCCAGAGCCCCTGCCAGTCCCTCCTCACTTTGTTAGAAATCAGGCGCATCACAGACTTCTGCTGACCCTTAGATCACAGCAGAACTTTGGGCCCCAGAGGCCCCTGACTCTGCCAATGGCCCTTTCCAACAGCAAGATTTGTTAACTCATCAGCAGGGAAGCAGCTGCGCTCCAACAACCCCTGGGCTTATGCAGCACCTTCTGCGCATCCTGGGTCCCCTGTGGCCGGGCCAGTCTCTGCTCCTGCCAGCACAGCCTGGGCCCAGGCCTTTCCTTCCAGCTGCAGAAGGGGCAGAACCTCAAGAAGAACAAGGTCCAGAACCCCTGGAAGCAGAAGGGCCTGTGCAGGGAAGGGCCCTTGGAGGAATTCTAGGAAGGAGACTTGGAGCAGGTGATCTGGTCAGGAGAGACTCAAACAAGCAAGAAGGGAGAAGACAGATTTGCTGAGCACCTATCAAGCAGGGAGCTTCCATGTGACTTCTCATCTAAGCCTTATTACCTATGGAACAGATGTCACTGTCCTCATGTTGCAGAAGAGGAAATCAAGTCCCAGAGAGGTCAAGTGACTTTCCCAAGGCCACACAGCTGGCTGTGACAGGGCAGGGACTCAAACTCAGACCCTGGATGAGCCCTAAGTCCATCTTCCTATGTTCTTCTTCCCAACTACACTGTCGAGATTTGCTCTTCACTGTATGTGGGTTCTGGGGCTGCTTCGACCTCTGTCACTCCACCCCCACCCTCGTCTGCCCTGCAGCTCCCTGGGGAAGAGAAGCCTCAGTAAATCCCAGACTTCAAGGAGGATCTGAGATGATCCTTCCAGAGAAGCAAACATTTCCCTGCAGAGTAAATCACCAATGCCTCTTAGTAATTGCAGGTGCCGCCGGCCACCCTCCTTCCCCTGGAAGTTTGTAACTCAAACCTTAGACCTGAATTCACATAACTCTGTCAGGGGATAAATAAGGCAGTAAGCTGGGAGACATGCAGGGAGGAGAGCAGCTGCCCAAGCCGGGCCCTGGGGGGCTTCGGGGATGGAGGTGAGGGGCACAGTGTGGCTGCTGAGGGACCATTGCTCTCACCCATCCAGGGGTTTGGGCCAGAGGCCTCATGGGGTCCCTGCCAACCCAGATATCCTATGTCTCCTTGGCCCAATGTCTGGGGACAGTGGGGGCAAAGGGTCTGGGCTCAGAGGCTGGAGTAGGGATTGGAAGTCTCCAGCAGCTCTGAGCTAAGCCCTGGCTGGGGCCCTTGGTGGAGCAGAGAGGGCTGGTGGTAGCTGAGGACAGGATGGGATTGGGGATCCCAGCAGGGGCCCTGGGCCAGGGCAGCCAGGAAGAAGCCAGAGAGGCAGGACTCGGCACCCTGGGCTGGGAGTCAGGGCCTGGTCAGTTCTGGGTCTGCTGTGGACTTGCTGTGTGACCTTGAACAAGTCACTTGGCCTCTCTGAGCCTCAGTTGCCTCATCTGCAAAGTGGAGATGATTCCTGCCCTTAATGCAGGGCTGTTGGGAGGACCTACAGAGGTCAGGGAGGGAAAAGCTAGGTGGGAAGAGCAGCCAGGAGCACAGGGGCGGGGCCTGGCTGCTGACCTGGGTAGGGCCTGGCCCTGCTCCACCCTTCTCTGCCCCCAACCTCCTGGTGACTGGCCAGGCCCTGGCGTCCCCGACTCTTGAGAATCCAGGTGATTGGAGGTGGTGAGGCCTTTGTGCAAACAAGGCTGCTCCCCACCTCCTCCCACATTTTCCCCCAGATCACTGGGGCTTCCCACATGCAGGCATGCTGGATTGAGTTTCCCACGTGTTGGCTGAGCTTTGTAAAACATTTGATTTCTCATCTACGTGCACGGCAGCTCTGCTGTCTCTCCCCAGGATCCATGTCACTCCCCAGCTCTGTCACCAACCCTCCCCTGCCTTGTCTCTGGCCCTGCTGACCAGCTGTGTGACTTTGGGTGTGTTGCTTCACCTCTCTGAGCCTCAGATTCCTCCTATTTTGAATGGGGTAAGAATGCCTGCCTCATGGATTTGTCCTGTTTATTTACACATTCCTGTAGTTCTTAAACACATATTTAATATTTTGGATGAGCCTCTTCTGTGCCAGGCCCTGAGGACACAGAGATAGGCAGTGGAGATGAGGTCCTGAGGACACAGAGGTGGGCAGTGGAGATGAGGCCCTGCTCACACAGAGCTCCCTTGGGAGGGACATCAGGTGCTACATAGAAGACCTGGCTGGGAAGGTGTCGGTGAAGTTGCTGAGAGCCATGGCAATGCGGAGTGGACGAGAGACTCACCCAGGGGCACATGGAAGGCCAACAGCACAGCCCAGGCCAGCCTGGCCCCAGAGCCTGCTCATGACTCTGCCCTGCAGTGGCACCTCCCATGCAACCCCACTAACTTCCATACCCCACAGCCCAGCAAAGCCGGCCCTTCCTCTGGGAACATCCTGCTCCTATGCCAGGCAGCGGGTCGCAGAAGGAGGTCCAGCCCTGCTGGCTCCTTTTGTCTCCAGGAACCCAGCTCTTAGCCCGGACAGAGAAGGGCCATTTGTCAGGTGTGTTCCCTGGAACAGCAGCCCCTTGGCTCTCTGGCTTGAGCTCCCTGTCTCTCCCCAGTCTCTCCCATCCCCAGAACTTACTGCAGAGTTACCCGAGACTGCATTGGAGGTGGGAGACTTGGAACTGGATCCCTGGATCCCATCTGGGAACCCTCTGCCTGCTCATTGTCTCGTAGCCAGCAGTGAGCATCTCCCCCTCACCATTCTGATAACAACATTTTTAATTATTATAATTATCACCTGAGAAATTGGGTTCCTGCCACAAACAATTAAAATGAAATTTAGCTCAGCTTTGCCCAGCTCGCCTTTCAGGCTTGAATCTGATGGTGAATTTCATAGCACACCTGGAATAGGAGTCAGAGGTGGTCCCTGAGGGGCCTTCATTCAGGAAGGAGTCTGGGGGTAAGTGTGGATGTGAAGACATGCACATGTTGTGCAATTGTGTATGTTCATGTGCTTATACATGAGCAAGTGCATATACCTGTGTGCATGATCATGTGTGTATTTGAGCAAATGTGACTGCAGGTGTGCATATGTATGTGTGCGTGCCTGTGCATGTAAAGGCATGAGTGTGCATGAGGGGGCACATGGGAGCCTATGTTTGTGGGTCCACCAGTGAGGGGGATGAGGTGAGGCAAGGCGTTCGAATGCAGGCAGCACCTGTCAGGGGCAGGGCATAAGAGACGGAGTCAGAAACATGCCAGGGCAAGGAGGTTGCACTTCCTTATTTTGTTGGCAATAGGGAGCCATGAATGATTTTTGAGCAAGAGTGAGATTATTATAAGGGATTGGCCCATGTAATTATGGAAACTGGCGAGTCCAAGTCTGTTGTATGGCCCAGCAGGCAGACATCCAGGAGAGCCAATGGGGCAGTGAAGTCTGAAGGCCGTATGCTGGAGAATTCCTTCTTGCTCAAGTGGACCAATCTTTTTCTCTATTTGCCTTTCAACGGATTGGAGGAGGCTCACCCCACATGATGGAGGTCAGTCTGCTGACTCAAGGTTCACCAATTTAAAAATTGATCTCATCCACAAACACTCCCCAAGTTGGCACAAAATTAACCATCACAAGCTTGACCATACAATAATGAGGTTACACAAGGGAGCAAACCTTGAGTGCTTAACCGTGTGCCCAGCTCTCTACTCAGCATTTCAAATGCTTCTCCTCATTTAACACTCGTAACCTCTCTATGTAGTAAGTTATACAAATGTCCCCTTTTTTCCAGGAAAGCAAAGCTCAGAGAGTTAAGTGACCTAGTATCACACAGCTTGTAAATGGAAAACCCCAGACTTGAACTTGGCACTTCCCGTCCCACAGCCCATGTTCCCAATCCCCACACAGGACTGACATGCCTGGAACCATGGCCATGGGGTGGGGGAGGAGGAGGGGCAGATGCAGAGATCTGAGAGTCCAAGCTGCCAGGGGTGGGAGAAGGCAAGACTGAGAATCAGCCCGGGACTCAAGTAGGGAGAGGTTAAGATGGAGCCAGGTGTGGGGAGAAGACAGTGAAGCCCATTCACATCAGAGATAGAAAAGACAGAGGGTATTTCTCGCCCTCCTCTCTCTCCCAGGTTCATCTAATCTGAGAAACAAATGTGGCTTTCTGTCCATTTCTGATGACTCCTAAGTTTACATCTCCAACCCTAAGCACTGATCTTCGTATCAATATCCATCTAGATGAGTGATGTTGTGGTACAAACATCCTCGAATCTCGGTGGCTTGAAACCACAAGGACTCATTTTCACTCAGGCTACCTGTCCTTGTCGGTTACCTGGGGCTCCAATTCACGCCATTCTCGCTTCACACATGCTGGTTGTTAAGGCAGAAAGAAAGAGCGAGTGAGGAGAATCACGCACAGCTCTTAAGGGCTCGTTGACTTAGAAAGCGGACTTGGGGTCCTGATACCCCTAGTAAACTTCATCCCCATCCCTTCTCCACACCCAGTAAGCAGAGAACATGCAGATCACTGGGCATCCAGGTCCTCCAGGGCTGGGGCTAGGGTCAGGCTTTGGAGGGGTGGGGTGGGGAGGAGGAGGGACAGGGCTTTGATTTTCCTGTTATTGTGGGAAACAGGTTGAAAATGAGACTAATTGCAGCTCACTCAGCTGCTGAGCAACTTTAATTCTCTTCATCTGTGATTTCTTTCCTGGTTGCACCTGGATGGCTACTTCTCCTCGTCCCACTCTTATTGAGCTGGGAAAATGGAGAGAGAAAAAATCCCATTCTGATTGGATTCCAGCATCAGCAAAACCACTGGAATGAAAGTCACTCGTGGGAGCTAGTGCTCCTGGAGGTTGTGTGAACTAGCACAGTTCAAAAGCATTATAATTTACATTTATGGAGATTTACACGACCCTGTCCATTCACACCACCACCTCATTTAACCCTCAGCTCCACAGTCACACTTCGAGGACTTGTGCCCTCCTCCACTGCCTCCTGGCTATGTGACCCTAGGCAAGCCCTTCTCTTTTCCTGAGCCCCAGTTTCCTCATCTGCAATATGGGGAAAATAATAGCAAGTCCCTCCAAGTCATGGTGCAGAATCAGGGAGATAATCCTTATAAAGTGCCTGGCATGGGGCCCAGCACAGAAGACAGAAGATGCCTGATCAAAGCAGCGGGCATCACCCCGAGCTGGGGGGTGCGGAGGGGGCTTTCAGATGTGAATACTGGACCCACAGGAGAGGCTGTCATTCCCATAGCCATCATTCGTTTTGTTTGTCCCTTCCAGAATCCCACATGAAGGCCAGAGCTGTCCTACTCCTGTTCTTTGCTGCTTTTTTTTCCTCTACCAGGCTTCGACAGTGGGAGTTTAGCCTCAACTAAGTCTCGGGAAAAGGATTTTCTGTGTCCGTGAAAACTGACAATTCACCCCAAGAATCAAAAAAGACAGTTTTCCTTTCCACTTAGTGACAGGAGCACAGACCTTTTGGGGTCTGCTTTGTACTATTATACACAATTCAAACCACATCACCTGCCCCACTCTACCCTCACCAGCCAGGGGCTCATCAGTGACAATGTAGGAAAATGCAATCGGTACTTTCAAGACATACTATGTAAAAAGTAATTTCCACCGTACAGTTTTTACCTTTCCTTCTTTTCTTTAAATGACAGTATTTCTTGTTTGCTCTCCTCTCTCAGGACAGATCCACAAAGGAGGATGAATCTACAAAATTCACAAGTTTCTGAGAAGTTGTGGCTCTTAAAGATGTACTAACCTTAACCTGCAACATGAAATACCACTGAGTGTGAGCATGTAAAACCCAGCAACTTCGCGGTACAGGTAATCTGTCTGTAAGTACCTGCTCCTGACTGGTGCTCACGGCTTCAACTTTAAGCTGTTATGCTCAGGGTAGTGAAATCGGTCTGGCTGGACTGTCAGGAAGCCAGGAAAGGGCCCACTGCACCCTCTCACTTGTTTAGGTAACTCGGGAGGAGGTTGGGGAAGGCCTCAGTTTTGGATGTTGCTCCTTTGAGCCCAGGATTCTGACCGATTCCATCTGTGGGAATCCATGGCCCAGATCTGGTCCTGGGCTGTGGTCACATGACCAGCACATGCACCTCCATCCCCTGACTGCCAGTCCCCGACCCTGGGCCCCTTCAGGGTCAGTAGAACCACAGGCTGGGGGTGGAGGAGGGAGCTCAGTCAGCCAAGAGAGGTCTTCATCACTCCTGTCCTCAACCCCAGGAGCTTTAATGCCCAACACAGGGTGTGGCACAGACAGGGCTGGGGAAGGGATGACCCAGCCCCAGGGCCAGGGGCAGGGAGATTCCCCAGTGACCACCTCAGCCTCGTCCCTTCTTTCTTCTCAGCCCTGCAGCTCATGGGGCCTCCTCTCAATCTTCCAGAATGCACAAGCCTCTTGGCTCTGCTTGCCTCTGTTCATGCCCTCCTCAGGCAGACTTTCTCCTCCCCATGGGGAAGATGCACTGCCCCAGGCTCCAAGGTCCTTGCAGCTTGTCATCCCAGAGGAGAGACCTTCTCCCTCCAAGTGTCCACCTGTCAAATCTCTGGGAAGACTAGGAATGCACCCTCAGCTCCACCACATGGAACTGGCTCCTCACCACAAAGGTAATTCTGGAAGAGGTAAGAGGGCTTCCAGACAAACACCCCAGAGGTCCTCTACGTGACCTGTGCACCTTTTGGTTTGTAGGATCCTGGGAAAGCAAGGGTTTCCCTGACATGACTGTATCCATCCCCCTAAGCCCACAGAAGGTGAGAGTGGCATCCCTGTGCTGGTTGTTTAGGTCAAAGGGCTCAAGGGTAAGACTCGTGGAAAAAGACTTTTCCAAGTCAGCTATTCCAGCTCTCCACTTGGGAGTAGGAAAAGAAAGAAATTTGGGACAGACTGGAGACTGGACTGCCCACCACAGTCCCAATGGCCCCTGGAAGAGCCAAATGCCCAGGTGCTCTCAAAGGCTGTGGTCTCTGCTAGACTCCTGGGCTGCAGCCAGGATGAATAAACCATAGGAAGGTGGGTGCCTTAAATAACCCAGGACTGGGGAGGAAGGTATTTATCAAGCAAGCAAATCAGAGGAGGAACCAATCAGCAGGGACTGCCAGTCAGATGGACCAATCAGATGAGCTTATTTGTTCAGCCAATCACATGTTGAGCAGCTGCCGTGAGCTCCTATTAGGAGACAGGTGGGCTTGAGTGGTGCCTGTGTGTTCCCAATGACCTTGGGTCTCCAGGTGGCTTTCACCTCCCCCATCAGGGAGCAGGTCCCACCCAACAAGCCAAGGACAAATGGACTCCTATGGGTGGGAGTCTCTCACTCATTCATTCACTCATTCCTTTTCATTTGTCCAGGGGCACTGGGAGTTGAGCAGTTTCTGGGCCCCGTTCAGGGTGGTGTTAGGAGTTGCAGGACAGGGAGTCAAAGGTGGGGATGATAGAACAGGGCCTGGGAGAAACCACCTTGGCCCCCATTCTCCAGGACTCTTGCCTGTCAGGGACATGGAGGGCAGAGGCAAACCAACTCAGAGTAGGACGCAGGCATAAGTGGGCAAGGTGAAGGCAGATCCCTGGTCTCCCAGAACATGGAAGGAGGGGAAAAGGGATCCACCAGCATGAAGTCTGTCCTCAGTGCTTGGCCCAGGGGCTCAAGACCCAAGCATTCAGGGGCTGTGGAGTATTGGGGACCCTGAAGCAGAGGCCCAGAGAACCAGGGAGACCCACTAGGGAGTGGGACTGGCCCACAAAACCTTATGCCTAGGGTGGCACCACTATTTTTATCCTTTACCTGCTCAAGGGCCTAAGGCAGCCAGGGTACTCTACCTGAACTGGGGACTCAGAGCCTCCAGGTCCAGTGTCTCAGTGACACCCATCATGTGCAGCTCATGGACAAAGGACTGGGACTGGCTCTGCCAAGGCAATCCTGGAAGACCATCCTGAGGAAGTGGCATTGGAGTGTGATCAGAGGTTAGACAGAAAGTCTTCAAAGCGGGGAGAGACATTTGGTTAGAGGTAATGCCAAAAGCACAGGGTGGTGTTGGGGAAAGGAAAGGTCCCCCAGGGACTTTGCAGGCCTGATGCATTGCATCATTGTTTTTGTTGAGTGAGGGCAAAAGGCATTGAATGCCCTGCCTAGGACTGTGGTCTTTAGTACTTATGTTTATATTAATTTTATTAGGCTTTTTTTTATTTCAAGGAATGGCAGCCAACTCTAGCTAACCTCAACAAAGGTGCAGATTTCGGAGGAGCATTTGGAATCCAAGGGCTGAGATGCATGCTGGGGATGGGTTGGTGAGAGGCCAATACAGGAAGTGCCCTCTTCCTCTTGCTCAGTTTCCCTCTATGAGAAGTTTTTGTTGTTGTCGTTGTTGTTTGTGGTTTTTGTTTGCTTGCTTTTGCTTTGCTTGCTTTTGCTTTGCTTTCTTCCTGCAGACATGTGTTCCCTGCCACAGTCCCCCCCAAACCACCCACCCCAGGAACATGGCTGCCATTAACTCCCAAGCTTACAAAAGCTCAGTATCCTCCACCAGGGCAAGAGGAGACTCACCCTTTTCAATTCTAACTTCAAATGCCCAGAAGGTTCTATTTGCTTGGGTCAGAACCTCATATTTGAACCAATCAACTATGTACAGAGAGTGAGTCCTAATTCAGTCATGGTATATTCTGAAATGACCAAGTGGGTGGACTGGAAAGAGGAGAAAGGGAAGTTTCCAGAAGTAAGCTGGGGACCAGGTCTTGTAGATGCTGCATTTAACCTTCCACACCATTTTAAGGAGGTTCAGAGAAGTTAGGTAACTTGCCTGAGGTCAGATAGCCAAGAAGCAGTCAAGTCAGGACTAAACTCCAGACCTGCTAACCGCAAGCCCCAAACTCTCTATCGACTATTTCCCTTGACTGATTTGGTGATGCTGGACTTGGGTTAAGGTTTCATTTCTAAAAGAATCTTCCCAACTCAGCAGTCCTAAAATTTCAAGTAGAAATATAGACATGTCAGAGTGGGCTCTTCTTTCTGGCTGCTGGGGTCCCGCTGCTCACTCGGTGACCTGGGCACATGGAATTAGGAAGAACACAGTCCTCAGGCCTCAAGGAGCAAGTTGTGTGTCTTCCACAGCCAAATCCAACAGCTTTCCAGGGAAGGGAGGCAGTGGAGAGGCTTGTATATTGTCTCTGCATATATGAGCTGGGAGATCTCAGGCAAGTACCCAAACTTCTCTGAATCTGTTCTTACATTTGTGAAATGGGATTAATTATGCATAACATATGAATACCATCTACCATATCACCTGGCACATAATTCATTATGTATGGTTTCCTTCCCTCATTACTAGACCCCTTGGGGCGTTAATTCTGACCTCGGCCCTTCTCTGGGAAAATATTATTAAAGCTCCTACACTGCTTTACTAAAGAAATGAGCTGGATCCATGGTAAAGCAAAACTAACTGAAGATTGATAAAGGCTCTTATGGCAACAAGCATTTAACAGGTTGCTGAGGGAACCCTCATTGATGCTCTTGGTAAGGGAGCAGTAGCCGGAGCTCATCAGAGATAGAAAACTCACTTGGATCACATAGCCCAGAGACCCCAAACAGCAACATCATTTAGGGTTGGAGTAGGTGAGGGCAGTGGAGGGGGAGGGCTCAGGGGAAGAACAGAGATGGGCTGGACTTTAAGGCCGGTACTCATTTGTTGAAATAGAAGGATTCCATTCAGCACCATGGACAGAGCCTGCCTTCTTGGAGAAGGCTCTCCAGGAAACAGCATGAGTGGATCAGAAAGGGGAACCTGGTGACTTTCAACTGATGGCACTAAGGCAAAGTCCAGTTCACAGAAAATTCACCTGGCCAAACCTACTGTATCTAGGCAGCTCTTTTCAAGGCCACCGAATCCTTACAAACAGGTAGAGAAAGTCATTAGGCAGTTGTGGGGAAACAGGGAGGGGTAAAACCCAGGGTTCAAGTCTCCCTCTCTTAGCATTGGCTCAACTATGAACTTGGGCAAGTCACCCTCCTCGAATATCAGTTTCCTCACCTTTAAAATAAGGGTGCTGCACCAGATGGTTCCTAAAGGCTTTTCCAGCCAATACACTCCATGATCTAAGGCTACTGCAACATCCCATGGAAATATGTTTGATCATTTCCAGCCTCCTGGCCTTGCAGACATGGTCTCTGGTTATAACTCCTGTCCAGACCATCAGCACTGAAGAAAAGGTCCCCACACCTCATGCATCTATACCCCTTGGTCCTGGGTAGCTCTGTCTCCCAATCTTGCTGGGCCTGGGAAGGTCCAGACTGCAGACATGGTGTTGGCCCACTCTGATGAGTGTTCAGAGCCTTGGCTTCAGGCAGAGCTGGGTTGGAGTCCAGGCTTCTCTACTTTCCCATTGTGGGACTTGAGGGATGTTGTTTAACCTACTGCTCCTCATTTGATATTGAATCTTCCCAACTCAGCAGTCGTAAAATTCCAGGAAGGAATATAAACAACCCCTGTGAGTGCCCCAGGGTGGCTGCCACAGTCAGTGCCCCATCACTGTGAATCTCCTCTCCAGATACTTAATGGTCACACCCATTGTTTATACATGTGACAGTAATTTGCTCATGGTTCTTCATTTACATTTCTTCCTGATTGATCTATTGACATGAACTTTTACCTTTTACCTTTGGCTCCTTACTATAATAATCATTATAATTATCAGTAGTATATGAACTCACAACTAATGTAGTACATGAACTCCACACTAATGTAATTACTGTCAGGCAGATGCAAATAATTCCTGCTCTCATTAATGTAATAAAAAAGTCATTAGCTTCACTCCTTCACATGTCAGGCCTGGGTCTGACTGCCTCTCCGGCCTCTCTCCTCTTGGGCAAACTTGTATATTTCTCTGCAGAAAAAAAAAAAAAAAACTCCCATTGTCTTTCTGTCCTTATGGTCAGCAAGGAAGATATTCTGCAGTGCCCCCAACCCCAAAGGACACATCGCTTTGTAGATATGCAACAACTCTACATACTTTGCTGCTGCTACTGCTGGCTACTGAGTATTGAGAACTTAAACTGGACTAGTGGAGAGCTAAGTGCCAGCATTACACTCAGAGAAATGTGCCATTCTGGCAGGGCACAATGGCTCACACTTGTAATCCCAGCACTTTGGGAGGCCAAGGCGGGAGTACTGTTTAGGCCAGGAGTTGGAGACCAACCTGGGCAACATAGCAAAACCCCATCTCTACAAAAAAATAAAAATTCGCCACATGTGGTGATGAGCACCTGAAGTCCTAACTACTCGGGAGGCTAAGGCAGGAGGATCCCCTGAGTCCAGGAGGTCAAGGCTGCAGTGAGCTATGGTCATGCCACTGCACTCCAGTCTAAGCAACAGAGCAAGATCCTATCTCTTAAAAAGAAAAAAAGTGATGCCATTCTCATTTCCATTTTATGAATATGAAAACAGAATTAGAACTGGGTAACTATCTCTGAATTAGTCACTGAATTAGTGAGTAATGAAGCCAGCCTTTGATTTCAGGTTTCTCCATTTCTAGAGCCCATGCTTTTGACATTTTGTACTAAAGATAGAAACCTGTCCTCTCCCCGCCTCTCCCCTGACCCCCACTCTTTCTCATTTTCCTTCTGTACCTTGCTCTTTGCTCACAACCCATACTTCTAAGGTTTTTGTGCTGGAAGCCTGAGGCCTGAGCTTCCAACTCACGTGTGGAACAGCAAAAGGGACCTGGCCTCAGAGACCCACCCCCAGCTTACCCGAAGGACCCTCCCCCACTGTGAAAACTGCTTGACTTTGTGGACAGGGATGATGGGAGTGACACATTGGTTTTTTCCTCACTCCACCTAGCAGCTCCTCACTCCACCTAGCAGCTTATATAGGCAACTAGCTTCAGTACCACCTCACTGTAGATGAGTGATGATAATACTGTTCCATTGTTTACTTCCATCCAGCTGTGCTAAGGAGCTTCTGGACTTCACAAAATACTCATAGCATCCTAGATAGCCCAGCATTGTACCCACTTAAAATACGGGGAAACTGAGGTCCAGAGTGCCATAGATTTCTGAAACAAAGAATCCCTTTAAAGGTCACCAACTTTTTCATTGTACAGATAGAGAAACTGAAGCCCAGCGAAGGAAATAGATTTGCCCAATGTCACACAGCAAGTGAAGGGCGGAGCCAAAACCAGATTCCAAATTCTCTAATTCCCAGGCCAGTGTCTTTAACATAGTGTCAGGCAAAATCCTCTAAACCAGTCCAGAATGTTTCTTGGATTTCAGTGTAGTCCCCACCCTGCCTGCCCTGCAGAGAAATCAGGGGTGGAGTCATCTACATTAAGACTCCGACTCCCACCACCAACTTACAGTGTAACCTTGGGTCATTCTGCCACTTCTGAAAGCCTTTTTTCTTGTGGTAAAATGATTGTTTGTGGGACAAGGATGCTGCATTTGAATGTCCCAGGCATCCTGGGCATGCTCAGTGTCCCATCCCTCCCCAGGGAATAAAAGCCTACATGGGCTACACAACTCAGCCAACCTCAGCTTTCAAGCAGCCACTTCAACTCCCCAACAACGACTTTCATTGCTCCTCCAGAGACCTTGATCCATGGATCCATTTGAGCCAAATAAACTGATTTATGGAAATGATTATTCCCTGGTGCTATTCTCATTAGCTGCAAATAGATGGTGCTTCTGGATAAGCCCACAAGTCCAGCTAAAAACAAACCCATCCCTCTAACATGACATCTCTGGAGAGGTGGGCATTCGATTATCCAGATTATCATAGCTTTTCACTGCGCCCCTCTAGCTTTTATTTAACTGGAGTTGGAATCTCCCACCAAGAGGCTCAGCACTCTGAGGAATTCTCCTGGAAGGAAGATGCCATGTGCTGCACAGAGCACACTGTTTCATGGAGAAAGGGTGGAGGCTTGGTGTGCAGAGCAAAGGGCCTCCAAGACTGGCCTGGGTATGCAAGTGTAGACCTTCTGGTGTTGGTGAAGTTTGGCTTTGAGAGGATCAGATGCCTTCATATAACTTGCCTCACAGAATCTGGGCAGATAGCGTAGATACCCTGTGGACTCGTTTCTTATTCATGTGTTCAATCATTCACTTTCTTACTCTCTCAACAAACACTTTATAGCCATCTCTTTTCCAGGGCATTCTACTTGGTGATGAGAATACAAAGATCATAATAACCAGACTTCACCAAGATGCTTGCAGTCTTGCACAGGACATAAAAATTCTGGCACAAGAAGTTCCCTAGTGGGCATCAGAGAGGAGGAGGAGGAGGAGGCAGCACTTCACTCCTTTGAAGGTTGGGTAGAGCAGGCATCTACCCTAGATGGGTGGCCCCAAGACAGACTCAGAAAAGCACTTGGGTCCTGGTTGTTTATTCAGGAGGTGATTCCAGGGAGCACAGTGAAGAGGTGCAAAGAATGATTCAGGAAAGGAGCAAAGCCAACAAAGGGAAGGTTGATCGATGCTGACTGACCACTGACAGCAGCTGGGCTCATCCCACTGGGGACCTCTGAGGAATCGTGTGGAGCACACATCAGAAATGCCTCTTAGAGGTTGGGGAGGCTGGGGTCTTTTTACCCATTGACACTCATCTCCATCATTAGGGGATTGCTCCTGGCCTATGTTGGGTCCTCCATGCAGGAACACTGTGCCTGCTCCCAGGTGAGCTTCCATGGTGCCAGAGAAAGCCCACGGGCAGAGAAGAGATGATACATGCAAGCAGGGGTGCTGCCAGGGTGCCAGGAACTGACACCACTTCAGGACAACCCAGGATGGGTCACGGGCATGCGGTAGCAACAGCATCTGCTGCACTGTCCCAAAAGAGGCAACATTTGAGCTGGGTCTGGAGGAATGAGTCAGCATATGTCAGATGAAGTGCATGGGGAATGGGTTATCCAGGAAGCTGAAACAGGAAGTCACAAAATGAAAAGAGAGAACCAAGGCAATTCCTTCAAATAGTGGCTGCTGATAAGGCAAGAAAGCAGTGGCTCAAGGGGCTGAGGGGTATGAAGAGAATTTATTTTAAGGTCAAGGGTGGGAAAAGTCTGAGTAGCTTGTAAACAGGAAAGTGCGAAGTGGTGGAGCTAAAGAAACTGAAAAAATGGAGAGAGAGAGAGAGAGAGTGTGTGTGTGAGAGAGAGAGAGAGAGAGAAGGCATGGTCAACTTGGTCTACAGAGGCAGAATGAGACGGAGCCCATTGGGAAGTACTGACCTGAGTACCTGAGCCAAAGGTGCCTGAGCTGGGAGACGACACAGATCACAAAAGGTGGGGTGAGTGCCCTATGGCCTCTATTTCCCAGTACTGAAGGGGTGAAGGCAACCTGCAGGGAGTGGCAGGACTGGGGTTGGATGCAGGAGTTGAGAAGGACAGAGGCCTGGAATAGTTCTAGGGGAGAAAGGGAAAGTCACAGGAGGGCTCGGTGACACTGGTGACAGCCACGGGTGGCACCTGTGCCCTGGTGATGGTACCTGTCCTCCTTGGCATGCAGCGTTTTCAGTAGTTGCTGGAGACCTAGCACAGACATGGAGGAAGCAGCCAGTTGCATTATCCCTGGCTGGCTTTGGCAGGGCAGGAGTGGAACCGGGAGGACACTACCCCACTGTGGGCTCACTAGTCCTGGGACAGGACTTCCCTTCCTGTAAAAAGACGAGGCCTGGTTCCTGGCACATATTAAGTGCTCAATACATGTTGGGGTGCAGTGCTGGCTCTTCCTCACGCTGTTGTGTGGTGAAGAGCCATCGCAGCACCTCCAGTATCTGTTTACATCTGTTTCTCATTCTCCACATCAGTCTGGGATCTCCTAAGAGCTGGAACCAGGTCCATTCATGTCGTCCTCAGGACCCCCACAAACTGGGCATGGAGTCAGACGAACAAATGATTATTGAATGAACACATGAAGGAGGAGTTGGGGTGCGTATCAGGTGACCCAGAGACGGTCTCTGAGGGCAAGGGATAAGCAGAAAGTTTCCCCAAGCTCCTGTCCCATCCCTCACACCTATAGGCAGGCATAGGCCACTATGTGGTCAGCTAACAGAATCTGTCCCTACACCCTTTGAACACTGTGGAGCCTTGGAGTGGGAGAGAAAGGCAGAGCCATCCTTCTGGCCTCCTCCTGACTTCTGCCTTTGAGCTGGGCTGATTTGCTTGGCTCATTTGTCAGAATAGACCTGGTCCCAGGACCACACTGAGAAGAGGGCAGCAGGTTCCCAGGAGCACGTGTTTCTCCTTTGCTCACCAAAGGCCGTCCTGCATCTGGACTCAGTCATTCCTGCTGCCCCCACGGCATCTCCCTGCCCACACACTCTGCAGGAGCCCCTGTGTTCTGCAGGCCCCACACCTGGAAGTGCCCTCCTGTCTCTGCCAGGGAAGGGATCTTGTTTTTCAAAATGCCCTTGGACACTGTAGTCCTACAAAAGCAGCTCATTTCCACACTCACCATGTCCTGACATGAGAGTCTGTGCACATTCTTTCTCTCTCTCTCTCTGTCTCTCCCTCCCTCCAGGCCAATATGTCAGGACAATCTGTCCCCTCACAGAGGGACCGTCAAGCAATATTTCAACATGTATAACCAGATTGCCTGTCCCTCTGGTCTATGTGCTAAGCAAGGGCAGTCATAAAAGCTGCATGTGACCGGCACTGGCCTGATCCACCACTTATTCGTCCAAAAGCTCTGCCTTCCACTCTGTCAGCACCAGCCCCCTTCACAATGGGTGTGTCATCTTTGCAGGAGGACTGGGCTGGGGGGCGGGATGGTGCATAGGCAGTGGATGAATGCACAGAGCTGCAGGAGCTCAGCTACGTGCCTTGGCCTTGCCACTCATAGCTTGGGACCTGGGTGTGCTACTGACCTAGCAGACTATCCCATTTCCCCATCAGCCAAAGGGGGACCATGACAGTACCTATCTCCTCTGGGGGATTCAGAGAAAGGGCACAGGGATCATCAGCACCATGGTCAAGAAATGATGGCTTTGGCGATGGGAAGATGATGCTTTCTCATCTCGTCCTCACAGCAGCCTGAAAGGCAGGTGTCCTCAGCTCCAGTATGGGACATGGGAGACCTGACTGTCAGTGAGATTAACTGTGGAACCCAGGGCACATTATTTAGTGACAAGAGGTGCTGAGACTTTAGCCTGGGGTGTGCAGCCCAAAGCCCAGCAGGTAGACAGCCTGGTGCATCCCTGGGGGGCACCTGGCTCCTCGGGTCAGCTGCTGGGAGCCGGGCAAGTGAGACACTGTGCCAACACGTGCCATTCAAACATAGCCAGAAAATCATAGCTTTTCTATGATGCCCTAAAGAAATGTCTTACTCATGCAGTCACAAGGAAGACACAGCTAGAAATCAGGCCCCACATTTAATTCCATGGGTTGCAAAATTATACTACAAGTTGAACTCACAACCTTGTCTTTGTATCCCGCTTCTGGAGCCTGGCGTCTCATCTTCTCACTAAACCGTGAACTGCTCCAGGCCCTGTTCTGAGCCCTCACTGTCTTATTTCTCTTCGTGGGGTGCTTCTCAGCATGGTGCCCACAGAGCCCCATGGCCTTGCAAATGTGGCCTCCTCAGAATTGTGAGAGCAGAGGTCCCAGGACCGCAGCGGGGTTGTGGTAGAGCAAGAAGCATGGGGAAGTCACAGCCATAGCATCCATCAGCAGATGGTCATCCCTGCGCAGCTGGACCAGGTCCCCCACACGTGAGCACCAGCAGGGCAGGGGCATCCACCCACACCTCTCTCACCCCACAGCCCACCCATGCCCCGTCCTAAGCCCTCCTCGTTCTGAACTCTGGAGACAAAAGTTCCCAGAGGAGAGGGGAGTTCCCCCAGGTCACCTTCCAGGCAGCGCCAGAGCTGGGACAGGACCCCAGGGCCCCAGACTCCCAGCTCACCCCACAGTGACACTCTGGCCCCACATGCCCAGCATCCCTGACGCCACCTCGGTCACAGCCCAGGGCATCATCTCTAAGTGTGAGCCGCCTCCGTGCTGGGGCAGCTGTGTTCTCTTAAATAACTATCAAGGGGAGGATGGAATTAGGACACCCAAGAGAAGCCCACGCCTTGTGAGATGAGGCACTCCACCCTCCTACCTTCCCTGTCAGCTCTCAGACTAATTCAAAGTAATTAAATATTCCATAGTTTTCTTTTATACTCTTCAATAAATGTTGTCCATGAAAATCAACAGGCATTTTCTGTATTTAATGCATATTAACTAGTCTTATAAATCTAAATTATCCCTATAAATCTAAATTAAATGCCCAGCTTTAAATGTATTCAAGACAATTAATAAAGCGTTGGCAATAACCATTACTAACCTGTTTACTTCGAGCCAACCTTCGTTTTCACAGGATGTGTTTCTGTGCCGTGTGTGGTGGGCAGGAGGGAGCACAGGGTCTCTCGGCGGTTTGCTGGTGGCTGTGGGCACGGCCCATCTTCATGGCGCCCTCCAGAGCTGCCTGGGCCTCTGTGCCAAGCCTCCTCCAGCCTTTGGGTCTCTTCCCCGCCAGGGATGGAGAAGGAGGTGGCCAGAGCGGCCTGCAGGTGGAGGCCTGGGCAAGAATCAAGAGGTCTGGCTTGGCCACTGATGTGCTGTGTGACCTTGGACAAGTCACTTGCCCTCTCTGGACCTCAGCTTCCTCTTCTTCGTAATAAGGCAAGGACAATGTCATCACAGGGGCCTTTCACCAGCTGTGGGGAGGGAGTTTGGGTGTGAGGAGGTTGGTACATGACATATGAGCAGTGTGACCTTGGGCAAGTGACTTAACCTCTTTGTGCCTCAGTTTCCTCATTGGTACACTGTGGACAGTAACAGCACCTACCTCACAGGGCTCTGTGATTTGCCTAGTTCAGGGCCTGATAGTTGAGGCCCTGTGGATTCAGCTGTGGTTATTCTCCCAGGGTGGCCAATCCTCGGCCATTGTAAAGGTCATCAGATCCGATGGAGGGTTAAAAGAGGTCCACATTTGGACCTCTTTTCAGGTGAAAGAAACAAACCTCTAAGCTTTCAAGCCACCATTTGCCAGATTATCTAGTGCTTGCAATTAAACACAGTTGTAACTGATACAGACAGACCTGAGTTCAAGTCCTTACTCTGACAGACTAGCGGGGAGGGGTGAGACATCAGGGACAACATGGGATGGGAACATCTGCAGCCAAAGCTGGAGGGAAGCTGTCAGGGGATGGAGGGGCAGAGCTGCTCTGGGCTGCGTCCCCCAGAGGACAGAAGGCCCTGCCCCTGCCCAGCCCCCAGGGCTGTTCCTCTGATGTCAGACCTGTTAGGACATGAGCTGGGTCACTTGAGAGAGAACTGCACTGGGGAAGCTCGGCCTCTAAGTGACGCCCCCATTCCTACATGTCACTGAGCGCCCACCCGCGTGCCAAGCCCCAAGGTCTGCACCATGTCACCCCCCACCTCCCCACCCTCCACCACCCACAGCCAAATGATCACCAGCTTGGTGCCAGGCCCTTCTCTCATCCTGGCTGCCCACACCTTGGTCCCCAGAACTGTCACACAGGCCATGGTGAACACCAAGACCTCCTCACAGCCCAGGCTCCACCTCCCCCGGGCCGACCCCTCACCCATCTCTCCCTACAGCTCTCCCTCCCCTCACCCCCTCCCCCACAGCCCCCCTTACATTTCACCTCTGCCCCATCCCACTCTCCACTCCACCCCTCCCTCAGCCCACCCTTCCCTCCACCCCTCCCCAAGCCCACCCTCCACTCCACCCCTCCCCCAGCCCACCCTTCCCTCCTCTCCTCCCTCAGCTCAGCCTCCACTCCACCCATCTCCCAGCCCACCTGATACTCCACCCCTCCCTCAGCCCACCCTTCCCTCCACTCCTCCCCCAGCCCACCCGACACTCCACCCCTCCCCCAGCCCACCCTTCCCTCCACTCCTCCCCCAGCCCACCTGACACTCCACCCCTCTCCCAGCCCACCCTTCCCTCCACTCCTCCCCCAGCCCACCTGACACTCCACCCCTCTCCCAGCCCACCCTTCCCTCCACTCCTCCCCCAGCCCACCCTTCCCTCCACTCCTCCCCCAGCCCACCCGACACTCCACCCCTCCCTCAGCCCACCCTTCCCTCCACCCCTCCCCCAGCCCACCCTTCCCTCCACTCCTCCCCCAGCCCACCCTTCCCTCCACTCCTCCCCCAGCCCACCCGACACTCCACCCCTCCCCCAGCCCACCCTTCCCTCCACCCCTCCCCCAGCCCACCCTTCCCTCCACTCCTCCCCCAGCCCACCCTTCCCTCCACCCCTCCCCAGCCCACCCTTCCCTCCACCCCTCCCCAGCCCACCCTTTCCTCCACCCTCCACTGCCAGGCCTCTCTCCATGTAGCAGCATAGCGATCTTTCTAAAATGTGCACCCCAGAGTCTTCCAAGGCCTCCTTGGGACTCCCCACTGCACTCAGGGTCAAGGTCAAACCCCTCCTCTTGGCTTCTGAGGTCCCATGGGGTCTTCTCAATCCTTGGCCAGCTCCCACTCCCCCAACCTACAGGAGCCTCAGGGACCTGCTTGCCATTCTGCTAGTGTCTCACTCACTTGCTCTCTCGGACATTTGCAGGAACTCTTCCTTCTGCCCTGAAAGCCCCTTCCTCCTCACTGACCCCACCCCCGCCCCCGAGCCTCCATGTCTCCACAGGGATCTCCCTGACTGTCCCATGCCAAGAGGGGCTTCCTTCCTCTGTGCTCCACAGCCGTCTGTTCCCTTCTCATCATAGGACTGACCACCTAAATGGACCACCCATTTCCCCATTGCCTCCCACATCTGACTGGGAGCCACCTGAGGGCAGAGGCGCATCTCACTCACTCCTGTAGCCCCTGGACCTGGCTTCAGGCCTGGCCCAGTCAGGGGCTTCAGGGCACATTGACAGAGGCACAAAGAACATCAAGCTGGCAGAGTGTGGAGGGGCAGCGGGTCCCAGTGGTCACACTGTGTGGCCAGCACCAATTGTCTCCTATCTGTTGAGGCTGCGGTTGGCATTGGCAGGGATTCCCTGCTACTGGAGAGGGTAGTTCCAACTCAGCTTTGGGGGTGACTTGGTCGTTCTCATCCAGCCATGGTAATCTCATCTCCTTGGCCAGGGATTGGTCCAGGAGTTACTATGTTCCACCTGGTGAAATAGAATCGAATCTCTTTCAGGTGAGGCTTCTAGAGAAGATTCCTTTTCTGAATAAAAGGCATAGATTCAATTGGTACAACTCTCTTGCCCTTCGCCCAAACCCTTTCTCCTGCCTGCTATCCAGACACGATGTCTGGAGCTGTAGCAGCTCTTTCATGACCATGAAGCGACAAACCCCAGCACAAGAAGCCACATCTACTGAAGATGGCAGAGCAGAAGGAGGCTGATCCCTACCTGGCATCACAAACAGCTTAGCCAGGGCCACTATCTCCCACATCTGGACCTCTTTTCAGGTGAAAGAAACAAACCTCTAATTTTTCAAGCCACTGTTTGCCAGATTATCTGTTGCTTGCAATTAAACACAGTTGTAACTGGTACAGACAGGCCTGAGTTCAAGTCCTTACTCCGACAGACTAGCAGGCAGTCCTTACTCTGACAGACACAGGATGTCAGACAGTTAGCCTGTGCAACCTCTCTACATTGCTCTAAATGCAATTGCTTTGTCTGTTAAAATAGAGTTGGTGGTGCCTACCACAAAGTTGTTAAACCTTTGTGGAAGCCCCAGAGGGAGGTCCTGGGAGGTCATGCCAGCAGAGGGGGCACAGTGCTGGGGTGTAGAGACCTGGGCCACTTCTGAGTCTTCTTACTAAATATCGATCCCAGACAAGTCCTTCGCCTCCTTGAGCTTCGTTTCCTCTTCTTTCCTCTATGAGGGGAGGGACTGAGCCTGTCTTATTCAGTACAGAGCCTAGTACATTAAAATAACTAACATTTATCAAGAGCTTATGTGTAGACATCTATCTAAGCAACTTGCATCAATTATCTCCCTCAATTCTTATTATATTCCTATGAGGTAAGTACTAATATTAATATCCACCACTTGGCAAATGTGAAAACCTGGGCACAGAGATGTCAAGTCACTGGCCCTGGCTCACACAGCAGGCAAGTGGCAGAGATGAGATGTGAACCCAGGTAGTCACATCTCACGCTCTTCACCACTGAAGAGTGGTGTGAGTCAGAGCTCATGCTCTTCACCACTGTGCTAGGTTGTCCTGGCACATAGTAGGTGCTCAGCATATGGCTGCTGAATAGATGAATGAATATGTTGAGAGCAGTATCCCAGGACACATGGGCTTCTAATCCAGCTCCTTCCACCCCTGCCTCGGCTTGAGGGGGTTCTGAGGAGATCGTGGATCCAGTGGGCAGTGGGCAGAGTTCCCAGGTCTAACCCACCCCACCCCCCACCCAGCACACTCAACAGGTAGTTTCTGCACCAGGATCCAGACCTCTCACCTGCAGACATTTTCTTGGCCCCTTCTGCTCATTCATTCATTTGCTCTCATGTTAACTTTTATTACTTATTGATTTTCTCCAGGCTAGTTCTCTGTGTCCATTTTTATCTGCTTAAACTAGAAGAAACTATTCAGTGGGAAAAATAGAGTTTAGAATTCCATGACCACAAATAGGGATCCATATTAATGGGGCCATCCCCTTTGAGGGGAGCAGGAGAAGGCATCTGCCTGTCACTCAGCTGTCACTGCTGGGCTGGGAGAGCCTGAGGAGTGGGCTTTCATCCAACCTCCCATGGAAGGGGCTTCGGGGGAGCCGGGCTCTGGAGGCCACTCGGTGAGGGCCCTGGGTCTGGGTCTAGGATGGAAATGTCCTCTGTGTGACCAGAGGAACTTGGATGGTCCTGGGAGCACAGGCAGGGCCTCATCTAAGATGAAGGCCAAGAAGAGGCTGAGGGGGAGGCTGAGCAGGGGTCAGACAGAATGAGAGTTACAGGAAAGGAAATGGGTGGAGCTCAGGCCAGGCCTCAATGAAGGCAGAGACTCTTAGCCAAGTGCTCATGTGAGCTGGGAGCTCCCTGGGTGTCCTCTCACTCACCCTCCACACACCCTGAACAAAGTGTCCAAGGGCCCAGCCAGGCAGGGTGATGTAGCTGGGAGGGGAGCCCTGGGCTGAGTCTCCAGCCCCAAGAATCCTTCTTTCTCCTCCTGAGGTGGGGCCATCATCATGGCCAACATCTGCGGAACCCCAGAGGGAGGCCATGAGAGGCCGTGTCATGGTGGAGGGAGCTCTGCATTGGGGTATGGAGGCTTGGAGCCACCTCTGGGCCCTCCAACTATTAAACAGGGACCCAGGCACTTCCTTCACCTCCTTGTACCATTCCTCTCCTGGGAGGAGAGAATGGTAGGACCTGCCTCTTGGAGTTGTTGGGGGAGGGTTGGTAATGAGGTCTTGTCACACAGCCCTTCACTGCACAGTGCCTGGGCCACGAGCTTGATTGGGAGTCGGGGGGAGTGGAGCTGTGATGACAATGATGATGATGGAGGTGGTGATGATAAACATGATGATGGCCATGGTAATGCCAGTGATGGTGGTGGTGATGGTGGTGGTGGTGATGGTTGTGGTGGTGATGGTGGTGGTTCTGATGATGGTGGTAGTGGCGATGATTGTGGTGATGGTGGTGGTAGTGACAGTGATGGTGGTGATGGTTGTCGTGGTGATGGTGATGTTGGTGATGCTGGTAGTGGTGATGGTGGTGGTGGTGGTAGTGATGGTGGTGATGTTGGTAGTGGTGGTGGTGGTAGTGGTGATGGTGGTGATGTTGGTAGTGGTGATGGTGGTGGTGGTGGTGGTGGTGGTGATGGTGGTGATGGTGGTGGTGATGGTGGTGGTGGTGGTAGTGATGGTGGTGGTGATGGTGGTGGTGGTGGTGATGGTGATGGTGGTAGTGGTGATGGTGATGGTGGTGATGGTGGTGGTGGTGGTGGTGGTGGTAGTGGTGATGGTGGTGGTGGTGGTGATGGTGGTGATGGTGGTGGTGATGGTGGTGGTGGTGATGGTGGTGTTGGTGGTGATGGTGGTGATGGTGGTGGTGGTGATGTTGGTGGTGATGGTGGTGGTGGTGATGGTGATGTTGGTGGTGGTGGTGGTGATGTTGGTGGTGGTGGTGGTGATGGTGGTGGTGGTGATGTTGGTAGTGGTCATGGTGGTGGTGGTGATGGTGGTGGTGGTGATGATGGTGGTGGTGATGGTGGTGGTTGTGGTACTGGTGATGGTGATAGTGGTGGTGATGGTGATGGTGGTGTGTGACGGTGATGGTGGTGGTGGTGATGGTGGTGGTGCTGGGGATGGTGATAATGGTGGTGGTGGGTAGTAATGGAGGGTGAGTATCAAGGCAGAAAACCACAAGTGACACCTGATGCCCACCCCTAATTATCCATCCCCATAATGCAATAGTCTCCTCCTTCAGTGCCCTGCTCCCAGCTGCAACTCCCCTGCTCCTGTGCTATGTTGGAGCCATGTTTGACCCTCCCTGGACTGTCATTTCCACAGCTGCAGGTCCTGGATCTGTCTCAGTCCCAGGTCTATCCCCAGCAGAAGGCTCAGTGCAGGACAGTTCTCTGAGTGTTCTTGGACAAACCCATCCTCCCTTTCTCACTTGTAGTTCTCAGGAATAACTGTAGGATGTGCTGAGAATACAACATCCTGAGACACAGAGGGACTGGCCAGAACAGCCAGCTCTGTTCCAGCTCCTTCAAAAACAGGATGTCCTTCACTGCTGGGGCTCAGCAAGTCCTGTCACTCCAAGGTATGAAACCCAGAATAGGAGGCTTTCCAGGATCCCTCAGCAGCAGTGCTAGTAAGGCCTGCACAGATGAGATTCCACCCACCCTGGGCAGCTTTCTTGAGTCTGGGGGAAGCAGCTCACAATGAATCCTAAGCTTCTGTTGTCCCTTGCTGCCTATCTGTAAGGAATACACCTCCTTTGTGTAAGTTGTGTCTGGGCTTGTTCTGTCTCACCAGACTCAAACAAGTTGGTAACCAACACATAGCAAACCTGCTTCACACCCAGTACCTGGCACACGACAGATGCATACTAAAGCATTTGTCCAATGACTTGGCAGGAGGCAGAGAAGCAGGAACCAGCCCTTCTGTGGTCCCCGATCCCAGATCCTCAGGCTACTCTCCCCTTGCTGTTCCTCCACGTGTTGTCCCTTTCCTGGGTCTCAGAGGATACCAAGAGGCTTGGAAACACCCAGGACTCAGGAGCCTCCTTTTCAGGGGTTTGGCCTTCCAGACCCCTGCCTGCCCTGGGTTGGTGGCAGCTCATGTACCCAAGCAGTCAGAGGCCATTTGCTTCATGGTGATGTTGACCTTTACTAGTGAAGAGGCACAATTTCCCCTGCTTTCTGCACTACATGGCAATGGGGTATGAGTTCAAGGGGCTTGAGAGACCTCAAGGCCCAGAAGGATCCCTCCAGGGATGCCCAGCATGGGTACTCTCAGAGAGCAGCAGACCCTACCATCTCCAATCTTCTGGGTGATGGGCTTGCCCAAGGGTGGCCAGAAGGAGACAGAGCTGAGAGTTCCCCTCCACCCTCCATCTAAGGCTAAGGCTCAGTACACTCTTCTCCTGACCTCTCCAGGATAGGTTTGCCTCTGAGTTCCCCCATCCATGCTCTCTGCACTTGATTTCCAATAGAGGCTCAAAGTTTGCACTTTGCAAGGGTCAATACACTCCCTGGGGGAGGCCACAGTCTCTGCAAGGGCTGCCCATTCATTCTCCCCCAGCCTCCAGTCATGGGGCAGCAATAAAGCCAATAGGTCCAGTTGCAGGCAGGGAATAGGAGGGAATCTTGCTCTGCCGAATGCCAGACGACTTAAGTATTGGTTTCACCTGTTGTAACTGATGGTTGTAAGTTAAGATGAGAGCAATGGTCACATATGGCTGGCTCCCTTCTGCAGGAGGGATTGAGGTCAATCAGCAGTGGAGATTTGAGGGGCGCAGGCTCAGGCAGGCAAAGAAGTGTCTCTCAATTTATTGGTGAGAAAACTCAGATCCAGAGAGGTAACGACGCTTGCCTGAAGTCACAGAGCACAGTGACAACAGAGCAGGGGCTGGAACTCAGCCCTTTCCAGGACAGGATACTGCCCCAATATCAACACTCCAGGTGGGAGTAAAGAGAGAGGTAGGCCACTCTTTGGGGGCTGGGCAGTAGGAGAGGGCAGAAAATGTCCAGCCACGTGTACTTCAAGAGGACAGGGCCTCACTCCCTTGTTTCCTGCTGCATCTGCAGGGCCTGGCACACAATAGGTGCTCAATATATGTTTGTCCCCTGAAAAATCCTCAGCCCCCAACACACATACACTGGGCTCCTAGAACTGCATGGGCTGATACAGGCCCAGCATTCACTGCTGCACTTCCCCATCTCCTCCCTGCAGCCAGGCAGTCACATCCCCCAAGCTCCTGACTTCACTCTACCCCTTCACTCCTGACACCAGAAGTCTTGGCTGACTTGGAAATTGCCATGCCTTGAATATATATGTTCCTCCAAAATTCATACATTGAAACCTAATCATCAAGGAGACAGTGTTAGAAGATGGGGCATTTGGGAGGTGATCAGGTCATGAGGGCTCCACCGTCATGAATGGAATTGATGCCCTTGGTAAAAGAGGCTTCTGAGATCTCTTCCCCCACTTTCATCCCTTCCACCAAGTGAAGACACAGCGTTTGTCCCTTCCGTAGAACACAGCCACAAGGAATCATCTTGGAAGTAGACAGCAGCCCTCGCCAGGCAACAAATCTGCCTGTGCCTTACCCTTGGACTTCCCAGCCTACAGAACCGTGAAAAACCAGTTTCTGTTCTTTATACATGACCCAGTCTATGGTCTTGTTAGAGCAGCACAAATGGACTAACACAGAAATCCATCTGAGTTTAAATAAACACACATCTATAATAAAAACACTGCTTGTTTTCCTCCACTTTTCTGTCATCAATCCAAGCTCCATCCCCACTTTCTCATCCGTCAAATCTCCAGCCCTCTGCATCTTCCCTCTGCCCTCCCTGCAGGACAGAAGGGCCCCACCTCTTTTGGGAAACAAAGGGATGATCGAAGAGCCAATAATTGGAGAAGGTTGCCTGCCTCCAAGGGGACAGAGCAGCTCAGCAGAGACTTGCCTGGCTGAGTTGCAGGACAAGGACTGAACTTGGAAATTCAGGGCACATGCATGTTATCAAGGGTCACTGAGACCTGCTTGGTGACATTAGTGACCCATCCAGGGGGCAGAGCCCAGAGGCAGCAGGTGCAGGGAGGACACAGGCTCTGAAACCAGATGGGAGCGGCCTGGACTCTGGCTCTGCTGCTTGCTGCTTGCTTCTGGGCCCCAGCTTCCCATCTGTAAGTCAGGGACAGGGCCCACCTTACAGGGATGCTGAGCATATCCATGATAAACCAGCAAAGTCCCTAGCTCAGAACAGGTGCTCACATGGTCATTGTAGGCAGTCCAGATGCAGGCAAAGCTTCTGGAATGTGATGGCTTTGGGAATTATCAATAGAGAGGTGATAACTGAAATCTCAGGTGAAGGAGGTCCCCAGGGAGTGTATGTGGGAAGAGGAGAGATGAAGGGAAAGCAGCACGAGGGTGGAATCCTGGAATCCCTTCCTTGATTCTGCTCATGGACTCCTGGACTCCTCTGAAGTCAGAAAGAGGGATTGGACTCTGGCCACAGCAGGAGAGGGAAAAGTTAAACACAGAGAAGAACTTTCTCACCATGACAGAGCAGAATATAGCAGTTGACGGTGTGAGTGTGAAGCCCAGATCTCTTCTTACCATGTGACCCTGGGCAAGTGACTTAACCTCTTCATGCCTCAGTTTCCTATTATGTAAAATGGGGACAACAGGTGTATCTGTCTCACCATTGTCAAGTGGGTTAAATGAGCTAATCCATGTAAAGTGCTGTGCTCAGCACAAGGCACTGAGTGGAGTCTTAGTGATGAGGAGGGTGGTGATGGTGATGGAGGCAATGACTGCGACAATTAATGTCTCATGATTGCTCCACGGAGGGTGGGACCAACTCCCACACACTCAAAATTGGTTTAGATGTTGAATCTGATGATGTCACGCACTCACCAAGAGGAAGGAAAAGATGTATTATTCACATAATGAGGCTTCTAGGAAGAGCAAGGCACATACCCAAGCTACCCATTTGGCTTGAGCAAAAAGAGAGGTGAATGGCTCTGGTTTTTATTGTGGTTTGGGGTGAGGCCAGGACGAGAGTTCCTGAATATGAGACATTGTTTGTCTGGTTTGAACTTCCCTGCCAAGGGAGGGAGTATGGGCCTTCTTCTCAGTTTGACCACATGTGAAAGAAAAAGGAAAAGAAGAGGAATGTGAGGTGAGAGTCATCTGCAGTGCAACATCAAAAATGGAGTTGGACTCTTTATTACAATGGTGATAATGGTAATAATGGTGATGGTGGTGGTGGGAGTGGTGGTGGTGATAATTATAGTGGTAATGATAATAATGATTGTGAAGGTGATGGTGATGATGATGGTGATGATAATCATGATGGTGATGGTGGTGATGATGGTGATGATGATGATGGTGACAGTGATGGTGATGGTGGTGGTGATAATAATGGTAGTGGTGATGGTGATGATGATGAAGGTGGGTCCTGTGGCTTGCCTCTCTCTTGCTCCTTCCTCTGTTTTGGTCAGAGATGTCTTCACAATCCATCCTCCCATCCTCCTTGGGATTTGATAAACAAATCTTTGTCTTCATCCCCATATCATTAATGTCTATTTAGTGAATATTCTTAGCTGAGGGTTGTGGGGTATGCAAATCATGAAATGTGAAGGGAGGGACACAGGTTTGTTCTTCAAATCACAGAGACAAAAATGTGGGGGGTGGGAGAGGGTTGCAGCTCAAGAGAGGTTGAGGAGAGGGCAAATGTCAGTCTCCTTAATCCTGAAGGGAGAAATATCATGGATGGCCTGGGTAAACCTAGGCTGTCACAGGTTATTGACAGAGGTGGAAGTGTGGAGAGAAAGCCCTTGGTCCTTTGAAGCTGATGTCAAGGAAGTGGTCAGCTTCCCCAGAAGCCTCTGCCCTGAGGAAGAGTGCAAACATGAATTGTAGAGTTTATGGAGGCCAGAGCCTGAGCTCTCACACAAAGGTGAGAGTTATTTCCTCATTTCAGATGAGAACCTGGACTCAGAGGCAGAATGTGGACTGCCCAAATCCATTCCACATCTGTGTAAAGTCACAGCCAGTACCATTCTCTGAAGCACATTGATGCCACACAAAGAGGGATGGTGATATGACTTGGTTGTGTCCCTATCCAAATCTCAACTTAAATTGTATCTCCCAGAATTCCCACATGTCGTGGGAGGGACCCAGGGGGAGGTAACTGAATCATGGGGGCCGGTCTTTCTCGTGCTATTCTCGTGATAGTGAATAAGTCTCACGAGATCACATGGGTTTATCAGGGGTTTCCGCTTTTGCTTCATCCTCATTTTTCTCTTGCTGCTGCCACATAAGAAGTGCCTTTCACCTCCTGCCATGATTCTGAGGCCTCCCCAGCCACATGGAACTATAAGTCCAATTATACCTCTTTTTTTCCCCAGTCTTTGATATGTCTTTATCAGCAGCATGAAAATGGACTAATACAGATGGTTTTGTTTTTTTAATCTCGTAGAATCCAGTCCCCTCCCTGCAGGGAGACCATTAATGGAGGGGCTGGTAGAAAATTGAGTGTGGGCAGAACTAACTGAAACGTGATCATTGCTACTTTGTTGTTGGGAACTGGGCCCCCAAATCTGGCCATAAACTCACCCCAAACCTGCCATAAACAAAATCTCTGCAGCACTGTGACATGTTTGTGATAGCCATGATGCCTACACTGAAGGTTGTGAGTTTACCAGAATGAGGGCAAGGAACACCTGGCCCATCCAGGGCGGAAAACCACTTAAAGGTGCTCCTAAGCCACAAACAATAGCATGAGCAATCTGTGCCTTAAGGACATGTTCCTGCTGCAGATAACTAGCCAGAGCCCATCCCTTTATTTTGGCCCATCCCTTTATTTCCCATAAGGAATACTTTTAGTAAATCTATAATCTACAGAAACAATGCTTATCACTGGCTTGCTGTCAGTACATATGTGGGTAAATCTCTGCTCAAGGCTCTCAGCTCTGAAGGCTGTGAGACCCCTGATTTCCCACTCCACATGTTATATTTCTCTGTGTGTGTCTTTAATTCCTCTAGTGCCCCTGGGTTAGGGTCTCCACGACCAAGCTGGTCTCGGCAAGTGGCACCCATACGTGAGCAATCCCCATGGTGAGTAAGAAGGGGAGCTCAGAAACATCAGGGTAACAATGGAACAAGTGTGGGCTCTGGTTCATTCCACCTTGGAAACTTTTCACACTGATGTTGAGGAGGAAGGAGAGTATAATGAAGTAACAGAGCAGGTTTGTTTGTCAGCTAAAGCTAAAGCAGCAAAGGAGAAAGACATTCTTCCCTACCCTTCTGCACCCCCTCCTTATTTTGAAGAAAAAGAGCAGCCTGACCTTCCATATGTTTCTTTTCTGGAGGACGCTGGGTGAAAAGTAGTTGCCCCAGTAACTGTTCAAGCAGCGCCTCGAGCAACCACTCTCAGTTCTAATCAGGCAGGAATCCAGCAAGCTAGAAGAGAGGGTGATTTAGAGGCTTGGCAGTTCCCTGTTAGAATACACCCCCCAGATCAACAGGGAAATATTATAGCTACATTTGAGCCTTTTCCTGTCAAATTACTCAAAGAATTTAAGCAAGCTATTAATCAATATGGACCAGGTTCTCCTTTTGTAACGGGACTGTTAAAGAATGTTGCTGTCTCCAGTCGGATGATTCCTACTGCCTGGGATCCTCTTACTCGAGCTTGTCTGACTCCTGCTCAGTTCTTACAATTTAAAACTTGGTGGGCAGATGAAGCTTCCATTCAGGCTGCTCGCAATGCCCAGGCCCGACCTCAAATTAATATAACTGCAGACCAACTTTGGGGGTCAGTGGCTGGGCTGGTTTAGATGCACCAGTGGTCATGCAGGATGATGACACAGAGCAGCTTAGAGGAGTGTGCATTAGAGCGTGGGAAAAAATCACTTTGGGAGAAGAGCAATACCCTTCCTTTAGTGCTGTAAAGCAGGGACCAAAAGAACCGTACACAGATTTTATAGCTTGGTTACAGGAGTCTCTAAAAAAGGTGATTGCAGATTCGGATGCTCAGGATATAGTGTTGTGGTTACTCACCACAGGGATTGCTTAAAAGTACTCAGGTGTCCTCCAGCTTAGTTCCACATTCTCCAACCGTCGCTCTGGCAACCCTCTGACCTGGGTTCAAGCCCACATTGGACACCATTTGCTGAGACCAGCTCAGTAATGGAGACCTGAAACCAGGGGTGCTAGAGGAATTAAAGACACACACACAGAAATATAGCATGTGGAGTGGGAAATCAGGGGTCTCACAGCCTTCAGAGCTGAGAGCCTCGAACAGAGATTTACCCACATATGTATTGACAGCAAGCCAGTGATAAGCATTGTTTCTATAGATTACAGATTTACTAAAAGTATTCCTTATGGGAAATAAAGGGATGGGCCAAAATAAGGGGATGGGCTCTGGCTAGTTATCTGCAGCAGGAACATGTCCTTAAGGCACAGATAACTCATGCTATTCTTTGTGGCTTAGGAACACCTTTAAGTGGTTTTCCACCCTGGGTGGGCCAGGTGTTCCTTGTCCTCATTCCAGTAAACCCACAACCTTCAGTGTGGGCATCATGGCCATCACAAACATGTCACAGTGTTGCAGAGATTTTGTTTATGGCCAGTTTCGGAGCCAGTTTATGGCCAGATTTGGGGCCTGTTCCCAATACTTTGTTCCTCTGAGCAGCCTCAAAACATAGCAACATGCATCAACATTAAGAACATCTGTGCATCAAGGGACCCAATCAACAGAGTGAAAAAGCAACCTATAAAATAGGTGAAAATATTATAAATTATATATCTGATAAGGGGTTAACATCCAAAACATGGAAAGAACTCTTACAACACAACAAGAAAACAAACAATCAGATTTTTTTTTTTTTTTTGAGATGGAGTCTCGCTGTGTCCCCCAGGCTGGAGTGCAGTGGCGCGATCACAGCTCACTGCAAGCTCCGCCTCCCAGGTTCATGCCATTCTCCTGCCTCAGCCTCCCGAGTAGCTGGGACCACAGGCGTCTGCCACCATGCCCGGCTAATTTTCTGTATTTTTAGTAGAGACAGGGTTTCACCGTGTTAGCCAGGATGGTCTCAATCTCCTGACCTTGTGATCCACCTGCCTCAGCCTCTCAAAGTGCTGGGATTACAGGCGTGAGCCACTGCACCCGGCCACAACCAGATTTTTAAATGGACAAAGGACTTGAATAGACATTTCTTCAAAGGAGATATACAAATAGCCAATAAGCATGCGAAAAGACACTCAACATCACTAATTAAGGAAATGCAAATCAAAATCACAGGGAGACACCACCCACATCCATTAGGATGCCTACTATCAAAAACAAAACAAAACAGAATACAACAAGTGATGGTGAGGATGTGGAGAAATTGGAACCTTGTGCACTGTTGGTGGGAATGTAAAATAATGCAGCCCCTGTGGAAACAGTATGGCAGTTATTCAAAAATTAAAAATAGAATTAGTATATGATTCAGCTATTTTACTTCCTTATATAAATCCAAAAGAAGTGGAGATTGGGTTTTAAACAGATACATGTATATCCATATAGTTTTAGTTGGGGATCTCCAGAGAGACAGAACTGATGATAGGAGACATAAAGAGAGATATGAGAAGACATATTAGAGGAACTGGCTTACTCCATTATGGAGGCTGAGCAGCCCACCATAGGCCATGTGCAAGCTGGAGAACCAGGGAAGCCAGTAGTGTGGCTCAGCTCAATCTGAAGGCCTCAGAACCAGGGAAGCCAATGGACTCTCAGTCCAAGGCCAAAGGCCTGAAAGCCTCTCAGGGAGTTGCTGGTGTGGAGTTCAAAGATCGGAGAACTTGCAGCTCTGATGTCCAAGGATAGGAGAAGGGTAGAAGAAGCAAGACTTTGCCCTTCCCCTGCCTGTTTGCTGCATCAAGACCCTCAGCTGAATGAATGGTGCCTGTCCACATTGAGGGCGGGCCTTCCCCACTCAGTCCACTGACTCATACACCAATCACCTCACAGACACACCTGGAGCAGCCCAATCATTTCAATCAAATGCCAAACCACCTGGGTTTCCCTTAGAGCACAAGACAGATGGGCTCAGCACCCCCGAATTCCACCCAAAGCAGAAGTCCTTTCCCAGGGTTCTGGTGCAAAGCAACCCTCCAGGGGTGGGCATTTGGGAATAATTAATGCTTATATGTAAAATGGGTAACCGTCTGGGTATCCCTTAACCCAGTCAAGCTGACATCCCAAATCAACCATCACACATATTCACAGCAGCATTACTCACAATAGCCAGAAGGTGGAAGCAACTCAAGTGTCTGCCCATAGATGGATGAATGGATAAACAAAATTTGGCATGTACACACAATGGAATATTATTCAACCTAAAATAGGAAAGAAATTCTGACACAAACTACAAGATGAATGAAACTTGAGGACATTATAAGCAAAATAAGACAGCCACAAAAAGACAGATAGTATATGATTCCACTTCCATGAGGTACCTAGATGGAGTCAAATTCATAGAAACAGAGAGAAGAATGGTGGTTGCCAAGGTCTTGGGGGAGCAGAGAATGGGGAGTTAGTGTTTAATGGGTACAGAGTTTCAGTTTGGGAAGATGAAAAATTCTGGAGATGGTGGTGGTGATGGCTGTATAACAACATGAGTGTTCTTAATACTACTGAACTGTACATTTAAAAAAGGTTAAGATGGTATATTTCATTACATGTATTTTACTATAATTAATAATTTTTACTAATATATATGACAAAAGATGTATGTCCTAAAGCTTCTAGAACCACAAGACTATGATGGAGACACAACATTGAACAATCCAGAACTCTCAGACTAGCCAGGTCTCCTAGATTTTAACTCTCATCCTTTACTTGGAGAGGGAAACTAAAGCTCAGAGAGGCTGTGTGAGCTCCCTGAGGTTGCACAGCAGGTTAGGAGGAAAGTCAGACTCACACCTTGCCCCTTGCTCGTTCTCTCGATTCTGCACCTAGTTCCCCAGACACTGTCTCAAGTGGCTTCCAGAAAACATTTACCAGGACCCACATTTACATCAACACTCATGACTCCTGCACCAAGACCCAGAGGGCTCCAGGGCAGTCATTCTGGCTTGGTATTTGAGGACCCCTTCCCATGGTGCTCTGCATACTCCCAGGACCCTTCACTACCCCTGGACCCTGAAAACCTGGGCACCTCCTCTCCCCTTCATTTCCTATCAAGACCTCGTTTTATATCCCAGGCCTTCCTCCCCATCTGCCATATGCGACGCTTCCTTCGGCACATCCTCTGCATCCCACAGCTGCCTGCCACACTCTGGCGGAGAGGCAAGGCTGTGGGCTCACACGGGGGTTGAGGGCCCCCGTGATCACCCTCAGCCAGTGACAGCACACTGCAAGTGGACACCCAGGAGCAGCCTCAGCCACCAGGCCCTAGGAGGAGGGTGACACCTTTCAAGGAATCATGACTCTTTAGTGGCCACTGCCTTCCCATTCACCCACCCCTCCTTCTTAGCACAGATTACAGCCTCCACCTTGATGACTGTGATCTGATGAGGCTCTTCCTCTCTCCCCAAAATGTTGGAAAGGATGATGATCTGTGGGTCAGAGTCCTTGGTTCTACTGTTTACAGGCTATGAGACCCCAGGCAATCAAGTCCCCTCTCCAAGCCTCGGTTTCCTCATCTGTAAAATGGTGACACAAGTAATGAATCCTAGTGTGTATAACATTGGAATAGAATTATCAAGCAAAGTCCCAGACTCTTAGAAAGGGCTCAATAAGTGTTCACAATAAAGGTTTCTTCTCTCCTTCTTTCATTTCAGTGAACTAGGAAGAGCGTAAGTTTTGACATCAGGAAGTGCTGGGCATGAATCTTTGATCCACGACTTAGCGGCTATATGAACTTGGACAAGTTGCTTAACTTCTCTGAACTTGTTTCCTCTTTTGTTAAAACAAACAAAAACGGGTTCTCCTCTCATTGAGTTGTTTCATTGAATATTAAATGAGTTACAGCAAGCCAAGAGCCAGCAAGCCAGCACAGTGCCCAGTACATAGTAGGTGCTCAACACATGCCACCTAATCCCTCCCACCAGGTCCCCCTCCCTGCATCCTCTGCACAGACAAGCTGGGTCAATACCACATAAAACACCACATTGACCCCACTTGGCCTTTCTCTTCTGTTCCTGCCCCGCTGGCCACGCTGAATAGATTTCACGGCAGAAATGACTGTTTTTGCAGAAACTGATTGTGATGAAGCCTGAACACAATGATTCAGAGACCACAGGAAGTCGCTGCCAACACAGGCACTTACAGGAACAATGTCTATGGGGGAGCCTCCTGGAATCTTGGGGCAGGGAAGAACCTTCTCTGTCTTTAGGTCCCATGCCATGAAGTCCTGAGTGGGCTTCTGAAGCAGTGACCCTCTCAAGGGTCATCTCATGCTTAGCTCCCTGCAAGAACAGGGGAGGTAAAGAATATGGCTGGGGTCTCAGACAGACCCAGACTCCAGACCCAGCCCCTCCACCTACTTCCTGAGAGGACTTGGGTAAATCTTTTACCTTCTGGGGCACAACGTCCTTGCATTTCATAGCACTATGAATGACAGCCACGTCTGGGTTGTGGTGAGAACCAGATGGCTCAGCTCATAGAACATGCTCAGGGCCTGGCACCCATAGGTGTTAATAAACGGTAACAATTACTATTGAGATTTAAGTCCAGCATTCCTCCATTACTAGCTGTGTGGCCATGGGTCATCCCTCATATGTTCTGAGACTCTGCTTTACAATCTCAAAAAAGGGATGAACAGGCCGGGCGCGGTGGCTCACACCTGTAATCCCAGCACTTTGGGAGGCCGAGGCGGGTGGATCATGAGGTCAGGAGATCGAGACCATCCTGGCTAACAAGGTGAAACCCCGTCTCTACTAAAAATACAAAAAATTAGCCGGGCGCGGTGGCGGGCGCCTGTAGTCCCAGCTACTCGGGAGGCTGAGGCAGGAGAATGGCGTGAACCCGGGAAGCGGAGCTTGCAGTGAGCCGAGATTGCGCCACTGCACTCCAGCCTGGCGGACAGAGCGAGACTCCGTCTCAAAAAAAAAAAAAAAAAAAAAAAAAGGGATGAACATTCTTACCCCACAAGGCAATGGGACCTAAACCGCCTTGTACAGGGCTTGGCACATAGTAAGTGCTCACCATATGAGCAGTCCCTCTTCCTCCTTTCTCCCCTCTTCCTCCTGAGGCAGCCTATTATACCTGCTGGACATCTTTGAATTACAGAGAGTTCTAGAATTTATCCTTATTGGTCCTTAGCCTATGAAGTAGAAAAGAAACCAGCCAACTAGAATTGAGTCACAGATACCTAGGTGAGATGGTGTTTCCAGAGGGAAGAAGTGATCTCTGGGGTCAAATGCCGCTGAGAAGCCAAAGGCCACAAGGACAGAGACATGTCCACAAGGAGGAGGCATAGGAAGGGTATTTGTAACCTTGACAAGACAGAAATCAGACTGTAGTAGGCAAGAAATGATGGCAGTGGGGAGGAAGAAGATGGAGCCAGCTTCTGCAGGTAACTGGTTCAAGTGGAAGGGGGCACAGAAATCCACTTAGTTGGCTTCATAGAGTCAATGTAGTATGGGCAAGAAGAGAGAGGCTGGAGTTCCAAGTGCTAGCAGAAGGCAAGGCCTCTGCAGGGGCAGAAAAGTGTGTTCCAGGGTGTCTGGGGAGGGTGGTGGAGAAGGTAGGCCTGACTCGATGCGCTGACTGCACCTGTAGAGGCTTCCCCACCCCCAGACTTTCCCTCCCCATTCCATCGTGTTCCTTCTTTTCTTCCAAAAACCAGCTCAAAAGTTTCCTCCTTGAGCATGTTCTTCCTGAGCCACCTCCCTTCAGCCTTGCCTGGCAGCCCGGTGAGGACAGGAGCATGAGGTTTGGAAATAGTTCTAGACTAAATCTCCTTTCTCCCTTCACTAGTAATGAGCCCTTACTCAAGTCCCTTGACAAGTTCCAGTTTTCTTGTCTGTAGAATGGGGCAGCCCCCAGGCTCCTTTTCAAGATCAAATGAAAAATCAAGTGGAAAAAGAGCTCTGCAAACAGCAAACTAGTGCCTGAGCACTGGCTAATGGCTCCACCTGTCTCCCTTTGCGGTGTCCCTTCTGCAAGCTGGAGTGTGATTTGTGTTTTCCTTCCTATGTTTCATGATCGCCTTCCATGCAGAAACTGGCACCTAAGAACTGCTCAGACAGCAGGAGGGCCATGGAATGAGCTCACCACGTGAAAGCAGCTAGCTTACCCTACCGGATGGGGCACACATCTTAGGCTGTGCTGAGATTCAAAGAGTCACTATAGCCACACAGTTGGGGCATGCTGGGGCAAGCAAAGACTTGAACCTAAGCTTTTGGTACCCATGCTCTTTGTGATATTGGGAAATCCAGGCACAGCTTTTGAAAGGTGAAATTTCAGCATCCGGGCAGCCAGGGGAGGCAGCTGTTTCGTGGCTCTGCCTCGGCCCCCTCCAACAGGCCCATCCCAGTTGCTGAAAGATCCAGCATAGTTTTAGTTAAGATTCTGAGCCCAGGAGGGAAGCAGGAAATGATTCATTTTCTCCCTCAGCCAACGTACACAAAGGTACATTATTAATATTTACTCGGGGGCTTCTCCAAGGACCACAACAGCAAATCATAGGAGAGGAGGAAATGGAAGATGAGCTTCACTAGGTCTGCCAGCTGCCTACATGTGGGGTGAAGGGGCCCTGCCGACCATGCTACCTGGCACAGCCCCCACCAGTGCTGGGCCTAGACGGGGCCTTGAGGTTCATTCTCTCCAACCCAGAGAGGGAAGGGGACTCACCCACAGTGACTCAGCAAGGTCACCACAGAGGAGGGAACAGAATCTGGGAATGTGGAGGGATGGACCAAGCTGTGAGCCTCAGGGCCCTCGTCTGCAAAATGAGGAAATAAACACTGCCCAGGCAGTTTTGAAGGAAGATGTAAAAGAACGACCCACAGCATCTGGCCAAGAACAGGGGCTCCACAAATAACATCAACGTGAGTGCTAATGAGGACATCGGTGACAGGGCCTGCCCCCATTTCCCAGCCTGCTTTGCAATAGCCCCGGGCACCCCTTCCTGGGAAAGCATCCCTCTCCCCAGGCTGGGCTGGGCTAATGAAAACCAGGCTGAGAGAGTATCAGTTACTCTGCACAGGAAATGGTCCCTCTTCGTCTTTCTAAGATCTCCTTTCACAGGGGCCAGGCAGTAGCCGTCTGCACCCTGCTGTTCTCCAGAAGACCAAGCCCTACTCAGGCTCAGCAGCCACCCTTGCCCCTTTCTGTGGCCCACTCTGTGTCATCGTCTGAGGAATGGGGCCCAGATGTGGTTTTTTTCCACCTGGCAGACACCTGCTGACAGCTTCTGTCGCTTGGCGGCTGTAATTGCAGTGCTCTCTCCCCTTTATGCCCTGCTAGGCACAGACTCCATCTGCCTCTGCCAGGGAGTTTATTAAATAGTTTATTAAATCTCTCTGCTTTTGCTTGCAAACTGTCTCTTTTAGAGATGAAAAAATACCGAGACCCAAAGAGCTAAAGTGAATTTCCTGAAGGCCCCACAGCTAGAAAAAGACTGAGCTGGGAGTTTGTGGGTGACTCTGATTCTGGCTGGTGCCCCCACCCCTGCTCCAAGTCCCTTCTGAGTTCCCACTGCATCTGCAAAACCAGATCCTTACACAAAAGCCCCTCTCCCCTGCAGCTGAGCAGATACTGTCACTTGTGACTCAAGCAGCCCTGATTCCCATGAGGAAGAGCAACTTCCTGATGCTCAGAGATGCCCAGAGCCAGATGGGCTCTGACCTCAGAAGGCAGATCACTGAGGTCCTTGGGAGGGCAGGAAACCTGCAGTGCTGGGGCCCAGGCCCTGAACCCTGGTGGCTGGGGTGTTCTGGGGCCTCTCTCCTAATTAACCTCCTCTCCGCTGTGTTTTCTCCCTCCTGCTCCACGTCCCTTTCTTCCTCATCTCCCAAACCCAGCCCCTCCTGGGATCATCCATTCATCCCTCAGGCATCATGTATAGTCCACTTGTGGCTGTTCATCCACTGGGCTGGCCACACTGGGAACGCAGAGAGGGACAAGACCGTGTCCCTGTCCTCAGGAAGCCTCCAGTCTGGCTGGAGAAACAGACACAGAATCAATCACAGCCCAGCCTGGCCACTGCTGATGGGGGAAGATGCGCGAGGGGCTGGCGAGCTAGGGGCAGGCAAGGCCCTGGACATGGAGACAGGGAGGACTTCTGGGAGGAGGTGGTGTCTGCGCTGAGACCTGAAGGAGAAGTGGGGGAGCCAGGGGAAGGCGCTCGCTAGGGGGGAGAAGGTTACTGTGGGTGGCAGCAGCCAGGCACAGGCACGGCACTGGCAGAGAAAGGGGGAGCCTGGCACCCTTGGAAATGGTAGGCAGCTCTGCGTAGCCAGAGCAGGGTGGGGAGGAGGAAGAGGAGGGTGGGGAGGTGCAGAAAGATGGGGCTGGGGTCCACCTGGGTCAGACCACAGAGGGCGTAGGGAGGGCTACAGGAGGAAGTGACCTCTGTAAGCATCGGGGAGAGGGTGTTCCAAGAGGATCTGGGCTCCTCAGATCCCCCAAATGGTGGGGAGGGGAGAAGGCTTCTATCTTCCTCCCTCCCTCTGGCCTTCTGTGTCTCTCTCTCCCACCCCCATCTTTCCCCCTCTCTGTGTCCCTCCTTCTCTCCCCCGTCCCCCCTCCCTCCTCCCCTCCCCTCTCTTCCCCTCCCCTCCCTCTCCTCTCCTGCCTCCCCTCCCCTCCCCTCCCCTCCCCTCTCCTCCCCTCCCCTCTCTTCCCCTCCCCTCCCCTCTCTTCCCCTCCCCTCCCCTCCCCTCCCCTCCCCTCTCTTCCCCTCCCCTCCCCTCTCTTCCCCTCCCCTCCCCTCTCCTCCCCTCCCCTCTCTTCCCCTCCCCTCTCCTCCCCTCCCCTCCCCTCTCCTCCTCTCCTCTCCTCTCCTTCCCTTATACTCCCCTTTCCCCCATTTCTCTCCCTCCCTCCTTCCCTCCCCACTCCCCTCCTCTCTGCAGACCCCTCCCCACCTCCTCCCGGCCCCGCCCAGCCGCGCTAGTGCGGCCCTGCGCCGCCACCTTCAGGCCGTGGCCGGGAGCGGTGCGGCACCCCCAACAACACCCACAAGGAGGAGGTGCGGGCCCGGGTCCCGCCCTAGAGGTGGTGGAGGTCCCGCCCCGACCGTCCTGGGGCCGCCCCTCCCCGCAGCCTGGGCTCTGCCTGCTCTGCGCCCACGCTGGCATCAGCCCCAGCTGGCTCCGTCTCCACTAACGACCCTAATTACCAGCCAAGCTCGGCTCCCCAGGGCCCAGGCGCCAGAACTGATGACTTTAATAACAGAATCCCTTCCCTTTCACGGCCTGCTCCGGGGACCACCGGCCTGAGGATGCAGCGATCTCTGCTGTCCTGGGAGGGCGGGCCACATGGGGGTTCTACACCGTCTTACACATGGGGAAGGGGCTCGGCCTGGCCAATATGGTGAAACCCCGTCTCTACTACAAGTACAAAAATTAGCCGGGCATGGTGGCACATGCCTGTAATCCCAGCTACTCAGGAGGCTGAGGCAGGAGAATCACTTGAACCCGGGAGGCGGAGATTGCAGTGAGCTGAGATAGCGCCACTGCACTCCAGCCTGGGCGGCAGAACAAGGCTCTACCTCCAGAAAAAGAAAAAGAGAAAGAAAAAGAAAAGAAAAGAAAGATAGTAGTTACAAAGATGAACGATCCTTTATCACAAACCCTTGTAGTACAGCACATCTCCCCATGATGTTTTATCTTCTATACAAATAAGCATTGTACCTAGGTTGGGCACGTTCCTCCTCTTACCTTCGGGAACACCCTGCTGTGCCTATGGAGCAGCTACTGTTTATTCTTTTACTTGCCTAATAAACTTGCTTTTCTTTACTCTGTGGACTCTCCCAATTTTTTCTTGTGTGAGGTCCAAGAATCCTCTCTTAGGGTCTGGATCAGGACCCCTATCCCTTAACAAAATGACAGTGGGGTGACAGTTTTCACGCTGGGTGATTGGAGCTATGACACTGGCCTGTGACAATTCCTGTGGGAGCCCAGAGAAGGTGCTGGCACACCGGGCGGGGGGGGGGGGGCTTCCAGAAGGGTGAGGGAGGGGGCTCTGAACTGGCTTCACAGAGTGGGTGGCATCTGAGCAGGTTCATCCAGATGGAGTAAGAGTTTGCAGGGGAAAGATGATGGGAAGGGCATTCCAGGCAGGGGAGAGGTACCCAGAGGTGTGGAATCTGGAAAGAGCAGAGGCTTTCAGAGATAGGGAGTTTTGTGTGGCTGAAGACGGAGGGGAAACCGGTGGGTTAGGCTGGGGGAGCATCAGAGGTCAGATGAGGAAAGGTATCGGGGACCTTCTTCACCAGGCATGAGGGAGACGAGGTAGAAAGTAATCGTAACATTAACAGCCACAGCTAACCCTCACTGAGGGCTTCCCATCTGCCAGGAACATCCTGAACACTCTAGACACTTCGTTCACTGATCTTAAGGGGAAGGCACATTATCACTGCCTCTATTTTATGGAGACAAACAGGCAGCAAGAGGTTAAGTCTCTTGACCTAAGTCATTGGTGAGGGAGGAGGCCAGGGTGCCATCTTGGTCTTGGGCTGATGGTGCCATTCGGACACCCACTCACTCAGAGAAGAAATACCTACTGCAAGCCTGCTCAGACTTTCTCCCTGCCCTCAGGTAGCTGACACTTCAGTGTAGATGGATGATTCCTGGGAAGCCATGTAAACACACAGCTAAAGAAGATCATTTCAGGCAGTAAGAAATACCATGAGAAAAACCCAACAGGGAGAGGAGTCAAGGGACTAGGGTGTGGGTCCAAAGGAAGAACTCCTCCCATAGGCTCAACTTCTAGGACATACCTGGCAGCCCTTCCCCTCTAAGGACCTCCCTTCCCCTCCTGGACACTGTGGGGGCTGCAAGGAGAGTTTCTGATGGCCCACCTCTGGGAAAATGCTTCTCAAGACCCCTCTTCTTTCTCGCTAGTCTCCTTCTGCTTCAAGCACTGGCTTCCAACCATCTCCCTTGGGGATACCTCAGGTTAACGGCCAAGAAAAGCAACGTTTTTGGCTTCCCCTGCCAAAGGCCAGGGGTGGGAAGGGACATCTCTGACCCTTGGAAACATAGCCTTGACTTCTCTCTTCATGGGAGAGTAAGGAAGAGTTTCCCTACCTTATGCTGTTTGGTTTCCCACAGGTAGTCCCATGCTACCTATAAAATATTAGACACAGAGAATCTTAGAGCAATCAAGCCTTAGATCCTCAGACTTAGCATCAAATTATAGACTCTGAGACTCTTAGAATCATGGAATGTTAGAAATCGAACACGTTAAATGGCATGATAAAATTATGGAAGTTTTAGAATTAAAAAACAAGATCTTGAAAGTCTCAGAACCCTAGGATTTTAGAATTTGGAGTTGAAAGGAACTCCTGGCTCCATCATTAACAGCTGATGTCTTTGAGCATTGATTTATTCTCTGTGCCTCAGTTTCCTTTCTGTTAAAAGGGAATAATAACAATTTGTGACTGACAGCGTTGCTATGAAGAGTCAATGAGTTATTATATGTGGAGAGCTGAGCCCAGTGCCAGGCACTCAGTGAGCTGTGAGCTGTACTAATGCTCTTACAACTAATCTAATTCACCTTCCTTTGTAATACGGTTTAACTGGTTACCCACCCCTCCACCCACCTAGCTTCTGTGTAGGAGGCCATGCAACTTAGACTAGATTCCCTCCTAATATGAGATGTTTATTTCCATTGGAAGCAACCTTTATCATTCCAAAACCTGCTGTCCTGTCACTTCCTGCCTCTCTTGTCCCAGTACTGTCCTCTATAGGCAGAGACTCCCTCTCCTCAATGGCTACACAGCCATTGGGAGCTCAGCCTGCTCAGCCTCTCCTCCTAGATGGCCAGGTGGAGGTGGTGCAATTTGTCTGGAAGCCTCCCCCATCCCCATTCTCTTTTCTTCTTTTCTCAGTATCCTCTGGCCCTCCCCCAATTCCTAGGTTTCCTAGGAGCTCCAATATCCTGCTTTCCACAGACAAAAGCATCCATTAATCCCCCTGAGGTCAGAGGGGCTGTGCACTTTGCAAAGGAAGCCTGCAGAAAAAGGCATCATTCAACCTAAAGCCTCAGTGTAGGTGGATGATCCCTGGGAAGCCATGTAAACACACAGCTGAAGAAGATCATTTCAGGCAGTAAGAAATACCAGGAGAAAAACCCAACAGGGAGAGGGGTCAGAGCTCAGGGGTCACCTGGGGCATGACAGATCATGGGATCTGTCGATGGTGGGAGCTCAGGGGCCAACCCGGGGCATGACAGATCAATGGATTTGAGCAGAGGGAGTTTAGAGTGCCCCTACCCCAGAACGACAGCACCTGAAAGCTGCCCACTTTGCTTGGGTGCTCTCCTTCCTTCCGGGTGCTTGGCATCTCTGAGGGAAGGAACCATCGCCCAGACCGTTGCCCGGGTGAGGCTGCACACACAGATCTGCACTAATGGTCGGATGCAACCTGCAGCAATGACTGAATATCCAGCACCAATAATTCCCCAGCTTTGCCACTAGGGGCTCCAGGAAGGAGCAGCAGCAAGGAAGCTGGACATCTGCAAGGCTCCCATCACTTCCCAAAGGGCACTTTATGGTTGGGCAGAAGAATGGGCATCTTTCTCCCAAATGGCCTTGCAACTGCTAGGGCATACTTGGGCTCTTTCAGTTAAAACACTGGTCTGCGGAGAGAGATATCAATAAGTAGAAATTAGCTTATTTCTGGAAATTGAGTGAGAAGGGAGTCTGGGCTGGTTTTGTGTTTTAAACTATTTCTCTTTTCATCCTACCTCTCTGCCTCTGATGCCAACGCCCTGAGGGCAGAAGTGGAGTTGACAGGACCAGAAGTCTCGAGCCAGGCCCCGGCAGTCAGCAGAGAGACCCAACCAGGCCTGGGGCCTCTGCAATGGCCGAGGACATCAAGCCTAGCCTCAGTGAGGACACCAACAGAGCTGGGCTCTAATGGTGGGAAAGAAGGTGCAGGATGGAGAGAGGCTCAAGAGGGGGAAGAACAACCTATGTTCCAGCCCCTCTTTCCCTGCCCCACACCTCTTTATGCTGCAGGTGCAATCGCTTGTCCCTGCTCCTCAGGCGTGCTGGGCCCCTCCAGACCATGCTCCTTTGCACATGCTGTTCCTCTGCCACGAATGTCCTTCCCAGCCACATACCTCCTCCTCCATGCAGTCTTCTCAAGCTGCTCTCCTCCAACCCCAACTCCACCCCACGCACCCACCTCAAGCTTTATTCTTCTAAGGCCTCTTCCAGCTCCAGGTCTTCATACTCTTAGAAGCTCCTTTCTCCATCAGATCAAACATATCAAGATTGCACATTAAATCAGTGTATGTATATAACTACATAAGAGCCAAGGAGAGCACAAAGTGACAGTTGATGATGTTACATTTTGCAGAGATTTAATTAAACATGTCAATTTGAAGGTTGTATCTTTCTGTTTGTATTTGAATCTCATAACTTTTTTCAGGCCTTAAACATGTTGATAGGGCCGAATGAGCTTTAGTGCCTCTGTAGATGGGGATTCAGATGAGCTCAGCATCCTGGGGTCTTAGAGGTGGCAGAGAGCCCTGAAGTCATCTTTCTACTCTAGATTTTTCAGGGCAAGATGGAGAGTCAGGGACAGAGAGAGGCGAATGTGTCTGAGGTCACAGAGAAGATCATGGTAGGTCCAAGAGAAGGAATTGGGAACACCTGATCCAAGTCCAAGGCCACATCTCCCACAGTTTACTGTGTGGACTGGGGCCAAGGACTTTTGGCCTGGCCTACCCTCTAAAGTGGACCCGAGAATCAAACCAAATCCAAATATTGCAGTAGCTGCTGTGTTCTGGGTGGTCCCCATGCATGAGCCCTGATGCTAAGCAGTGTGTGTGTCTTTCCCCATTTCTCCCTCTCAACTTTCAGTGAGGCAGGTGCCATTATTGTCTGTCTCTCCTTGCAGAGAAGACCACTCGGTGAGGCTCAGAGAAGAGAAAAGACCAGCCAAAAAAAAAACCCTGCCGGGCACATGGCAGAGCTAGGAGTCCATCCCAGACAGTGTAGGGCTAGAGCCTCCAAGCCACCCCTGTTCTATGAGCCCCAGGCAGAGAGAAAAGGAGGGAAGGTGGTGGGAGGGGAGAGGAGAGAGGCTCCTTCCCTTGGATGTCTGGGGGAGATCCAGGCCATGGTCTGGCACATGCCGCAGCACATCCTGTGGGTTCATGTGTTCAGATGGCCTGACCCTCTACAGGGAGCATCATGGCATGGGCTTGAACATGCCAGATACGCCTTAGCCCTGAGCAAGCCCTCTGTCCCCAGGGTCCCAGGGAAGGCAAACTGCTCCACAGACCTAGCTGAGTGCAGCAAAAACAGGACAGCAGAAGGGATAACACCATCAGATGGACCTGGGCTGAATCCCAGCGCCACCATGTCCTGACGGCTGAAACGTGGGCAAAGCTCTGCCTTCCCTGAGCCCCAGCTTCTGAATCTGCAAAACGGACACAGTGTCTAACCACCACCTTGTAGTATTGTTGGGGACTTGAAGTAAAATGAGATAGAGGAGGAAACTGGTGCTCAGAGATGTTAAGACAGGTGCCCGGGGCTCACACAACTGGTAAGCTGTGAAGCCGGAATGCAGGCTTTACTGTCCTCTGTTCTAGTCTTCGCTCCCCAACTTACAAGCCATAGGACCAGTGAATTTACCTTCTTTTTTTGAGATGGAATCTCGCTCTGTCGCCCAGGCTGGAGTGCGGTGGCGCGATCTCGGCTCACTGCAACTTCTGCCTCCCAGGTTCAAGCAATTCTCCTGCCTCAGCCTCCTGAGTAGCTGGGATTACAGGCATGCACCACCATGCCCAGCTAATTTTGTATTTTTTAGTAGAGATGAGGTTTCACTACATTGGCCAGGCTGGTCTCGAACTCCTCACCTCGTGATCCGCCCACCTCAGCCTCCCAAAGTGCTGGGATTACAGGTGTGAGCCACTGCGCCCAACTTGATTTTACCTTCTAAGCCTCAGTTTTCTCATCTGTGAAATGTAGATAATGATACTGTCTTGCAGGTTTTCCTTTGGTATTTGCAATCTTGTGTTTAAATTGTCTGGTACCCAGTAACATCCATGACCTGGTAGTTAAAATGATGGTGATGATGGTGATGATAATAAACAGGTTGGATTGAGCAGAATTAATAGGGAGAAGAGAGTTGATTAAGGGAATTCCTGTCCCCACCAGGAGAAGGAATAGGCTGATTATCTACTGATGCTCCCACTGCCCATCCCTCTTCTTCCTCCTACCCCTCACCACCAGCTCCAGGAAGCTTATGAGGGACACTTGTGGGGAGGGCAGCTACTTCCCCTGTGAACTTTGGCTGCTATTCTTCCTCACAAAGAAGATTCATCAGTCATTACAGGCATGAGAAGTATGACTGGTTCTGCTCTCCATGGAAGTGGGGGCTGGAGAGATGAGAACAGGGAGGGTGAGGTAGGTATGGGCAGTTGGATGGCAGGTGGGGCTTGGCTTGTTAGTGGGTGACCCTGCAGCAGTCCTGCTGTGAGCACAGGCTCTTTCCCAATCTAATTAGCATTGCTGAGAATTCAACTACACAGCCCTGAAGTGAGTTTGCTTCCCCAAGAGCATTCCAGAACGAATACTGATTAAATATGAAACAGTTCCTCCCTTCAGGGCTAAGTCTAGAAGGCACAAATCAGAAATGGGAGCTGTAATTATTAGCTCTGATTTTAAGTAATAGAATAGAATAGAATACAATAGAATAGAATAGAATAGAATAGAATAGAATAGAATAGAATAGAATAGAATAGGAGGATAGAATCCAATCTTCCCATCCCACAAGTAAAAACAACCAACAATATTCCGAGTTATTTCTGCTCTATTTAAAGGAGCATGAGCTTTTTTATTCTTTGCTCCTTCCCATTGTTATCTTTCTGCTTTTTCATCCGGGTGATTTGCTGTGTACCTACTATGTGCCCGGCATATATGGATGCAAGGGTAAGAAATAAACAAGTCAGACTAGGTGCCCGCTCTTCTGGGGCTCACAGTCAAGAGGGGGATGTGACCTTTTAAAAAAAAAGTCCCAACAGATTAGTGCAACTCACCTGAGGATGGGCCAAGTATGCCATGCACAGGAGGATGCTGAGAGGGACTAACTCAACTACGGGATGGTTGAGTGTCTTAGGAGCTGATATTTAAATTGAGGACTGAATGGCTTTTGCACTTGTTCCCTCTGCCTGGAATGCTCCTCCTCAGACATCCACAGGGCTCCCCACTTAACCTCCTTTAAGTCTGCAAAAACATTTGTGTTAACCGCAACTCCCCACATTCCTGGGCCCCTTCCCTGCTTTATTTTTCTCCATTGCACTTGTCCTTGTGTTACCAATACATTTAATCTAGATGTTTATTGCCCATCTCTGCCTATTAGAAGATAAGTTTTCTGAGGCCAGAAATTGTTGTTTCTCTCTGTTCTATACCCAGTACCTGGCACAGAGCAGGGACTCATTCAATATATGTTGAATGACTGAATGACATCATTAGTCATGCTTTGCTTTGTTCTGTTTCTTAAGAGACAAGGTCTCACTTTGTAGCCCAGGCAGGAGTCATGCTATGGAGCACAGACCTTATCCTTAGAGCAAAGAGGGGCGATCCCAGGATCTTAAGGAGGTATGTGGCCAAGCTGGTTTAGAAAGATCTTGCTGCATGAATTGCAGGAGACGAGAGGCTAGGAGGTCCCACAGGAGTGTGCTGAAGGAGGTGTGGACCAGTGTTGTGATGGGGGAGATGCCTGGAAGGGAATGGAAGGAGGAATAAAAAAAAAAGATGATACCCTGGGGGGTCTTAGCACCCAAAGGGCGCCGTGGGTTTTGAGAATGTGGTTCAGGGGATCCAGAGTTAAAGCCCAAGTTCTCGACATTGGTGAGCAGCCAGGAAGGGAGGTGGCAGAGTGGCCGCCAGGGCACAGAGGGGTTCAGATGTAGTCAGACTGCAACGGAGCAGCCTGTGGCCATCCAGACCCCACCACAGAGCCCGGAGATAACCAACAGGATGAGGACTGAGCCAGAAACGGGGAGGCAGGAGATGAATGATGTATTAGGCCTCACAGGAGGCACACATATCTTCCTCCCTGTGCGAAAGCTTCCCTGATTTTCATCAAAAACAAGCAGGGGAGAGGAGGATGCGTGGATTTGTAATGAGCCCTGACACATCACCTGGTTACAGATCTCACAGCCCGGCTGATCCTCCCAGACCCAGCTACAACGACCCGGGCCCCGCCATGGCCTATAACAGAGCACATGCCCTTGGTGGGAAAGCCAGCCCCTCCGGCTGTCCCTTCCCAGGGGCAGGGGCAGGAGCAGGGCCAGTGTGGGGGTGGGGCTCAGCCCCAGCCAGAGGGCTCTGGTTGCCATGGAAATGGGTGGTCCTGAGCAGAGCCCCCTCAGCCAGGCTCCAGCATCCAGAGCAAGGGCGCAGTTAGCCTCGGCCCCCGGGTTCCGTGACCACTGTTCCCACTGTGCAGGTGGAAGCAACCAGCCCCTTCAGAACCCCCAAGACAGAGGATTCAGGTACCTTCTGGAGCAGCCTTCGTCCACCATCAAGGTCCTGCTCGCAGAGACGAGCAGAGCCCAGGCTCAGCTGGGCGCCTTTAGGTCTAGAGACCTCAGCTACTGGGGCTGAAAATGGAGGCCTCTGAGATGAGCCCAGAAGGAACCAGGACTGAACTTATGATGACCTAGAGGCTTCTGTGGCTCCATCTGTTCCTTTTCTGGGGGAGAGCTGAGGCTCTGAGGGGTGGGTAGTGCCCCCACAGTCCCCTGGGTCAGCTTCTCCCTGGTCTCCAAGGCTCCCAACCCTGGCCAAGCCTTTAGGGCCTTCTGCCATGTCCTGCCTCCCTCCCACGCAGGCCGACTCCAGCTTGGCCACGTCCATCTAGACCAGGGTCTTCTGGCTTCCTGAGTGACAGCCCAGGCTCAGCTGCTATGAGACATAAACCACCCCCAGCCCCGCCCTGCTCCTCCACTCCCTCCCTGCTCCTCCACTCCCTCCCTGCGGCTGGGTCTGGGAACACCAAGCCTGTGAGCCTCCTTGTGGGGAAGTGGGGAAGGGCAGTATTTTGGGCAGAGTTTAGGTTTTTCACAGAGGACATTTTTGGTGCCCAGAGGGAAGATACAGGGAGAGTCACAGCACAAAGTCCTTCGAGTCAGCATGGGGTGTGGACGCCATCCCAAGACCTGTGAGAGCCACGGAAGGGGGTCAGACCCAGAAGCAATGTGACCATCCTATATTTGGGATGATCACTCTATCTAGTGGCTGGGGTGGCTGATCCAATGGTTCCCAGCATTTGTGCAGCCCAAAGCAACAGAACTCATGGAGACCCACAGGCCAGCAAACTAAACATGGAATTATCAACCAAGCTAACAAAATGCCAAATAAACAAATTCTATCCTCCTACCTCAACGAATTATCCAGCTCCTCATTGGAATGTGGGAGCGGAGAAAGCTGGCCTTGACTCCTGATCCCTGATCCAGCCTAGGCCCAGCCCCCACCTCACCTCCCCTCCTGCAGCCCAGCTCCACACCACAGTCTCACACGGTGTGCGACACCCCACCCTGCAAGTCTACGCTCTGTCCATCCCTCCTCACACACAGCTGCACGTCGAAGTCTTCATGTGGGCACACTGGCACAGAGAAGAGGCCACGTGGGTCCTGGGGCCGGAGTATCAGGAGCTGGGGCAGGCCCTTCTAAACCCGGGACCCCCTTACTCAGGCCTCGGGGTGTGCAGGGTAGATGGATTTTAGGACAGGTGGGGCAGAGGGACCAGTAGGAGGGCATGAGGATGTCTGGGTCAGAAACCACCAGGGTCTGAGACAGGGCAGGGGAGGAGGGATTCCAGAGGGGTAAGACAGGACTGGACGGTGCCCGAGGTGTGAGGAGAGGGCGAGTCGGGGATGCCCGCTTGTTTCTGATTAGGGTGAGCAGGGGCTGCAGGGCACGAGGCTGAGGAGCAGTTTGATGGGAAGGTGAAGGTTCGGCTTTGAATGTTTTCAGTGGAAGGAGGCCGTGGGCTGCCAGGCGGACAGCAGCTTCAGGAGCCCCAGACGGAAAGGTCCAGGAGGCAGCGTGGCCTGTCCGGCTCCGCACTGCATGGGCAGCACTTAGGACATGTGGGTACTTCAGAGTCCCTGATAAAGACCATGGCTCAGGAAGAGCTTCCACAGGAGACGGTGGTGATCTGGACATGGACAGCGGGTAGACCCATGGATGTGGATGAACTCACACAGAAGGACAAGAGAGGAGGGCCCTGGGGAGAACCAGGGGTGCCCATGCCAGCTTCACCACGGCTGGGTCTGCAAAGCTGACTTGCCTCCTAGCTGCAGGTGCGGGACAAGGAGAGGTGGAAGGGAGAGAGCTGGGCCGGCCGCCATCCCCTTCCATGCCCTGACCCTGCCCACTTGTTACACTTGTTATGTGGCCCAGTTAGTGTCCTCCTCTGTCCAATCAGATCCACACCTCTCCTTCTTTGGGGAGCATGAAGGGGTCTTAGAAGGACACAGAGGTGGGTCTGGCATGAGGCAAAGGGAGGACATTTCCTCCCCGACAATAATGGTCAGACTGCTGACTGCTGGAACGGTCATTTCAACAGTCTGCTGGGAATCCAGAGGCAAAGGACGTTCATTTCCACTGGCAGGTGAAGCAAACCTCATGGAAGGTCTGCCTTTGACTTTCGCCTTGAAACTGGTGTAAGAGTTCCATAGACAAAGAAGGGGATCAGTAGGGAGGGTGGGAGGCACAGAAGACAACAAGCTGAGGGTGTGTGCAGGGCACAAGTCAGAAATGCTGAAAGGTCCTGGTGTGCTTGGAACAAAGGGTGCAGCAGATAAGGCTGGAATCAGAAAAAGAGAACCCAAGAGAAGTAGCAAGGGCCTGTGGGGGACAGAGACGTAAGGTTTGAAGTGGAAAGAGGGACAGAGATAAATGTCACTCATGGCTGGGACAAGCTTCACTGATGGAGGGATGGGTTTAGAATGTGAATCATGAAATCACACAGCATTAGAATTCCGAGGAGCCTTAGATGAGAATAACAAAATCATCATTTCTTAAAGCCTTAGAATCTTAGGGAATCTTATAATCTTAGGATAATTGAATCATTGGATCTCAGAGTCTTCAGTTTTTAAAACGACAGCAATTTTGCATGTTAGATTGCTCAAGGGTGTCACACCCAGCCCCTCCTCCTCCTGGGTATGATAATATGTACCCTGTGCTCAGCGCTTTGCACACATTATGTCCTTTTGTCTCCATGACAACCCTGGGAAGTAGCAATTATTATTTTGCCTGATTTTCCAGATGAAGACACCACGACTCAGTGAGGGTAAGTGGGTTGCAGAAGGTCAGACACCTTGTAGGCAGAGTGGCCAGGACTTGGCCCAGAACTCTGGGCCTCCGAAGCCCATGCTCTCAGCCTCTCTGCTGTTTGCCTTCTGCAAGCCCTCTCTGCTGAGTGCTCACCCATCCTCTGTGCACACCTCCAGTGACGGGGAGCTCATTACCCTCCCCAGGGGCACCTATCCATCCCAACTTGGAGCACAGTTCTTCTTCTCAGGACATCCACCCGTCGGCCCCAAATCTGCCCTAGGAAACTTCACCCAGGACTCCTGTAGGGAGAGGGAGCAGCTACCTGAAGTGGGGCAGCAACTACACAGAAGAGGAGTGTTGGATGAGGAAAGCCCCAGATGTAGCCCATCCCTGAAATATGAGGGAGTTTATCCCAAGGGAGGGAAGCCAACTGGAGACATTGGGAGCAGGCCCACTGGAAGACAAATAAGAACAAAGCCCAGAACATCAGGCGATGGGGGTGAGGGATGCATTTATAATTCAGAAATACAATGCTCCAGCAGTCAGAGTTATGGGGCCTAATGAGATTGGAATAGTAAGTGCTGTACCTTTAATTTCTTGGCTTTTCTCCCTGGAAACTTATTCTGCAAAATGTGCCTTGTGCCATCCATCCTCCCAGATGGCTTTTTAAGTGAAGCTGTTTGTTAAGTGAGAGAAGAAAAGGGATGGGAGGGGGAGGAGCAGATGGAGCCACTGCAGCCCCCTGCAATCCTGGGGAGGAGAGGAAGTGGGAACAGCAAGTGGGAGGGTGGGCAGGGGGAGTCCCTGTGGTCCTGCAGAGCACGGTCTTCCAGGATGGGACTCTCAGGTACAGCTGAGTCCACGTAATCAGGGTCCCAGTGACAGTTGCTGACAGTGACTGGGCCCTAGTGTGAGCACTGGGTGAGCAATTTGGAGTCACTGGTCCCATACATCCTCCCACATCCCTAGGCAGCAGGTACCGTGACAGTCCTCAGTCCCCAGAGGAGAAGCTCAGAGAGTTGTAGGCATTTTCCCAAGGTCACACAGCTGGTGAGAGGCTGACTGGGGACTGGAGCCCAAGGCTGCCAGACTCCAGAGTCCTAGCTCTTAACCAGGATGTCACTCAGTGTCTCAGACTGTCAGCTGGAAGGGCCTTAAAGATCAGCCCCACCGAGGCCCCCAAGTCATCAATTTCTCCATCTGTACGGTGAGCTGGTTAGTGTAGCTCAGTGGTTCCCATGCCTGATTATGCATCAGAATCTCTGGGGACTTTTCAGCAATAAAAATAATACAGTTAGAGTCTTTTGTCATAGTCTGCATCACATCTTGAGATTCCCCTGACCTCCTAAATGATTTTAGGAGTCTGACAGCCCTGGGCTCCAATCCCCAGTCAGCCTCTCACCAGGCTGTGTGACCCTGGGCAAGTGCCTGCACCTCTCTGAGCTTCTCCTCTGGGGACTGAGGACGGTCACTGTACCTGCTGCCTGGGGATGTAGGAGGATGTATGGGACCAGTGATTCCAAAGTGCTCACCTGGTGCTCACACTGGGGCCCAGTCACTGTTAGTAACTGTCACTGGGACGCTGGTTATGTGAACTCAGCTGTGCCTGGGCCCTACCTCTGGCTGATGGAGTCAGAATCTCTGGGAATGGAGCCCAGGTATCCACATTTTTTTAAAATGTGCCACCCCAAACAATACGATCTGTTGGAGAGAATATGGAGCAACAGGAACTCTCATTCGTTGCTGGTGTGAATACAAAGTGGCACAGCCACTTGGAAGACAATTGGAAGTTTCTTACGAAGCTAAACATAGCCTTACCATACGATCCAGCAATCACACTCCCAGGTATTTACACAACTGATTTGAAAACTTACGAACACATAAGAACCTGCATGTGAATGCTTATAGAAGCTTTATTCATAATTGCTGAGAGCTGAAAGCAAGCAAGGTATCCTTCAATAGGTGAAAGGAGAAATAAACTGTGGTACATCCATACAATGAAGTATTATTCAGTAACAAAAAGAGATGAGCAGTCAAGTCATGCAAAAAGGTGGGTGAATCTAAATGCCTGTTCCTTCGGGAAAGAAGCCCATTTGAAAAGGTTATATTTCTATGACATTCTGGGGAAAAAGGGAAAAATTACAAAGCTAATCAACAGATCAGTCATTGCCAGGGGTTTGAGAAGTGGGAAAGGTTGAAGTGAAGTACAGTAATTTTGTAGAGTAGTGGAACTATTATGTATAATACTATAATGGTGGATAAATGGTACTATGTATTTGTCAAAATCCATAGAATTTTACAGCAGAGTGAACCTTGACATGAACCATAACACACTCAATGCAAATTTTTAAAAAATCATTTAGAAGGTCAGAAGAATCCCAGGATGTGATGCAGACACAATAGAATCTAATTGTATCACAAATGCACGAAACAACATCACTGAGGAAGGAGAGATAACAGGTGCTGACCTGTGTAACTCTGAAAATGAGTGGAGCCTATATCACTAAGAACTGCACATAAGCACTGTGCTTTAGTTAATAAGTCATTTCCCAGGGGGAAACAATTCTGAAATCACGATACATGTAGACTAAGAGTGAACAATTAAGTGCAAGGATGGCAGATGGTGGGAGCCAAGATTCTCATAGCAAAGTGGGAGGTTACAGGCAAACAAGAGGCGGCAGCTAGAATGATCCATGTGGTAATGGATCAGAGTTGGAGACTTCAGTATGAACTCGTGTAACTGAATATGCATCAGATGTTTATATATATATGCATATTTATATTTATTTATAAATACTGTATATGTATGAAAATAAATACTGTATATGTATGCATGCGTTAGTGTACAGAAGTATATTTCCTTGCTCTGTTAGCTGAGAGGGCTTAGAAGCAATGACACCCCCATAGCAATGAGCACAGTTAATGCCCAAATCTTGGTTTCTAATATCTTTCTCCAATAAGAAAAATGGCTGATGCTAGGACTGGGCAGGAAATAAACAAGATGGGCCTGGCACACCTTTTAGTGCCAGAAAATAAGGATGTATTCAAAAAGAAAAAAACAATTCACAATGATGGGGGTATATCAAAGGAATACAGGAACCAGTTGAAAGTGTTCTCAAGAGCCAAAGCTGGAAGAATTCGAGCAAAAAAAGAAAACTGGTATTGAATTATAACCACAGTATCAAATAAATATACATGAATTCATACTAAAATGATTAGATAATAGATGATAGATAGATAGATAGATAGATAGATAGATAGATAGATAGATAGATAGAGGTGGAGGGCAGATAGATTCCCTTGCAGAAGAATTCCAAATAAAGCATGTAGAATCTGTGATGCCACCTCTCTCATACCCGATATTGGTAACTTGTGTTTTCTTTTCTATTCCCTGATCAGTGTGGCTACAGGTTTATCAATTTTATTGATCTTCCCAAAGAGCCAGCTTTGGTTTCATTGATTTCCTCTATTGCTCTTCTCCACTGATTTCTACTCTGTTACTTTTTTCTTTTCTGCTACCTACATCAGATTTAATTTGTTCTTCTGTTTCTAGTTTCTTAAGGTGGAAGCTGAGGTCATTGATTTCAGACCTTTCTTCTTTTCTAATGCAAGCATTTAATACCATAAATTTCCCCTAAGAACTGCTTTGCAGCATCCTACAAATTTTGATATGCTGTGTTTTCTTTTTCAGTTAAAAATATATATATATACTTTCTACTTCCTCTTTTGATTTCTTATTTTAGCACATGGGTTATTTAGAAGTATACTATTTGGTTTCAAAATATTTGGAGATCTTTCAGAGATCTTTCTGTTACTAATTTCTAATTTAATTCTGTTGTGGTCAGAGAGCATACTTTGTATGACTTGACTCCTTACATTTATTGAGATTTGTTTTATAACCCAGAGCATGGTCTATCTTGGCCTATTTAGATATGCACCTGAAAAGAATGTATACTTTGCTATTGCAGGGTGGAGCGTCCTGTAAATGTCAATTAGGTCAAGTTGGTTGATAGTGTGGATCAAGTCCTCTCTATCCTTTATGACTTTCTATCTACTTGTTTACCAATTACTGAGAGAGGGGTGTTGAAATCTCTGACTACAACTGTGGATTTGTCTGTTTCTCCTTGCAGTCCTATCAGTTTTTGTGTCGTATATTTTGAAGTGCTGTTATTAGGTGCGTAAACGTTTAGGATTGTTATCTTCTCTTGATGAATTGACATGATGGCCTTCTTTATCTCTGGTAATATTGTTTGCTCTGAAACCTACTTCATCTGATATGACTATAGCCACTCCAGCTGTCTTTGCCAGACATTGTGAATTTTACCTTGTTGAGTGCTGGGGTTTTTTTTTTCTCTATATTCCCGAGCTTTGTTCTTGTCATAGTACATTTTGCGCTGCTGTAACAGAATACCTGAGACTGGGCAATTTATAACAAACAGAGATTTATTTCTTACAGTTCTGGAGGCTGGAAATTCCAAAGTCAACGAGCCACATCTTCAGGGGGCCTCCTTACTGCATCATCCCATGGCAGAAAGCGAGAAGGTGAGAAAGGATGAGAGGGAGAGCAAGAGATCGAACTCGCAGCCCCAAGCCCTTTATAACTGGCATTAATCCATTCATGAAGCAGAAAGCCTCATGCCCAACTGAACTCTTAAAAGCCCCACCTCTCAGCACGGCCACACTGGGAATGATGTTTCCTACATGTGAGCTTTGGGGGACACATTTAAACCCCAGCAGTTCTGTAATGCAGTTAAGTTGCCTGAAAACAGTGGGATCCTTTTGGGTCTTGCTTTTAAGGTTTTTTTAAGGTGAGACCAGGGCACCTCTCAGTCTAGAATTCCTTTTTCCCCAGGTGGAGGCAAGACCCTCCTGCGTACTCTCCAGCATTCTCGCTCTCTCTCTATGCGGCTCTCTCCGCTCTGGCACTGCGTGTGCAAGATCCAGCCACCCTGATCTTCTGCAATCTCAGCTCCATCTCCTCAGCTCCAGGACCTCCCTGGGTTCCGCTGGGTCCTTCTTCCCCACCTCACGACCTGGAAGTGCTCTCAGGGCCGTAAGCCAGGGAAGTTGCAAGCCTCCTTTCACTTGCTTCTCATCTCTCCTTCATTGCCTCATGCCCAGTGTCTTGGAAACCACTGTTTTCACCGATTTTGTCTGTTTTTCATCACCTCGGGAGGAAGCGTGAATCCAATCCCTGTCACTCCATCCTGACTGGAAGAGGAAATCTCTGCAGCTGGGGTTGAAAACCACGGAGCTACACCAACGACTTCACTGTTCAAATGGGGAAACTGAGGCTTGCACAAGATCACACAGCAGACCTTCATCACCCCATCTGTGGGATTCTCATCAGAGCCCCACGGTGATTTCTTGAGTTGACAATCACCAGAGAGCATGGAGGAAACAGAAATTGCCCTCAGCACACTTCTGTGCCAACCCAGAGTGAGGGCTAGGATGGAGCCTGTCTCCCTCGGTAGCTCGCAGTCCTGTGCATCTTCCTCCCCTCTTCCTCTGGCCTCAGCAAAGCCCAGCCCGAGGGGGTCACCTGGCACCTCGACTGCAGATGGCGTCTCCAGCCTCCCAGCCGTGTCTGGGGACTGTGCCCAGGAAATAATTGTCAATTGTAAAGGAGAAGGGAGAATTAAGAGCTGGAGTGAGGAATGGTGCTGCAGACAGGGATGCTGCAGGAAAACGCCAAGCCAGCTTCCCCCGGAGGAAGCCCAATTCCAGCCCATCATTAGGTTCTCCCAGCTTTCACATTTAAAAATCTAGATCTAAACCAGATACAGAAAACTGATTTCCTTCCTCACTTTCCTTCTCCTCCCCTTGCCTTTTCCGTCCAGGTGCCTGGTGGATGTGTCTGGGTCTTTAGCAGCCCTCAGATGAGGGGAAAGCAAGAACTTCTCAAACTACCGCTAGAAAATGACGATGCGGGAGAGGCATCCATCCCACCCACTGGGGCAAAGTGTGGCCATAAGCTGTCAAGGGGGAGGGAGATGGGAGAACACCAAAGCCTGGCTCTTGCTGGCTGGGCCCAGGGCCCTCAGAGCTCCCCATCCATCCCTCAAGCCCGCTCCTCCCTGGGGTTTCCTATCCCAGAAACGTCCTGCCATCCCCACCAGGGTCCCAGACTGGGAAGCCAAGAGATACCTCCTCTCCTTTATCTCTCCCCCACAGTAAAAGTTAGTCCTGCCCTGTTCCTTCACCAAATGTACCAAGTGCCCACTGAATGCCCACCCTTCTCCAGGGACACAGCGATGACGGAAGCAGACCCATCCCTGTCCCCGTGGAGCTCAGCTCCAGCAGGAGAGACAGGACAGGGAAGCTCCAGGTGATGAGGCGCAGCTGTGCCAAGGGTGCCACCTGGTGTCGTGGGAGCTGTAACGCCGGAGGGGGGAGGGGAGGCCCCAGCAGGAGGGCTGGGAGGGCAAAGGCCCCGGGTGGGCACAGCTGGGGATGGGTGGGGTCTTTGCATTGTTAGGCCCCAGCTTCCCAGCTCTGAGCAACAGAGTCTCTGGCATTACAGCTGCCCCCTGCCCTAGCTTCACAGTAGGTCCAGGGCCTCTCCAGTGGACTCACACCTGACTGGACTCTGTGACCCCATTTCTACCTCTAAAATAGTTAATTCGTTGCTCCAGGATGGCCCCACTCACCAGTGGGGATGGCCCTCCCCACAATGGGGACCGGCCCCGCCCATACAAGGCTGTTCTCTGATGGCCTCCTTCCCTTGGCCCACCCTCTCCTACGGCCCAACATCCTCCTGAGAGCCCAGCCTGCCCCCTACTTTGGCCATTGAAGGGCTCTTGAGGACCCCCGGAGACCAGCTCGTTGGTGACATTGTGTGCAAGAGCAGCACGGCTGGTCCTCCAGTGAGAGGCTGCAGGCATCTCTCCAGACCTCTTTGAGAACAAAGATCTCAACTTCTACGTCTCAACCAGGAACCAAGGTGGAAGGGTTTCCTACCCCTTCCCCAGCAGAAAACGGCTTTTGCTCCAGCCCCTCCCCCAGAGACAACAGATCTTTGTCTGAGCCTCCAGGGTAGAAGGTTTTTCCTGCCCCAGGGAAGTGGTTTGAGGCTTTTGCTTCCGATAAGAGAAGGGTCTGGGAAGTGGGAGGGTTTTCATGTCCCTGTGCCCTTGAGAGGTGGCTGACTCAGATCCCTGTCCTGTCCCGTCTTTGTCCTGAGCTTTACCGGAAGCAGCTGATGAAGGAACGTGAACTCCTTTTAAGTGTGGGGGCTCCTGGGATGGCTCAGCTGTAAAGCCTTTGCACACTCAGCCTTTAAGAATTCATTGCAGTGTTAGCTGTCTGTTATGGCAGCCCACTCTCCCTCCAGGGTTCTGCCAGAGGTGCAGGAGTGGGTGGTTCTGTCTTTCTCAGAAGATCTTGTCATCCTTTAGGTTTCAGTTCAGTTGGCTGCCTTGCGACTCCAGCTCTCTGAAGGGCTCAAGAAAAGTTATGACTCTGTAGATTATCTGGCCTTTTTTCTCATTTTGTCTCATGTGTCTTTTCATATCCTAAGTAGAAACAGAAATTCATGCGAGAACCAAAAAAGTAAACAGAATGTTAGGAAGCTTAAGCAAATGTTGGAGGCAGCATAATGATGTGGCAGCTTCTTCCTGTAGAAAGGTCACTTTTTCATTTCAGAATTCAATAAATATTTGTTGAGCACGTATTATATGCCAGTCACTGTTCCAGACATTGGATGCATTGGAGGCAGAGAGACCAAGTGGGAGGCTGTTGGAGTAGATTGATAAACAAAGGCCCAGAGAGGGAGATAGAATATACCCAGGTCACACAGTGAGAGAGCACAGAGTTGGGATGGGAACCCAGCTTCTTTGACTCCATGCCCAGGGCTGCCCTGCCTTTCATCATGAGGTTTGCTGGAAGCCTCTGAAGATAATCTAATTATCACCCTGCTGGGAAACAAGAGCCATGGGCCAGAGCTCTGTGCCTCCAAAAGACGATGAAATTCAATTTGGGGCCTGAGAAATTCATGAAGACTAAATAAAAAGGGAACAATTGAGCTGGTAAATGTGTGGTGAGACAGGCATTCTCATGCAGTGCTGGAAACCTTTTTGGAAGACAACTAAGTAGGAACGCTCTTGAGCCTCAGCAATGTCAGTGCTCTGATGCACTGATTCCACCTCCAGGAATTTGTCCTAGAGATGCTTATTGCAGCCTGATAATAACAGTGAAAAGCTGGAAACTGTAATGCCCTGTCTATCCAACCAGAAAGAATGAAAAAGTCAATTATGAAGCATCTCAATGAGGGACCATTATGAAGCTATTAACATCCCGTTTTTGAGGAACTTTTTAATGATGTGAGAAAATGCTCACAACAGAATGGTAAGCAAAAAAAAAAAAAAAAAAAAAGAGAGAGACAGGTGAATACAGTAAGATCTCAATGACAAAATATATCGTATATAAACATCTACAATACATGCCTATAGAAAAGCTAGATAATCCTACTGACAACAGCAATAAGGAGACAGAAAAGCTGTTGGTTGAGCCCTGGCTTTGTGTCAACTATTGTGCAAAGGGCTTGCCACGCATTCGTTAGTTCTTTTAATGCTAAATGGACATACATGGAAGAAAAGGAGGCACAGAGAAGTTCATTGACAAGTCCAATGTCACAAAGCTGAGTCCAAGCTAAGATTTGAACTCAGGTCTGGAAGACTCCTCTCTCTACTGTGAACCTTTAAGGCTGAGGAGAGGGGCAGGCAGGGTCTTGGACTGACCCACTGCCCCCAGCCCCTGGAGAATTCATTCACTATCTCTTGGGAGCCTACTGAGACTCTCTCAATTGTCCTGACTAACTGAGGTCCAGATCCCCCTGACCCCCATCTCCCACCCCCAAGCTGGTCCATGCCTTTCCTCTCCATTGGGCTACATCTCCCTCCACCCCAACACACACATAATCCTCTGCATTAATCACATATTTCCCCGGTGGACCATGCTGACAGCTGGGAGGTGCATGGAGATGGACAGCCCCGTGACTGTCTCACAACCTGGGAGGTGCGTGGAGATGGATGGCCCCGTGACTGTCTCACAACCTGGGAGGTGCGTGGAGATGGACGGCCCCGTGACTGTCTCAGAACCTGGAAGATGCGTGGAGATGGACAACTCTGTGACTGTCTCACGGCCTGGGAGGTGCATGGAGCTGGACGGCCCTGTGACTGTCTGATGGCCCAAGCCCTGCTCATTAGTGCAGCTTACACATCCATCACCTTCAGCGAAAGACAAACACCAGCGCAGGAGGATCCGGGAACTATCACTCAAGGGGTCCTTAAATAGAGGGGGTAAAGAGAAACTAGCTTCTTCCCTGATTTTTTGATAAATTTTTCTTTAATGCATCAGTCTCTAGTGTCCCTGCCCAGCCTGGGCTGCCTGAGCCACTCCTCACCTAGCCTGGGGCAATCAGGAAATACACCGCCTGTCTGCTCACTCGCACGTGGAGAGCAATCTCATGAGGCCCCCTGGATTTTATCCTCCCCTCCCTGAATGTGCAGATATCTCATCCACCTCTTGTTTTGATGGATCTAGATGTTCTGATCCGAAATGTGGTGCAGCAGCTGAGCAGAGGAGTGAAGCTTCCTGGAAGGAGGAGGAGAGAAGGGATTAATTCCGCCACACTTACCATTCTCACCCCAGCTCATCCTGCCCTGCCCAGCCAGCCCTCTGCACCGCCTGCACCTCCCTTCTGTGGGGTCCCGAAATGGCAGCTATACTGTGGGCATGCCGGTGTGTTGGTCACCGGCATCAAGCTGCCCAGACCTCTTTCCCAGAAGGATCTCAGATCCAGCCAGGCCCCCGTTATTATAGATCTCAGCCTACACCATAGGCATAGGTGCAAGCAGAGAGGACTTTAATTAATTTTGTGTGTGTGTGTGTGTGTGTGTGTGTGCGTGTGTGTTCTCCTTTACAAAGCATTTTCCTATCCATTCTCCACATCTCTGCAAGGCCAGGAGATTTATTAGCCCCACTTTATAGATGAGGAAAGTGAGGCACAGACAGGTAAGATGTTTACCACTTGAAGTTACCCAGCTAGTTAAGTCATGGCCATTGGACTCCAACTCGCGTTTGACTGATACAAAGTCACTGGGTTCCCTGGGTCACAAGGGCTTCTTGAGATGCAGACACTGAGATGGAGTTGGGGACATGAGTGGAGATGCTTATTAGGGATGGACAGAAAGGGGAAAGGAAGGAAGGAGGGGCCAGAGGGGAGGAAGTCAGCCTGGTCCACAGCCAGAAGGTAAGTAGCTTGAGTCAGCTGTCAGAATTGCCCAGCGCAGGGCAAAACTGGCTGGGCATTTCCACCCTGTCTTGCTCAGCCCCTGAGTGTGTGCTCCCAGGAAGGGAGCCCCTGCAGCAGAGCTAACAGAAGGAGGCCCTCTGTGGACTGCACTCTCGGAGCTGGGAGCAAGCCTTTCCTTGATGGTGCCTCTGGGTGTGCGTCTCCTTGTCTACTACTCACACAGGCTAAAAGTTCAAGTGCAAGAGAGTGAGTAGGTCCCTACTCTTTCGAGCACAAGAGCGGGATAGGAAGGATAAACTGTCAGGGCATCCAAGTGGGCCCCTCCTCATCTGTCACAGCACTCCCCTGGTGCTGCTCACATTCATTTCTCCATGCAGGGAACTCTTAGGGATCACCAGGTTCTGCACACATTCCTCCCTGCCCCCACTGCACTGCAGCAGCCCCCCACCTCCTGCTGATCAGACTCCATTACCCTCACCAAGACTGCGACCTCGTCTTCTTGCTTTTCTAGTCCCTGGGTACAAGGAGCCCAAATACCCAGGCAGCCACCATGGCAAACAAGCTAGAGACTCTTACTGTGTTCCCTGGAACATGCAGGTCCCCCTTGGGGACCAGGATGTCCAGCCTTGCAGAGCCCAGAGTCGCAGGGATGGGAGTCACTAAGTCTGGCAGTGGTTCACTAGGAGAATAGTAAGTGGGGCCACTTTGGCTCCTACCTGTTTTTCTTAAGTCCATGTACTCTTCTTATTGGGGAGCAACCCTTATATAGGGCTTTGATTAGATGCATATACTGCATCCTGAAGGATGGAACCTTGTGCTCACAGGGTATTTCCTCCAAGCTGGCGCTCTGGCTGGGCCCTCAGCAGGCCCCTCCCACACTCTGTAAGGTGGGCAGCGGCTGGGTGGTATGGTATGTGATATAAACATGGGCCCTTCGTTGTGAGTCTGTGCCTGCACCTACTCTACAGTAAAGTGGGTCCCCTGGTCTGACACACTATTATGTGGGATCCTGTGCCAGTGGATCGAACAATCCATCAACCCCGGGGTAGGAGTGCCGGCTGAGACCCTGCAGGCAGGAAAGACAAACCCCTCCCAGGAATGGATGGTTGTTCCTCTGAGATTAGACTGCTGTGCCTTCCACGTGGAAGAGCCCAGTGTAATGGAGTTGACTTGTCAGTTGGCCTCCGTGAGGCCTGGTGCCATCGCAGGGACTTAGCCATGGTTCCGCTGCTGGCATGTTGGTTTCCAGAAGCAGCAGCGGGAGATCAGCCTGGAAAAGCAGGAGCCATGCTGCTGTGCCCGTGCACAGCCTCCACCCCCATCATGCCAACACTGAGGTGGCTGAGGGCAGCTGTGCCTGTGCACAGCCTCCACCCCCATCATGCCAACACTGGGGTGGCTGAGGGCAGAGAAGGATGCCAACCAGTTGGATCACCTACTTGGTTGTTTCGTGTTGCCCCCGCCTGCCTTGGGGAATGCTCTCAGGTGACCATGAACCTGTGACACAAAGATTTGAGCACTTACTGTACTAGGTGCTGAGCTGTGAGCTTTACATCTGTTAGTTCATTTATTATAACATAGGAGCTCTCACCATCCCCATTTTATAGATGGGGAAACTGAGGCACAGAAAGGATCAAGTATCTTGTCCAAGGCTACTCGGCTAGGGACTGGAAGAGCCAGGGTTCACATGCAGGCATCTGGCTCCACAGAGCTTCTCTGAACACCCAGAATGGGTCCTGGTCCTGTTCTCTCCTCCAGGAAGTGCCTCTGACCCACTCCTCCTCAGAAGACAAAAATGCACAAAGGGTAGGAAGAGGGCTCATCACTGATTCTGCATGCCCTCCACCTTAAAGAGCCACCATGAAGACCCAGGCACCCAGAGGTAAGACTGGCACTAATCCAGCCTTCTGGGGCAGATCCATTGCAGCTGGGAGTGCGTGCAGCGTAGCCTTGTGGAATACGTTCACTGAGCATCTACTATGTGCCAGCCCCTGTGCCTGGGATTTCTTGGTGGACAAAAGCAGACCCTCCCCTACCTGTGAGGGTTCACAGTGGGAGTGCAGATCAAGTTTTAAGTGACACTCATGGTAGGTCTTATCAAACAAAGCAGATGGAGCTATCAGGGCCTATAATGGGGGCGCTGATCTGGCTGGGGAGTCAGAAAAGACTTCCCGGAGGAGGAGACACTGGAGCAGACCAGAAACCTGGAAATGCACTCCTCGGAATATTGTGAATGGGACTGGAATGCCAGTTGGGTGTCTGGGCTGAATGATGGTTAAGATCTCCAAATCCTAAAAGCCTATGATTCTGACTTATTATTTCCTGGTTCTAAGATTTTATTGACTGAAGACCTTAAGACTTGGAGATGTAAGATTCTGGTAGCCGAGAACCATGGGGTTCTCAGGTGCTGAGATTCTCACGCACAAGCCTTTGCTGCTGGAGAAGCACCACACAGAAGCTGCCAAGGGCCAGGAGCTGGCTTTCCCTCTTCCTGGGCCCCCAGCCAGGCCCATAACAGGATGTCTATGCAGCTCTTTGTCACTTAGAGAATGTAAATTTATTCTGCATTTCCAGCGCCAGGCACTCACCTTATCTGCATGTAACAGTCACCAGAATAAATATTAGAAGACAGGTCTGTGGAGATCTTCTGTGTGTACATGAGTTAAATCCTCCAGCCAGTTAATCCAGGCAGGGATTTCAACAGAAATGCTATTCTTATATTAATTACAAGGAGGAGCTGGTAACTGGGGCTCTGTTCCATTTGAGGAGGGGCTGCTGTCTCCTGCTGGAGGGATGGAGAAGGGGCCTTTGTGTGCCGAGGCTGAGGGACTGAGTGGGTGGGGAGAGGGAGAGCATCTGTCAGCAGTGTGGTTGCAGGTGGGGCTGTTTTCCACCCAGTATCCGGGGCCCTCAGCGTGAACTCTCGCCTGGGCTCACTCAGCGCTGGGGCTATAGAAGCTTCCCCAGTGGGGTCAGAGGGAGCAGGGCAGCCTTGCCACGGGTCACACACTGCACTGGGCACTGGCTGGGCTCCAAAGTCACATAGATAGACCAGATCTTGGCTCCCCCACTCAGCAGCTCAGCCATATGACCTTGAAGAAGCCACGTCACCTCCCTGGGGCTCAGCTTCTTCAACATGATCCACAGTCCTATCCACCCACCTGCCTGGTGGTTCCAAGGATGGGAGGAAAACACCAGGCATCAGGCACCTCATGAGCATTCATCCCAGCAACAGCCCTCATGACACTTGTGGGCAGCCAGGCACTGCTGGAAACGCTGCACAGGGGTTAGTCCTCGCCCCAGCCCAGTGAGGGGGTGCTGTCATTATCCCCACCCACAGATGAGGAAACTGAGGCACGAGGAAGTTAAGTGACTAACCCAATATCACAGAGGCAAAAAATGAGGAGGCAGGATTTACAATCAGTTGACTCCAAGGTAAGTGAACTTCTATATTACATTTAAATTTTTCCAACAACCCTTGGCGGGGGTGATTAGATGTTGACACTTTCAGTACTGGCTCCCTCCATCTGGCCCTCATTCTGTTTTTTGTTTTTTTTTTTTTTTTTTTTTTTGAGACGGAGTCTCACTCTGTCACCCAGGCTGGAGTACAGTGGCACAATCTCGGCTCACTGCAACCTCCAACTGCTGGGTTCAAGCGATTCTCCTGCCTCAGCCTCCTGAGTAGCTCAGATTACAGGCATGCGCCACCACGCCCGGCTAATTTTTTTTTTTTTTATTTTTAGTAGAGACGGGGTTTCACCATGTTGGCCAGGCTGATTTCAAACTCTTGACCTCAAGCGATCCACCTGCCTCAGCCTCCCAGCCTGCCGGGATTACAGGCGTGAGCCACCTCACCCGACCCCTCATTCTCTTTTCTCTGGTGCTCTGGTTATTTCCGGGCAACAGTGACATTCAGTCCCTGCCTCCAGGCCTTTGTTCATGCCGTGCTTTCTCTCTGGAACACCCTTGCCCCTGCCTGTCCATCCAGGAAACTCCTACTCACACTTCAAGACCCAGGCCAGGCATCATGTTCTCCATGGGCAGCCCCCACCCCACCTGTCCCTGCACCTGGCACATCCTCCATCGTAGCACTTAGCAGGGGGGTCGGGCAGGGGAGAGGGGACAGGATTCTGTCCTCAGGACCTGCCTCCCCTCTCTGTTCACCCACCCCTTCCTTCCACCAACATTCACTGAGTTTGGCTTCTGTCCAAAGACTCACATTCAGGGAGGAATGACCAGCCTCATGAAATTGGCATTACTGTCCCCTTTTTAGAAAATCTCCCACTCAGGTTTTGTAATTCCTGAGACCACAGGCCCCACTAGAAGGGAGCAGTCTGGGAACTCTGATCCCAGCAACCCAGGAACTCTGACCCCACTCCAGGCTGCCAAGGTCACCTTGGGGAGTTAATGGGGGAGCTCAGAGGCTGTAAGAGTGCCCCCTCCCCTCATCCACATCAGCTCCTCCTTCCTGCAGCTGTGCGTGCAGGAAACGCTCCTCCTCTGTGTCGCACACCGTAACACCATTGCCATTCAATCAGAGTCGCGTTAATTAAATATGAATTGATTGTAAGAGCAGTGCTTGAGATGTAGAAGTGATACACTTAGGCACCAGGTAATTAACTCAAAACAACAGGCAATAAGCATGGAGCCAGGTTAATACAACAACCTGGCAGACATCATTTAGATTCTTTTTACCCCTTGACTTTGAGGCTCAGTAGTAGCTGCCAAGTTCTTATCGATCAGCAATTCGTTAAAAAATTTATGACAAGTTAAAACTAATTGGCCACAGTGAGGGGTGAGTTTGACCCAGGCCAAGGCTCTGTGGCCTGGCTGAGGCGAGACTGGAATGGAGAAAGCAGTGTGGGCCGGGCACAGTGGCTCACGCCTGTAATCCCAGCACTTTGGGAGGCCGAGGCGGGCAGACCACCCGAGGTCGGGAATTCGAGACCAGCCTGACCAACATGACGAAACCCCATCTGTAGTAAAAGTACAAAAAAATTAGCCAGGTGTGGGTGGTGACACATGTCTTAATCCCAGCTACTCATGACACTGAGACAGGAGAATTGCTTGAACCCAGGAGACGGAGGTTGCAGTGAGCCGAGATCACTCCATTGCACTCCAACCTGGACAACAAGAGCGAAACTCCACACACACACACACACACAAAAAAAAATCCGTGTGAAGGAAGCACCAGCCACGTCAGCCACGTGGACACCTCTGGGTCTGCTCCTGGGGACAGACCATCCTGTTTAGTGGGCCTGAGATGCTCTCCTCCCCATTCAGCCCCTCCCAGGACCACCTCCCATCCAGGGAGCACTCAGGTAGCCCCAACAACTCAGAGCAAGCACACAGCCTGTGTGTGAAGTGGGACAGGACAACTGAGACAGCAAACCACCCCTGCGGCGGGCCAGGGGGCCTATGCTCCCTGCAGGGTCTCAGCCTGGGACGCACAACTGCTGGGATTTTCTTAGCCTTTAAACTGTCAGGAAGAATGCAAAATTGAGATGTGCAGGAATAAGGGAGCCAGGCTCCTCTGGGCTGCACTGGTTTGAACTTGCAGAGGTGCCCAAGGGCCCCTGGCCAGCAGCTCAGGCTGTTGGGCTCTCCCACCCCTCCACCCACTCACCCTGCAGGGTCTGAAACAGGGTGAAGGGGACAGGCCTCCCAAGTCCAGAGACAGGAGATGGAGGGCAGGCCCGTCCAAAAGCAGCTCTCCCTGCTCCAGTCCTGAAGTGGAACATCGACCTGGTTCTTTAGGTTCGAGACCTCTTGGCTTTTCTGGGGTAAATGAAAAATCAAGTAATGAAATTGTCAGCTGCATAGCAAGTAGAAAAGACAAAACCAAAAAGAAGAGAAGGAGGGAAAGAGGGTGGCAAAATATAATGCACAGTGACAGTGAATTACTGCACACTCTCCCCTGGGAAGGTGGGAGTCTCAGAAGAGGAGCGAGGCTGGGGTGGGTTGGGGGTGGTCCTAGGCCAAGCCTCCACTTTCCCATCTGCACAATGGGCAAATGACATCCCCTTCAGTGGCTGTGAGATTAGAGGTGATAGGAACAAATTGACCCGACCAGCTCCTGGCTGGAAAAGATGCCTGAGTGTGACGGGTATTATTCTCGCCAGAGGCCAAGAATGCAGCCTTGCTCTGGGGGGTCCCCAGCCAGGGGGAGAGCTGGTTGGTCACAGGGTCTAAGAGGGAGGGGATGTCTCATGAGCACTTCCAAGCACCTCTTCATTCCGTCCCCCTTATACCTAGAAGTTTCCCTTCCCCCAGCCCTACACTCATCCTACAGATGGGGAAACTGAGGCTCTGAGGGTGGTGCAGCCCAGAGGCTGAAACATGGAATCTGGGGTCCAGTGGACCTGGGTTGGCACCACTTACGCCTATGGGACCTGGACGGATGACTCAACCTGTCAGTACCTATTTGCTCATCTGCAAAATGAGGCTGTTCTTGAGACTTACCTTGTAAGGCTGTTGTGTTGGATGAAACTCTGTACTGTCAATGTTTATGGATGACTTGGCACTGTGCCTGCCACATAGGAAAGTCAGTTACAATAATGATCATACAATATAATTATAATAGATAATATAATGATAAAATAATATAATAATGATAATGATAGCAATAATAATTATGACTAAAGTGATTCGGCCTCACTTTGGATCCCTGGCCTGTTTCGGGGGGTAAACCTGACACCCGAGGTGACTGCCTCAGCCACTTTTATTCGTGTGTCTCCTGCCCTGCCATGGCTTTCAGGAATCTCAGATCTTGGTGCCATGTCCTCAAGGCCATTCCATTTCCTTTCCTCAGAAGAATGATCAGTTTTGCCCAATATTTACGTGTACCCAAGTTTGTCGTTGATGGAAAATCATTTTCCGCATCTCCCACACAAATTCCTTGCCAAGGGTATCTCACGCTTGAGTATCAGGAACTGAACCATTTCACTTAGAGACATGCAGGCTTAAGGAAATGTTTAAAAATGTCTTTTAAAAATGTTGCTTAAAGGTATGGCTTTTTGTTTCTTTTATTTAAAAAACTGTGAATAAATCATTGATTTGTCTCACTAGGGAGTTGACATTTTGCACATTTAAAAAGGTTAGTTTAGAAAATCTGACAATGTGACCAGGCGTGGTGGTTCATGCCCGTAATCCCAGCACTTTGGGAGGCCAAGGTGGGCAGATCACGAGGTCAGGAGTTCGAGACCAGCCTGGCCAACATGACAAAACCCCATCTCTACTAAAAATTCAAAAATTAGCCAGGCGTGGTGGCAGGCGCCTGCAATCCCAGCTACTCAGGAGGCTGAGGCAGGAGAATCGCTCGAACCCAGGAGGTGGAGGTTGCAGTGAGCCGAGATTGTGCCATTGCACTCCAGCCTGGGTGACAAGAGCAAGACTCCATCTCAAAAAAAAAAAAGAAAGAAAGAAAGAAAGAAAGAAAGAAAGAAAGAAAGAAAGAAAGAAAGAAAGAAAGAAAGAAAGAAAGAAAATCTGACAATGCTGATTTCTAACGTTTCTTTATTTAGTGCTTACTATGCCCACTGCTGCTTTTACGTGGGGCACCCCGTGGAGAGTGGAGTGGAAAAGGCTCCTGCTCCCAAAAGATGACATCTTCATATGGGGGGGACTGGTCATAGGGATAGAAATAGAGATAGAGCTTCCTATGCAAGGGAGGATCATGGAATAAGAGGGACTGGAAGCACTGAAAGGGGACCTAAGTGGCTGCAGAGGGTGACCAATAGGGATGTGGCAGGGCTATGCCTCCTGTGGCCTGGAAGGTCCCAGTCAGGGACCCAGTCTAGTGGGCAGCCACTGAGGGGAAACACCCAAAGACCAGATGACCCTGGTCTCAGAGGTGGGGACAATTCTTGTGGGGAACAAGAGGATGGTCCAGACCTTCTCGGCAGTGATATTAACTTGCCATCAAACCCAGACCCCAAAGCCAAGAACAATGGCTCCATCCTCTCCCACTCAGACAGGGGCCACCCATGAGACTCACTCTCCTTAGGGTGCTTCAGGCCACCAGAACCTACTCCCAGGATTGACAATGTCATCCATGCGTGAAACAGGGAAACGCAAATTGACAAGGCAAATTGATGAGCCCAGGATGTGGGGGCCCGTGGTATTTCTGCTGGTGTTGGTATGTTCTCCAGGGATTCCAATGCGTGTCTGAATTAGAAGGGTGGCGCTCCAACATCGCAGTGCCTCTGCAGGATGATATATTACCCAGATGGCAGAGGAATGGAGCAGACACGTGTGCAGGCTCACACCTCCTAACGCCGGGTGCAGATGCTCAGGAAAGCCCAGCCAATTCTGCAAAAGTTCACTGCTGGATCACAGCCAGTTTTCAATGCATTTCCCAAACTGGGATCAAGGAACCCTCGTTCGGAAGGTGTTAACCATTGGCAACATTATACAGACCGATGATATTGGCTGCCATGACCTCAGGTTGAAGTCTATCCATGGGCCCCAGTCAGCACCGGGGAAACCCTCATTCGCAGGCCCCTCCAGAATCTGAGAAGTCCCCGAGGGAGGCCTTTGCTCCACGGGCTTAATCTCTTTTCTTTTCTTTTTTTTTTTGAAACGGAGTTTTGCTCTTGTTGCCAAGGCTGGAGTGCAGTGGCACAATCTCGGCTCACTGCAACCTCCGCCTCCCGGGTTCAAGCGATACTCCTGCCTCAGCCTCTCCAGTAGCTGGGACTACAGGTTCCCACCACCATGCCTGGCTGATTTTTTGTATTTTGAGTAGAGATGGGGTTTCACCATGTTGGCTAGGCTGGTCTCAAACTCCTGACCTCAGGTGATCCACTCGCCTCGGCCTCCCAAATTGCTGGGATTACAGGCATGAGCCACCATGCCTGGCCATGGGCTTAATTTCATCATGTTCCTCCCCAGTCCTCACTGTGTAAGGCAGGGCAGACAGAGCATCGGATATGAGTCAGGAGATGGAGTCCAGGTCCCTGTTGTTACCAACTCACTGTGTGACCTTAGGCAGGTCACGTCCCCACTCAGGGCCCTCATTTTCTTAACTGTACCATCAAGGGGTTGAACCAAATGATCTGCCTAGTTCCTCCCTGCTCTGATGGTCCAAGACTCTACCATTCTATACAGGACAGTTTGGCCCAGATATGTGGAAACAAAGGATCCAGGGTCTATCAATGAGGATCTCTATGTGGGAGGTGAGATGGGATAAAACAACACCACCCAGACTATGAACCATAATCAGAAACGAAAAAGACACAACCTCATGCTGGTCACCACTGACCTGACAGAGGATATTTTAGTTCCCAGAGTGACTCAACCCAGATGATATGCCCAGATGATAAAAATGTAGCCCTTCCTCTAATCCATGGAGTTTAGGATTAACTGACCTGATGAAAAGGAATGAAGTCCCATTGATGGGACATCCTCGGGAAGGTGAAGGGGGAGACAGCCTGGACAGTAGTGCTAGGAATGGGGGGAGGATACAAATAACAGTAGAGATACTAGCAGCTAACATGTATCATGAACCTACTGTGTGCCAGCCTCCTTCTCAGTGCTCTCTGTAAAGCAGCGGCTGAGGGCCCAACACACAGGGGTGTCTATGACGCTTAGATTGATTAATCCAGCAGCCATCCGTGAGGTGTATTTTTGATACTGCTGAAAAGGCGCCTCCTCTCATATCTGCCATGTGCAGCCTGGCTCCCACCACACTTCTAAGAATGAGATGAGAAGACAAACGAATGAGGATCCCCAGGTCCCCAGTCACAGCAGCGCTTACAAATCCCTGCCCAGGGTGAGCGCCAAGGTCAGGCATTGTCTTTACATCCTGAGCACAGCCGTAACAGATTACATCCTGCCCGCATATTTCTGTCCTTCTCAGGCACCACTGGGGCCCCAGCAGTGACAACTGTTCTGCTCCATCAAAGCTCAGCTGTTTTCACAGGGACTTTAAATAACTCCCTCTGCTGCCAAGAAATCTGTGCACTGTGAATAGACATTCGAGGGAGGTTCAGGGCCTGGCTGTTGTTGGACAATGACCATGAAGCTCCCACTCTGTCCTTTGCCCTCTGGGAAGCCAGTTTCCAATGACTCAGCGGATCCACCATGGAGTGTGATGTGGTTTGGATTTAGCTCCCATCCAAATCTCATGTGGAATTGGAGGAGGGGCCTGGTGGGAGGTGACTGCATCATGGGGCAGATATCCCCCTTGCTGTTCTTGTGATAGTGAATGAGTTCTCACAAGATCTGACGGTTTAAAAGTATGGCACTTCCCCCTTCACTCTCTCTCTTCTGCTCCACCATGGTAAGACGTGCCTGCTTCCCCTTCACCTTCCGCCATGATTGTTAAGTTCCCTGAAGCCTCCCCAGCCATGTTTCTGTACAGCCTGTGGAACTGTAAGTCAATTAAACCTCTTTTCTTCATAAATACCCAGTCCCACAGAGTCCCAGGCCATGTGCAGGACCCTGGGCTCAGAGACAAAAAGATCACTCACGTTCCTATGCTTGAGAGGTCATAGTCAGATGGCAGAGGCAGGCCTGCCAGCAACACACACCACCCACCCGCAAAACACCAGACGAGAAGTCACAGCAATGGCTGCCATTCCATGAGCACCTGCTGTCAACAGCTGTACTCAGTCAGTGCCTACTGTATGCCAGCCCGAGGCCAGGAGAGTCACAGGTGTTGTCACTACCTTCACAACAACCCTTCCTGCTACAAGGTCAGTTTAATCATTCCCATTTTATAGATGAGGATACAGAGGCTCAGAGAAGTTGGGTCTCACAGCCAGGGAGCAGCTGAGCCATCGCTTGCTCTGTGGGCCCAGCAGCATCAGGACAGCTCTGCCCACCCTCACCCCTCAGATGGAGGCCGGGTCAGCTGGGGTGGACTGAAGGCAGGTATGGTCACCTGAGCCAGGTAGTCAGAGTGCAGAGGTGGTGCCAGATTGCAGGTGCATCATCTCCTTCTGATTGTGGAAGTTCCTCAGTGTGCCCACATAAGTCCAGTTGAGTTTGGCCATCCCAGCCCAGCTGCCAAGCAAGAGCCAGGGATCAAACCCACTTTGTGCATTGCCCTCCTTCTCCGTCCACCCCATCTCTCCCCATTCTTTATCCAGGTAGTGAGGCAGGCACTGAACGTATATCTGGCTCCAAGGGTGAGCATGTATCTGAGGGCTGACTGATCAGCAATATCCTCTGTCTGGCTGTAGTGATTGGCTCAGAACTGGGCACATGACCCAAGATGGTCCAATCAGAATTAGAACTGACATGTTTCTCTGGAAAATTTAGATGTATCTAAGTCAGTACACACCAGAGCTGCTAGTGGTTATCGTGAAATGAGCCTGCCTGAGAATAAAACCTACATAAAAGTCTGAAAAATGGAGGTGTGTGCATGTGCAAGCACATGTGTGCACGTGTGTACATGTGTGTTCATGTATGTATGTGCACATGCAGCCTGCTCACACTGAATATGAGCCCTGGGAAGGGAGAGAGCATCTTCTCTTTTGCTCCACTCTCTCCTTGGTACTGGAACATTGCCTGACACAAAGCCATTGCAATTTCTTAAGCCCCAGGTCAAGATAGGCCTGAAACCAGCAGCCCCCAAGACTTCTCTGAGCCAATACACTCTTTTCCTATCTAAGCCAGTTTGAGTTAAGGTCTATCTACTCAATGAGTCCTACTCCTGCATGATAGCTCCCCAGCCCCACACACCTGGAGAAGCACATGCCTGGTGCACAGGAGGTGCTAAGTGAACAAAGAAGTGAATGACTCGGCCATTCTCCTTCCTCAGCACCTCAGCTCTCTCCACTTTCCTGAGAGATAGCTCCACCTCCTGAGCTGCCTGGCATCTCTCCAGGGGAGCAGAGATCCCAGGATTCCCCACATCCTGCTAGGGAGATGGATGTCTGGACATGTGTCACCAGGTGGGCCCCAGGATGCCCAGGAGGGCCAGGCACTCTGCAGAGAACCGTGAGAGCAGGTCTCTCAGGAGGGGAGCTGGACACAGAGTGGCTGGAATGTCATCCCTCACATTCCCACTGGCCACTGGGCTTTAACAAAACCATACCTTAATTTCTACCACCACAGAATGTATGTATGCATTCATAAACTCAAATATAACATTTTACATGGAGGAAATGGAGACCCAGAGAAGTCAAGTATCTTACCCAAGGTCACACAGCTCAAGATGGCAGAGATGGCTCAAACCCAAGCCTCTGTCACTAAGGTCCATGCTCCTGCCCACCCCAGACTGCCCTGCAGAGCTTTGGGGAGGAGTTAGGAATGGAAGAGGGCAGCATGGGCTGGAGGCATCAGGGAGGGCTTGCTGGGGGAGGGGGAGCCTAAGCTGAGCCCTGAAGGACACTGGAGGAGAAGTGCAAGCAGTTTGCTGTTGCCAGATCTTTAGGCCTCTGGGTCTGGAATTCTCCATGAGATATTTCTGGCCTTCTTGGGGCAGGCTTCCCAGGACCCTCTCTCCAGAGCAAGTGGAGCTGCGTCCAGGCCCGGGTGGGAGGCAGCTCCCAGGTAGTGGGTGGCAGGCCAGGTGGACCAGGAATGTCCTGTTTACTTGGTTTGGGGCCCAGGTGTGCCTGGATGGGAGCGAGGATGGCTGAGCCCTTGCCCATCTGCTGTGAGGGGAACGATGGTCTCACAAGCGCCTCTGATGAGGCCGTTAGACCACATTTCATCAGCCAGTCAGCCCCACCAGCCACACCGATAATCCCTGCAAAGTGTCTCATCAGTCACCCAAGAACTGCACAATCAACAAGCCCTGAAATTTCTCTTGCAAATTCCCCATGTGAGCAGCATCCTGTGAAGGTAAGTAAGAATCCCCCCATTATGTCCACAATTGGGGAAATGAGTCCATTTCTCTTTCCTGTTCTGCCTCTGAAGCCTGGGTTGACAGCCCATTTTCCCATAATGAACTTGCAGAAGCAAAACAACACTTGGGTGTGAAAATACACATCAGCTCAGCTGCTAAGGAGTATTCTTGGTGTGCAGGTGGGGCCCCTGAAGCTGGGACTATTTGGGGAGACAGATGCCTGCGTGGGTGGAAGGCTCATCGATTCTCTACACAGATCAGCTTTCCAGAGGTAGGCCGAGGAAGCTGAGTCAGTGATTCTTTTAAATCTCAAATTCCCTTTTCCTCCTGCTTGCCTTTCTTTGCCAAGTATTTTCTGATACCAATTAGGTGAGGACTCTGAGGTGGGCACCTGCTGTTGGAGAAATATTCTTGCCCTCTGGGGTCTATCTTGGGGAGACAAGTCCACTAACAGAGGGAGACTGCAGTGTGACCAAAACCATTGCCTTATTGGTGCCGATTCCTGTGCTGACCCCCTACCCATCTCCATCTCCAGGGTCCCATGAGGGAAAACAGACACTTGAGGGCAGGTGTCATCACGTCTTCATCTCCTGTCATCTTCCCTGAGTACAAGAAGCTCTAGGATGCTTCCCTGGGCCTAGGACATTGAGGACTCATAGCAGAAGCTCACAACTAGTAGATAGAAGGAAAAAGGGAAGGGGGGTGGTGTGGGGACTAAATGGCCTTGCTTCAGATGCATAATTAGAACTGGAGGCAGAGGAGAAAATTGGCGATTAATAGGTTGTGGGAGTGAGGACATCAGAAAAGATCCAGTAGTAAAAATGGTCACAGGGTGACCTATGACATTTGACTTAATCAGGAGTAAATTACTCTGCACCCCGAGTAGAACTGAGAGCTTTCTGGTGCACAACATTTCTTACATGTCCCCTTCATGCTGAGCTGGACACATTCCAGATAGCAGAAGGCAGGGAGAATCCCAGCATCTCAGCCCGGGGACCAGCAGAGGCTCCATATGAGCTGCTGTGAGCATCCTCCGCTCCTCACCAGCCGTGGGAACAAGGAACACGGAAGGAGCCGCTCAACCTCTCCCGCCTGGAAACCCACTGTCTCCCTCCCCCATCAGGGCCACCTCTGAGGATTTGGGTTGGCCCCACCGACTTCCAGGAAGCCTCCTGGATGGCCCCACCCACTTCCAGGAAGCCTCCTGGATGGCCCCACCCACTCAACGCTCAATGTGAAGGTTGACTGCCCAGCATGGCGTCAGTCTGGCTAGGTCCTGAGTTCTGGTTCCTCAGGGCTCAGGGGGTGGTGCCCGGCCCATGGGCATCACCTGGAGACTTGCCAGAAATGCAGAATGCCAGGCCCCACCCCAGACCAGAATCTGAATCTGCACCTTAATGAGTTTCCCAGGTCATCCATGCACAAAAGGCTTTTCCTGGGGGTGCTGACACTCGAGGACTCATCTCCAGGACAGGAAGAGAGACATTGGCCTTGAGGCATTCCTTGAACTCCTCAGGACTCAGCTTCCTTGTCTATAAAATTGGAATATTCTGTTCACTCAACAAATATGTAGCAGGTGTCTGGAGTATGACAGGCACTGCCATTCTAGGTGCCAGAGACAGAGTGGTGGGGACAGATGGGGCCCCTGCTCCCGTGGTGTTCCGTCTAGTGCACAATCCTCCTGTGTCTCAGCCTTGGGGGGATCCGGGACATGAAGCCCAGGACACAGAGCGTGTACATCATCGAGCTCAGTAAACCCCTGTGGGATGAAGGCAACAGCAGAGAACCAGGCCCTGGGCTCTGAGGTTGGAGGCACTGACTCACCTCCTCTCCCTCACTCCCACCCCAGCCCTGAGTGGTGGTGCGGCTTCCCACCTTATAGATGAGGAAGCTGAGGCCCAGAGAAGTTATATGCATTGCCCGAGTCACACAGCTAGCTGGGGAGAGCACAGGTCAGATCCGGCGGGCCCTGGGTTCTCCCTATTCCCCTAGACTATGTTTCTGGCCCCAAAGGCTTCCTGCAGCCCTTAGGGTCATATTCCTGGGGGTTAGAGGGGCCTTCTAGGCCATCCCAAAGGATCTTGGTGTTCAGTCAAGTCAGGCCGCCAAGCTCTTCCTCTGAACCTGACCCTGACCCTGACCCTTCCTGGCTGTGTGACTTGGCCCCTTCCCTTCACCTCTCTGGGACCACAGTTCCCTCCCCTATAAATCTAAGACAATAACAGCCCCGTTCCCCCAATTGTTGTAAGGATAAAGTAATTTTCATAAAGCTGGCAGTGTGTGGCCAGGCTTGGTCAGGGCTGCCCCTCTGTCCTCTCTGCAGGAACCGCCTCCACCCTGCAGCTCCCTCTTTCCCTCCCACACTTTCAAGCCTCCCTTCCCAGGTCCCTTTCCCCTCCCACCATGACCTCCCCAGATCTGGCATTTGTTTCTCATCATCCTTCCCTTCCTTTCCTGGCCCTTTTCACAGCATGGAATTATTTTGTTGTTCATTTGCTCATTTTACTTGGCTGTTCCCCCAACTGCAGCCAAGAGCCCTGTGATGGCAGGGACCTGGTAGATCTCAGTCACAGCTGTGTCCCCATCCTCAGCACAGAGTCTAGCACACAGAGGAGCCCCATTGATAACTGCTGGATGGAGGGACGAGGAATGGGGCTGGGCTGTATCAGTCAGGATGGTGAGGTATGTAACAAACAGCCCCCACATCCCAGTGACGTCACCCAGGAAGAGTTTATTTCTCTCCTAGGCAAAGCCCAAGTGGCTGCTGCTGGCCTGGGGCATTTCCTCCAGGGGGTGCCTCCTCCAAGTGGTAATGCAGGGATCCAGGATCTTTGACCTGGAATGATGTCATCTACATGCATGACCTCCAGGGGCACCAGGGAAGGGGAAGTGAGTGAGGAGCAGGTGCACAGATTATTAACCACCTCGACCAGAGGGGTCCATATCATTTCCACCCACATTCCACTGGCCAGAGCTATATGGTGGCCCCACCTAGATGCAGGGGGGCTGGGCCACATCATCCTTAGTTGGGCAGCCCCTGCCCAGCACTGGCCCCACACTGTGAAGGGTAGCGTGAACTCCTGGACGGCACAGCTGTCTGACCCTCCACAATGGTGATGGACGATGTCTTGTCACTCTGAGCCTCCTCCTGAGACCCATGATTCTGAGGCCTCTCTCTAGGCCTCTGGCTGACCTGATGCCTGGTCAGGAGGAGAGTGGGGAGGGGCACTGACCCAGGGCTGTTCCCACACTAGGCTGGAGGAAGAGAGGAGATCCAGGCTGTTTGAGCTGATCGTGTTTGGAACCTCCTGGGTCTGCCGGGCTGCTAATTCAGTGCCATCTGCCTGCGTTCTCAGGACCAAAGCCCTGGGATAAGCATGTTTTCTTCTGTGGTTCTTAGAGAAAGTTTAGGGGGACAGGGGCTGGAGAGAGAGAGAAGCAGAGCCTCTGAATCTTCTCGTTCTCTAAGAAGGAGGTGCTGCCCCACTGCGGTATGAGTCACTGGACTGTGAGTTGCATCCTGCTCTGAGCCTCATCAGAACCACCTGAGTGAAAGTAGCCCCATTTTATAGCTAAGGAATCTGAGGCTCAGAGAAATTAAAGAAACTTGCTTACGGTCAAAACCTCCTCTGTTAGAGCTGAGTGAAGTTGGGGGTCTGCTGTTTAATTTCCGTTGTGCCTCTTCAAGAGTCGGTCACTCCTGCTGGAGGGATCTTGTCCCTTTTCCCTTCCTTTGAAGGTTCTTACCTACTTCAGAATTCTCAGAATCAGAAAAGCTCAAAGTTGTAAAGGAGGCGCAGAGATGAAACTAGGGTGGGTGGAGGAGTGAAGGCAGGACACAGGCTTTGGAGAGGCAGAACTGGGAGTCAATCCCAGTTCCACCAAGCGCTGGCTCCATGACCCTGTGGAACCTGACGCTGTCTGTGAACCAGCACCTCTCCTTCTCCACCACCATGGAGTAACACACGGCTGTTTGCTGTCTCTCATTCAGAGGCACAATTCAGGATTTTAATTATCTCCCCAAGAACACAGAGCCTCTACTCTCACCCCCACTACAGAGAGTTCTGCCAGGATGTCTCTTTACTTTCCAGGGCTCCGTGCAAATGTCACTATGATTTGGTTCAAATATAGCAACCAAAATAAGATTGGAAATTTGCATCCCGGATCTCAATTGCCTGGTTTCTGGAGTATAATTGACTTGGGATAAGATCCTGGCTCTGTCACCTACTGGCATGTAGTATGACATTACACTAGTCACTTTACTATACATAAGTGTCCTTTTTCCAAAAAAGGGAATACTAATAGAATCACTCTCATGTCTTATTTAAAAGTAAAATATCACCAAAAAAGTATAACAGTTCTTATCTTAGCGCTATGCCTGAGACAAAATATTAAAAATAGCTAAGATTTATTTTTAGCATTCTTATTGCGGTACAATTGACATACAATAAACTGAATATATTTAAGTGTACAATTTGATACGTGTTGACATCTTTATGCTTCTGTGAAACTATTACCACAATCAAAATAATGGCTATTCATCACCCCCAAAAGTTTTCTTGTGCCCCTTTGTAATTCTGACCTGCAAAGGTAATGCTCACCCAACCCTGTCCCTAGAAAACCACTGAGCTATTTTTCATCGCTAAAGATTGGTTTACATTTTCTGGAATTTTATATAAATGGAAACCTACCATATGTTGTCGTCATTTTTTCTGGCTTCTTTCACTCAGCATAATTATTTTGAGATTTATCCATATTGTTGTATGTTCCAATAGTAAATTCTTTTTTATATATGAGTAGTATTCCCTTCTATGTATACACCACAATTTGTTTATCCCTTGATGACTCTGTTAATCAACATTTATGTTGTCTCCAGTTCTTAACTATTACAAACAGAACTGCTCTGAATATTTGTGTACAATTTCCCCCTAACTTCTGCTTTAGCAGCATTTCACAAATTTTCATGTTACATTTTAATTGTCATTCAGTTCAAGAAACTTCCTAATTTCCCTTTGGATGTCTTTGTACCATGGATGATTTAGAACTATGTTGTTTACTTTCCAAATATCTGGGTATTTTCTAGATATCTTTCTATTATTGCTTTCTAACTTAATTCTACCATAATTGGAGAGCATACTTTGTGTGACTTTAATCCTTTGAAAATTTGAGATTTGTTTTATATAGCCCATGATATCATCTATCTTGGTAAATGTTCTGTGTGCCCTTGAAAAGAATGTGTATTCTGCTGGTGCTGGGTAGAATGTTCTATTAATGCCAATTAGATTAAGTTTGTTGATAGTGTTGTTCAAGTCTTCTATATCCTTACTAATTTTCTCTATTTGTTCTCTCAATTACTGAGAGAGAGGTACTGTGAATTCAATTGTAAGTTGTTTATTTCTCCTTGAAGTTTTGTCAGTTTTCCTTCACGAATTTTGAACCTCTGTTATCAGGTTTGCAAACATTTAGGATTGATGTGTCCTCTAGGTAATTTGACACCTTTATCATCAAGAAATGACACTCTTTATCCCTGATATTATTTGCATTGAAGTTCACTTCATCTGTTATTAATAAAGACGCTTCAGCTTTCTTTTGATTAGTATTCCATGGTATATATTTTTCCTTCCCTTGCTTTTAACCTGTTTCTATCTTTATATTTAAAGTGAGTTTCTTATAGACAGCCTATAGCTGGGTCTTGCTATTTTATCCAATATATGACAACCTCTGCCTTTTAATTGGACACATTTAAGGTGATTACTGCTACGGCTGGGTTTAAATTTACCATATTTCTATTTGTTTTCTATTTCTTCCGTTAGTTCTTTTTTCCTTTTTCCTTTTCTTCTGGTTTCTTTTGGATTAATTAGGTGAGTTTTATAATTATATTTTATCTTCTTTGTTGGCTTCTTACTTATAATTCTTTGCTTTTTTATTTTGGTCTTTGCCTGAAGGTTTATAGTAACACTTTTAACTTATTACAGCCTTCTTTCAAGTGGCATTGTACCACTTCATGTTTACTATAGGAACCTCACAACAGCACCTCCATTCTTTGTACTAAAGTTGTCATACATCTGTTTCTACATAATGAATAGTAGTCAATTCTCTCTTAAAGAAATTTAAATAATGAGAAAAATATATATATTTCCCACATACTTATCATTTTCAGAGCTTTTTATCCCTAAATGTCTAGATCCGTACTTCCAGCTGGTAACATTTTCCTTCTGCCTGCCTTTAACATTTCCTGTTCCACATTTCATCTAGTGATGAATTCTTTCAGCTTCTGTATATCTAAAAACATTTTTATTTTGCCTTCACTGATGAAAATTATTTTCACTGACTATAGACAGTTTATTAAAGATATTGCTCACTGTCACTTGACTGGCATTATTTTTGATGAGATATCTGCTGCCCTCTTTATTGTTGGTCCTCTGTAAGTAATGTGTCCTTTTCTTCTGGTTGCTTTTATAATTTTCTCTTTATCACTGTCTTTGAGAAATTTTACTATGCTGTCCCTCAGTATACTTTTCTTCATGTCTCTTGTGCTTGAAGTTTGTTGAGCTTCTTGGATCTATGGATTTATAGTAGTAATCACATTTGGAAGAAATTTGGCCTTTTATTTCTTCAAATATTTTTCTGATCCCCACTCATTTTCAAATACTCCAATTACATGCACCTTGAAGTTTTCCTATAGTTCACTGACGCTGTGTTCATTTTTTATATTATTATTTTTCTCTGTGTGTTTCATTTTGGATAATCTGTATTTCTACTTCCTCAAGTTAGCAATCTTTTTTCCGCAGTGTCTAATCTGCTATTTCAGCTATCTAGTGTAGAAGTGTAGTTTTCATCTCACACATTGTAATTTTCATCTCTAGAAGTTCAGTTTTGGTCTTTTGTATATCTTCCTTGGCCCTCCTTATTATTTTCAGTCTTTCTCCTATATTTCTGAACATGTGAAATAATGTTATAACTGTTCTTATTGTCCATGTCTGCTAAATATGTAATTTGTGTCAGTTCTAAGTTGGTTTTTATTGCTTCTTATACTTACTATAGGTCTTATTTTCCTGCTTTCTGGCTTGGAAATTTCTGATTGAATGCAAGACATTGTGAATTTTGCCTTTTGGGGCACTTGATAGCTTTGTATTCTCATAAATACTATTAAATTTTGCTTTGGGGGTATAGTTAAGTAACATAGATATATGCCTTTCAAGTATTGCTCTTAAGCTTGTTAAAAATAAGCAAAGCTCCATTTAGTCTAGGGCCAACATTCCCCCACAGCTAACGCAGATCCTCCTGAATAATCTATCTGATGCCTCATGACTGATTTGTTTTCCCATTCTGACTGGTGGGAGTAAGAACTGTTTGAGTTGCAGGATTGTTCCCTCAAATCCTTTTGGCTGTGTTTCAGCCTTAAGGTTGAAGTTTTCTCACACACATGTGGTAATAGGTACTCAGCTGAAGACTTGATCAGGCTCTCTGCAAATCTCCAGTGTTGTCATCCTGTCTAGTTCTCTCATCTGCCGTACTCTGCCCTGAAAACTACAGCTGCCTCATTTTCCCCATATTCTAGCCCAGTCTCCTCAACTCATGAAGACAGATAGAAGCCTGGCTTCCCCATTCCTGCCACCAGCTTGTAATCTCTGTTCAGGCAATAAGCTGGGGAAAGCATAGAGCTATTTCCCATCTCTTAGGGATCACTGTCTTTTTTCACTTACTACCTGATCTTTTGGAAACTGTTGTTTCATATCTTTTGTCTGCTTTTTAGCTGTTTCAGGCACGCAGGTAAGTGTGGCCTCTGTTATTCCATCTTGGCTGAAAGCAGAATTCTTGCTATCATTTGAGTACTAAGACATGCCAGGCCCTATTCACAGCACTTTACCTCAGCCCCTTTTAAACCAATAACCCCTGCTCACCCCTTTGCTTAGAATCTTCATCCTTTGCATCTCTATGCTCTGAGTTGGGAAATCAGGGAACGGAGACAATGAATCTCAATGCCCCTGTCTCAGAGCAGATTAGGAGGCCCTTGTTAATGGAGTTGGCTTAATGCTTTACTAACTTCTCATAAAGCCACACAGCCTGTAGTAGGAACACTGGTGTCAACTCTAATTTCTCTGATACTCCATTTAAATAAAGTCATTACCCAAAGGCCCCCAGGTATTTAAAGAACAACCTAACAATATGGCTACTGCCTCATGTGCATGTGGAATGATGTTCTCCCTGGATTGCTGTGCATGTTGCACATTCTTATTTTAAAACCAAATGAGTCTCAGCTCATGGAGACAGAGAAGACTGCCCCCAACGGAATATCTGGACTTTCCAGAAGGTATTGCATGTTGTTAGGCCTGAGTGGGCCAAAAGGTCAGGAGCAGAGATTCCGTGTGACCCATGGGATGGCCTAACAACAACACACATCAAAAGATTAAGGGTCACATCCAGTACCTCATCTGGTCCTGAAGATCTGAGTCAGCTGACATAGGCCAGAGTCCTAGAGTCTTTATGTGTGACCATCAGCAACCACAATGTGGGGTCAACAATCAGCAGCCAATGTTTCCTGAGCACTTACCATGCTCCAGGTAAGCCACCCCCATTTATCAGATGAGAAAACCAAGGTATAGAGAGGCAGAATGACTCATCAGCCCCACAGCTGGTATGTAGAAGAACTAAGATTTAAACCCAGGCCAACGGGTTCAATGCACTAGAGTCACTGTAATAAAGTTCAGACTCCCAGTCTAACACAGAAGTCAACCCCTCTCCCCAGTTTGGCTCTTTCACATGTGTATTATTTAGTTTTTGCTGCATAAAAAAAATTCCAAAACTTGGAGCTTAGAAACACACATATGCTAAGAAGATAGCAGAGTAGGAAATACCAGGAATCTGTCTCCCCATCTAGACAAGAATTGCACTGGCAGCCTCTATGTCATGTATCCATTTTGGAACCCTAGAGTATATTAAAGGCTTGCAACTTCCAGAGAAAGGCTTAGACGGTAAATGGCAGTCAGCAGCAGGTATCCATTCCCCACCCCTCTCAGCCATGTGTAATCAGTTGTGCATGTGTTCCTGGAGTAGGTTGTACACAGCTTGCAGGAGCCAGAATGGGCAAAACAGGACCCTGCCCTCCAAATATCAGGGATATCTGATCACTAATTTCTGCTTCTGATTACAGAAGTACAGACAAAGAGGCAAGTGGCTATTGTTGCTGCACCTTCCCCCACTTTTACTTGTCTCTCCCTCTGAATAAAGTGAGTTCCAGGCAATTTTAAAAGCCAATGCCCCTTTTTCCTCCTTAGTTTTTCTCTTTTTACCCTTTTGGGAGGTAGACAGTAAAAGCTAGGACATTCAAAAACAACTGCATGTATGGGGGAAATTAGAAAGTGACCATGAATGCCCAGGGAAAGGCTCAGAAAAGATCTTAAGAGACCATAAGTTTACACCTCAAGCTTATCCTCAACACAGAGACAGTCTACAAAAATCAATAAAATAAAAATAACAAAAAAGCACTAAACCCCAGAGAAGGAAAATCTGATGCCAGAGTTGCCACACTGCTAGGTACAAATGTACAGTTTTCAACAAAAAAAAAAATCTTAAGACATACAAAGAAATAGGAAAATATGGATCATTCAAAGGAAAAAATTAATCAACAGAAACTGTCTCTGAGAAAGATCTGATGGCATATATACTAGACAAAGACATTAAAACGATTGTCTTAAAGATGCTTAGAAAACTAATGGAAGATGTGGAGAAACTCAAGAACTACTGTCTTAGTTCATTTTCCATTGCTGTAATAAAATACCACAGACTAGGTAATTTATGTTTATGTATATGTATATGTATATGTATATGTATATGTATATGTATATTTTTTTTAATTGAGACAGAGTCTTACTCTGTGGCCCAGGGTGGAGTGCAGTGGTACGATCTTGGCTCACTGCAACCTCCACTGCCCAGGTTCAAGCAATTCTTGTGCCTCAGCCTCCTGAGTAGTTGGGACTACAGATGTGCACCACCATGTCTGGCTAATTTTTGTATTTTTAGTAGAGATGGGTTTCACCATGTTGGCCAGGATGGTCTCGAACTCCTGACCTCAAGTGATCCTCCCACCTCGGTCTCCCAAAGTGCTGAGATTACAGGTGTGAGCCATCATGCCCAGCCTAATTTATATATTTTAAAAATAAGTTTATTTAGGTCATGGTTCTGGAGGCTGGGAAGTCCAAAAGCATGACTCTGGCATCTGGTAGATCCTTTTTGCTGCATGCATTATAACATAATGGAGAGCATCACATGATGAGAGGGCAAGAGGGTGCTAGCTCAGATCCCTCCTCCTCTTTTTATAAAACCACCAGTCCCATCATGGGTTCCTCACCCTGATAGCATCATCTAACCCTAATTACCTCCCAAAGACCCCACCTCTAAATCTCATCAACATATGAATTTGGTGGTTAAGTTTCCAACACATGAAATTTGGAGAACATGTTAAAACCATAGGAACTATGCATGAAAAAATGAAAATACTAATAGATAGAAAACCTTAAATAAACCAGAAACAAATTCTGGAGTTGGAAAGCACAATAACTGAAATTAAAAATGCACCAGAAAGATTCAAAGACAGATTTGAGCAGGCAGAAGGAACCATGAACTTGAAGACAGAATGATGGAAATTATGGATTCTGAAGAATAGAAAGGAAAAACAGTGAGGAAAACTGAATAGAACCTAAGGGAGACTTGTGGGACACTATCAAGCAGACAAATATATGCATTGTGGGAGTCTCAGAAGGGAAAAAGAGAAAGGGGCACAGAAAATATTGGAAAAAAATAATGTCAGAAAACTTCCTAAATTTAATGAAAGACATGAATGTAAACATCCAAGAGGCTCAGTGACCTCCAAGTAAGATGAACTCAAAGAGCCACACCAGGATGCATTATAATCAAATTTTTGAAAGACAAAAGCATCAGGGGAAAAGGAATTTATTACATACAATTGATCTTCAATAAGATTATCCACAGATTTTTCATCAGAAACTTTGGAGGCCAGAAGAAAATAAGCTGATATATTCAAAGTGCTAAAAGAGAAAGCTGTCAATCAAGAATCCTATAACTGGAAAAGCTGTCCTTTAAAAGGTGTTCTAATGAATAGAACAACCAGACAGAAGAAAGTAAGAAATAGAGGACTTAGCACAATGAACCAACTAGATCTAACAAGCATATACAGAACATTATTCCCAATAACAACAGCATACACATGCTTCTCAGCTGCCCATGGGAAGTTTTCCAGGACCAAATACACATTAGACAAAAAATTAAGTCTCAATATATTTCAAAATATAGATTACAAGGTATCTTCTCCAACCACAATGGAATAAAGTTAGAAATCAGTAATAGAAGTAAAACTGGAAAATTCACAAATTCATGGGAATCAAACAACACACTCTTAAACAACGAATGGATCAAAGAAGAAATCTAAGGGAAACTTGAAAATACTTAAAGATGAGTGAAAATGAAAACACAACATACCATACCAAAACATATGGGATGCAGTGAAAGCAGTGCTAAGAGGAAAACTTATAGCTATAAATGATTACATTTTAAAAAGCAAGAAAGATCTGAAATCAGCAACCTAATGTTACAATTTAACAAACTAGAAAAAGAAGAACAAACTAAAGCCAAAGCTAGAAGAAGGAAGAAAACAATGAAAATTGGAGCAGAGATAAATGAAATAGATAATACGAAAACAAGAGAAAACCAATAAAACCAAAAGTTTGTTCTCTGAAAAGATTAACAAAATTGACAAACTTTTACTTAGATGAACTAAGAAAAAAAGAAAGAAGACTCAAATTACTAAAATAAAAAATGAAAGTGGGGACCTTGCTACCAATTTTACAGAAATAAAAAGAATTATATGAGAATACTATGAAAGACTGTATGCCAACAAATTGAATAAGCGAGATGAAATAGACAAATTCCTAGAAACACAAAATCTATGAACACCAGATCACAAAGAAATAGAAAATCTGAATAGACCTATAACTATTATAATAACATAATTGAATCAGTAATCAGAAATCTCTCAACAAAGACAATCTCTGCATCTGAAAACTTCATGGGTGAATTCTGCCAAGTCTTTAAAGAACTAATCCCAATTATTCTCAAACTTTTCCAAAAATAGTGAAGAGCAAGGAACACTTTCTAACTCATTCTATTAAGCCAACATTACCCTGATACCAAAGTCATCTACAAGAAAACTACAAATATCCTTTATGAACAATGATGTAAAAATTCTCAACAAAATACTAACAAACCAAATTTGGCAGCATATAAAAATGTTATACACGAAGACCTAGCAAAATTTCTTCCTGGAATGCAAGGATAATTCAACACAAGAAAATTGATTAATGTAATATATCTCATTAAAAGAATGATGAAACAAAACCACATGATCATCTCAATGGAAAATAAAACACATGATCATCTCATGATAAAAAAAAAAATACTCACCAAACCAAGAATGAAAAGGAACTACCTCAACATAATAAAAGCCATTATTTAAAAACACACACACACAGAGTAAACATCATGCTAAATGGTGGAAGACTGAAAGCTTTTCCTCTAAGATCAGGAAAAAAAAAATTTCTATTCAACATAGTACTGGAAGTTCTAGCCAGAGAAATTGGGCAAAAAAATAATAAATTTAAAAAGAAGTAAAATAAACCCAAATTGGAAAGAAAGAGGTAAAATTATCTCTGTTCACAGATGATATGATCTAATATGTAGAAAACTCTAAAGATTTCACAAAGAAACTCTTAGAGCTAATAAATGAGTTCAGCAAAGTAGCAGGATACAAAGCCAACACCAAAAAAATCAGTTGTATTTCTATATACTAACAATAAACAATCTTAAAATGGAATTTTGAAAACAATTCCATTTACAATAGCATCAAAAAAATACTTAGGAATTAACCAATGAGGTAAAAGACTTGTACAATGAAAACTGCAAAACATTGCTGAAAGAAGTTTAAGATATAAGGAGAAAAATATTCCATGTTCATGGATAAGAAGACTTAACATTGTTAAGATGTCAATACTACCCAAAACAATCTACATATTCAATGCAACTCATATCAGAATTCCAATGATGTGTTTTTCAGAAATAGAAAAACTCATCCTAAAATTCATACGGAATCTTAAGGGACCCCAATAGCCAAAACAATCTTGAAAAAGAACAAATTTGGAAGACTACAAATGTACTACAAAACTACAGTAATCAAAACAGTATGGTAATGGTATAAAGACAGAAATATAGACCATGGAGTAGAATGGAGAGCCCAGAAGTAAACCCTCACATACATGGTCAAACGATTTTTGATAAGGGCACTAAGACCACTCAGTGGCAAAAGAACAGTCTTCAACACATGGTGCTAGAAAAACTGGATATCCACATGAAAAAGAATGAAGTTGGACCCACACTTAACACCATATACATAAATTAACTCAAAACAGATTAAAGACCTAAATATAAGACTCAAAACAATATAACTCTTAGAAGAAAACATATGGCAAAATCTTCATGACATCAGATTTGACAATGATTTCTTGAATATGACAGCAAAGGCACAAGCAATATACAAAGAAATAGACAGATTAAACTTCATAAAAATTTAGAATTTTCTGCATTAAAAGATACTGTCAACAGAGTAAAAAGCAACCCGTAAAATGGGGGAAAATATTGCAAATTATTTTATAAGGGATTAATATCCAGAATATACAGAGAACTCCTAAAATGCAACAACAACAAAAACTGGATTCAAAAATGGGCAAATTGCTTAAATAGAGACTTCTCAAAAAAATTCAAATAGCCAATAAGCAAATAAAAAGATGCTCAACATCATTAATCATTAGGGAAATGCAGATCAAAATCACAATGAGATACCACCTCAGACCCATTAGGATGGCAACTATTAAAAAATAAATAAATAAATAAATAAATAAATAACAAGTGTGGCAAGGATGTAGAGAAATCAGAACTCTTGTGCACTCTTGGTAGGAATGTAAAATGGTGCAGCCACTATGGAAGACAGTATGGTAGTTCCCCACAAAGTTAAAAACACAATTACCAAGTGACCCTGCAATTCCACTTCTGGGTACATATGCAAAAGAATTGAAAGCAGAGTTCGGAAGGGATACTTATTTACTCATGTTTATAGAAGCATTATTCATAATTGCTGAAAGTGGAAGCAACCCAAGTGACCATTGAAGAATGAATGGATAAGCAAAATGTGATATATACATACAACATAATATGATCCAGCCTTAAAAATAAAGGGAATTCTGGCACATGCTACACGGATAAAACTTGAGGGCACTATGTTAAGTGAAATAAGTCAATCATAAAGGGACAAATACTGTATGATTCTACTTATATGAGATACTTAGAATAGGCAAAATCATAGAAACAGAAAGTAGAGAGGTAGTTGCCAGGGGCTGAGCAGACGATGGAGGAGGGGATAGGGAGTTAGTGTTTAATGGGTATAGAGTTTCATATTCGCAAGATGAAAATTGTTAGGGAGATGCATGTGATGGTTGCACGTTATGAATGTACTTAATACCACTGACCTCTATATTGTACTTAAAAATGGTTAAGATGGTCAATTTATGTTATGTGTATTTTATTTATAAATTAAAAATCATCCCCTCTCAAATGGGGAGTTTCTGGGAAAACACACACACACAAACACGTGTATTTCTAATGATTCTGTGGGTTATGTCTAGCTGACCCACAAGTCCAGGCTGGCTCAGCTGGGGCTGGATGGCCTCAGACAGCTTCAGTCACCTGTTTTGGCCTCAAATGGGGCATCTCTCCACATGGTCTCAAATCCTTGAGTAGCCAATGATGGCAGTCACAGGCTGGCCCCACGCACAAGCATCTTTCAAGTCCCTGATTGTATTATGTTATTGTCATCTTGCCCAAAGCAAATTGTCAAGCCAAGCCCAGATTCAAGGTGTGGAGAAATAGATTCAGCCTCCTGATCAGAGGAACCAAAACATCACATCCCAGAAGGCATGCATTCGGGGTGGGGGGAGCTTGCAGGCACACCGGATCTAACACACCACATCTTTTTTTTTTTTTTTTTTTTACTTTAAGTTTTAGGGTACATGTGCACATTGTGCAGGTTAGTTACCTATGTATACATGAGCCATGCTGGTGTGCTGCACCCACTAACTCGTCATCTAGCATTAGGTATGTCTCCCAATGCTATCCCTCCCCCCTCCCCCCACCCCACAACAGTCCCCAGAGTGTGATATTCCCCTTCCTGTGTCCATGTGATCTCATTGTTCAATTCCCACCTATGAGTGAGAATATGTGGTGTTTGGTTTTTTGTTCTTGTGATAGTCTACTGAGAATGATGGTTTCCAATTTCATCCATGTCCCTACAAAGGACATGAACTCATCATTTTTTATGGCTGCATAGTATTCCATGGTGTATATGTGCCACATTTTCTTAATCCAGTCTATCATTGTTGGACATTTGGGTTGGTTCCAAGTCTTTGCTATTGTGAATAATGCCGCAATAAACATACGTGTGCATGTGTCTTTATAGCAGCATGATTCATAGTCCTTTGGGTATATACTCAGTAATGGGATGGCTGGGTCAAATGGTATTTCCAGTTCTAGATCCCTGAGGAATTGCCACACTGACTTCCACAATGGTTGAACTAGTTTACAGTCCCACCAACAGTTTAAAAGTGTTCCTATTTCTCCACATCCTCTCCAGCACCTGTTGTTTCCTGACTTTTTAATGATCGCCATTCTAACTGGTGTGAGATGGTATCTTATTGTGGTTTTGATTTGCATTTCTCTGATGGCCAGTGATGACGAGCATTTTTTCATGTGTTTTTTGGCTGCATAAATGTCTTCTTTTTCGCTACCCTCCCTCCACCTGTCTGCTGCTGAAGTTTCAAAAATGCTCTGGTCTTCCACAAATGTTGCTCCCTATGCCTGAGATGCTGTTTCCTCAGCTCCTAGGAAATTCATGTGTCTTTCAAAACTCTTTCAAAATATCTCCTCTGGGAAGCCTTCTCTGACTACCCACTCCAGACACCCAGCAGGCTGGGTTAAGGCCTCCTCTGCTCTCCCCTGCATCTCCTTCTCATCCCTCTCACACATTTGGCACTCTGTGCTGTGTGCCCCTCCGACGCCCACTAGGGGGCTGGAAGCCCAGGTCTGGAGCAGCATCTTAGAACTAAAATGCCTAGCACAGGGCCTAAAATAAAAGATTAACTCAACTTGGTAAATGCTTTGGGGGATGGGAGGAAAAAAGGGAGGGAGGGATGGAGTTAGAGAGAGAAGTGAATGAATGAGCCTTGGGTGAAAGGGTCAGGGTAACCTGGGATCAGATGCCATGCCTAGGTCAGGTAACAGCTGCCCAAAGACCCACTACCCCTAGCACGGAACCCAGGGAATATTTTCCCACAGGGGAGGAAAATATTTACTAGCTAACAAAGTTAATGACTACCTGCAGGGGTGTTGCCAAGGAGATGGGCAGGTACCCAAGATGGATGATAGGCTTGACCTGGCCCAGGTGAGGTCAGGGGAGGTGATATTTGATCTGAGACTGAGAGATGCAGGAGAGAGGAGAGGAAAGCTGTCGGGGGGCAGGAGGAGCAGCATGCATGTTGCCTCCTGAGGTGGGGGAGGCAGGGCTTGTCTGAGGAGCTGAAGGAAGACTTTGGAGCTGCCACTCAGGGAAGGAGGCAGGAGGGCGCTGTGCGAGGCTGGGAGAGTGGTCAGAGCCTGGAGGAGTTCTTACGTCCTGCTCAGGAATGCCGCACAGCTTAAAGACAGCTGTGGGAAATGGGGAGAGGCTGAGACTCAGCCCTAGATGGCCTGGGGTCTCAAGAGGAGGAGCAAGGTAGCAGCTCAGATGCCAAAATCAGGGACAACAATAAGGAAAATAGCAAATGCCCCTCTACCACCTACCATTACAGGCAAGGTTCAGTGCCAAATGTTTATTCATTCAATCTGCACAACAACCCAGAGGGGAGTGTTATCTTATTATTCCCATTTAACAGATGAAGAAACTGAGTCATTCAGAGAGGCTGAGTGACTTGACCAAAGGCACACAGCTAAGAAAGTGGTAGAGCTGGGCTTCAAACCCAGATTATGTCCCAACACCAGGGTCTGTGCTCTTACCCATTACCCTCTCACTTGGTTATTAGACAGTCATTTAACAAGCATTCCTTAATCACTTTGTGGATGCAGATACTGCCCTCAGTGATGAGGATATGACAGGGAACAAAAGAGACTTGGTCTTAATCTCTTGGTGCTGATGCACCAGCTGGTCAAGAAGTAAACCACAAACGTCAGATAGAGATGTGTGCTATGTGCAAATGAAGGGACACAATGCAACAGAAGTGATGGTGGAGGATGCGGGGACAGAGCTGGATGAGTGTCTGGAGAGCCCCTAGGAGGAGGTGACATTTGTGCTGAGCTCTCAATGCCATGAGAGGATGAGGAAGAAGAACCTCCCAGGGAGAGGAAAGAGCAGGTGCAAAGGCCCTGACGCAGAAATGCATTCTGCGTAATTGAGAAACTGAGTGTATGAGTCAGATCTCACATTGCTATAAAAAAGTACTTGAGGCCAGGTGCGGTGGCTCATGCCTATAATCCCAACACTTTTGGAGGCCAAGGTGGGTGGATCACTTGAGGTCAGGAGTTCAAGACCAGCCTGGCCAACATGGCGAAACCCCATCTCTACTAATACAAAAAATTAGCCAGGTGTGGTGGTGCATGCCTGTACTCCCAGCTACTCAGGAGGCTGAGGTGGGAGAATCACTTGAACCCAGGAGGCGGAGGTTGCAGTGAGCCGAGATTGTGCCACTGCATTCCAGCCTGGGAGACAGAGTGAGACTCTCTCAAAAAAAATAATAAAATAAAATAAAATAAAAAGTACTTGAGGCTGGGTAATTTATAAAGAAAAGAGGTTTAATTTGCTCACGATTCCACAGGCTGTACAGGAAGCATGGAGGCTTCTGCTTCTGGGGAGGCCTCAGGAAACTTACAATCATGGCGGAAGGCAAAGGGGAAGTGGGCATATCTTACATGGCCAGAGCAGGAGGAAGAGAGGGCAAGGTGGGAGGTGCTACACACTTTCAAACAACCAGATCTCCTGAGAACTCACTCACTATATAGTACCAAGGGGGGTGGTACTAAACCATTCATGAGAACTACCCTCATGATCCAATCACCTCCCACCAGGCCCCACCTACAACACTGAGGATTACAATTTGATGTGAGATTTGGGTGGGAGGTGGGATCACACACCCAAACCATATTACTGAGCAGAGGTCAGTGTAGTGGAAACAGTCAGTGAGAGCAGAGGGCAGGAGACAAGGTCAGAGGGACAGGCAGGGGCAGATCGGGTGGACCTTGGGGCTACATGTGCTGCCATCCTCTGAGTGCCCTCCAGACCCAACCTCAGCCTCCTGCCAGGAGACTGATCTGAATGGATGGCATCAATAGGGCTCCTGTGCCCTCTTGTGCCCCAGCTTCTGTGTGTTCTAGAAGCACCAGAGGAGACCAAGTAACAGGAGTAGAAAGATATTGGGTGCTTATTCCCTGGCTCCCTCCCTCTTAACTATAGCTGCAATGGCTCTCTTTCTCTCTTGAAGCCCCAGCTCCATCTGGTGACCCCTCTTCTGAGGCTGCAGCTCTCTCTGAGGTCTGGTAACAGCTTCTTTCTGGACCGGGATGGAAACAGCCCCCCACTGTTGCCGGCCCCCAGTGGCCTCACCATCCCCTGCTGCCTTCCTGTATCCCTGCCACACCTTGGTGAATTGCCCTCCATTACCCTCCCTTCAATCACCCTCTCCCATTGGTCCTTGGTGGTCTGCTCCCTGCTAAGACCCTGACTGATAGTGGATACTCCTTGATGAGCATTCAGATTTCATTTGAAGTGCAATAGGGAAGCCTCTAGAGAGTTTAAGCTGGGGAGGGACTTACTCTGCTTCAACTTTTATGAAGAACCTCCTGGCTGCTATAGAAATGGATGGGAAGAGGGGACAAGAATAGACAGGGGACATATTGGGGACGATTGCAGGGTCTAGGCAGATATAGTGAAGTTTGGTCCAAGGTGGAGGCAGTAGATAGAGGACCCAGGCCAGATGGGTCCTTCAGATAGTAGCTTCAGCTCCTGAACTTTTGGCCCCTGAGGATCTTGTCCAGGGTCCTGAATTCCCCCAGTGCAGGGGAACTGATGGGTACAGAACCAAGATCCCCCTCAAGGCTGAGGCAGAGTTAGGGGAGCTCAGTGTGGAGGGAGGGCTCCTCGGGGCAGTGGGCCCTCTAGGATTCAAGAAGGATGGGTGGAGCCGGGCATGAGTGGAGCCAGCAGCTGCTCTGGGCCTGGGGCAGAGCTGCCTTGAGCAGGGATGTCATGAAGCCCATTGGTCCCAGAGCTCTGTGAGCCACTCAGGCACTGGCCCAGAGCCATAATCTTCACCCTTGCTGTCCATATAATTGCTTCAATCTCCCTTTGATTTGCAGGAAGTTGTGGCATGGGGGCAGGAGAGAGACGCCACTGGTCCTCAGTCATCTCCCAGTGAGCAGAACCCAACCAAGGTCCCATGGCCTGCCCTGCAGCCCCCTTCACACTCCAGCCCTGGAGTGGTGGGGTTGGGGCATCTCTGGCTGGTGCACAAGCCAGGAAGTTTGGGTGTCTTTTCCAGGTGGAAAAGGTGGAGGAGGGATTCACCAGGGGATGCTGGGCCAGTCGCTTAGCCTCTCTGAGCCTCACTTTTCTCATCTGGGAAATGGGCTAACACATACCTCACAGGGCTGTTGTGAGCCCTGAGTGAGATGCTGATATAGTTTGGATATTTGTCCCCACCCAAATCTCATGTTGAAATGTAATCCACTACTGTTGGAGGTGGGGCCTGGTGGGAGGTTATTGGATCATGGGGGCAGGTGCCTTATGAATGGCTTGGGCCACCTCCTTTGTGATAAGTGAGCTCTCTCTCTGAGTTCACAGGAGATTCCAGTCATTTAAAAGTGTGTGGCCTCTCCCCCAGACTCTCTATCTCTTGTTCCTGCTTTTGCCATGTGACCTGCCTGCTCCCTCTTTGCATTCCACCATGATTGCAAGCTTCCAGAGGCTTCCCTAGAAGCAGATACTGGCACTGTGCTTCCTGTTCAGCCTGTAGAGCCGTGAGCCAGTTAAACCTCTTTTCTTGTAAATTACCCAGCCTCAGGTATTTCTTTATAGCAATGCAAGGACAGCCTAATACAGATGCCAAGGCCAAGGGCTGTGCCTGGCCCTCTGCAGCTGCACCACATGAGTGAGTCCATCCCTCCTGCAGAGAGGTCGGCACTGACAATTCTCCCAGAATCCAACACTCGCGTCATTCAGCCTTCAGCATTCCCATAGGCCTCTATTCCCCGCTCAGGACCATCAAAGCATCAGGTGGGCAGCCACCACAGCCTTTTCCAGCTTGTACAGTAGGGGCCCTTATTTCTCTGCTGAGCAACAGCCTCATAGCCCCGATCACTAATCACTGCACCCCCAGCCTCATGAGCCTGTTGGATACATTCAGGAGACCCTGAAGCCTCCCCTGCCCTAGAGCTGTGGCAGGAGAAAAGACACACCATTGGCCAAGGATCTGCTGCCTCCCTGGCCCTGCGCTCACAGGAGCCTCCCGTGCCCTATTCCCTCCAAGACTGTGCGTGGGCAGGAGGGGGTCAGGAACCACGAGGACGTACACTGGACATGCCAGCCACCCCTGGGAGCAGGACGCTTACCTGGAGTCCCAAGAATAGAGCCTGCTGGGTGCACACGTGAGTGCTGAGTGACAGCAGTGATCAGATCTTTGGCCTGTCAGCACCTGGGAATAATTACAATCCTAAAAAAAGCCCTCATTATTTCTACCAGGGCCGTGGTGCCCTTTGGAAAAGTGGATGTTTCCTGCCAGATCATCCCCTGAAGCTGCATTTGTCACAAGCTATTGTGTAAATCCATGTTTGGCCCATTTTTTAAAAATGTGATTTATCCACTTGGCTGCCTTAACGTTCCTTCTCCAAACTCTCAAAATGTGGCTGATCTCAGGAGCCCGGAGAGGAACCATAAAGCATCACAGGGGAGTGGTCTGGCTGGGTCCAGCCTGGGGCTCTGAACTCCTCGTGCTGCCCCAGAGAGCCAGCATGGCCAGTACGGGCAGCCAAGGTGAGGGAGGGTGTTCTGCTCCAGAGCAGCAACCATTCAGGAACAGTGGAGGGACAGAACCTGGGATCTGGAGGAGGCTCAACTTCAGGCTTATTCACCCCAAAAAGGCTCACTGTGGTTCCACCCTGTGCAGCCCTGTGTGGGGCCTGGGCTGCAGCAGTGAACAGACAAGGTCCCTGCACCCCAAGAGCTGACACCATGGAATGGGGAGGCAGAAAGAGACAGATAAGCAATGCATCAGCAAGACTATTCCAGGTAGGGACAGGTACAGTGAAGAAATCAAAACTGGGTCATGCTATTGAGGTGGGGAAAGGACAGTGCCCATCAGATGTTGGGTCAGTGAAGGTCTTTGTGAGAAGGGAACATTTGAGCTGAGACCTCAATGGGAGATGAAAGACAGAGCAGTTAGTTTTGCCTGGTGGGATCAGGAAGGTTCCAAGGAGGAGACGCGATCTCATGGTGGATGCTTAGAATTGGACCAGGTGGGAGAGGGGAAGTGTCTTCAGGGTATTCCAGATGGGGCAACACAGGAGCCAAGGCCCACAGCAGTGCAGGTTCATAACATGTTGGGGGAATGTCTACTGTGGCCAGAGTGGAGCTGGAAGCGTCCTGGGGCCAGCATGTGACAGATCTCTAGTCCTGTGCTATAGATAGGACCCTCTCCTGAGACATGGGGAACCCTCTAAAGGGGTTAGACCTTGTGACTTCTAAGGCCCCTTCCAGCTTTCAGTTTCCATAAGGCAAGCTTGCAAAGGCTGTTGGCTTTAGTTGAGTGAAAACTGAATGCAAATAAACTTTTTAAAGTTAATAAGCTTGTTAAAAATAGATCTGGGGTGTCATGAAGTCCTGGAGTTCACAGAGACCAGAGGTGGTAGGGGAGACCGAACCTTAGTGGCCCAGGGTCCCTCACGTGGGGCTGTGCACAGATGGACACAGGCCAGGGCAGGATTTCATTCTCCTCCAAACAGTCATTCCCCTCCACCCTGCCCACCCACCGCAAGTGCCAGCAGCACCCAGAGGTCCCCTGCTCTTGCCTTGAATCCTGGCCCAACCCCCTGGGGTACAGTCCTAGAAGGCCATCCACCCACCCCCCAAAAAAAACCCAGCACAAACCAGGTCAACCTTCTTCCCCTCCTATTTTAGATCAAGCAGCCAGTCTGCCCTTTGGGAGCAACAGGCTCATTTCTCTTCCTGGCTCACTAAACAGTAGGACCCTGCGACTCCCACAGCAGGCTACTGGAGAAAGTTTTCTAGAACTTCAGACCCTTTGATGGAGAAGTCAGACTAATGAATAATTGAGACGTCTGGGCTTCCTGAGAACACTATGGATAGAGGTGTCCCAGTTCTTCCAGGAAAGCAGAGCTTCGGAGCGCTGCACGGAGGCGAAGAAAAGCCTTTACTTAAAGATGAGTCAGGAAGGCAGAGGGCTGGGGTGGAAAGGGCTGGAGGCAGCCAGGAGAGGCAGGTGCGTGGGCACTGGCTTCTGGTGAGCACTGCATGCAATTAGGCAATTCATGATCAGAGCACGGCTCTGCACTCAGACCTGGGTATGAAGCCCGTTTACATAATACAAGGTCAAAAGCCCAGCTCATACTCTCTTCCAAATGGCCAGATGGGTGGAGAGGCCACGCCCAAGATAGTACCAGCCTGACAGCCACCCAGCCAGTGGACCCGTAGGAAGGAGAGACCTTTCCCCACCCAGCATCCATTCATGACCCACACACACCCCTGACCCCACGACGCCCCAGAGGGGCTCTGCTTGCTCTGGCTTGAGCCACGTGCCTGCCTCTGCACCAATCGCAGCAGCCACTTGGATGGGAACTTGTGATTGGTCACTTCCAGGTCACATGCTCACTCCTACGCGGGAAGGGAGGTAGTGGATTGGCAACGCAACCAAAATAACATGGAGTATCAAGGAGCAAACAGGAAAGAAATGAAGGGCTCTTTGCAGAATGGAGAGAGGAGGGAATGTTACTGAGCACTTGGCAGGCATTCAAATGCCTTGGTGATCTGGCCCCAGGCTACCTATCCAGTCCCTTCCAGCTACACCCCTACTGCACTCAGCCTGACTCATCTGAATATTTGCAGGGTCCTCAGTGCTGCGCACTCACTCCACCGCAGGTCTTGCCCAGGGGTTCCCTCTGGCTTGGATGACTTCTACCACCTGCACAGCAAAGCCAGTCTTGGGTGTCACCTTCTCTGGTAAACCTTCCATCCTGCCCACTGGCATACTGTGCTTGGTCTCCGTCGGTTCACAGCCCCCCTGCCCAGCTACCCCGACTCCCTGCCCTTGAGAACAGAGATTTAATCTTATTCTCTTCTGTTTCACTAGTGTCTTGCACATTTTCTGGCACCCTGTCAGCTCAATGAATGTCTTTAGAATGAATCCATTAATGAATTAATTCCAGTTATTGGCAGAACTGATCTTTTGTGTATCTGGCAACAGCAGCTGCGCTCCATGTGCTGTGGTTTAACAAGCCTTGAGGAGATGTCCTTGTCCCAGATTGTATTCCTGATAGGCATCCTAAGAGTAGTTTCTTTCCCTCTCTGACCTTGCTTTCCTCGTCTGTGAAATGGGCTCCCTGACCTTTAACGCTGGTTCCAGTCCTGTAAGTCATGGAAAAGACTAGCCTTGGGAAACCAGGGCCAACCTGGGGGACCCTGGATAGGCCGTCCTAGAAGAGCCCTAGGAGACTGGCATCCTGGGAGGCAGAGGGGCCTAGGATGAGAGAAGTTTCCAAGCATATAAAAGTGAAATCCTGCTGAATTCACAATTTTGCTAATATTAGAATACTGTCAGATACTTCCAAAACCAAAAAAAAAAAAAAAAAAAAAAATGAGTTCTGAGTCTTGAATTAATCTTTACATTTTCACAGGGAAACTTAGATCTGTCTTTTGAAGTACAATAAAATCTCACTAATGAAAACTGATCATAATTCTGGGCACCTTTGTGTTTGCTATGGGAAGAATTGTTTTGCTAAACCAATTAATAATATAAACAAGACTAGAAGTGAAAGTATTTACCCTACTAAAATGAGCAAAGTTTTTGCAAGCCTCTTCTTCACAAATTCATGGGTCCAGGAGGAACTTCAAGATCCTCAAAATTGTTCTCCTCTCTCTAATCCTACCCATGTTTCCTGTACCCAAGTGAGGTCTCAGCACTGTGATCATAGGTAATAATAAGTAACAGTTAAAAAGGAGCTACCATGTGCTGAAAACTTGGCTGAGAACTTTTAATCCTCACAATTCTACCTCTGACTTCATCTCCTACTGCTCTCCCCACCTTACTACGCTCCAGCCACACCAGCCTTTTCTGAGTTCCGAGCTCACACTCACCTCCAGAGCTTTGCATGTGCTGTTCCTCTGCCTGGGGCTCTCTTCCCCCGCAGCAGCCTTATGGCTGGCTCCTCATTGTTCAAGGCTGAATTCAAACATCACCTCCTCTGAGAAGCCCTCCCTGATCATCCTATCAGACATTTCCCTCCTCCTGTCCATCAGGCCTCAATCCTGTACATCATCTGCAGCTATTGCCTTAGTAGCTCTCATCATGGTCGGAAATCAACCTATTTATTGATGTATTTACTTATATCCCACCTCCCCCTCCAGAATGTGAGCTCCTTCAGGGCAGAGTCCTTGTCTACCTTTTTCACAATTGCATTCCCACTGCCCAAAACAATGAATTTCTGTCTCCCCAAACCCCAACCTTGCCCATGGTGCTTTCTAATAAATGCATATTAAACTAACAAATGGATATATAGAAAGTACAGTAGACAAAAAATAACTCAGAATAAATCATGAGCCAGGCATGAGGTTTATCTTCACTTCATCCAACAAGTTTTCCTGAGTCATTTGAATGATTGCAAAAGGTCTGTCTGTTCTATTTAAAAGAGTGCCTTGCTTTCTGGACATCTGTATTCACAAATTCATCACCTAAAAGGGTTGTCAGCCATTGCATAAGATCCTAAGCACATTTCACAGATGAAAATACTGAGACTCAGAAAGAGAGTTAGATCAGTAAGATCTTGTGTGGTGTCAGAGACGACAAGAAGCCAGCTCACTTGGTCTCATATCTGTGTCTAAAGCACTCTGGAGGTGCTTTTAGAATCTTTCATCTGTCACAAGAATTGGCACAACTTTTCTGGGGGCACTGTAGGAATAATAATAATAAAATAATAGTAGGAGTAGCCAAAATGTCCTGAGTGGGATAAACAGTGTGGTAAACCCTTCAAACAACAACCCAAGGGGATGAGTACTATTGTTATCCCCATTTTCCAGAGGATGACACCAGGACCCAGATTCCCTGCCTCCGGTCCCTCACCCAGAGCAGGGACATGCAGGGGACCCTGGAGCACCTTCTGCAGAAGGGCTGGGTGTCAGACCTGGCTTCTCACCTCACCTGGCGCCATTTAGAGACATTAAAAAGCACTCAAAGCTAGGCTGGGTGCAATGGCTCACACCTGTAATCCCAGCACTTTCGGAGGCGAGGCGGAGGCAGGCAGATCGCCTGAGGTCAGAAATTCGAGAATTCGAGACCAGCCCGGCCAACATGGTGAAACCCTGTCTCTACTAAAAATACAAAAATTAGCCAGGCATGGTGGCAGCCGCCTATAATCCCAGCTACTCGGGAGGCTGAGGCAGGAGAATCGCTTGAACCTGGAAGGCAGCGGTTGCAGTGAGCCAAGATGGCACCACTGCACTACGGCCTGGGCAACAGAGCAAGACTCCGTCTCAAAAAAAGAAAAAAAAAAAAAAGCACCCAAAGCTGAAATCACTGAGATTTCTTCATCCTGCAATTTCTATTGAAAATTATTGTCTCTCACTTTTCTTCCCACCTACCCAAAATATCAAGTCAGTCTTTCCTAGAAGCACTTAATGGAGATAAAGGGGATTCGGGGATAATTTTGCCCCATTGAATAGTCACCTGGAGCGAATGAGAGTGGCCATATCCTCATGGGGCCCATCACCTCCTCTCCCCTCCCTGTCCTGTTCCTGCCCACTCCCCTTTTCACTCCTCAGAGGCAGCCATGGGAGCTCAGTCACTGGGGAAATTCACATGTTCTCCAGGGCCCCTGCCAAGGTCTGCTTTCCAGAAATCCAGTTCCCACATGAACCTGGCCTGACGTTACCAGTGAAAGCCTCTGAGCTTCTGGAAAGGAGCAGGGAGGAATCCCCTGGAGAGAAGGCAGAAGCCCCTCAGGCCTTGCTCTGAGATGCCACCAGCACCTGCTTGGTGGTGACACCTTGGAAATCCTCCAGGCCACAAGGCCGGGCCACAAGCTTTTCAGTGCCACTTGAGACAATGCTAGGCTCTCGGCAGGTTAGCAGGGGAAGGTTAAAGCAGGGACAGGAGTCTCTGATGCAGAGAAGCCATGACCCTTAACTATTCAAAAGCACAGCCCATCCCTAGAAGGGCCGGTCAGGGCTGCAGAGGGACGCCAACCTCCTCCTGGGGTCTTCATTGCTCTGGCTTTGGGATTCTCTGGAAACTTGCCCTAGCCCGCAGGCAGGGCCCACTGTAGTTACCCTTCATAATAAGAGCTTTCATTAAAATGAGCATCTACTATGTGCCAGGCACCATGCAAGGAATTAACACTCTATATATTAGGGTAATCACTGTGAAATTGCCAATTTCGTAGGCTGAAAATATAGGTTGAAATAGCAACAACTTTCTATCATTCAACCTAATACATTCTCCTATTTCATCTCCACAATAACACTGTGAGGCGCCGATCACGATCCTCATTTTATAGGTGAGAAAACAGAGGCTCAGGGAAGCAGCCAGAAGTGGGCAGTCAGAATCCACATGCACGTGGGCCCCATGCTAAGCCCAGCTCTCTCTGCAGGGCCTTACTGTCCCTCCTGTTATTCTCATTCCTCCTCTGCTTTGCCCTGTTCCCGGGGTCTGCGGCACTCGCCCTCACTACGGTGCCTTTGCTTCTGCTGGGCCTCCCTCTTGAACTGCTTTTCCCTTCCTGTCTTTCACAGGATCACAAGAGGAGCCGCAGAGTTGAGTTGAAAAAGATACCATGTCTGCCCTTAAAGGGCTCACTGCCCTGTGTAGACACAGGATAATTTGTGATTTCAACTCCATGTGTTCAGGAAGAAAAAGAGAGATCTGACTAGTAGCTTAAAAATGCCCGTGATTTTGCCTACACTCCTCTCCATGAATCCCTGCTCCACAATGACTCTAAGCCAGGAGCTCTGAATCTGTGGTTTCCTGGCTTCTGTTTACCTGCACCTGCTGAATCTATAGATGGACACCTCATGAGAGGTGATTCTGCAGAACTGGCCAAGCAGAAAGGCTGAGCTTGGGGATCAGGGTCTGTGGAGGCATCTGGGCAGGGGAACAGCGGTGTGGAAGGAAGCAAAAAAGAGCTCCGTGGAGCTGGAGAGTGAAGGATGGGGGGGTGATAAGGTTAGGCTTTGTGTCCCCACCCAAATCTCATCTTGAATTGTAAATCCCCAGGTGTTGAAGGAGAGATCTGCTTCTCTGTGGGAGGTGATTGGATCATAGGGACATTCTCCCTCCTGCTGTTCTCATGGCAGTGAGTGAGTTCCTATGAGATCTGATGGTTTTATAAGTGTCTGGCATTTCCCCTGCTTGCACTTCTCTTTCCTGCCACCATGTGCAGAAGGTCTTTGCTTCCCCTTCTCCTTCCGCCATGATTGTAAGTTTCCTGAGGCCTCCCCAGCCATGCAGAACTGTGCGTCAATTAAATATCCTTCCTTTATAAATTACCCATTCACGGCTGTGTCTTTACAGCAGTGTGAGAATGGACTAATACAGGAAGGAGTGGGGGAAGGTCAGGGCAGGTGATGACGCTGCAGAGTTTGGCCAAGGCCAGACTTGAAATGGCAAGCTGAGTTTGAAATCTATTCCAGAGGCTAATCATTTTCACCTAGGTTCTTCCTCTGTGGTGGCTCAAAAGTTGAGTTGCCAGATTAAGCAAATAAAAATATAAGATGGATAGATTCTCAGTTATACTTGACTTTCAGCTAAACAATGAATATTTGTTTAGTGTAAGTATGCCCCATACAATATTTGGGACATACTTATACTAAAAAATTATTGTTTATCTAGAACTCAAACATAACCAGGTGTCCTATATTTTATCCAGTACCTCTACTTGGGGACCAGAGCAGGCTAAGAGGAGGCCAGGAATGGGCAGGCTCAGCCCCCTCTCCACTGCAATCTGAAAAGTTTTGCTGCTCTAATTTTAGATTTTGGGGAATCTATGTCAGATCCATTTGAAAATAAGTTTCTGACTTCAATAATAACACTAAAATGTACATAAAACCATTGTGTAAATTATGTGTAAGATCCCTTCAGGGACCTAGACAAGGGGTTAGCAAATGTTTTCCATAAAGGGCCAGATTTAAATATTTAATTGTAATTAATTATAAATATTTAATTTTATTATACAGTTGTAAATATTTGATTATAATTAATATTTAATTGAAATATTTAATTATAAAATGTAAATATTTTAGGCTTTGTGTATTATACCATCTCTGTTGAAACAACTCAACTTTGCAGTTACAGTGTGAAAGCAGCTTTAGACACTTAGTAGGTAAATGAATGTGTCTGTTCCAATAAAACTTTATTTACAAAATCAGACTGTGGAGCCACATATGGCCCATGGGCTATAGTTTGCTGACCCCTCATCTAGACTGTTGGGCACACTCAGTGCTGGCTGAGAGAAATCATATTCTTTCCACGATGTTCTGTGCACAGGGACAATTCCTCTTAAGAAGCTGAAAATCTAACTGGGGACATCTGTATCTCTCTTCCTGCCACTGATTTGTGGGGTGATCATGGAAAAGGTTGCCCTTCCTTTCCTGGGTCTTAGAGGTCCCACTTCCATGATGAAATAGTTGGAGCCCCAGGATCTTCTCCCAAGTCACATCTGATGACCTGGTCCTACCATAACATCTGTCCCCAAGTGGTAGTTGCTATTCTCTCTCCCTCCTTTTCTAAAGTCCCCACTATCTGGTTGCAAGATGAAGACAGCATTTACTTATTCTACCCACTTTCGCCCCATGGACAATTTTTTTTTTTTTTTACATTTCCAGGGACTCCAGATGCCCTGAAAACCCTTCACCCCTGCTGCCTCCTTAGTCACTTACACTGGGCAGAATGCCCACGGCCAGGGGCACTGAATCTCCCCCATGCAAGTAAACATGTTGGCAGTGCCAACTCACTGCCAGAGACCAGGACCCCCTAACAGGGAGCTTGCCCACAACTGGGAATGTCTTTAACACCTATTGACAGCTCTTCCCCCATCGCTCTGTGCCAAAGTTGAAACAGTAAAAGGCATCGATTTCCCAGGACTGAACTGGGGGGCCAAGGTCAAGGCAAGGAAGAGGTGGGTTGCAGGGCACCATGCAAGATGGGTTTTACATGAAATTATGGTTCTGGCTCTCCCAGTGGCATCTCTTCTGTGCCACCACGACAGACAGCTCTGTGAGAAATGGCAGATTTGTATTTCATTAGGACACTTTAGTCAAAAGATCAATGATGCTTCTCAGAACCTCTCTGCCCATCCACTGGGGTGGGTGAGCCTGGTGAGAAGCCTGCAAAGACCCAGCTAAAATTAGGCAGCTGCCGACAGACACCCGATTCACAGTCACAGAGCATCGATTACAAAAGTGATGCTGGGCTGACGGGCTTTAATCGGCCTCCGTGTTCTGTCTTTGTGGAGAGGGACCTTTGTAATGAAGTGGCTCCCTCTCTGGGGAAATGAAGCTATCTGGGGATAGGCTCAGGATTTGGCAGAGTGCAGGAATGGAGGGATGGTGGCAGGGGGAGGGTGGTCATGGTGTTGGGGTCTGCGTGTGCTTCCTTCACCCAGAGCTTGGCTGTCAGGCTCTGAAGCCCAAAATGAAAAGTAAAGGGCCATCTACCGACTAGCTGAGTGACGCGGGCATCAGCCTCTCTGGCCTCAGTATTCCTCACCTGTAAAATGGACACAACAATGGAATCTTATCAGGGGGTTGTTCTGAGGATTTGGTGACTTGATTGATGCAATCCTATTGGCAGAGGGCCTAGCACAAAGGGAACGTTCTCTATCTGGAGGCTGGTGTTGATGTCTCTTACTGAGCGCCCCTGAACATCAGACACTCCACCAAATATTTTTGTTGCCTCATCTTACATAAACGTCGCATCAACTTTACGAGGAGTGGTTTCCTTTAAACAAACAAGGAGGATTTAAACAAATATTAAAATCTGCTGGGAAATGGCAGCTTTGGGTTTCAAGCTCACGTCTGTCTGACACCCAAATCCATTTCTATCTCAGCCCATCCTTTCCCTCTCCTGCTACTCCTCCTCCTCCTCATCATCCTCTTTCTCCTCCCCTTCCCTTCTTCCTCTCCTCTTCCTCCCACATCCACCCAGCCAGGCCATCTGCTCACAGTTCCTTCATCTCCTAGGGCCTCCTCTCCTCTGCCTGGGCACCTGCTGGCCTTTCCCTCCCTCCAGCCCTCATATTCTGTCCACCATCAGGGCACGGCCCCCCCTGAAACCACCCCCCCCGAGTTCTCTGGATGGCAGTGCTGTGTTGACTGACTGCCTCACTGCATCTCACCCAGGCTCACTGCTATGAGGGACACTATGGTTCAGGGAGGAGAGGACTGGGCTTTAAGCCAGACAGACCTGGATTCAAATCCCAGCTCAGCGACTTCCAAGCTCTGTCATCACCATCAATTCATTTAACTGCTGACTCCCACTCCCTTGGGATAATTATACCCACCAAGGCCACCGGGATTGAATGGGAAGAAAATCAGCCCTGGTCCCTCTGCTGAAACTGGAAGTTCCCTAGGTGCAGGCAGAGTGGGAGGGGGTACGAGGAGGGAGGTGGGGGCAGAGTCACCACCACTCACACCTCCATGGTGCCTGAGGTTGTCATACATTTCGCCAAATATTTTCACATCTGCCCCCTTCAGGAACCACGCTGGGACTCTCCTCCCGTCCCCCTGGAGAGACAGAAAGTGAGACCTTCTGGCTAGTTCTGGGCAATGAGTTGTGCAGGTGGAAATACTGTGTCACTTCCCTGTTGAGCACCTAATAGTTGGTACCAAACCCACCAGAGCTCTCCTCTCCCCTGGTATGAGAGCTGCACTGTCCCCAGGGTCTGTGGGTGGACATGTTGAGCACAGCTACTCCACCCTGCCCTTGGTAGATTTGTAGGATTCGCAAGAAATAAATATCTGGGTGTTTTAGGCTACTGTGCTTTGAGAGTGTTTGTTCCTAAAGCATAGCCTCACCTATCCTGACTGGTCCAGTGCTCAGCATGCGGAAGGCCTCCAGCTAGGTGCCCTCCATGATTGGCTGTTGAAATAAGGGCATGAGCTGCCCCTCTGATGCTGCTCCAATAGGTCAGGGATGGGGGCAGCAGTGAGGAAGGAAGGAAGGAAGAGAAAGAAAGAAGAGAAAGAAGGAAAAAGAAAGAGAGAGAGAAAGACAAACAGAACGAAAGAAAGAAATGTACAGAGAATAACAACAAGTGATACAGAAGAGATGTCGTGTAGCTATAAAGAACACAGACACGGGAGCATACACCAGACCAAGCTTCAAGACCTGACTTGGCCACTTTCTTTTCATGTAACTGCTGGCAAACCCCTCTGTGCCTCAATTTTCTCACCTGTATCATGGGGCTAATATAAGAAACATCAGAAATATCAGGGATGCCATGAAGATGAAACAAGGCCCATACTAGGTGCTCAACAGGGCCCTGGCTCCTAGCTGGATCACAGCAGATAATCATTTTGTGAAGCTGCAGAGATTAAAGCTGACCTGTTTTACTGATGTCCTGGAGGGTGCCATTAAGGGCCTCCTGAGGATAGGGAAGGACCCAGCACCCAGCACCCTGTCCTATGACACCATCTGCAGCTGTGTCTCTAGCTGTCCCTGGGGAGACACACAAATATGTTTCATGGAGAAAGAGCTAGAACAAAAGAAAAGGGGCGGATGTGAGTGAGGTGCCAGCCAACCGTAGAGAAGGACTTTGTGGAACCCCCCAGTGCTCTGGCTCTCCAGCCTAATCTTCCTGTCTTGGCATTCCAGGTCCCACAAGATCAGGCCCCACCTCTCCAGCCCTTTGCCCCCTGACTGCAGACACCGACCTGCAGCTGCCCCTCACCTGCACTCATCTTCCTGCTTCTGTCCCAACTGTCCACCCAACAGAGTGGCCTTTCCTTTCTTGTCCCCACAGGCCAGCTCTTTACGGTTCTCCAGGAACCAGCTCAGAGAGCCCCTCCTGCCCAGGTCCACCACCTCAGTCCCTGGAAGGGCTCCACAAGTGTTCATTGTTATTATTTTTAATCAGTTAGTCTGAGGCTCGAATGGAGGCTTTGCCACTTCCTGGTCATGCATTCTTGGGTATGTGACTCAGCCCCACTGGAACCCCATGAAGCCCATCTCACCAGGCTGCTGCAGGGAGCGGGTGACGTCCTGCATGTGAAGTACTATGCCCAGGGCTCAGTCCAGGTGCGGAGCCAGCAACAAGACACCAAGGTCCGCCCTGCAGGACAGCCCACCAGCTTCCCAGGGCCCGAGGAGCGGGCATGAGGATGGTTGGTTATTCCAGAAAGGATGTGAGGGGAAGGAAAAAGAAATCACGATCCTCCCGCTCAACTTTGTAAGCAGCATTGATCTGAGGCAGGAGTCACTAGTGTTGCAGGTGTGTTGATCGACGGGGCCAGGACGGGCCTTTCAGGGCGATGTGTGCTGCATACACAATGGGTTCGAAACCTGCCCTCTCCGCACATGGATTACAGGGATTAAAGGTGTCTGTAAAGCTCTGAAGGATGTGGTCAGCCTCCAGCTGTGTGAGGTGAGGCAGGGTACCCAGTAATGTCAACAGTCCTAAAGGGAAGGCAGTGCTCAGCATGGCATACCCTGTGTCCCCATCTCCAGGGAGGGATTCAGGCCATGCTCCCCTGCTGAGGCCGGCATTGCAGCCAGAGGAGGGGCAGCAGTGAACACAATGAACAAAAATCCCTGCCTGCCTGGAGCTTACATTCTCTATATTATATTCTCAGCTCCAGAATGTATATTCTCTGAGGTCAGAGGCCAGGTCTGTTTCCCTAGGATACAGCCTTGTGCCTGGCACATAGTAGGTGCTTACTTGTTTAATAAATAAAGTCCTTTAGCTCCCATTCACCTGGCTCACACTCCTGGAACATTCAGACTATGGATGCCAGAAATGACGTAGAAGGTGCTAAGGCCTGGAAAGGGGAAGGGACGTGCCCTAAGCTCCATGGCCAGGTACCTGCCCTGCCAGCACCGGAACAGGAGTGCTGACTCACTCAGGGCAAAGCCTCTTCTGGCTCCTGCTCACACCCCCTCAGCATGTGCAAGGCTGCAGAACAGTGATTTTATTAGAGTGTAAAGACAATTTATTTTCCCCTAAAAATAACTGAAAAATAAATGACTGCAGGAGATACTCAAATGTTTATAAAAGTATTAAAACCACGTTATCAGCATATAAAGTGCGGAAGCATAAATGAGAAGGCTCCAGCCTGCCAGGCGATGACGGGCCCATTCTGCATGTGTCCATGACCGAGCAGGCTTAATAGGCACTCACTAAACTGGGTGAGAAATCCCGTGCAGGAGGGGAGACAGACCCCATAAAATGAGTTTCGGATCCCTTCTCTATTCCAACTTATCAGCGGTCAGAGTAGAAGACAAAATCTACATTGTCTTGTATCAAACCAACATCTTTCGCAGAAAATTCCCAAACCACTTTTTCTCTAAGAAGGAAAAATGGCCACTTCTCATGTCAAATGTGACAGGTTCTAAGATAGAAAAGAACATGTTACAGAACAAGAAGGAGAAAAAATATATACTTTATTGAGATTCTACCGTGTCTGACATGGAGATCAGCAGTTTCAACTCATTTTTTAAAATCCACCCACAAACCATGTGGAGCAGGTATTATTATTACCAAAGCCCACCTCGGGGCCTGCTCCATAAATATCTGCTGATATCAAACCCCCACTATTTAAGTGGGCCCATGCAATTCACTCTAGGGCAGAAAACAGCCACTCCACCTAATGGCATCCATTAGTCAAGCGTGACAGTGTCTGTTTCAGCAGTTACCTGCTTGCTTGGTCCCACACCTCAGCATCTACTGTTTCCCAAGGAAGGACTACCAGCCTTGGGCATCTCTTGCAGGAGGGCAGGCGTGTTCTTGAGTGACAGGCAGTTGACAGAGACAGCACACTGAGCCTCACAGCTGGCTCCAGCCCATCTGCCCTGCTTTGTAGGAAGTGGTGTCAAAATTTTATGGAAAGGGCACAGGCTTTGAGACTGCAGAGCTGGGTTCAAATCATACCTCTAATCCTTATGCATTGTTTATCCTTCACTAGTCCCTCTGAGCCTCAGTTTTCTTGTCTGTAAAGTGGGGATAATGCTACCTGCCTTGCAGAGCAGGTGTGAGGATAAAATGAGATGATGGATGCTAAACAATTTGCTTGGTCCTTGGCACTTAATAGATGCTCAATAAATGTTGCTTTTTTTCCTCCCCTGATAGGAGGAATAATAATCCCCCAAAGATATCCACATGCTAATCTCCAGAACCTATGACTGTGTTATTGATATGGTTTGGATATTTGTCCCCTCCAAATCTCATGTTGAAATTTGGTCCCCAGTGTTGGAGGTGAGGCCTGGTGGGAGGTGTTTGGGTCATGGGGACAGATCCCTTTTGACTGGCTTGATGAAAGAGGCTGGGCCGGGCGCAGTGACTCACGCCTGTAATCCCAGCACTTTGGGAGTCCGAGGCGGGTGGATCACGAGGTCAGGAGTTTGAGACCAGCCTGACCAACATGGTGAAACCCCACTCTACTAAAAACACAAAAATTAGCCAGGCATGGTGGTGCGCACCTGTAATCCCAGCTACTCAGGAGGCTGAGGCAGGATTATCACCTGAACCCGGGAGGCAGAGGTTGCAGTGAGCCAAGATCACGCCACCACACTCCAGCCTGGGTGACAGAGCAAGACTCCATCTCACAAAAAAAAAAAAAGAGAGAGAGAGCCTGGCAACTCCTCTTCTCTCTCCTGCTTCCTTCCTTTCACCATGTGATGCTGGCTCCCTTTCCCCTTCCACCATGATTGGAAGCCCTCACCAGAAGCAGGGGCTGAAACCATGCTTGTACACCCTCAGAACCATGAGCTAAATAAACCTCTTTTCTCGATACATTTCTCAGCCTCAGGTATTCTTTCAAAGCAATGCAAAATGGACTAAGACAGTTATATTATAAGGCAAAAGGGACTTTGCAGATGTGATTAAGGTCATGAACTTTGAGACAGGAGACTATATCAACCTAATTTGAGTGAATGAGGTGGGCCCATTCTAATCATATAAACTCTTAAAAGCAGAAGAAGAAAGCAGAGAGATAAGATGGGAGAAGACAGAGGAGAGACTCAGAGAGTGAGAGGGAGTCAACCTGCCATCACTGGATTTGACAGCAGAAGACAGGGGACATGAGCCAAGGAATGTGGGTGGCCTCTGGAATCTGGGAACACATTCAGCTGGCAGTCAGCAAGGAAATAGGACCTCAGGATCCTAAGGAACTGAATTTTTTTAACATCCCAAATGAACAAGGAGATAGACCCTCCCTCAGAGCCTCCAGGAGGGAATGCAGCCCTGCCATTTCCTTATTCTAGCCCTGTGATACCTGCACCAGACTTATGGCCCCCAGGACTATTGAGATAATGAATGTGTGCCATTTTTGAGCAGTTAAGTTTGTGGTGGTTTGTTAAAGCAACAATAGACACTCAGTACATCCTTCCTTCTGCCCAAGCTCTCAGGGATACAGGGATATGTGCACCCTTTCCCAAACCTGCCCCTGTCCTTCATGACTCTGTCCATGGAGGTGCCACAATGCTTCCACCTGGAGAACTCTTACTCACCCGTCAAAAACCCTCTTGCCAGTCACCCACTCTCCACAAGACTCCCATATGGATCCATGAGTGCTGGGCCAGGAACAGGCACAAATGTCCAATGCCCAGCAGTACACACAGTCTCTGTTCAGTGTTCTTAGAGTCAAACTTCTCCTGCCTTCCTACTTTACTGGCCTCTGTCCTTGAACCTCTGCCATTTCATCCAGCACTCAGCTCTGCTTGGTCTGCTCACATACTTGGTTGGCCCTCGAGGTCTAGGCCTGCTTTGACCAGGTCAGTGCATTTAATTCAGGGCCTGGGCAGCAGCAGATCCGTTGACCAGCAAACCTTGGCCACATTCTCCAACTCAACTTCAGCAGAAATAAAGGAGATATTTTGTGTTCCATGTGCCTGACTTGTGGGCCTTTCTTTCACTTGGTTCCTAATTCAGGTGAGGGAGTGCAGGTGTTATTAGATACACGGAAGGAGCTCCGTGTGCCCCCACTTCTCACCATCCCTGTGCAGCTGCCCAGCTCCCATGTGTCCCTTATGCCACAGAAGGCCACTGAAATGACCTCTTTGCTGCCAGAGTCTCCCTCCCAGTTCACCTGCCCCCAGGTGCCTTCTCAAAAGGCAACTGCCCTGAGCACATCCTCCTGCCGAAAAGAAACAGGACAATGAATCCCTGTGACCCACAGGTGACATGTAAACCCCACACCCAGCACTCAAGGATCCTCCTGCTCTGAGTCTTGCAGCTCCCAACTTCCTGTGCTGCTTCCCTTTTGCAGACACCAATGTTGCAGCAGTCCGGAATGCCGCCCTGACTGCAGGGCACCTGCACCTCTGTACCTCAGCCTCTGCACAGCGCTTCGGCCCTCCGTGTCCTCCCCGTTCTCTGCCTGGTGAATCTTGTACATCCTCTAGGACTCAGCCCAGAGGTGACCCTGCAGACCTGACTTTGACCTCTGCCCTGCACCTCCATCAGGGTAGGGTGTCCACTCTCCTCAACAACAACCTTTCACTGTGGTGGTCCATGAAGCCTGAGGGCAGGTGGGGCCTTTCTCCTCTGGACCCCCTCAGGGCTTCTCAGCCCCATCGCAGAGCAAGACCCAGCCCCCAACCACGCGTCATGTGTGGAGTCTTAAAGGCATCACAAACCAGACATGCACAAGCCCAAACTCATGAGCTCCCCCTGCAAACCAGCCCCCTTCTGGGACCCCTCCTTGCTGAGGGAATTGGAGTCCAGGAGCTGTTTACACCTGCAAGTTGGCCCAGCCAGGGGTCCTCAGACCCTGATGCTCAGTGGAACCAGCATTCTCACAACTAGACACCCCTAAAGACCCAGCAATGGGCAGAAGAGCCACACTGGCTGCACTGTCCTCGGACCCTCCAAAGCCAACCTATTCACTCTTTAATAAGGAGCCCAGGGAATGTCTACACAGGCCTCAGGCTGGGACCCAAATCACAGTGGTTATGAATTTCTAATCCCTTTCAAAGGCTCCAGTGTCCTCGGCAAACACAGCGCCATAGATCAGAGCCTCTTGCATCCCCCATGGGCTCCTTTCTAAATCAATAGATGAGAAGTCAGGGGAGCCAACCAGGGTGGGCCAGAGCGCAGGGCGGGCCTGCAGGAGGTGGATGGAGGGTGGGTGGTCTCATGGATGAGGCTCCTTGCTGTGGCACTCAGTCAGTAAGTGCCCTTTGCTGGGCAGATTTTACCACGGTGAGCCACATGTGGCTCAGATACTGGGAAGAAGTGTCTTTGCCAGCTGTTAAGAGGCCCACTGGATGGCCACCAATCACCAGGGCTGGCCAAGCCCCAGGGACGGATCCCAACAGGCCTGGGTTTGAGTCTGGCTCTGCCATCCACAGATGGAGTGGCCTCGGGCAAGTCTCATCACCTCTCAGAGCCTCAGTTTCCACACCTGGATAGGTGTGGGTGGAGTGGGAGGGGGAGGAGTAGGAGCTGGGCCCCACAGGGGCTTGAAAGCAGCTCTGGAGGTCTGGGTCTTTGCTTTAGGAGCAGGAGGAGCCCCTGAGGGGGTTTAAACAGTGGGAGGACTGGAGGGGTTTACATCTCAAACAGATCACCCAGGACTTTTATCTCAGCCCTGCTGTGGCTTGTGGGGACAAAACGGTAAAATGCTGCTGAAAAGTTTAGACCAGTGACGGCTCCAATCAGCTTCCAGGAAATGGCAGTAAATGTGTCAGGGTGGAGGTGGGTGCAGTGAGAGGTGGACCCGTGGACCCTGCAGCCCTGCCAGTCTGAGCATGTTACTCACATTTCACTGTGTCCTCACAGCGCCAAGTGAGACAGGTGTTATTACAACTCATTTTACAGGAGATGAAACTGAGGCTCAATCCTGGAATGGGAGGGACCTTCGAGGTGTGCCTCAAGGCCCACCTACACCCCTTTTACAAAAGAGAAAACTGGGGCCCAGAGAAGGGCAGTGGATTGCCCGTAGCAAACCGTCCAGTTCAGTTCCATTCTAGAACATTTAATAAAGACCAAGCTATTATCAGGGACTGAGAACACAGAAATGAACCAGGCACAGCCCCCACCCTGAAAAAGAATTCCTGTCTCTTAGCAGGGAGAGAGAAGCAGAAGTCCTAATATAAATCAGGAATTACAATTTAACATGAAATGAACCAGGCACAGAAATGATGCGGAGAAGAGATGAACTCCATGTAGGTCTGGCAGGGGTAAGGAGAGATAAATCAGGGAAGGATGCCGGGAGGAGGTGGCAGGGCTAGGACTGGAGAACTGAGCTCCTCCCTCCCCATCTGCTTCCCTCCAGCCTCAGGGAAGGAGGGGAGTCACGCAGGGCCGGGGCACATAGGGTCTGCAGGCTACATCAGGATTTTGGCATTCATCCAAGAGCAATGAGGAGACACAAAAGGGTTTTAAGCCAAGATATAACATGGTTGGACTTTAATTTTCAATGCATCACTTGGAACTGGAGGAATATAGTCATCTCTGCTATTTTTTCCCTCTAAAAACACTTTTTAAATTGTCAAAAACAAAAACGAAATGCCCTGTAATCTCACCTTGAGACATTTATTTCTAGATTTTTTACTTACCTAAATAAACATGTCAGTTTTACATAACAGGCATGCGCACATACACATATGTATTTTAAAACCCCTCTAGTTGATTTTTGTCCTTAACTGTTGCTGAGCGCCTACTATATGCCAGGCACAGTCCCTGGGACCCAGCAGTGAACAAGGCTAATGAAGGCCCACTGTGCTCAGCAGCTCCCAAGTCCTCAGCAGGAGTCCTGGTGCCCACAAGCAGCCACAAGCAGCCAGACACAGCGTGGGCTTCCCAGGGAGACACGCCTGGGGTGGAATCCAGCTCTGCTCGGCCACACACATGCTGGGTGAACTTGGGCAGGGGGCTTTACTTCTCTGTACCCTATGTTCCCAGCTATTAAATGAGGACTATAATCCCCACCAAACAGAAACAGAATGAAATGAGCCAGGAAAAGCAAAGCCCTGAAAAGTTTAATGACCAGAGGTCTCCCTCTGCTCCCCTGGCCCCTCCATGATGCTGTCAGAGCTCCAGCTGTGGGCGTCTTTCCAGCACCATCAGGATGTAGTTGAAACGTGGAATGGACGATGCTGGGCAGTCGGTTCACCCAGTTCCCTTTGAGTCCCCATCCCTCTGCCCAGGGTGTGATAGGAGCCTCTCGTTGATTTCAGCTGGGCTGTCCATGCTCTGACTCCCAGTGTTCAATGTCTCCTGAGGCCTCTGAGGCAAGAAGACACAGGACGGGAGGCTGGAGAGCCAGGGAGATGAGGGGCTGGGGTCTAGGAGACTGAGGGGCTAGGGGGCTGGGGCACTGGAGGACTGAAAGGATAAGGAGATGGGGAGCTGAAGGCTTCACAGGAGGAGGACTGAGGAGATGGGCAGCCGGAGGGCTGAGGGGCTGAGGGGCTGGGGGCTGGGAGGCTGGGGGACTGGGGGGCTGGAGGGCTGAGGGGAAGAGGGGCTGGGGAACTGGGGGACTTAGGGGCTTGGGGGCTGGGGGACTGAGGGACTAGGAGTTTGGGGGACTGAGTGGCTGGGAGGCTGGGGGACTGAGGGACTGAGGGGCCAGGAGGCTGGGGGGACTGAGGGACTGAGGGGCCGGGAGGCTGGGGGACTGAGGGACTGGGAGCTAGGGGACTGAGGAGATGAGGGGCTGGGGGACTAGCTCCTGCCCCACTTAGGACTGGGGTCTCAGGAAGGGGGCAAGTCTTGGCCTTAGCAGTGAGGAAGTTGGGGGCCTGGCTGGGAGTAGAGAGGATTGTCTGCTTTCAGCTGCACAGAGAACTAGGAATTCCCATCTTCACAGGGGAATCCAGAGAAGAGAACAGTGGTGGCAAGGGGCCTTGGAGCCAGGCAAGGACAGGGAAGGTCCTCCACCAGCCACTGCTCCTGTGAAGCCTGGCAGGGCATTAGGGTGAGCGGGCCCAGCCCTTCTTGCTGTTCCTGGTGGAGCAATGGGATGGGAAGTGAAGGGGAGGGAGACTGTTTTGTCACCATTTGAGCTGAGAAGGTCGTAGAACCTCGGAGCTGAGCAGGTCTTAGCTTTTGCTCCTTGGGTCCAGGTCGCTGCCTGGAATCCCCCCGGGGTCCAAGGATCGTTGGATGGGCACAAGGAACACAGCAGGGCACACACAACACTATGCTTATCCTCAGAGCCAGGAGTGCTCAGGAGTGGGGGCCGTGTGTACCCAGAGAGTCTAAGGCTTCCTGTGGAAGCAGACACTGCGGGCTCCAGCCCACTGTCCAGGCCACACCCAGTGTGGCCAAACCTCCTGATTTTTCAAGAGAAAAGGAAATTAGATTTTTGCATGTAAAATCTCACTTTTTAAACTTTGCCAACTCATTTAATTTTTTTCAAAAGGCATTTTAAGGGGGAAACAAAGCACATCAGCCATGTGGATGCATCCTGCCGGCCGCCCCTCTGCAAGCCCCGACCAAGTCAATTCACAGTGTACATGGCAAGTATGAGGTTTCTTTGTCTGGGGCCTTATGTGAAGTCCAGGACAGGACAGAGGGAGTCTCTCTCGCTCTCTCTTTCTCTCTTTGTCTCTCTTTCTCTGTCTCCATCTCCCTCTCTCTCTGTCTCTCTATCTCTTTGCGTCTCTCTGCCTCTCCCATACTTGGCATCTCCTCTCTGCCTCTCACTCCAGTCCTCCACCTCCACCCCCTCCTTTCTCTCCCTCCTTCCTTTCAGTGACTGTGTTTATTTTCAGAACCTCGAAAGTCTTCCCACGCCTCTGACATTTACTCTTTGGAATTAGAATATTTTCTATTTCTTTTTCCCAAAGCGAGGCTGTTGGGTAAGATTTCCCTGGGGTTCCTACCTGCCCTTCTGGAGGTGAAGTGCTGGGGCCAAAGCTGGCATAAGTCAGCCCAGCACTGACTGCGTCAGCCAGCAATTATTAGGCACCCACTGTGCACCAGGCCTTTCTCATGAATTATCACGTTCAGTCCATGTAAGAACTCTGGGGGGGGTTGGTGGTACCATCTGCACATATCAGATGCATGAACTGGAGGCTAAGTAATGAGTCTGTGCTCCTTCAGCAAGTGAGGGACGGAACAGGGATAAAACTCATACTTCTGTCACTCCAAAGTCCATTTCTTTCCTCTGTGCTCTGCTTGCAGGGTTCATGGGTTTACTGGTGCATTGAAGGGCATGCAGCATTTGGGCAAACCAAGAATTTGGGAGAGGGACATTCCAGACAGAAGGAACTACAAGAACCAAGGCCCAGAGTCAGGAATAGAACCTGTTTGAGGGGCCAGTCAGTGAGGCTGGTGCAGAAGCTTCAAGCCCTGGAACAGGAGAGGATGGGCACAGCTGCGGAGGCAGATTCTGCTTGTGTAGGCCAGGGTGTTCTGGTTGCAAGTGACAGAAACCTTAACTCATCCTCACTAAACTTAAAAGGAAATGCATTGACTCATCTAAGTGGGAAGTCCAAGGGGAGAAGGGGCTGCTCTCAGAGGGAAAATGTCCTCCTCAGTCAAGAAGAAGGAAGAGAAGAAGGGGGGGGGGGAGGAGGAGGAGGAGGAGGCAGAGGAGGAGGAAGAGAAGAAGGAGGAGGAGGAGGAGAAATAACTAACAGATCCCATGAATAAGCACATACCAAGAGTTTTCTTTGTTGCAGGCATTACTCTAAGCATTTTATATACATAACTCATTTATTCCCATAATTCTATGAAGTCCATGTTACTGTCTCCAGTCTATAGATGAGGAAACTGAGGCTCAGAGAGGCTAAGTAACTCCTTCAGAGCCACAGCCAAGCCAAGGTTTTGACCAAGGTAACCTGGCTTCACAGTCTGAGCCTTCACCACTGCACTGCACAGCCCCAAAGCAGGACTGTCAGTGAGCCTCATCAAGGTCCACCTCAACCACGAAGCTGAGTGGCTTCCTTCAGTAGGAGAAGAGCCCTCAAATGTTCCTAAGCAGGGGGCTCACATGATCAGGTCTGTGTCTGAGAAAGAGCACATGGCAACAGCATGACGGCAGGTCCTGGGGGGCAGGAGGTCTGGGCGGGAGCCCACAGGGACCTGACATGGGCAGGGCAGTGAGGAGCAAAAGGAGGGACCCATGTGAGATGCTTGTTCATCTCCCCTTGGCAACTTGCCTTTGTGCTAGTTGTACAGCCGCAAGCACAGGAGTTTGCTGTGACACCCAGCCTAGCTCTAAGGGTGCACCTGCATTGGCATCCTTTGCCAGTGATCCTTGCCTCCAGAGGGAAGCAGCCAGGGAGGGCCCCGCCTATGCTCCCCAGTGCCTGGCCATAGGAGCAGGCCTGGCTGCAGCGAGGGCCCCCAGCAGGCTTTGCCCAGCATGGATGGAAAGCACATGAGCGGCCTGTGCCCTGCCGCCCTGTCCTCCCTCAAAAGAAGAAGATAGGCAGAGGCCAGGGCTTCACTGGGGATCCAGTGGGTGTCAGGAACACAGCCTGTCTCCCTGGGTTCTATTCTGGACATTGGGCAGAAGGCTGGTTGGCTCCAGGTAAGATGGATGGAGCTGCTCTTCACAGGGTGACTGACTTTGCTGGAAACAGGAAGGTAAGCTGCTGCCCCATTTGGAACCTGAGGGGAAGCAGAGAACAGAATCTGGCTCTGGAGTGGGGAGAAGCAATTCCTTTCCACTGGCAGCATAGGGAGTGGCAGTGCAGACCCACTGTCATTCTTCCTCATTGTCACCCACCAGGGAACTCCAGGAGGCTCTGATCACCAAACACGGGTAAGGGCCATGGACTAATGGCATCCCTTTCCTCCGCTCCCAAGTGACAAACCCGGCTGTGCTGCTGAACTTGACCATCTCTTCTCATCATGCCTTGCCTCAGCCCAAAACCCATCACCGATGGAATAAAAATAAACCCACCCAGCACTCAAGATCTCTGATGATATGGCCCCATTTGATCATCCTGGGAGCTCCTGCCAGTTGTCTGGGCTGCAGCCAAATCAAACAACCTGCAGTTCATTTGTTCATTCATTTTTCCATTCATCCACAAACATTAATTGAGTGTCTATTATGTGCCAGCCTCCGTTGTTAGGGATACAGTACAGCGGTGAACAAGACAGGCACAATTGCCCCCACCCCAGGGGAGGAGACAGATGTTCCACAAGTAAAAACTGCACCTCATTCTAAAGCCCCTGCCCCTGTGCATTTACTCTTGCTGTTCCCTTCAACTAATCCATCTATTGACCTATGTATCACCTATGTCCATGTAATTCTGGACACACAACTATAATTGAGGAAACTCAGGCCCAGACCAGACAGAGACACTCTCCAAGTCCTGTTCCTCTTCCTTCTGTGTCTGCATCCCAGAGATGGCCCCAGCACCCCAGGCCGAAAACTTGTGTGTTGCACTTCCTTTCTTCTCTCCTCTCACTCTCCCCTGAAATCAGTCAAGACCTGTTAACTCTAAATCCTGACTCCCCTCCCCTTCTGCTCTAGTTCTGCACTGTGCGCTCTGTCCTGGTCCTCTGGGCCAGCCTCCATCCTGACCACACTGTTCTCAATTTCTCCATCCCCAATCGTGCCCGCACCAGCAGCTTGAGGGGGCTCTAATGCACAAATATGACCGGATGATTCTTCTGTTCAAAAGCATTTAATGGCCACCCAGAGTGATTCCAAAACTCCCCCACATGGCACCCAGGCCACCCAAGACCCATCTTCCATTTACTTCTCTGACTTCTGACCTTGCCTCTCCCTATCACAGACCATCTCAAGGTTCCCATTGCACCAGGTTCCCTCCTGTGGCCTCTGCTCATGCTGTTTCCTGTGCCTAGTGCACTTTCTACTTTTTCAAGGCCTTGCACAGGCATCAGCCCCTCTGCGAAGCCTTTCCTGATCCACAGTATGGGTTAGATCCTCCCATCATGTACTCACTCACTGCACTGTCCCTGCCCTATCAAGCCTCCCACTTTCCCCACCCTCTCCCACCCCCATGCTCTCCTCCAACACTGCTGGCCAGTGGGTGGCATTGCTCCATGCAGTGATTCAGGGATCCAGGCTCCTTTCATCTACAGTTCATGGCTCTGCCCTCCTCTAAGGCCTCAGATCCGTCTGCTTCCCCTGGCAAAGGGAAAAGAGAGAGTGGAGAAAGCACACTTGCTTCTTAATGACCTTGGCTCAAAAGAGACACACACATTGCTTACCCCAACCCACCAGTGAGAACTGGTCATGTGGCGCCACCCAGATGCAAGGGGAGCTGGGAAGTATAGTTCCAGCCTGTGCAGCCCCTTCCCATCTGCATCTCTGCACAGTCCCTTAAATCTGTTACTACCTTTTGGTCATCATCACTGCTTTAGTTTGCCCAGGCTGCTGCAATAGGGTACAACAAACTGGGTGGCTTAAAACAACAAAAGTATTCTGTCTCAGAATCAGGAGGCCAGTGGCCCAAATCAAGGTGTGGGCAGGGCTGTGCTCCGTCTGAAGATGCTGGGGAAGGATCTGTTCAGGCCTCTCTACAAGCTCATGGTAACCTCAGACATTCCTTGGCCATCTTCTCCCCATGTCTCCTCACATCATCTTCCCTCTGTATCATCTCTGTGTCCAAATTTCTTCTTTTTATAAGAACCTCAGTCATGTTGGATTATGGCCCACACTAATGACTAATGATCTCGTTTTAATTGGATTACCTCTGTAAAGGCCTTATTTTCTTTCTTTTTTTTTTTGAGATGGAGTCTCGCTCTGTCACCAGGCTGGAGTGCAGTGGCATGATCTCAGCTCACTGCAAACTCTGCCTCCCGGGTTCAAGTGATTCTCCTGCCTCAGCCTCCCAAGTAGCTGGGACTACAGGCACGCGCCACCATGCCCAGCTAATTTTTGTATTTTTTAGTACAGACGGAGTTTCACCACGTTGACCAGGCTGGTCTCGATCTCCTGACCTGGTGATCCACCCGCCTTGGCCTCCCAAAGTACTGGGACTACAGGAGTGAGCCACCACGCCCAGCAGACCCTATTTTCAAATAAGGTCACATTCCGAGATACTGAGGGTTAGGGCTTGAACATATTTTTTGGTAGTGGCAGGGACACAATTCAACTTATAATCATCATCATCTCCACTTCATTAGCTACACTGCTGCCATTTCTACCATCATCATCAACTACATCTTCTGGGGTTCTGGTGGAGGGTGGAAAGGGAGGTGGTTAAGAGTTCAGGCTTTGGGTCAGACAGAAGTGGATTAAAGTCCATCTTTCCATGGGCTAGGACTTCTTTCTTAGTCTTCCCAGAGGAGGCGATGCCCATGCAAAGTCTTGAAAAAGTAGGAAGTGGCCAGTGGGAGACAGAACACGCATCACGGTAGAAAGTGCAGGAGCAGGGCCCTGGGAGAGAAGGCCCCACCCGCACGGGGGAAGGGAGAGCAAGGGAGAGAAAGGTGCTGAGGAAGGACAGCAGCTCAGAAAAGAGTGTTTCCAGCTGGTCTTCAGCAGTACAGGTTTTGAAATGTGATTCTTGAAAAGCAACTCAATTGAAATGGAAATGTGTTATGATGGGTAAAACAGGGAGAAAATGGAAACCCCATATCCTTTCAAGACATATTTTATGTCACTCCTGAAAGGAGATCTCCTAATAAAAGTGGCCCAAAGCTCTAAGACGATGAAGATGAGCACGCCAAGCTCCAGCTGCAGTGATGCCAGCATAACTATAGCCGACCTCTGTCAATCTTAGCTGCTCTGGGACGCAGCCAGAGAAGAGGAGGTGCCTCACACTGAAAATGAGGGGGCTGGGAGGAGCCAGGAGCCCCACTTGCCATCAACTTGCTGAGTGACCCTGGGGAAGTCACTTATAGGCTCCACACCTCTTTTTCCTCTCCAACCTCCGGCAGACACAGCCCAACCTCCCTTCCCAGCCTCCCTCCTTGGAGTAGTCCATGCGGCTGAGCAGGGAAAGAAGAGAACACAAGAATTTATCAGCACTGCAGGGGCCCGGGCTGTGGTCCAATGTCCACCTTCCACAGGTATCAGTTACCGTTTCCTGCATCTCTGCTGAGTGCCCAGCCCCGTGGGAGGCCTCAGGACCCAGTGCTCACCTCCAACATCGCCGAGCAGGAGGCAGCTTCCTCTATGCAGCGATTCAGAGTCTGAAAACCCTTCCTGTTACTCTCTCTGTCTTTGGGGCTGTGGGACAGGCACTGTGCTGAGTGCTTTGCACACAGTGATTCAGTCAACCTCATGGCAACCCTATGAGGTCTGCACTGTTATGTCCCCATTTCACAGACAAGGAAACTGAATCTCGGGCTGGTTAAGTATTTGCCCAGTGTTACCTAGTTAGTGAGCTGGGATTTTGACATAGGTCCTCTGGCTCCAGAGTCAGTACCTCCAGCCCCTAACATTCATGCTAACATGCCTCTCATAATGAAAATAATAGCAACGGCCAACATGTACTCAGCACTTAATGTATGCCAAGTGCTGCACTAAGCACCTTACAGCCTTAACTTCCCGAGTCTCACATCTGCTCTAGGAATCAGGTATTATCATTAATCCCATTTACATTCAGAGGAGTTAGGTAACCTGCCTAATGTCACATAGCTGGCACTTTTCAGAAGAAAGATTTGAACCCAGAGCCTTCCCGTCATATCACAGCCCCACTATTCTCTGCTCCTCTCCAACCACGGATATCAAGAACCCATCACAGATAAAGAGAGGTAACATTTACGGAGCATTTACTAAGTGCCAGGCACACACCTTAACCCAGGGCCTGACATGTAGTCAGCACTCAAAACACATCTGTCAATGGGCTCACTTCACATCTGGGAACTCATTAAGGCCCAATAAAAGTACCCAAGTGGATCTAGTTTCCATTTTGTAAGAAGGGAGACTGAGGCTTAGAGAGGTTAAGTGACTTGGAAGAGGTGGGGTTAGGGTTTGACAAAGCTGGTTGGTTTGCAAGACACTCTCCAGGGTGGACCAGCCTCTCCCCAGTCTCACCCCATGGAGCTGGGTAAACATAGAGAGAAAGGGTCTCATGTCTCACAGCCTAGCTGACCTGTGATGGCCTAGTGGTTTTGCCAAGGTCTGAGGCTGGGAGCCACCGGCTGCCCTCTGGGTGAGGAGTCCAGTTGTATCCATTTTAATGTTCATGTAGCCAAACAAGAGCTTATGAATCAGCCCCATGTGTGCTCAGAAGCTGCAACAGCTGTGTTTGCTCCAATCATGCTTCATCCCCCAAAACTCCCTGACCCAGGCTGGTAGCCCCCACTCCAGTGGGGTCCAAGTCTCTGCCACGACATCTCCCTCCAGGCCTCACCTGGCCACAGCTCCTACACCCTTGGGGAGAAGCGACGATCCCTACCCTGTTCCTGGCAGCTCACTCGATGGTAAAGTCCCCTCTCCTGAGCTGGACTGTGCCTCCAGGAAGTTCCTCTTGAAGGCCTGGGCTCTGTGTCTGGGAACAACACAGAACAAGTAGAATCCCCCACCCAACAGCTTTCAGACAATGCCAACCATGTCAACAGCACCAACACCACTAAGCTGACATTTATTGAGCGGTCCCTGCCTGCAAGGCACGATACAGAAATATTCAGTCTCATTGTCTCTTTCAGCCTCTTAACATCCTGGGAGGTACAGGCTGTTGTTATCCAGTTGTACAAATAAGGAAACCAAGGCACATAGAAGCTAAAGGGTCTGCCCAAGACCATGCCAAATTGAATGCCCAATAAACACCAGCTGGTGTTGCCCTCTCCTCCCTTCCCCGCCCTTGGATCCTACTGAGGTAGTGCTAGGGAACCTTTCTTCATTCTTCTACAATCCTAGAATGACCCTTGGGCTACAGAACCAACCAAACCTGAAACCTCATTCACCCCTGGATTCTCGCCATGTGTACTGATGAATGTCATTACTATATAAGCCACTTTGAGGTGTGGCTTCATTTACTTGAAATCTGAGCATCATTATAGATACAAAGGCCATGATAATTTACAGGACTGATGTGATTGCGAAAAGATTATCAATGAAGTACGCACAAAGCCAGGAGAAAATAGAGACACCAACGTGATTCCGAATGCACACTATTGCCACCTCCTACCCATTTCTCATTTCACAGCTCTGAAAACATGTTTTGCACAGGACACCCCCTCTCTAACCCTCTGGCACGGTTCTGATGAGACCCACCCTCTGCACATGAGTAAACTAAGGCTGAGAGATGGAAAGTCACTGGACTGAGATAACTCAGCGAGCAAAGGGAAGGTCCCAGAAGTGGACCCAAGTTGTCTGATGCTGAATAGTGAGCCTTTCCCTACACTGTGATGCTCAGTTGTGCCTGGCATCAATGTGTTGCCTCTCAACTCCAAATCTAACCTCCTTTGCTCTTTTTTGGTTAGCAAAGCTAGACCCTGTAAACATTTTTCCTTTGCCAGTTGGCTTGATGGTAATCTTTGTCAATGGAGGGTTCTGGAAGGAAACAGCAGGAACATAGCAGTGGGGAGCATGCTTTCATGCCTGCTTCAGGAGTGCTGACTTCCAGGCAGCACCCAGGAGGAGACCCAGAAAGCACACCGAAGGGCCTGCACAGCCAAGCTCCAGCCACTGTGCTTCTCGCCACCACCAGACTGGTTCTGGAGACCCCTCTAAACCATACCCTGCAGCAAGCTTCCCCACCACCTGGACCAGCTCTAGCTGAGCCCTGAAGCAACTCTCTTGGACATTGGCAGAAGACGCGTCACGCCTTCTGAAGAAATCTGAATTTCAGCATTGGCGGGGAGTGGTGGAGAGGACTCTTCTAAGTTCCTCCTTCTTTCCCAGCTCACTCACCCGTAGCCCTAGGGGTAGCAGATGCTTTCTGTATTTGCTGTTTCTAGATCCTTCATATTCTATATCCTCTTAGTAGTTTACTAGTTAATAATTCTTAAAGATATTAAATTTTTTCTGTTCTAATTTGTGACATGGCTTCTATCTCCTGATTGGATCCTTACTGATACTGAACTGATGCCAAGAGTGCTCCCAGGAGACAGACCTTCAAAGGCAGCATCTTGATATTGGTTTGGTCATACCCCTGGACTTGAGCACAGTGCTAGCTCCTTGCTAATGGGAAGTGGACTACTAGTAACTCTCAGCAGGCAGTGGGTCACAATTAACTGAATCATCTCACCACTGGTTGATTGTGATGAGGTGCCAATTGAAGCAAGCACCTTGGAGCATGAGGGCCCCTTCAACAGGGGCACTGTGGCAATAATGACGATTTCAAGAACTGGGGTGTGTGATGGATGCTCCTGGATGCACTAAATCATGTACAGAAATAAGTGAAAAGCTCAGTTCCTTAAACTCTTAGCTCATATCATTACCTGAGAACCAGAGGGATCCCATGACAACCCTAAAAGAATTTATTTTTATAGCCACAGGACAGATATTGCTGAAAATCAAATACAATTTAATTGTGTGGGTTACAGAATGACAATGTCAATTGAATTCACTTATCAGATGAATCCCTCCTCCTCCTCCAAAGAAGTGCAAATGAGAGATGGGAACTGAAGCAAAAGCTTCTGGACAATGCTCCCAAGAGGGTGGAGGTTCCTATTTCCAGGGTCAGTGGGGAAAGGGGGAAAGGGAGAGAATGGTGTCTCCATTACACACACCACTAATAGAACACCAGTATGGCTACTGACTGCAGGAGCAGGTGAGGTCGGCTGAATGCCTTCCTGGGCCAACCCAGCTGAAGTGCACCCTTCCCCTCCCTTCCCCTCGAGAGGGCACACTGGAACCCAGGGAAGAGGTAAGGGAGGCAGAGTGTCTGCCAGGCTCCCAGGAGAACCCACCCCAGGGCTTCCTGGAATGGGGGTGAATGGTTTCCCACAAGAGAAAGTGCTTCAGCTCTTTGTGCCCTGAAAGGATTGATCTTTCTTTTTTTATGCCAAGGTTCAAAGTGCCCAATTTAATACACAGAAGATTTTACACTCAGTTGTTAGACAAGAGTGAGGTCAGTAAGGGCTAATGGGGACCATTTCCAACCACAAATGTGGTCACAGCTGCTGCCAAGGGAAGGGCTTTAGCAGCCACGGCCTGTCTGGTACTCAGGCCTTGACAGTGAAGGTTTGCGTCGGATTCATTGTGGCAGCCAATGCTTTTCTCTGAATTATCTTTCCGCATAAGCTGCTGTGGATCTGGCTGTGACCTGTCCAAATTCAGATGTTTGGGATCCCAGGAAACAAATTGGTTGAGGAAACCAAGCCACTACCACCCCCGCACCCCGGTGACAGAAGCACCTTCAATACGGACAGCAAAGAATCGCAATGGCCTTGGCAATTTCCTGGAAGTGGAGTAGGATCTGGGAGATTGCCTGACTGCGGGGCCTAAATCTCCCTGCTCCAATGCCTTCAAAGGCTCCCTGCAGCCCTGGTTAGAGAAACAGAACGTCTCCTGGGCCCAAGCTTGCCCCAGTCTCATGTCACCCCACTGCTCCTCACTTTATCTGCTCCAAACACACTTGCCTCCTGGCGTTGCTGACCTGCCAACCCAGAGCCATTGCACATGCTATTAATTTTGCCTAGAATGCTTTTTTCCTTCCTCTTACCTGAGAAACTCCTCTTCCTCACTTCCTCAAGAGAGTTTTCCCTGACCACTTACTACAGCTCTAACTGTGCATGCATTTATGATTTATTTCTGATGTTGCCTGCTCCCACTGTAGTCTAAGCTCCAGGAGGGCAGGAACCGTATCTGATTCTGCTCTCTGTTATATCTCCAGCAGCTAGCACAGCGACCATTGCAGAGTGAATATTTAATAAATATTGAATGAATGAATGAATGAATGAATGAATGAACAAGGAGACCAACAGTAGTCACCATAGATGGATAAGGCTCTGCCAATGTAAACATTAACTGATTATCTAAATATTCCATGGTCTCGCCAGCTTGAGGGATCCCAGAGCTAAGACATGATTCAAGAGAGCACTGTGAGAGATCCAGATCGAGGCAAGAAAAGAACCACATGTCAGTGCCAAGGTTGAGAAAGATGGAGAGGAAAAGGGGTTTTGGGGGTGGGAGGAATGGTGAAAAGGGCAAAATGGGCCCTTCTCCTTCCCATTCCCACTGCCAGTCCCACCTCAGTTCCCAGAAACACTCCCTTTATCTATATTCCTGAGTGGGGTGGGTCTGCCACTGCCCATCTCAGTAGTCTCCTGTCTTCCTTTAGAAACTGAACCTCAAATTGCAGCCTTGTAAATCGCTGCTCAGAAAAGACAACATTTCCCAAGTCTGAAAAATCTACACCTCAGCCCATTCCCCCTGCCTTGAGTTGGGCAAAGCCAGACCACAGAGTGGGGGAAGGGGAAGGGAAGGGACACTTATGGGGCCACTGATGGGAAGGACAGTTTTGGCTATCCGGCTCCTGCCCATCACACCCTCCGAGAGAAGCCTCTGGGCAGGGCTCAAGGACCCAGTTCTTACTGCAGGGCCCGCTCTGGCCCCTGTCACCAGACCTAGAGGAGTCATCAAATAAATCCAACATTTAGATAAGGGGGTCGGGGTGGGCTACTGCAGCTGACATTTTCCTGAAATCCAACAGCAATAACAGAGAAAAATGGGCCAGCTCACTCCAGATAACCACCGCCAGAGAAGTAATTACCCTACTTCTGGTCCTGAGCGAGGATACTGGCGCCAGAGGCACCTGCACAGGTAATTCATCAGCCCTAGATTTGTGGACAGAGTCCGCCCTCTAGTTCACTTGAGACAATGCTATTTAGATTTTGCAAAGATTATTGCTCTTCTCTGCCATCCCTGAGTGGGGAAGCAGGCTCCTCTGTGAATCCACTGTGAATACTGGCCTGCTGGTGCCAACTCAGAAGACAAATCCTCACACGTGAGCCAGTTGTTTCCAGCTTCCTGAGACCTCCCCAGGGCTTGGTTCCTCCCTCTCCTTGTCATGGAGCTGCTGGTGTGACACCAGGCAAACAAAGAGCCCAGCTTTGTGCTCATAAGGGATGAGGCTGTGTCATATAGAAAGTGCCAAAAGCCTCTGTTTTCTCATCTGTAAAGTGGGAATAAAGGTGTGAGATGATGGGGGCTCTCACTTTCTCTGCTGTTTGAAGTTGTTTTAATGAGCATATATTTCTTGTTTTTTTTTTTTTTTTTTTTTTTTTCTGAGTTGGAGTCTCACTCTGTCACCCAGGCTGGAGTGCTGTGGTGCGATCTTGGCTTGCTGCAACCTCTGCCTCCTGGGTAATGAGCATATATTTCTTTGGTATGGAAAAAACTAAGCACAATGAAAAGATAAATAAAATGAAGTGGCTGGGCACGGTGGCTCACACCTGTAATCCCAGCACTTTGGGAGGCCGAGGTGGGCGGATCACCATGTCAGGAGATCGAGATCACCCTGGCTAACACGGTGAAACCCCTTCTCTACTAAAAATACAAAAAATTAGCCGGGCATGGTGGCGCGCGCCTGTAGTCCCAGCTACTCGGGAGGCTGAGGCAGGAGAATGGCGTGAACCCGGGAGGCGGAGCTTGCAGTGAGTCGAGATCGCGCCACTGCGCTCCAGCCTGGGCGACAGAGCGAAACTCCGTCTCAAAAAAAAAAAAAAAAAAAAAAAAAAGAATACTTACGACTCAATAATATAATAAGATGACAAAAAAATTAAAAATGGGTGAAAGACTGGAGTAGACAGTTCACCAAAGAGAGTATATGAATGGCTAAGTAACTCATAAAAACATGCTCAACTAATGAATTAGTAAATGCAAACTAAAGCCACAATGAGATGCCAATACATACCCACGTGATGTCTATAATTTTCAAAGACAACATCAATGTTAAGAATGTGGTGAAAGAGGAACTCTTGTATGTGTTTTTTTTTTTCATAACAGTGACTTTACTCTTTACAAGTGGATGATACCAGACTTCGAAAATTGGCAAATTTTTCAAAATAATTTTTCTTTGTGTTTGGAAAATGTGGTCTCATCTTAACATCACTTTTTTATATTTTTTTAAAGTTTTATTTTAGGTTCAGTGGTACAGGGGCAAGTTTGTTATAAGGTAAACTTATGTCACAGATTATTTGATCACCCAGGTACTAAGTCCAGTACCCAATAGTTATTTTTTCTGTTACTCTTCCTCCTCCCACCTTCCACCCTCAGGTAGGCCACAGTGTCTGTTGTTTCCCTCTTTGTGTCTATGTGGCACTCTCATATATTACTGTTGGAAATGTAGGAATGTAAAAATGATACAATCACTTTGAGAAAACAGTGTGGCAGTTTCTTAAAAAGCTAAACATAAACTTACCATTAGACCCAGCAATTTCATGACCAGGAATATACCCAAGAGAAATGAAAATATATGACCATAAAAAGATTCATACTCAAACATTCATAGCAGCATTATTCATAATAGCCAAAATGTGGGATCAACACAAATGTCCATCAACTGGTAAGAGAATACACAAATGTGACTTTCATCCAATGAAATATCTCAGCAATAAAAAGGAATGAACTACTGATACATACTACTGAGGATGCACCTTTAACATGTTATGCTAACAGTCCAGATGCAAAAGACTACATGTAGGAGGACTCTCTTTATATGAAATGCCAAACATTTAAAAAGCAAATTTATAGAAATAGACATGAGACCAGCGAATGCCTGGGATGCTGGGGAGTTGTGGAGGGTGGGGATGAACTATAAACGAACATAGGGGAACTTGTTGAGTCATAGAAATGGTCACCACTGGACTGTGATAGTGGTTGCACAACTCTGTAAGTTTATTAAAAGTCATTGAATTGGCTGGGCGCGGTGGCTCATGCCTGTAATCCCAGCACTTTGGGAGGCCGAGGTGGGTGGATCACCATGTCAGGAGATCGAGATCACCCTGGCTAACACGGTGAAACCCCTTCTCTACTAAAAATACAAAAAATTAGCCGGGCGTGGTGGCGGGCGCCTGTAGTCCCAGCTACTCAGGAGGCTGAGGCAGGAGAATGGCTTGAACCCAGGAGGCGGAGCTTGCAGTGAGCCAAGATCGTGCCACTGCACTCCAGCCTGGGCAACAGAGTGAGACTCCATCTCAAAAAAAAAAAAAAAAGTCATTGGATTGCATTCTTTTACAATTTTTTGTTTCATAATAATTATACACATTTATGGGGTTTGTGCAATCTTTTGATAATGCATACAATGTGTAATGATCAAATCAGGGTATTTAGGATGTCTATCACCTCAAACTTTTATCATTTCTTTGTGTCAGGAATATTTCAAATCTTCTCTTCCAGCTATTTAAAAATATACAATATATTGTTGTGAACTATAGTCACCTTCCTGTGCTATCAAACACTAGAACTTCTTCCTTCTATCTAACTGGGTTTTTGTACCATTAACCAACCTTTCTTCATCACCACCCCCTCCCCCGCCAAACTGTACTTTATAAATGGTTGAATATTATTGTTAATTATATCTTAATAAAAATATTTATTTAAAAATACTACATAAGTATGCCCCACAGAGATGGCTAAATGAGGAAAATGGTAAGGAATAAACACAAGTTCTCTGTCTTCTGTTTCTCTCCCAGCTTTTGCTTCCTTCTAAGAAGAGACAGGAGATGGAAAGCAGCCTCAGTGATTTGCATCAGTCTTAGCATGAAGGCAAAACTCCCCTGCTCATAGGATAATGGCAGAACTCCAGCATGGCCAGGCCCTGCTCCTCCTTACCCTTACCTTCCACCACATTCCCACCCCTTATTTCCACCCTCAAACACACTGACCTTCTTTCAGAACAGCATATTGGCATAGTCCCATTTCACTTTCTGCCCAGCTAACTTCTACTTAATCCTCAGACCTCAGCTCAGTTGTCTCTCACTGGGTAAGTCTTCCTTGATTTCCTGGGCTAAGTCAAACTCCTCTACTCATTGATATCATAGACCTCACACCTTTCTCCTTTATATAACTTATCACAACAGCAACTTTTCCTTTATTTGAGACATCATTTGATTAATGTTAGCCCAGTCCCTATGAAAATAGGAACCATGTCTACTTTGCTCACCAGTGTATCCCAGGGCCCAGCACAGTGACTGGCACAAAGCAGATGCTCAGTTACTTGTTAAATGACTTGCTGAAAGTTAAAATTCAAAACTTCTTAAGATTAAGTGATTGTAGCACCCAAACTTTTCTCATTTTTAGATGTAATAAGCCATCAAATTATGCAATTATGTCACTGAAATATGTCATGTGTCAGAGAGCCAAATACTACAAAACACTGTTAAAACCTGATCTTGTAGTTTGTAGTTTCATTACTTAAGGAGTTTTTTTCCTCCTCCTAGCAAAGAAAAAAAGGAAAGAATATACAAATTACCAATATCAGAAATTAAAGAATGGTCACCACTATTGATCCCATGGACATCAATAGGATAATAAGGGACTAAGAAGGAAATAACTCTGCATACACAAATTGAATAACTTAGATGAAATGAACAATTTCCTTGAACGATACAAACTACCAAGACTCATAGAAGGCCAGATAACCTAAATAGACCTATATCTATTAAAGAAATTGAATCAATAATTGAAGACCTTCCAAAAAAGAAAACGCCAGGCCCAGATATATTTACCAATAAATTCTACCAAATATTTAAGGAAGAAATATTACCAATTCTCCAGAAATCTTTCAGAAAATAGAGGCAGAGAGAACATTTAACTCAGTCTGTGAGGCCAACATTATCCTAATACCTAAACTAGATAAAGACATTATAACAAAAGTCAGATCAATATCTCCTATGAACATCATAGACAAAAAAATCATCAACAAAATATTCGCAAATCAAACTAATTGTATATGAGAAGAATTACACATGACAACCAAGTGGACTTTATTCCAAGTATGCAAGGATAGTTCCACATTTGCAAATCAGCCAATGTAGTCTACCATATCAGGAGGCTAAAGAAGTCATATGATTATATCAATTGATGCAGAAAAAGCATTCAACAAAATCCAATACTCATTCATCATCATCAGAAAAAAAAACAATTCTCAGCAAACTAGGAGTAGAGGAAAACTTCCTCCACTCAATATAGAACATCTAAATCCACAGCTAACATCATATTTAATGGTGAGACTAAGATCGAGAATAAGGTAAGGACATCCTCTCTCGCCACTCTATTCAACATTGTACTGGAAGTCCTAACTAGCACAATAAGACAAGAAAAAGAAATAAAAGGTATATCTGTCTTTATTCACTGATGGCATAATTGTTTATGGAAAAATCCTAAAATTCTGCAAAAAAAAATCTCCTAGAATTAATAAGTAAGTATATCAAGGTCACAGGATACAAGGTCAATATACAAAAATCAGTTGCTTTCCTGCATACCATCAATACACATTAGAATTTTAAGTATTTTTTAAAATACCATTTATAATAGCAATGAAAAATGAACTATTTAGCTATAAATCTAACAAAATATGTACAGGATCTATATATTTAAAAATTCTAAAACATTGATAAAAGAAAGTTTTAATGACCTAAATAGAAGAGATATTCCATGCTCATGGATTGAAAGACTCAATATTCAATTTTTTCCAACTTGATACATAGACTCTATGCAATAACAATCAAAATGCTACTAAAATATTTTATAAATATTGACAAACTGATTTTAAATTTATATAGAAAGGCAAATACGTATTTGCCTTTCTATATTGTATTGACTAGAATAGCCAATACAATACTGAAAAAGAACAACGTTGGAGGACTCACACAATCCATTATCAAGACTAACTATAAAGCTACAGTAAACAAAACAGTGAAAATTAGACACACAGATCAAGAGACCAGAATAGAGAGCCCAGAAATAGACCCACACAAATATAATCAACTGGTTTTTTTACAAAGGAGAAAAGCAATTAAAAATGGTGCTTAAACAATTGGACTTCCATATGCAAAAACAAAAGAAAACAAAAAAAAGAACCTAGGCACAGACCTTACATCTTTCACATAAATTCATTCAAAATTGGTGACAAATCTAAATATAAAATGCAAAACAATAAAATTCCTAGAAGAAAATGTAGGAAGAAATCTAGATGACCTTGGATTTTGCAATAAGTTTATAGTTACAACACCAAAAGCATGATACATGGGGGAAAACTGACAAGTTGAGTTTATTAAAATTAAAAGCTTCTTCTGTAAGAAAGACACATTTTAAAAATGAAAATATAAGGCAGAGACTGACAGAACACATTTGAAAAACACATATCTGGTAAAAGATTTGTATCCAAAATATATGAAGAACTCTTAAAATTCAATAATAAAAAAACAACCTAATTTAAAAAGGAGCAAAAGATCTGAACAGACTCTTCACAAAAAAAGGTAGCAACTAAGCACCTGAAAAAATGCTCAACATAATTTGTCATTAGGGAATTGCTAATTTAAACAACAACGAGTTAACATTACACACCTATTAGAAGAGTTAAAAGCCAAAAAGAACTGAGGATGCCCGTTGCTGGCAGGGATGTGGAGCAACAGGAACTCTCATTCATTACCAGTGGGAATGCAGAATGGTACAGCCCCTTCAGAAGACAGGTTGGCAGTTTTTCACAAAGCTAAACATAGTCTTACTATAAGGCTCAGAAGCCATTCTCCTAGGTATTTACTCAACTGATTTGAAAATTTATGTCTCCACAAAACATCCATACAAATGTTTGTAGCAATTTTATTCATAATTGCCCCAAACTGCAAGCAACCAAGATGTCCCTCAACAGGTAAATAAACTATGATACATCCATAAAATGGGATATTATTTAGCAATAAAAATAAATGAGCCGCCAACCCTTGCAAAAACATGGATGCATTTTAAATACATAGTCAAGGGAAAGGGGCCTATCTGAAAAGCCTACACCTCTATGATCCCATTTACATGACATTCTGGAAAAGACAAAGCTACAGAGATGATAGATCAGTTTCCTCAACACACGCACTTGCACATCTCAAAGACACCTCAAACTTAACTTGTCAAATATGGAATTTGGTTTTCCCTTCTATACCTGGTCCTCTGTTGTCACTGTGTCTGTGGATGGCACCTCCACCCACTCACCCAGTTACCCAAGTTGGACACTCAGGAGTCACCCTGATACTTCCCTCTCCCTCACCTCCAACATCCAGCCTCTCACCAAGTCTTGATGATACTGTCTCCTAAATATATCTTAAATCTGCCTGCTTTACTGCTTTTCTGTGTCCACTTTCCTACATCCAGCTCATCATCTCGTCTGCATGACTGTGTCATAACCGGTATCCCTGCAGTCTCTCTGGTCACTCTCACTCCAGTGCATTCCCCACTCTTCAGCCACTGTGATTTTGGAAAAGCAGTTCTCATCATGTCATCCCTCCATGTACAGATATTTCAATAGCATCTAGTTTCCCTTGAGTTAAAAACAGAGTTCTTTGGCCTTTCAAATCTCATATGGCTCAGCCTCTGCCCATCTCTCTGGGTCATCTCTCAGCATAATCCCTGTCTCCACCCTGGGCTCTGGCCTCACTGGGCCTTTGTACCAAAGTGATAAAGTTCCCTCCTCCATGACCAATGGTTCCTGACTCTTCACTCTCACCCATCTCAGCTGCACTCAAAGCTCATCTACCAAAACCCATCATTTTGCAGGAAAACAAACAAATAAAAGGAAAGCTATCACTGCAACATGGCCACAGGGATTCACAATCCCCAAACAATAGAGGTATAAGCAGGTTCTAAAATAAAAAGGACAACTTGAGGGTGAAATAGGGCAGGGTGTGTGCCTAGTGGGGTTCCTGAAAACTCTAAAAAGGTGCTGCTTACTCCTCATCTGCCTTCTCTGGGTGTACCTGGGACTTGTTTTCATTAATGGATTTTTCATGGTAGCTTCAAAAACCATCCTGTCAATATGTTACCCAATGTTTTTCAAAAAGCTGCTCTTTGGTGGAATATGTCCAGTAATAATAGAAGTTGGTAGCCTAGCTATTCCCTCTCCCATCTCTCAGCTACCCTTCTGTCTATAGTCGAGCCCCTTCTGGCTACCCCTCCAGCCTGGGAGCCGAGGAGCAACTCTTCATTCTGAACTGCTGGTTCGATTTGCTTATGCTTAGCCTTGCCAAATTGCCTGTGGCATCAGCTCCCCAGGTAAGTTCTTCTTAAAAGCTTCCTCACTGAGAGAGCTGACAGGGTCAGTTTCCTTTTGAACACATATCTTTTTTTTTTTTTTTTTTTTTTTTTTGAGATGGCGTTTCGTACTTGTTGCCTAGGCTGGAGTGCAATGGCGCCATCTTAGCTCACTGCAACCTCTGCCTCCCAGGTTCAAGCGATTCTCCTGCCTCAGCCTCCCGAGTAGCTGGGATTACAGGTGCCCACCACCACACCTGGCTAATTTTTTGTATTTTTTTAGTAGAGACAGAGCTTCACCACGTTGGCCTGGCTGGTCTCAAACTCCTGACCTCGTGATCCACCCATCTTGGCCTCTCAAAGTGCTGGGACTACAGGCATGAGCCAGCGCCCAGCCTGAACGCATATCTTAATCATCTTTGCTCCCCCACAGTGCCACAGTGCCAAGCACAGTGTCTGATTTTAGTAGTAACGTGAAGATACTGGTTGAATTGGACAAAACTTGAAACAGAAAATGAGCACATTTTTTGCAGTTGCACTGGAGTGCTAAAGTCAAAATAAAATATAAGGACGAATCTCTAAATTAAGCATTTCATTTGGGAATCACAGAATTGCCATTTGCGGTATACACACATACTGGAGTGGTACATCCAAAGAAGAAAGAGAAGGTGGAAGGTTTTATTAGAAAGAGAAATGTGCCAGGCACAGCAGCTCACACCTGCCTTGGGAGGCCAAGGCAGGCGGACCACTTGAGCCCAGGAGTTTGAGACCAGCCCGGGCAACATGATGAAACCCTGTCTGTACAAAAATATAAAAATTAGCTGGGTGTGGTGGGGCTCCCATGTAGTCCCAGCTACTCAGGAGGCTGAGGCAGGAGGATTGCTTGAGCCCGGGAGGCAGGGGTTGCAGTGACCCATGATCACACCACTGCACTCCAGCTTGGCTGACAGAGCCAGACCCTGTCTCAAAAAAATAAAAGAGGCCAGGCGTGGTGGCTCACGCCTCTAATCCCAGCACTTTGGGAGGCCAAGGCGGGCAGATCATGAGGTCAGGAGTTTGAGACCAGCCTGGCCAACATGGTGAAACCTCGTCCCTATTAAAAATACAAAATTTAGCTGGGTGTGGTCGCGGGCGCCTGTAATCCCAACTGCTCGGGAGGCTGAGGCAGGAGAATCTCTTGAAACTGGAAGGGCGGAGGTTGCAGTGAGCCAAGATCATGCCACTGCATTCCAGCCCGGGCAACAAGAGCAAAACTCCATCTCTAAATAAATAAATAAAAGAAATGTTATGTATTGTTTTGAAAGAAAGCTCATTGGCACTAGAGAAACTTTTGGGAGCTGTCAAGCTCTGATTGGTGACTGATGGTGGTAGGTAAAACAAATCTTAGAGTCACAGAAGGTCATTTCAGCAGTTACTATATAAAACTGGTCTAAGGGTTACAGTAGTTTGTTTCAGCAGCTGGGCTTGCAGAAAATTCAATTTTTTGGGAATTGGAGCTATGTGCCCCAAGTGTTTTATTCCCCCGGCCTCCTGACTCTGATGTAGCTGGATATGACAAAAATTTGTATAATCAGCTTTCATATTTCCCTCTTTTATCAAGATATTTATTTGGAAGCATCACTGAAGCATCTTGAAGTCAAGCTTCATTGTCCCACTGTACTGGAATGGTCCTATCCCAGTTTCTGTCCCACAACGGGGAGAAGGTACAGGAATCTATGTCAGGGACCTAGGCTATATTTGAGGAACAAAAAGTCCAGAAGGAAAAATTTTCTCAGGGCAGGCTTGTCTGGGGTCCAGTATTGAGTTTCCTTATATTAGTCCCATGGGTATTAGCAATCATTTTAAAGCATTGGGCTAACATTATCCTATTGGGAGAACTGGCTTTACAAAGATTAAACAGGCAACAAGAACAAAGCTTAAGGATTGTGATATGAAAAAAATAATTAGCGACAATGTAATACATTTAGTTTGTATAAGGGTTTTGAACCAAGAGCCCAAGGCTAAGGGAAACTAACTAAGCAAATCAAAAGACTATGAGGGAACTGAATGAGACCTGTTGTAGTTGAGTTTCATTTTATGACTGCGTTGAATTAAAGCAGGGATTGCCAACTCTATAAGAGCAACTACTAGCACAATTTTAATAATAAGTTGTGTTAGACATACTGTCAAAATTACCCACTAGATAGATTAAAGGATTTGCAGCAGGGTGTTGGGGGTGTCAGGTTCTGTCTAGAGAAAAAGGTAGGCATTAAGAGGAGTTGAGAGTCTCATTATAGGCCAGGCACGGTGGCTCATGCCTGTAATCCCAGCACTTTGGGAGGCCGAGGCAGGCAGATCACGAAGTCAGGAGTTCAAGATCAGCCTGGCCAACATGGTGAAACCCTGTCTCTACTAAAAACACAAAAATTAGCTGGGTGTGGTGGCACATGCCTATAATCCCAGCTACTCAGGAGGCTGAGACAGGAGAATCACTTGAACCCAGGAGGCAGGGGTTGCAGTGAGCTGAGACCACACCACTGCACTCCAGCCTAGTGACAAAGCAAGACTGCGTCTCAAAAAAAAAGAGACAGTCTCATTATAATATGAAGTCGTGTCCCACCACCTTGGGAAAAGCTGTCTACAGTATGAAAATATCAACTTCCTATGTTGGTTTACAGTTTGAATGTCTCTCGTTATGGCACTGGGTGGTTTAGTGAATTTCTTTATGTGGTCCATACATCAAGCACAAGACTTGTTCCTTAAAATTTAGTTTAGGCCAGGTTCAGTGGCTCAAGCCTCTATTCCCAGCACGTTGGGAGGCAGAGGCAGGTGGATCACCTGAGGTCAGGAGCTCAAGACCAGCCTGGCCAACATGGCGAAACCCTGTCTCTACTAAAAACAAAATACAAAAATTAGCCCAGCATGGTGGCACGTGCCTGTAATCCCAGCTACTTTGGAGGCTGAGGTAGGAGAATCGCTTGAACTCGGGAGGCAGAAGTTGCAGTGAGCCGAGATCTCACCACTGCATTCCAGCCTGGGTGACAGAGCAAGACTCTGTCTCAAAAAAAAAAAAAAAATTTTTTTAGTTGTAGCTTACAAGGCTTCAGGAACAAAGTAGTTCCTGTTTTTAATCATTTTATGGAAGAAAGTTGGGTTGGAGGAATCTAGAAAAACTCAGAATTTAGTCAAGTCCACAGTTACATAATGAAGACTTGAAAACAGTACACAGAGCTACAAGCTAATAACTGATATATATTATAGCTTTTCTTGAGAAATACAATTTTTTCTCTATATGTTGATTACAAAGGAATCTCAGATTTTAAAAATCACTTGAGTCTAGCAAGCTAAACCAAGGCAGACTCTATATTTCACCTATAGTCTTAAGGTTCCTGGGCATGCCAGGAAGTGACGATTCTTATTTACTCACTGTAAGGCTGACAACTCTTGAAGTCAGGCATTACACGCATATTTTAAAATATGACATTTCAGTCAAAGCCTTGGCAATATAACTAATGTCTTCAATTGTATCCTACTATAAAGAGAGAGCAGATTTTTACTGGACTTGTGTAAATAACCATACTGCCATAAGAATACTCATGAATAGATTCTAAATTCTGAAGGAATCCAGTAGAGATAAAAAGCAAATGTTTCCAACTTGTTTACAAAAGTATACTTTACCAAATTGCTGTAAACTATAGTTAGCTTAAGAGAGAAAATTTTTTAAGTCTAGAAAACAGAATAATTCAGTAAAGAACCAATAATGTTTTAAATAAAAGTCATAAAAACATTATATTTATCAATCTCACGTAGCTAATTTTTGTTCTGCTTGATCTTGATTAGTAGTTGTATGCACCCATCAGTTTTTTATTAGAGCTTTGAAAAACATTTCATTTAGTCCATTGATCTTAAAGGTATTATAAACTTGTATTTTAAGAGTATTTGTTACAGTCTTCCATAAATCTTATTGTAAATGCCTTTAGAGAGGAATTTAAAATGATAAACTACAGATGACAAAAACTTAGAATTGTCATGGTTAAAAATCTGATAGAAGTTCATTGTAATTAGAAATTGACAAGAAAATTTAGTTATTTTGTGGCATACAACACAATATCTAGATTTATGACTGATGACATATTAGATTTCTAAGAATTGTATATAATTTTGGAAAATTTATATCAATAACATACCCATAAACGTAACTGAAAGAAAATCTAGCATCACTCATCATTTGACAAAGTTTTCCTTATAATTTATCAAATAAGCCTAGTCATTTAACATATCTATGAGATGAGAGATGCATTCTTTGAAGCTCTCCAGGGGCCCAACTGGAAAATTCCAAAGTTAATTCTAGGTCAAAGAGATTTAATTTAGAATTTGATTCTGGGAAAGTTTGTCAAAGATGCCCAAAGGCTCAAACATTTGATCAAAACAAGATCACAGGTCACTGAAATAATAGTCATTCATTTAATCAGAGTCATACCCAAAAGGCTTAAAAATCAATACAGAAAGTTACAAGAATTTTTAAAACCTTAATTCTTTCAGACCTCAGCTTTCCTAAGTGATCAAAAATCTAATAAAGATAACACTGAAAGTTATCTTGATAAAATGTAAATGTTTTGTTTTCCAGGCCAGTTACTGAAACAGTAAAGAAAAATCTTTTGCAGTGTGATTGTTTCTCCTTATGGGAAGCCCATTTAGACAACCTGGAAGTTTAACCTGGTGAAAAGGTACTTGAATTTCATGGGACACAGGAAGAATATGTGTGTAAGGTTAAGAGTGCACACTATATTATAGAGGAATGTAAACAAGAAAACTAGTACCTTAAGCAGAGGAATATATGGCTCTTAGTAACAGCATGGAAACTTTCACAGTGTTATGAAACAATTCAGACACATCAAGAAAAGCCAAGAGTACAAAATTAAATTACACTGAAGAAAAACATTGTTTTTCTGGGCCTTTAAGAGAAACACTTCAGCATCAGGCCATAACACCAGTGTTAGAACCAGAGAAAAAATGATCGGAGCTGATGAAAAAGTTGAAGGGGAAAGTTATTATCCCGGGCCTTCTCAAGAGAAGAAAGTACAGAAGGCAAAAATGTATGACCTGAAAATTACATGCAGTGAGATACAGCAAAAGTTGAACTTCTGAAATAAAAAACTAAAAAGCTTCAAGAGGAAAACTCTCCTTCAAGAAATGAAATTTGCATTCTGAATGAAAAAGATACCATTTTTAATGTGAAACTAGGAAAATTAAATGAAGACTGTAAAACAGAAAAAAGCTACAATTAATTAAAAATCAAAACCTCAAGCCAAGTGTGGTGGCTCCTGCCTGTAATCCTAGCACTTTGGGAGGCCGAGGTGGGTGGGTCACCTGAGATCAAGAGTTTGAAACCAGTCTGACCAACATAGTGAAACCTCATCTCTACTAAAAATACAAAATTAGCTGGGCATGGTGGTGGGCAACTGTAATTCCAGCTTGGGAGGCTGAGGCAGGAGAATCGCTTGAACCTGGGAAGTGGAGGTTGCAGTGAGCCGAGAGCACGCCATTGCACTCCAGCCTGGGCAACAAGAGTGAAACTCCGTCTCAAAAGAAAAAAAAAATCAAAACCTCTTTACATTTTGCTAAAAGCAGGTCAATCTTTTAAGAACATCTTGTTGTGTAAACATAGGGGACCATATTTTTAGTTTTATATCAATTTATTTTAAATATCAAAACTCAATCTTTAGGAAGATTTATAAATAACTCCCTTTTAATTATAGCCATTGTGATAACACACATAATTCATCTTATAAATTTATCCTTTAGAAGCTTTATCATGACTTACTCAGACCTTTGATGACATGCTTAGACTTTCTTCTTTGTCTTACACTTTTTCTAAAAAACCAGTCATTTTATTTTAGGACAAAAATGTATCAAAAAATGTTTTTATACAAAGTTATTTTAATTTTTAACCTAAAAATATATCTTTAAATCTATAACTTTCTTTATATCTCTCTCTCCTACTTATGATTTACTTTATATCTTAATTTTATTTGTTAAATACATATTTAAATAACCCCCAAATTAGACAAAATATTTTTCTTTTTAATAAAAAACACATTTTATGTTTTTCTTATAATTTTATATGTATTAATACACCCAACTATATTTAGTCTTTTTATGAAATTTAAGAAACCAAGAACAGATCTATGTTCAGCAATTTGTTTCCATTTTTAATCTTATTTTTAGAAATGACCCACTTAATAAGTACCTATTATTTAACATAACTTTAAGATTTCAAAGTACATAAAAAGTCTGTTTATAAACATTTATCTCATTTACATTGACTTAATTTATTTTTAATAATTTACTCAGACTACTTATTAGAACTGAGATATTAGACAAAGCTACTCATTATTTCAAGCTATTTTTCTATTAACCATTTTCACAGCCTACGAATATCTGATATTCACCTAAGTAAGAACCTTAAAGTTAAATATATGGGTACTTTAAGGGGGTGGAGCAAGATGATGGAAGAGAAGTCTCCACCAATCATCTCCCTCTCAGAAGGACACTAAAAGGCATTTGAGTTAATTACTATATATTTTATATGAGCACTCATTTATTTAAGCCAATCTGAATAGAATTCTTTAAAAGATTTCTGGCCAACTATGCCAGATTTTACCATGTAGACACACATATAATACATGTACATATACACAAGCACACCTAAACATATATTAATACATACATGCAAAAATTTTACAGCTTTCATTTTAGAATTTTAGTCATGAGACAGAAAAACACACAAAACTCACCAGTTTATAAAAGACAGTTGAATCTAAATTATATTTCTGACAAAATGAATTAAGGCTAAACTAAGATCTTTTTCCTAATAAGCAATCTTATAAAGGCTTTGAACCAAATTTTAATTAAAGCAATTTGAGTCATTTACCAATATACTGGATTGGACAAAGAATAGTTAACTGTGAAAATGTGACTGAATTATGCAAGGAAGCCCAAAAGATGAGAGTTATTATAACAAGATCTGTAGAGTGTTCTCTTGGTCTCAATTCCTCATCCTTGATAATAAGAGTGTTGCCCTTCCTTTTACTACAGAGAGATTTCCTTTACATGGGAATTTCATCTTTTGCTTTTAAGAAACAGCACAGAGGTCAAAGTGATTTTCTTTTGTGTCTACTGGTTTTAATGTGTCTTTATTTAAATAAACAGTATGTCAGAATAGTTGAGGAGTTTTTGAAAAAAGAGAGTTTAGCTTAGAGAAAGATAAAGAGGAAGAGATGTAGAATGGAGAGGGAAAGACTTTGGAAAGAGAAAAGTCTCAGCTAGAATTGAAACAGTATTTTTCAGTAAGGCAATCTTTGAGTCCTAAATGTGTTTTGTAGTCTGGACATACCAATTGAGATATGCATCCTGTCTAGACTGTATGATTTTATAGCTACAACCTTTTAGCTCAGTTTTCAGAAAAACAGACTGTTTGAATGATCCCTATAATGTTTGAACATGTCACCCACCATCAAGAGTCCCAGAAGTAGGAAACACTCTTGGCATGCCTTTGAACTTTGAGAGCCCATTTGTAAATAAATGTATCTAAGTGATTCAGTTTAATGGTGAATACACAAATGACAAACTAAATCTAAGCATCCAGATGAATTGGAAAATAAGGTAAGTAATTACCAAGAAGGATGATAAGCTATCTTCAATGGGAGAAAAAAATCCCTTTAACCAGGCCTCACAACCAGGAGGAGGAAGACCGTTCCTAACCAATTCCAAAATAAAACCAAATTCAGCCAAAAGAAAATGGAAGTCTGATCTGAGAAAGACTAATCAAGGGGTAAACAGGTGACCCATGGAAGAAAAGGGGCTCAAGGGGCCCGAGTATGGATACCTCATGCCATAGTTCCAGGGGCCATTGATGTCTCCAAGGTAAGTCTGCTTTGAAACCCACTCCTGACATCCAATATGTCAAAGTCAAAATAAAATATAGACAAATCTCTATATTAAACTTTGGGGTTTTTTGTTTGCTCTTTTGTTTGTTTGTTTCTTTGCTATAGAGTCTTGCTGTCACCCAGGCTGGAGTGCAGTGGCACTATCTTGGCTCTCCACAACCTCTGCCTCCTGGGCTCAAGCAATTCTCCCACCTCAGCCTCCTGAGTAGCTGGGATTACAGGCATGCACCACCATGCCTGGCTGTTTTTTGTATTTTTAGTCTACTAAAACAGGGCTTCACCATGTTGGCCAGGCTGGTCTCAAACTCGTGACCTCAAGCGATCCGCCTGCCTCGGCCTCCCAAAGTGCTGGTATTACAAGCACGAGCCACCGCACCCGGCCTAAATGTTTTATTTGAAAATCACAGAATTGCAATTTGGGGCATACACACAGACCAGGGTGGTCTTCAGTATGTCTAAAAAACAGAGAAGTTTGGGAGTTTTATTAGAAAGAGAAATGTTACTTACTGTTTTGAAAGAAAGCTCATTGACACTAGAAAAGCTTTTGGTAGCTTACAAGCTCTGATTGATGAGTGACGGCTGTAAGTAAAAGTAGTCTTAGAGTCCCAGCAGGTCAATTCAGCAGTTACTGCATAAAACCAATCTTAGGGTTACAGCAATCTGCTTCACTAGCTAGGCTTGAGGGAAATTCAATTCTTGGAGCTAGTGCTATGTGCCCTGAGTGCTTCTTTCCCTGGCCTCTTGACTCTGATTTAGTTGGGTATGACTAGAATGGCCCAATTCATATAATCAACTTTCACAGAGCATAAAAGAAATGTGTTTATAAATCAAAATCATTTTTGTAGGCCCCTAGAGAGTGCAGCATTTCAAGGAAGGCTTTGGCAAATCTTTTTGTAAAGTGTGGAATTGCTTCATTTTGTAAATAGTTCTTACTTATAAGGTTGTTTCACACTCAGACGTGTGTGTGTGTGTGTGTGTGTCAGAGAGAAAATTATAAGGGTGATTAATATGTTACTTTTGTGAGAAGAAAGGGAGTGAGCAATGGAGGAAGGAAGGAAGAGAGAGGAAGGAAGCAATAAAGCAGACAGAAGAAAGCAAAAAAGGAAGGGGGAAAGAAGGGTGGAAGGGAGGGAGCAGGAGCAGTTGGATGTAAAAGGCTTGAAATTAGGGAGAGATAAGGCTGAGATGTAAATTTGGGAGCCATGAGTATATGAACAAAATGTAAAGACCCAGGATCTGGTGACATCCCCAAGAGAGTAAGTGAAGATAAGAAGACCAAGGGTGGACCCCTGGGATAGCACAAGGTTTACAAGGCTAGGAGCCAAGGATGAATTAGCAAAGAAAATGGAGGAGGAGCAACAAGGAGGTAGAAGAAAAACCAAGAGACTGTGGAGTTCCAGGTGCTGAGGGGAGAGAGAGTTTCAGAGGGGAGGAATGAGCAACTATGCCAAATACCAATAGGCCAAGTGCCATTGAAAGTTGACCATTAACCCAATGCTGAGGTTGTTAGTGACCTTGCCAAGAGCATTTGTAGCAGAGTGTGAGGGGTGAAATCTGGGTAGAGTGGAGTAAAAAGACATTGGGAGGAGAGAAATTGGAGATAGCAAGTATGATGACAATTTCGTTTTACTGCAAGAGAAAGCAAAAGTAACAGGAGAGATTCGGTATTGACTTGTTTTTATTTGGAGGATTAGAGAATCAGCGGTATGTTCATACACTAATGGAAATGATCCAGGGGAGAAGGGAACATTGATGATGAGGTGAGAGGGGAAGGGATTTCGGAAACAAATGGTCTGGGATAAGAAGATGGAGAATTCATGTGGTCAGAGCATCTCAACCCATTAGGAATTTTCCTGAGAATCAACCAGTACAGGTGCACATCTTTCTAGATATTTATCTAGGTATAAACCAATATTATTGTAATCTTTATCATACTGTTCACATTCTCCAGCAACCTGCTTTACTTAAATACCTACCAGGGACATTCTCCCAAGTCAGGTCATAGAGGCCAAACTCAATCATTTTAATGGCTGCTTAGTATAAAGTAGTATGGATGTTCCATAGTTTAGATAATCATAATTTGCCATCTACCGATGGATATTTAGATGTGTCCAATCTTGCAATTGCAAGTAACATTGTAGTGGCGGTCCTTATATAACTTTATATTCATGAATATTTCAGAAAAATCAACTACTAAAAGTTAAATTGATGAAATAAAGGATCCCAGCATTTTGAATTTTGATAGATGCTGCCCAAATGTCCTCCACTAAGGTTTCCCTAATGAACAACCCACCAGAAGGATGTGAGAGAGGGATGTGATGCTAGGGGTAGGGGGAGGTTGGTTTGGGTTTGGACTTTTGATAGCAGACTTGTTGTTAAAAGTAGTTCAAGCTGAACATGGTGTCATAAACATAACTGATGAACCATTGACCCCTCCTCTCCAGGATCAAAAGTCCTAGCTGACCCAGACTGCTCTGGGGAACTAGAGAGGCAGAGAAGTGGGACAGAGAGAAGAGAGAGGCAGACAAAGGGAGCAGGGGCACCGATGTGGGGAAGCTGTTGGGTGCTCTGGGGCTAGCCTGGCTCAGCCAGCACCTGCCTTTGGGGCCCCCGGCAGGCACTCAGCCTTTCACTGCCTGTTCACCACAGCCAATGAGCTCGCATGTAGATCCAATGAGGTAACGAATGTGAAAAGAAGACAGCAAGTGTTGATGCGGAGACAGCAGGTTGCCTGTCCACTGGCATTTATTTTCCTCTGGTTTCTTACTAACAAAACCCCTGTTTTATCAGGGACAATTTCCCTTACTTAAAAACATTCAATTTCCCTCTGCAGTAGTCATATGACACAGCTCCAGCCAATGAGATGGGAAAACACTGCATTCCCGGTCCCATTCTTGGAAAGTCATGTGACACAGCTCCGGCCAATGAGAGAGGGGCAGAGGTTGCTGCAGGGCATTCTGGGAAAGCCTGCAGGACTCCACTAGAACAGCCATTGCCCATCCTGACAGGGGACTTGGGTCCCAGAGAAGGAGCAGCCACCATGCTGTGACCTCAGGGCATCCACACACATGGAGGACATGAAGGGGAAATAGAGGAGGAGACTGGCCCTGATGGCATCTTGGAGCTGCTGGGCCTTCACTAGTGGCCACTACCAGATGTCCCTTGAAGTGAGAAAAATAAATCCCTAATTTGTTTAGGCCTCTGTTGGCCAGGTTTCCATCATTCTGGGCACAGCATTCCTGAGTATACAAGTAGCAGTGGGAGATGGAGGTTTTGGGGGGTGTAGACAGTGCACCAGATTGGACTCCTGGAAACCTGGCCCACTCCCTCTTCACCACTGGCCAGCTCTGTGTTGGAGCCCAGGTGGCTGGGCCTCTCTTAGCCCAATTCCCTCATCCATAACGAAGGCAACAGTCCCAGTGATGCCAGCCTATCAGCAATCAAAAGAGGATAAAGTGACACAAATTCTTTGAAAGCTTCGGTCCTGGAATGCAGGGGGTTGGTCCTGATCTCTGATGTGACTCCCTCAGTTGTCTCATGTGTAAACAGGAGAGTGTATACACCTTGCAAAGGGCAACACTGTTCAAGGGGGAGAGGTTGTCATTGTGTAAGTAGGCATCAGAGTAGTTGATGGTCTCCACCAAGGGCCATGAGAGTTCCAGCTCAGGACTGGCACAGCCTGCAAGGCCAGTGGTGTGGTGGGAGAGCAGTAGAGTGGGAGCCAGGAGGCCTTCCACCTGGAGTACTCTGCCTGTCTTGGAATGAACTTTCCTTCTGGGCCACAGTCTTCCCCCTTGTAAAATACAAGGTTTTGACTAGATGACTGTGAAGAGCTTCATCATTTCTCATACTCTTGGAATTAACTTTCCTAACTTCACAGACCCACAGGGAGGTGAAGTAGGAGTGGCAGAGGTTGGGATCATCTGTGCAATCAGGAGTGTGAGGTGTGAAGAGTCACAAGATCCTCAGAGAGAGGTCTCTGGCTGGGTCCAGCGGGATGCATCTCCTAAGATAGGAGCTGCTCATTGCAGGGGAGGAGGTAGGAGGGGCCAGAGAGATGGTGAGGGACCCCCTTTCCCCCAAGCCTAGGTCAAAGTGGACTCTGGCCCACGGGCTGCCCTGCTTGATTTGAGCAACAGAGAGGCTCTTCTTGCCGAGAGTTCACTGTAATTCTACAGCAGCTCTGAGCAGGTGGATGCTTACTGAGATGAGCTTTCTCTAGGAAGACCTGGGTATTTCACCTGTGTGGCCTTGAGATGGTCATTTAACCTCTCTGCATTTTTCTTCTGTTATTTATAAGCATGAAGGTATCAGATCAGGTGCTTTTGAAGGTCCTTCCAGCACTAAAATATAGGATTCTAGATTTAGGACAATAGTAGTTGCAATCTTATTGGATGATTGGGAAGATGAAATGAAATCAGTCATGCTTCATGGATGTTAGGATTTTCTTCCCCTCTCCTTCTTGGTTTTGTTTAAAACATTTGCTTTTCATGACCTTCATCCTAAGCCCAGAAGAGGATATTTGTGAGCTTTTGCCACCCAGTACCCTTGGACCCTTTTACTGGGAAAGCTGTGCCCAGAATTTCCCCCCTCCTACTCTCAGCCCATCCCTGAACCTAAGCAGGGTTAATCCTACCTCCCAATTCCAGGATGATCCCTGATTGGATCAAGCCAACCACCATATTCCCCCTCTCTGGCCATCCAGACTGGTTCGGGGTTGAGTGTGTAACCAAGGGGAATCAGCTAGGACCTTTGATCAACTATTGGGAAGAAAAGGTCTTTCTTCTCTGCTGGACTCCAGTCTGGATGGAAATCATCTGGCCACCAAGAAGGGGGATCTGAACATGGCCTCACATGAGGAAGAGATTTTTTAAAATATGGAGGAGGCACTGATGGGATTCATCATTTGAGCCCCTGCAACAAGGCCCCGCCATGCATCCCTGAGCTTTTCAGTGGCATAAAACCATTAACTCCCTTCTGAGTTCAAGCTGGGATGAGCTGAGTTTCCTATTACATAAAATAAAAGAGCCTAGCTGTCTCCCCTCTAGCACCTATGTCTCCAAGCTGAGACCAGCACAAAACTTTGCTGCCTCAGCCTCTTCTCTCTAGGTGTGAGGTTCATCTCTCCCTGCCCATTCTCCCCCATTTTCTCCTTTCCCACAGAGAAGGCTGCCAAAACTACCCAGTAATGGCACCTCCAAGGATGAGGACACATTAGCCCTAGTCTCTAATGAACCGAGCAGCCCTGTCACCACCAGACCCGGCATCACACAGTGACCTGGAGGGCTGCCGAGTCAGCACTGTGGGTTCCTGGTGCTTACTTGCCTCCTGGAAGAAGGCAGCTTGTGCTGGGAAGCCACTAGGTGGATTTTAAGAGAATTGGGTGGGGTGGGGGGTTGGTACAGCAGGCATCATACAGAACCCTGTAGAGTCAAGGCCTAATCAGGGGAGGGGTTTTAGAAGTGATTTTGTTCTGTAGATGTGCAGATTAAGTCCAGAGAGGGCAAGTGACTTGCCCCAGGTCACACAGTTGTTTAGAGAGAGAGTTGGGCTCAGAACCCAGATCTCCCAATTGAGTCCAGTTGTTCCTTTAACTTTGCTGTCTTATCCTCCAAAGACAGATCTATGTCCTCCCCAAGAACCCCCATGGGTTCTCCTTCCCTTCTTTATGATGCTCAATAGAGTCAGTCCTAAGCAGCCCCTCCCATAGCATCCTTCCTGTCTCCCAAAGTCCACACCACACTGAACATCTCCAGTTACCAGCAAGTCTGCTCAGTTCTTCCATCAGCGAGTCCTACAATAGCGAATGCAGATACCGAAGGGAATTGCAGCAGCTGCTGCACTCTCATTCCCAGGACCTGACCTGGGCTCTGAGCTCAGGCTCTGTCCCTTTTCTGCCATCTTAGGGATGCTCCCTTCATCCCTAGTCAGGATCCACCCTCCTCACCTGCCCTCAGCCCCCATGGTGGGTAGAGCTCAGCCTGCCTGAAGCCACACAGTGGTCTGTCTGCTTTGTTGCTGGAACATCTGGCCTGACCCTCTGATCATCACTCACTTGCCCCTGCCTCTATAAATGCTGAGTGTTCCTTCCCATCAGCGGTGGCGGGGGTTGCCCCACAACTATCTTGTCGTTTGGGCAGGAAGGCCCCTTGCCCACATCTCTGAGTGTCACCTCTGGGCCATCTCAATGTCGACCCACTCTCCTGCTGCCCAGGGGTGCCCGGGGCCTCCTCAGATGGTCAGTAGTGGGACAGGTGAGGGCTGGAAGCCAGGGTACCACACCTCACCCCAGTCAACAGTCATCTGTGCACCCAACTCAAGTCACCGACACTGACAGATTTGAACACCTGCTGCCAGGAACCATACTGAGAGCTGCCCATAGGCCCACCCCCGTGGCCCTCACAACCACCCTGTCAGGAGGATTCATCTGCTCTGCCTCCCAGGTGGGGAAACTGAGGCATTGAGAGGTGAAGCCACTGCCCCAAGGTCACCCACATGCCCCTAAGGAACCTGAAGGGTCAGAGGAGAAGGGAACACACATACCTCCCTCCTTCCCACTGCCCCTGTCTGCAGAGACATGGTTTCCAGTAACCTCCAGGGACAGCCTCCTGGAATCTCCCCTTCAAATCCTTCCTGACCAATGTTTACCTGAAATCATCCCACTGATCCCACCAAGCAAATGTCTGAGATTGTCTCCTGGAAAAGGAGGGCATGATTATCTGGCCGGCAGACACTGGGTGAAACCCCAGCCCTGCTCCCAAGAGGGACTTGTTCAAGCGACAGTCACTGGGGCATTGTGTCTGCAGAGAAGTCTGCTCCACTTTGAACTTTGTGGCAATTACAAAATGGCTTGTTATCCAAAATGATTTGTGGAGGTGGAAAGATTTCAGATGAAGAACTCAGTGGTGGGACTGCTGGACCCAGGCAGAAATGCAAGGCCATCAGTTAGCCATTCGGGTAAAACACAATGACCGTCATGAAATTTTAATTAAACTCTTACTTGTGTGAATAATGAAGCGTAGATTCTTCAGTGCTGACTTCCTCAGGCCTTCTCTGAAAGGAAAGCTCTGCTTCAGGTGCATGGCTCTGTGAGAATCTGCAAATGTCCCCTCTACTGAGGAGCCAAAGATGGATCTTCACCGCTGTAAGCCCAGAAAGCTGCTCCTATGAACTCTCCTCCAGGGAGGTCAGTTTCTCCCCATTTCCTGCCTGGATTGGCCCCGCAGGAAGTGGCAGGTGAAAGGAGTGGATGGGAAGAAGAGAAAAAAAGGCAAGGGGGCTGGGCAGTGGGTGTTGGAGGTTGGAGTCCAGCTGACCCTCGGATGTAAGTCATGATGCCGCAGCTTGTTTGCTGTAGGATCTTGAACGTCTTTGAGCTTCACTTTCCTTATCTAAAGAATACAAACTACAATTCTCATCTTTTTAGAAATATTGATTGTTTTCTCCTGTTTATTTTCTCCATTGCCTCCCTGCTCAGCCTACAACCCTGCTAAGTTGCTCCTCACCCACCTACCAACCCTTAGCTTATACAGTATTGAGGACACCTGACCCACACTGGCCACATTATCCAATTTTCTCTCCAGAGAATCTCCATTCGGAACATAGAGACAGTCACGAAGCTGTGGGGGCCAGCTGGAAGAGCACGTGGCTGTGGGTTAGAGGCAATCATCTTGGTGAGGCCATGCTGGATCGGAAGTGAGCAGAGAAGCCAGTCTACAGTGAGGGGGAAGAAGACCAAAAGGAAATAGACCTGGATTATCCACAGATCCAGTATGGGAGACAGAGGAAGACCCAGAGAGAAATGGGAAGGGTCACTGTTGGGTGACTCCTAGACCCCAGGACACCTGGCTGAACTTTCTATATTTGGGATCTGAGGGGGCCCCTGCATCCTTCTGCAAAGCCCTTTTTCTGCTTTGCAGATTTTTGTGGGTCTGTGAACCAGTTAAGTTTCTTCTCTGTTGCACATGTCAGAAAACTCAGCCCAAACTGGTTTAAGCCAAAGGAACTCCATTGATTCATGTAATGGAAACTTTCTGAAAAAGTTGACTCCAGAAATGGCTTGAAGGGGCCTCTTGGTGATGTTGCCAAGACCTAGCTTTTCTCCATTTCTCCTTCACACATTGTCTTCATTCTTAGGCTGCATCTAAGGTGATGGCAACAGCTGTGGACCATGAACTTCCAAGTGGTGAAGAGCAAGAGCGTCTTCTGCAGGAGGCCTGAAAAATGTCCATTGGATCTCGGTGGTTCCCTGGATCATTGCCCTCCCTGAGCTGATGGCTGTGCTAGAAAGATATATTGCACAGGTTAGTTTAAGCGTTAGTCCCACAGCCCACTGCTGAGCTACAGGTGCAGCCTCACAGACAGAGTAGGGAAAGGAGTGACCCACAAGCAAAAGTCAGTGCAGCTGCTGTAGTGAGAGGAATGCAAGCAAGCAACCTCACCTCTGGATTGCCAAAGATGAGAGCTCAAGGGGGACGGTGAGAGTGAGATGAAGTCCCTAATGAAATGCGTCTGTACAGTACCCATGCTGATTTCTCTTCCTTGCTCCTAAGTTGGTAGCTTTTCTGTAAAGCTCCTTGAGGCTGGGAGTCCAGCCCCTTCTCTTCACCATCCATTACCTGGGCCTTTTTGTGGCCCACACCTTGCGTGTGACCTTACCCTGGTCTGGACTGCCCTTCCCATACCTTGTCTGCTCAGGGTTTGAAATGGAGAACAGGCTGCCAAGGCTTAGAATAGGGGAGAAGCGGGCAGTGGGGGTGGGGAGGGGTGATTTTAAAGGCACAATAGGAGGGTATATTGATGATGGAACTATTCTGAATCTTGACTATCGTGGAAGATAACCAAACCAACACAGGTGTTAAATTGTATAGCGCTAAATACACACACACACACGCACACAAAATACAAGTAAAAACTGGAAATCTGAGTAAGATGGGTGGGTTGTACCAAGGTCAGTATCCTGGTTGTAATTTGTCCTATAGTTTTACAAGATGTTACCATGGGTGGAAACTGGGTCAAGGGTACACAAAATCTCTCTGTTTTCCTCCTTTTCTTTTTATAAATTAAACTTTTAAATTCTCCCACAGGGATGAGGAGGACTTCCTGAGCTGGGTGCTTCCTTGCTGGTGTCATGGGTGGAGCTTTCATTAAATCCAGTGGGGAGGAAGAAGCCTACTTGGGCCACCTTCTGTTGGGAGCAGTAGAGAAACTCTGGGCCTGGGTCTCCTGGGTGGGTGAAGGGGTCTGAGATGCCCGCTACTATACTGTTCCTCCAGTCCTGGGGTCCTTAACCAGTCACATTCCTCTTTTCTGAGTGCTCCTCTGGGAGTCTCTTGTGTTACCTCCAGAGCTGATCATTATACTTAGTGGGGAAGAGCAGGGAATGACCTCTGTGTCTCTCGTACAACTTCATAGAACTCTACAATTATCTCAGAATAAAAGTATTAATTTAAATAATGAAATAAATATATGCCAGGGGAGAAAAACCATAAATAACACTAAACACCACCAATCTCACTGGGTCACTGTGGAAAGTGCATTAACATACGCAAAGACCTTAGCCTGCCTAACACTCAGGAGGTACACGATGGATATGCATTGCTTCTCCAATAATTTAGGAGTGTTGTGTTCCTAAAGATCTTTGCAATTCAGGATATATCTTTTCATGAAACTCTGCTGTAGACTGGGGTTAGTCAGTCAAAAAGCTCTAATGGCTTGTACTGCTAATAACCATGAATAACAATCTTTCTTTCAGAAAATGTAGTCCAGACTCCAGGCGCAAGCATCCTCCCTTCCCTGGGCCACGGTCGAGAAAGGGGAGTAAACTATTTTAGTAGGCACAGCAAAGAGAGCAAAGCAGAGTGGGACTGGGCTCTGTGGACTGGCAGCTGGGGTCAGGCCGGGGTCTATGGAGAGAAGGAGCACAGATGCACCCTGGGTTCGCACCCGTGGGAAAGCCTGGGAGGCCACCCCCTGTTGGCCAGGGGTGTGTGTGTGTGTGTGTGTGTGTGTGTGTGTGTGTGCACGTGCATGCGTGTGTGTAGTGAGAGTGCTGCACCACATCAGTAATCGTCATGACCACTCACTAAGGAAGGAACTGGTAGTAACCCATTTCTCAGCTGAGGGAGCCAAGACCTTGAGAAGTTGAGGAACTTTCCTGAGCTCACAGCTTGGGTCTAAATCCCAGGCCGGTGACTGCCTCCAGTCCCTGCCCCAACCACTGCACTCACTGCCACGTGCTCCTGGTGTCCATTTGTGCCACTTGGAGGGCTCATCCCCACAATCACCCTGGGAGGAAGGGGCTGATGGAAGCACCATCCCCACCTACAGATGAGGAAAGGGCCCAGAGAGGGGAGGCAACTTGTCCACAGTCACACAGCAGGGAAGTGGTGGAGCCAGGACTGGAAGCCCTGTGGGCCTGACTTCTCCTCCAGGGCGCCCTCCCCTGCCCCCCACTACCCTCCCTTCAACACCTCTCAATGGAAAGCACAGACTGGGGCCCCCTTCTCCCTGTAGTGAAGGAAGCTTTTGGACTCACAGAGGCCTCTGTTCCTCAGCATCTCCTGCACTGGTAGCCAAGCCCCTCATCCTTGGTCGACATCGTACCCCCATCCTGGTCCCCCTCAGAGGCCCCCAGGGCTGTTACTTCCTTAATGTGCCTGCTTTAATTATTATCTTCAAGAAGAGACTCAATCCAGGAGATAAACACAAAAGACCCGCTGCTGATAAATGAAGGTGTCCTGCCTCCCTGGATGCAAATGGAGAGCCCGCTGCAACCCCTGCAGTAACACGCCTTAGCCTCCGTCAGGGCTGAACAGCCTCCCTAACATGGTGCATCTCCCTGTCCTGCAGGTGCTGGGATCAGCATAGTGGCAGGCAGAGGAGTGTGACACCAGCGTTGCACAGAGAAAAGAGGTAAATCCAGTGCCCTGGAGAGTGCCACACAGAAAGCTAACAGCCAAGAATGGAGTGGATCAGGGACAGAGGGATCAGCAGACAGCCAATAGCAGCTCCAGAGTGCAGGAGAGAGGCGGCACCATGGCCTCCTTTAGCTAGGAGACCCAGCCACACCCAGCCTGGCCTGGGTACTGCCAGTCCCAGAGGACACCATGGGACACAATGGGGTGCTCAGGCATCTCTCAGGACCCCTGCCCCTAACCAGGCACTGCTCCCCACATACATCTCTCTGCCTTGACTGAGGGACTCAGCCTTCCTGGGCCTGGGTCTCAGCTTCCCCTTGGGTTCCACTGTGGAGCAACCTTCCAGGCCCAGTGCCATGGCCTGCCCTGGATGAAAACTGTTCTCTGACCCTGGCCCTGCAAGATGCACCCCTAAGACCAGCCCCAGATCCGCACCCAACTAGACCTGCCCCCTTCTCCTCCCTCTTCCCCCTTCCCACACACCCTGGAAAGAAGAGTTCAGCAGTGAGGAGAGATCACTTCACATAAAGGCTCTCTCTGTAGCATCACCTGGGGCAGACAGTGGGGTGTAACAGCCACCCTTGTGGCAGTGGAGCCCGGGAAGCACTGTGCTTACTCACAGGTCTGCACTCTTCTCTGCCACTCACCGTCTGTGTCATTCAGGCAAGTTACTTAACCTCTCTGAGTCCCAGCTTTCTCATCTGGAAAGTGGAAAAAAATACCTCCTTTCCCTTTCTCAGTTTCCCCTCCATAAACTGCAAAAAAAAAACTAAAATTATATATATATATAATTTTATATATGTATGTATATACACACACACACACACAGAGACAGAGAGAGAGAGACACACACCAGTATGACCATTGGCTTGCTCCTGTCTGTGCACTCAGCTAGAATACGAGCTCCATGGGGCAGGGCCAAGCCTGTCTTGCACCCCACTGTATCCCAGCACCCCCCACATAGTGAGCCCTCAAGAAATGCTTGTGAAATAAATGCTGTGAAATAAAAGATGACCTCTCTCAGCCCCTGCTGCTCAATATGTGGGCTGCGCACCAGCAGCAGCAGCTCTCAGAGCCCATCCAACCCCCCTGCATCAGAGCTGGCCTTGCACGAGAGCCCAGGGCAGGTGTGTCCAGGTCCCAGGAGCCCTGGAGGCTCAGCCTCCCTTCCCCAGGTCCTCCTTCTCCATGCTGACTTGTTGGGCTGCCTCCCTGGGCCTCTGCCTTGCCCAGCACAGTTCCACCTCTTTTCCCTGAGGAAGGTTGGGACGATTCAGTGAGATCGTGGCTCCAACGCACCAGCTTCAGGAAGATGAGCCATAAACAGGGCTCCATCTCCATCTCTGTCTCTCTCTGATCCAGACCTAGGCCACTGCAGGAAGTCTATGAGCAGCTCACTTCCTGCCACTGGCAGGCTCTGGAATTCACTGTGCAGCCCAGGCTGGGAATGCAGCCGCCAGCGGGGAGCCCTGAGCCCAGGCTACACCTGAAACCAAACACCCTTCTCTGGACCCACTCCTCACCCCTCAACATACAGCTGCTGCCCACCTGGTTTTACTGCCTGGCACTGCAGCCCTTTCCAGAGCCCCTGTGGGTCACCCTGAGACCCCAGCCCCTTCCATGGGGGAGGTCTCTCTCCTCCTCACTACAAAGCTGGCCCATGTGACTCTATGTCACAGCTGCCACCTGCACTCACTGCTGGGCCCTCACCTTCCACCCCAGCACCGCCTTGATGCTCAGATGCCAGCAGGTCTCGGGTCTCCCCACTGTGCTCCTGCCTGTCAAGCCGCCCACTGGGGTGTATGTCGAGGTCATCCAGCTCTGATGCTCCAGAATATGTGACATTAGTTTTCTATAGCTGTCTCCTCTGTCCTCAGCTGCGTTCCTAACCTTCATGCCACACCAGCCTTGCCTCTGCCCCTACCCCTCCACTGGGTTCCAACTCTCATCTGCCCACTTGATTCTCCACATGGACAGGGTTCAGTAAGCCCACACTGACCACAGAGCAGAGCTGATGGCGGGGTCATGGCACAGAAGCCCCACCTGAGCCCAATCTCCACCTGCAGGGTTGAGTTGGGCTGAGGGGGGCCATGGCTATGACGGACCCACATGACCTGGAAGCAGCGTGGGGACCCGCTTGTCTCGGGCGGGGCTGTGTTGTGTTGGTCATGGGAGGGTCAAGTTTGCTGGTTCTAAGACCCGAGTGCCCCATGCACAACTTTGTTCTTAGAGACAGTAGCAGATCCCGTGGGTACCTTGCCCCTGTACCCTGGGCACCAGCCCTTCCTGAATCTGCAGTCCCGGCTCAGAGCCAGGCACAGGCTGGCTCTCGGTAAACATTTGACAACTGGGCACTTAGATGAACTGAGCCCCCTCCTCAGGCCCCTTGTGTGGGGAATGGGTGAGCAGGGGCCTCGTCTCCCTTCTCTAATCGCTGGTGAAGATTGGGGCCTCTGCACCCCCTTTTGCCCAGGGTCTCTGGAGCTCATTTCTCCACATATGGCCCAGGATGGGGAAGCAGAGGAGGGGGAGTAATTAAAGGAGAGTGTGGGACCCCTCTCCACCTCCCTTCACCACGCAAAGCCATCACACCCCCACCCCCAGCAGTGGGAGAATGACCCAGAGAACAGCAGAGCTGGGGTAAGGATAGGAGCAGCAAATGCCACATCACACAGCAGAGAAAATGATCCAGAACGTAACAGCCCCCTGGAGAACGCAAGTGCAGGCACTTGTTGCAAGGCAGGAGTGCAGAGGCACACAACACATGGCCACTTGCCCTCCCGGTCTTCTGTGAGACAGCCCTCCATTTCCCTTGCAGCACCTGTTTCAAGTGCATTGTTTTTCTTTGTTTGATAAAGTGTAACTCATTTAAGGCTCTGTGATGGTTATTTCACATCTCCAAAGCATACTTTTCACGGAAAGATCAATTCCAAGAAAACACTAAAAAGTCTGTGGAAGTTAGATCCATTAACAAGTGCTAAGTGGCCAATCACTCACAGAGGGGGCCTTTGAGTAAGCCCAAGAAATGATCAAACTGACTGGGCACTCTGCCGGGAGCCCTGGAGCGACATTTACAACATACAGGTTATGAGCTTTTTCTTTTTCTCTGCCTAAAATTAAAGTTCATTTTCTGAGACCAGGGAAGATCATCAAGAGGGCAGCTAGCCAGCCCTGTGCAATGGATGGAGGAGGAGCTCCCAGATCACTCCTGGAAAGGGGTCTCTGTTCCTCAGAAAGACTGAATCTGTGCATCCAGGAGCCCATGGAAGGGTGAGTCAGTCATCCTCATACGCGTGTGGGCAGCGCGAGCAGGAAACCCAGAATGCCACCTCAATGCCACAGCTCACTGCACAAAGAAGGCCAGGGGGGAGATTGTGACTCAACAGAGATCATCTCCGGAGGAAGGGACTGGGGGAGAGCAAGGAGAGGGAAGGACACACCACTAATCATCCGAGATAAATGATGGAGTTGACTTCGTTTAGGCCTCCTAATAATCCAGTGGGTTAAATGGTACTATGACCCCACTTTACAGATGAGGAAACTGAGACTCAGAGAGGGGAAGTCCTTTGCACTGAACCACCCAAGTTGCAATTCAAATCCAGATCTGTCTGATGCCAAAGCCTTAGCACTTCACTACTATGCCTGTCTCACCTCCTGGTTGTATACCCCTAAGGATGGGAAGCTCACTACCTCTCAAGACATCTCAGGACAGCTTTGACTTGGAAAGTCCTTCCTTCAGGCCACATTGAGGGCATCTACTTCATATTCCACATGGCAGCACATGTATTTGAAGATAATTCTCATCCTTCCAGGGATTTTCTGTCCCCAGGTTCTACAATCCCACTCCTTTGGCATTCCTCATTAAACAGCCCCTCCAACCAAGCTTCTCTCTCTCTTTTGAGCTCTCTGATGCAACTTCCCAGGGAAGGTCTGCCCAGGGCAGGGCCCAACTGAGCCCTCTCTCTGTCCCAAGGATCCAGCAGGGCCCTGGCTCAAGTTTCCCTCTTTTGTTTTTTGTTTTGTTTTGTTTTGCTTTTGTTTTTGTTTTTTTGTTGACCCTTCCTGAATGAGGAGCCATCTGCCCAGACATGGGGTTGGTCATGGACAATTGGGTAAATTCTCCTTTATTCCCCAACCTGTTCACCTGATTCCTGTCAGAAATGTTCCGCCTGAACTGTAGCAGGAGATCTGAATAAGAATTTTTTAACCACTTTATTAAGATACAACTGACATGAAATAAACCCCATGTATTTAAAATGTACAATTGGCTATGTTTTGATGTAAATATACATCCTTGAAACCATCACCACATCGAGATAAAGACAAACACACACATATATTTACTGCAGCACTATTCACAATAGCAAAGACTTGGAGCCAACCCAAATGTCCATCAATGATAGACTGGATTAAGAAAATGTGGCACATATACACCATGGAATACTATGCAGCCATAAAAAAGGGTGTGTTCATGTCCTTTGCAGGGACATGGATGAAGCTGGAAACCATCATTCTCAGCAAACAATCACAAGATCAGAAAACCAAACACTGCGTGTTCTCACTCATAAGTGGCAGTTGAACAATGAGAACACATGGACACAGAGAGGGGAACATCACACACCAGGGCCTGTCAGGGGTGGCGGATAGGGGAGGGATAGCATTAGGAGAAATACCTAATGTAGGTGACGGATTGATGGGTGCAGCAAACCACCAGGGCACATGTATACCTATATAACAAAATTGCACGTTCTGCACATGTAACCCAGAACTTAAAGCATAATAAAAAAAAAATTGTCAAACTGTCTTCTAAAGTTGTTGGACCATTTTACCCTCCCACCAGCAGTTCATGAGAGTACCAGTTCCTCCACATCCTGGACAGAACTTGGTATGATCTTTTTAATTTTAGCCATTCTGATACCTCAGATGTGTAGTGGTATCTCATTGTGGTTCTTAATGTATGTTTTCCTAATGACTAAAGATGTCCAGCATCTTCATGTTGGACATCTTTACGTTCACATGTCTTCTTGATATGTGAATCCTTTGCCTGTTTTTTATTGGTGGCTTGTTTTGGGAGTTATTTACATGCCCTAGATGTAAATATTTTATCAGATATATGCTTTGAGAATATTCTCCCAATCTATGGCTTGTATTTTAATTGTCTTAGCAGTGTCTTTCAAAAAACATTTTTAATTTTTATAAAACCAAATTTATCAATGTCTTATGAGTCATGCTTTTGGTGTTATATTTGAGAAATCCTTGACTAATCCAAGGTAACAAAGATTTTTTCCTCTGTTTTCTTCTTAAGTTTTATAATTTTAGGATTTATTTTTAAGTCTATGATCCACTTTAAATTTTTATATTGTGTAAGGTATGAATGAACGCTCTCCTTTTTTGCATATGAACATCCAATTGTGCCAGCATCATTTGTTGGAAAAGCTCTCCGCAAATGGCCTTTGCACTTTTGTCAGAAATCAGTTGTTCTTATATGAATGGGTCTATTTCTGAACACTCTATTCTGTTCCATATAAATCTTTTTGTTCACATTTATGCCAACACCGCCTTGTTTTGATGATGCCAACTATATTTTTTTCTCTTTTTCAAAGTTTTCTATTTTGCTATGCTAGGTCTTTTGCATTTCCATATGAATTTTTTATGAGTTTGTAAATTTCAGCTGGTAAATCAAAAGCCTCTTGTACTTTTGGTTGGGATTGACTTGAACCTAGTTATCAATTTGGGGAGAATTGACCATTTTATCAATATTAAATCATGTGGCCCATGGATAATATTTATTTCTCCATTCATTTGGATCTTCTTTATCTCAGTAATGTTTTTCATTCAGAGTGTATGGGTCTTGCACATCTTTTCAGATTTATCTCTAAGTATTTTACATTTTGTGATGCTGTTTTAAATGGTAACTTTCATTTCAATCACTGATTGTTCTGCTATTGGTATTTGGAAATACAACTGATTGTTCTATATAGGTCCTACATCCTGAAACTTTGCTAAACTCACTTAGCTCTATCATGTTGTCTTTAACTAAAAGGTTTTATTTATTCCTTTCCAACATGGATGCATTTAATTTCTTTTTCATTCCGTATTTCACTGGTTGGAACTTTAAGTAAAATGTTTAGTAGAAGTGGAAGAGCGGATGTGCTTGCCTTGTTCCTGATTTTAGGGGAAGAATATTCAGTCTTTCTCCATTGAGTACAATGTTTGCTGTTGGTTTTTCATAGGTGCTTCTTCTCAGTTGGCAGAATTTCCCTTCTATTTCTACCTTCCTGACAGTTTTTTATCAAGAATATAAATAGTGAATAATGAGATGTTAAAAAGTGAAAGATTGATTGGAAAACAGCCACTGTGCTTCTCAATTTGTATCTCTATCCAGTCCTTTGAAAGGTGACTTTGCTGTTCTTGCTATCAAGCGGTGAGGTCTATTTCCCCAACTCTTGAATCTGGGGTGGCCCTGTGATTTGCTTTTTCTCATAAAATATGACAAAAGTGATGTGCCAGTTTTCAGCTGTTTTAAAATGTACCCAGGATTTGTTTTAATCAGGTATTTACAAGACACACAGATATGGAAATGACTGTCATGAAGGAAAATGTTTATTCTCACAGATTCCTGGAAACAAGAGGCATAGCATTCCATGCAGGGAAGCAGCAGGGTAAGTCAGGAGATAGGGGGAGAAGAGGAAATCGAATGCCCAGAGCATTCACTGGGGCTCTCGTGGGCAGGAATGGGCAACGCAGGGTAGGTTGCTGAGTAAGCTTACAATTGGGTGGTTGGATAACTTAAGTGAGCTTTGTCCCATAAGGGTGGTCCCTAGATGTCCACTACCTGGACCTGGGGTGATTTGGGGCAGGGCAGGAAGAATATTGGCTTGGTGTGGGAGAGTTAGATAAAGGAGGTGGCTGGGGATGTGGGCTCTGGATCGGTTGGTTTGAATATCAAAGATGTGCTCTCAGGAGAGTCCTTTGCTATCTCTGGAGAATAACTAGCCCTGGTAGGGCAATGTCTCCAGGATCAAGGCCCCAAATGCCAGAGCATCAATAATACAGAAATGAGAATATACAGTCAAGATATCCACCTATGCCTCAAAACACCTTGTGTGCTTTCATCCTCTCTTTTGAACATGAAGATGTGTCTGGGCTGGCCTGCACTCAGATAAGACCACATGAAACAGAAATGAGTCAACTCCCCTGAGACCATGCCAAGCCAGTCATCTCCCAGCCAATCCACAGGCTGATTGCAGATGCAGAAGTATATCCATCCAAGATCAACCAAACCCACCCTAGGTCAGCAGAAGCAGCCAGCTTGCATACACACTCCTAAGTTCAATAAATGCTTGTTATTTTAAGCAATAAGTTTGTGGTGGTTTGTTATGCAGCAGGAGCTGGCTGATACACCATAACTCTCTCACCACAAAGCTGTTTGGTTCAACTACCTTGTGTATTTCGTCAAGTGTCTTGACTCTTCTCACTCCTCTCTTTATCACCATCTTTGTTCCTAAAATTCCACGGTGTTTCTCCCATGCCTAGAGAAATTTTAACGGAGTTGCTAGAACCCATTTCCTGCTTTCAGTGCCCCCTTTCTTCAACCACTCAACAAATGTTTAAAGTGTGCCATTACATGTGTCAGGCATGGAGGAAAAGACAGTAAGTAAAATAGACATAGGACTGCCACCAAAGAACTTCCAGGAGATGGGAGAATTGAATAAGTAACTGCAGCAGAATTCCATGTAGCATTTTACCCAGAATTTGTGTCATTCTCCATGCAAAGTGCTCCAACCTGCAATGAAATTGCAGCCTCCATGCTCAGCCAGAATGCTTAGCGCCCACCTTATGAAAGAGCAGGTGCTCACAGTGAGGGGAAGCCACACTCAGAAATGAGCAGCTGGGCTAGAAACACCAGCTCCGAATTGCAGTAGTCACCGCAGGGCTGTGCCCAGCCCTTCCAGCTTCTACTGACAGAGGGTGGCAGGGCCTGCCTGTCTGCACGCAAGGCTGGAAAGAGGGTCTTCATGCCTCCCACCCACGAGACACATTCTGCCTGAAAGCCACATCAGGGAGAGGGGCCAGCAGCAATTTTCCAGATGCTTGTCATTTTCAGGGAAAACAAATGCCTTCCAGCAAGGCCTGAGTTCTGGCTCTTTACACAGAGTCCTCAGTGTCTGTTCCCAGGAGGAGGCTGGTTTGTCCCCAATACCTCCTCAACACCATATCCAGATTTTCTCTGTGCCATTCCCAGTGGCTCTGGCCCCATCCTATGACTCTCTCCAGTGCCCCAGGGTCATTTTCCCCACTGGGATATGAAATCCATGCTGTGATCATCTCTATGCCCTATGGTACCTGAAACAGGTTGAGTCCTCAATGAATGTGAGTGGACTGTGGGATCTGGGACTGCCCTAGCTGCTGGGCTAGACCTCAGGAAGGGGGTCCACTCCTTCATGTTCCACCTGGCCCCGTTCAGCCTCTCCCCAGAGACCATCCTGGGGCTGGCTCTGCCAGGATGCAGTGCAGAGTAGGAGGGACCAGCGCGTCCTGAGCGCCTGCTGCACGTGGAGAACTGTGCCTTCATCGGCTCATTTGATCCTCACAGCAAGCCTGTGGGGTGGTGAGACTCAGCCCATTTTGTTGATGAAAAAATGGAAACTAGAGCAGTGACTGCCCAGGGCTCATGACCAGGGCTTCCTGAGCCATATGTAAGTTAGGGTCCTCCTTGCTCCTCAGCCCTGTGGGGTCTACACCCTGGCTCCTGCGTGGTGGCGGAGACAGCCCTTCCCCACGCAGCCCCCATAAAGATGCTCCAGAGTCCTGGAGGAGGGGTTGGAAGACAGAGCACCAGGAAGCAGGCAGCGGGGCCTTGCTGGGGAACATGCACCAGGGTTCGGCCAGCCTGGGCCTGTCTCTCTCCCACCCACAAGCTGGGTGACCTTGGACAAGTCACTTAACTCCTCTGAGCCTCAGTTTCCTCATCCACAACCCCAGGCCATAAACCCCTGTCTGCCTGGGTTTCTGCGAGGGTAGCTGAGCTCAATGCTTCTGGAAGTGCTCAGCGCAGAGCTCGGCCTGCTGGAGAGGGGCTGGAACTGAGCCTCCTGCACTAGGTGGAGAAGGCCTGGAACCAGAACCCGGGGTTCTGATGCCCAACTCGGCCTTCCTGCCCTCCCTCCTGTTTCAGAGGCTGCACTCAGCTTCCTCCCAACCCCCTTGGACCCAACAGTGAGGCACACAGGGCTCCTCCTTTGGCCACACGCCCTTTGCAGACATTCAAAGATGCCAGAATTAATCAGGGCACGGCTCACAGGGCTGACCATGACCACAGCTCCAGCAACAGCCCCTTTTCCGTCTCCCTCCCTCCTCTGATGATCCCACACCCTGCAGTAGCTGAGCCAATCTGTGGGAGTCCCCCGACGCTGGGTGGGGCCCCTCTGAGGACTGCGGCGCATTCCCTATAATGACGTTCATTAGTCTGTCTGACATCAGTACCGTTCTCAGGTTAATATGTTTAACTTAATGAGGCATTTCTTTCCTGTTAGAAAACTCCTGAAGAAGCGTGTTTGCTCCTGATGAGCTCAGCTGATGAGCAGATTAATACCAGGCTTGAGAAGCTGACCGAGAAAACGAATCTAACCAGCTTATGTTTCTTCCTCAGGTATGGGCTGAGCTTGAATTAATTTGAGTTAATTGTCATTTCTTACAGGAAGGAACAGGAAGAAGATCCCTACCTGGCTCTGGGACACATCCTCCAAGTGCCTGTTTCTCTCCCCGACACCTCCAGCCCCAGCTGCAGCTCCAAGCATATGAAAAGACCAAGGGCCAGCAGATGATGAGGGGAGAAAAGAGAGCCTGAAACCAAGCAACAGGAAAGTGAGAGTATGGACAGGAAGCTCTCGCATGATAACAGTGACAGCAATTACAGTGATAGGGCAGGGGGCCCGTCTTGGTCATTTGTGGGGTTCACCATTGTCATCCCAGCACCCAGCACCCAGTGGGGACTCATAGATATTCACTAACATAAATGAAAAAGATACTCAACAATGATGACTGTTACTGTTAATCAAGGAGTCACATAATCTCAAGAGAAAGAAGATGCTCAATGTCCCAGACACATCTGATCGATGAACTAGAGTTCAGTGACTCCTGGCCCAAGGGCCACAGATGACCCAAAGGCTAATTTTCTTTGGTGCCTTGCCAGTGGATTTTCCCAGGTCTCTCTCTCCATGGGCATTTAGAGCCACTGCCATCCATGAGTGATGCCAGCCAGCACCCACTACCCTCCCTCCCAGGAACAGGCTTCCAGGTCATGCTGATTCAATGCCTTCCCCTGTCCAAACCAGAAGCAGAAGGAGGTTCAGCACCCATTGTGTACCCACCCTGCTTGCTCAATGACCAAAATTCCCTCCAGACAAGTCCAGCCCTGTTTCCACTGCGTTCAGAGTTGTTGGAAGAAGTCGGGGAGCTTGCTGTGGAATGACGGGGTTGTTTACAGGCAGACACAGTTGATTGCAAACCTCACTTCTGCTTTGGTGACTGAACAGCAATGATGCTGCATTAACTGAGCTGCGCTGTGTGCTGGCCGCTGTGCACACATCATTCCACTGACTCTTCACAACAGCTCTGGGAGTAATCCCCATTGTAAGCTCCCTTTTAAAGATGAGGAAATTGAGGCTAAAATGAGCCTATGCAAGGCTCCTGTTTGCACCAAAGCCAGTGATCCTGACAGGAGCTGGTCACCTGTCAAAGGCCCTCTGTGCCACCTCTAGTTTCAGCCTCATCCTACCTCACCTACCCCTAGATCTCTGCTGCTCCAGTTGGTGGTATCCCAGGCACAGCACCTCTTTGAACCATGAGCCAATCTTCCTAAACATCAACATCACTCAACGATTTGGTAGGAGGGTTTTTTTTTTAATCCAAGCAAATATTATGGAACGGAATAAGAATTAACATGACTTTTTTCTAAGATAAATGATCGGTCCTTAAAATGTTCTGTGCTGTGCTAGCTTGTTTCTGCCCATGCCCTCAGATGCCCAGAGAGCATTCACTACCTCCTTCCCTAGGCGGGCTTTGTAGGAAATGTTGCAGGAGCATTGCCCTTAAACCTAACCAGAATCGCTGGGCATGGTGCCACACGCCTGTAATCCCAGCACTTTGGGAGGCCGAGGCAGGTGGATCACGAGGTCAGGAGATCGAGACCATCCTGGCTAACACAGTGAAACCCCGTCTCTACTAAAAATACTAGAAATAACAGCTGTTATTATTACCAGTTAGTTGAAGATATTGATAAATACAAAAAATTAGCCAGGCATGGTGTCAGGTGCCTGTAGTCCCAGCTACTCTGGAGGCTGAGGCAGGAGAATGGTGTGAACCCGGGAGGCGGAGCTTGCAGTGAGCCGAGATCACGCCACTGCACTCCAGCCTGGGCAATAGAGCAAGACACCAACTCAAAAAAAAAAAAAAACCTAACCAGATTCTTAAATATCACCCAAGCCTAACTCTAACCTCTAGAGGTCAACTTGATCATAAGAGGTGTGAGCCATGAGAACATCTAGGGAGGACATCCTAGACAGCAGAGTGACAGGTGCTAGGGAGGTGAGGCCAGAAAGGTCACAGGGTCTTGGGGACCAGTGAAGGACTCTGGCTTTAACCTGGAGAAGATGGGAGCCATGGAGGGTGTGAGCAAGGAAGGAAGTGGTTGCATGGGCATTCTAAAAGGCTCCCTCCTGCTGCTCAGTAGAGAGGAGACCACAGCGGGTGAGAGTGGAATCAGGCAGATGGTTGGGCAGCCCCTGCAACCATCCAGGCAGTGGATAGATCAAATCAGAGCAGGAGCTAAGACAAACATGTATTTTCCAGGGTTGTGGTGAGGGTCGTAGATAATGAATAATAGTTAGACAAACAAAAAAGCATCTAGCACTGTGCCTGGCACACAATAGGCCCTGTAGAAATAACAGCTGTTATTATTATCAGTTAGTTGAAGGTATTGATAACTCTGAAGCCAAATCCTGAAGCTACCTGGCCTCATTTCTCTGAGTTCAGTAGCTCCATCCAGACTCTCAGAGGGAATTGCAAAGAAAAACAAAAACAAACCTCAGGCTGCAAAGAGAAATTGCCAGTGGTGCAGCGCAGGGGGAGAGTCTTCACAAGGTCTTCACAGCAGTGGAGAAAGGCTTAGTTAAGTGATAAAACACTCACATTTCACAGGTTCCACATGTACCTGAGTGACAGCTATCTGGAGTTTTGTTTGTTTGTTTGTTTGTTTTTGAGACGGAGTTTCTCTCTTGTTGCCCAGGCTGGAGTGCAATGTCGCTATCTCGACTCACCACAACCTCCGCCTCCCGGATTCAAGCGATTGTTTTACCTCAGCCTCCCAAATAGCTGGGATTACAGGCATGCACCACCACACCAGGCTAATTTTTTGTATTTTTAGTAGAGACGGGGTTTCTCCATGTTGGTCAGGCTGGTCTCGAATTCCAGACTTCAGGTGATCCACCCACCTCGGCCTCCCAAAGTCCTGGGATTACAGGCATGAGCCACCGTGCCTGGCCTATCTGGATTATTTTTAAGAGGAAGGTAGCCTTTAAAGATGATTTGCTCTTGGTTTAAAAATTAAATAAATGTTGGGAGACATGCGCGCGCACGCGTGCGCGCGCGCGCACACACACACACACACACACACACACACTTGAATTTTCCCAAATCAAACCCTTTCTTCTGTAATCAACTTTTTCAATGGGATTTTTAAACTAGATGTAATAGCAAACAATATTCACACAGGCAGCAGATCAAGCGCACCTTATTTGGAATGAAACTGACAGCCACTTAGATCAGAAAACGTAGCTACTGTTGGGATCTAAAGAGAAGATACAGCTCCAGGACAAATTAGCCTCCAGCTTTTCAAAGACTGACTTCACACTTGTTGGGCTTTGCTCTTGTTGCAAGTATCAGCCAGGAAATTCCTAGACAAGGTTGGACATCTTCCTGGAGTGTAGAGAGTAGGCGCCACATCAAAGTGAGGATATTCATCCTTCTGGGGCTGGAGCTCCTGTGTGGAGCTAGGAGCTGAACTGCAGCTGGCTGCGTGATCTTGAGGCCATTACTTTCTCTCTTTGTGCCTCAGTTTCCCCAATGTGTAAAATGAGGGGCTAGCTGGTCTCTGATGATTCTTCTAATATAAAATTATAATAAGTGAAATTAAAACTAGGATGAAAGAAGGCAAATGAGCACAGCGTGGGAAGGAGGAGGGAAGGATAACAAGAGTGAGAGGAAACATCATCTGAGGTGAGAACGCCGTGACTGCCCCAGATGAATGAGGCCGCAGAGTTGCTTAGACACCATCACCTCCATCGTCTCAGTCCTCATAGTCCCAGGAGGTGAATTATCTCCATTTCACAAATGTGACAGCTGAGACTCTGAGAGGGGGCAGGACCTGCCCAAGGTCACACTGTGAGTCAGAGAAAGAAAACAGCACGAGAGGGGGTTTCTGCTGGCGACAGCCTCCAGGGAGGGTCCGGAGGTGAAGCCAGATCTACCAGCGCTAACTCCAGGGCCCTTTCCCCCAGTCTCTGCATTTCCCACAGCCTGCTGGGCATCTCCTGGACACACTGCCAGTGCCACCAAGATTGGTGCTAGCATCTTCCATCACACAGCTGGGCGTGGAGCAACTGGAATTTGAGCCCAGGACCAATCAACTCTAAAGTTCTTGCACCTTCTGTCCCATGACATTATCCCTCCAGTAAATCACATGCCAAGGTCTAGCATTCTCTCTACATGAAGTTTTCTGTCCCTCTCTTCCTTTTAGACTCAACTGCCCACCTTTGAAGCATAGGAAGATAAGCCCAGGCTCTATCTCCACACTGGTCTATGAACGCCGCAAGGGCAGGACCCATACTTGGTTTAACAAAGACCCCCAGTGCTCAGTAGAGCACCTGATCCGTGGACCCCCAGAAGGCTGGTCAGGATGCAAGGGGGTCCCTTCCAGCAAGGAAGGCCCCAGTGTGGGGAAGGCAGCCAGGCAACACCAGGCCCAGATGATGCCACCCAGAGTGGCTTGAGAATGTGTCTCCAGGACCAGGCCTGGAAGGAGCCAACAGCAGGACCCAGGCGCAGAGAGTCCTGCACCAAAGACCCAGGGAAGGACAAAGACTGGGAGGGCAAACTGAGCAGCAGGGCCAGGAGACCTGAGGCAGCCCAAGGATGAGGTAAGGTCATGGGAGGGCAGGTTGCTCAGGGACAAGTCGGTGGGCAAAGCCTCATACACTGCTGGTGGGAGTCTAAATTGGAGGCACCACTTTGCACAACTGTTCGGCAGTCTCTCTTGATGCTGAACCTGTGTGTAATTGATGACTCAGAAATTCCACTCGTATCTGCCCAGCAGAAATTCACCCATATGTTCACCAAAAAGCACTTGCAAGAACTTCATAGCAGCCCTGTTCCTAACAGCCCTAAACTGGAAAGTACTCAGATCTCATCTAGAGTTAGATGGGTAAACAAATAGCTGCATATTCATACAACATACAAACATCACACATCAATAAGAATCAACAGTGTCCAACTTAACACGCTGACCTGGATAAAACATACACATGATGTTGAGCAAAGTGGAAATGAGACACATAGGAGCACCGGACAGTGTGAGTGCATTTGCATGAAGTTCTGGAACAGGCACAGATGATACGCAGGGTTAGAAGGCAGGGCGCTTCTCACCTGTCCTGACCTAGAGGAAGAGTGACAAGCAGGGGTGTGAGGGGACTCCTGGAGTCCTGGTAACATTCTCTTTCTCGATCTGCACTGGTCCCATAGGTGTATTTAGTTTCAGAGAGTTCTTTAGCCATACGCTTACCATTTGTGTACTCTCTTCTGTGTAAGTCTCACATTTCATTAGGCTACACTAAGAGGTTTGCTTTAAAAAAAAAAAAAGATAAGCCCCAGGGCCCTTTTTAGTGAAATGCCCAGAATATGCCAGTGGGCCTGGCTGCACTCACACCTGACAGACACACCCAACACACTGTATATGATCAAATCATTCATTGTTGAATGATGAACGAATGAACAAATTGACAACTGCATGAAGCATTGAATAAATGAATGGACCGAGGAACCATGAATCCATGAATGAATGCAGTGACAAAATGAAAGAACAATCAATGGAAGCAGAAACAAATAAACCAAGGTGTGCATCAAGGAATACATTCACGCATGATGGCTGTATGAGTAAAATGAATGAAAGAAAAAATGAACAAATGAAAAATACCAAAGAGCCAAATGAATGGGTATAAAAAAACAATAAGCGAAAGAGTAATTGTGCAAATGCCTAAGGCCTACGTGGACAAATGTTTCAATGTGTTCTTGCTGGACATGAGGCAGTGTCATTCGTGGAGCAGAAAACTCCCACTTTGGAGGAAAGCGTCTCCACTCAGACATCTGGGACCCAGGTCTTAGCCAATCAGCATGTTTTCCTCCCACCGAAGGTTCCTAAAGTGACTTCAATTCAGATGTAATAAGAGTATGCTTGAGCAAATATCACACTGAGTATGCCAGGCCCCTCCAATCCTTTCCCCACCCCAGCAGTCACACTGAGCTTTCTTTTTTTTTTTGAGTATGCTGAGTATGCTCCCCAGGATTAACTCTGTGTTCTGTGGAAAGAGCTAAACGGAATTGACTGCGTTGTTTTCCCAATTATGTTACAGATAATTACCTATTATGTAGCAAAACCCCAGGATGATTTTAGTAATCACTATTTAAACAACACATTTTTACTGTCTCCTTACAAATTAACCTCCAGGAAGTGTAATTAATGTCAGTATGAGAAAGTTGGCAGCGTGGCCCAGGAATGAGGATGGGTTGAGGCTGTGGCTGCGATCGTCCTGTGAGACCCCGAGGCCGAGTGTTGCTGACTGAGGCCAATGATCGGGTTGAGAACTCGGAAAACCTGGGTCCAGAAGATCAGACAAGTATTTCCCCATCTGAGCCTTGGTCACTTTCCCTGTTAAACGAGGATGATTCCCTAAATCCCCAAACTCACTAGGACATTAGGAGATCTGACTGCAGGCCTGGAACAGAGTCAGCGTTAGTCACACAGACACCCCCACCATGTCCCCACCGCAAGGGCACATCCTTCATTGTGGGGTGGCAACGGGGTCTTTTCTTGACGTGTGCCCCCTCCCCAAACTGAGGGTAGGGACCGAGTCTCGCTTCTCGGTGCATCACAGCACCGGCATGGGGCCTGGCACGTAATAGGTGCTCAGTAGGCATTGGTTGGAAGAACAAATTAACCCTATCACATACTGTGTGTTTTGTAAACTGCCTTTATAAACACAATATGGTTTGAAAGACACATGGCCACTCACCAAATGCTCCTCCGTCTGCTCGTGGTTGTCCAGATCCTGCCTCACTCCCGGCCCATCCGTCCACCCAGTTTACTCCCTCGGTATCTGCCTCACTCGGCCCCTCTCCCACTTCTGTCTGATGCCTCTAGCAGCTGTGAGCCTAGAGAGGTGAGAAAAGCCGTTTGGACTGTGATAAAGTACCTATCGCCAGGCTCTGAATGAGGGGCCAGGAGCTTTGCTCTGAGGAAATAAGATGTGCCTGAGTGTCCACACTGACCCCAACAGGGGGCCAGCTTTGACAAGAGTTCAGCTTGCGGAGTGATCTCAGAGCCCAACTCTTCCACTCCAGGGACAACAGGGACCCAGTCCCACAGAGGCTGCCCGCAGAACGCAGGTCCCTTGATCACAGACTGGATGCATCCCTGCTGTCCATCCCGCAGGGGGAACGCCATGCATCCAGCCTGCCTTTATGACCTGGGGGTTTCTGCTGCTTCCAGAAGAGAGGGAGAGCTGGAGAAGCGCAGCCCCAGAGGGAGGCGGGACTCCCCTTCTCAAGTTTGCCACATTCTTCAAATTGTCCCTGATCATCACAAATTGCTCTTAGAAGAAGAATTTCCAGAAAGGAAAGAGAAATAGAAGTGGCTCCTATGAAATGAGATCAAACTCCTTGTACGCAATTAAACACGGGCATTTAAAGCCCTTTTCACACTGTTAGATTCTTCTTTTAAGTGGTTGGCAGTTTCGGCTATTGGTTTCTCAGATGTCTGTCTGAGAGTCTAACCTGCATAGGCTAGGAAACACATGCCCACCCTATTCTCAATGTCACAGGGTCCCTTTCCAGGACAAAGTCCAGAGAGGGATACAGAGATGATTAAGGGGGAAAAGCCAATTAGCCCCGTAGAGGGAAGGAATAAAGGTGGTATAATGATATTATTTATTATCTGAACTAATTAATAAGTGTCACAGCAAATATTAATTGAGACATTTCTATGTACGAGGCACTGCTCTGTGCGTTAATTTATTTAGTCTTCATAACAAACCTGTGAGGCAAGTATCATTTTTATCCCCATTTTACAGATGAGAAAACTGAGACACAGAGGAGTTGAATGGATTAAAGGAAGGGGAAGTGGCAGCGTGTGTGCCCAGACTTGAGAGTCAGGCAAGTCAGAGTTCACCTCTCTCTCCATTTGGTCCCTCACCAGCTGTGTGGCCTTGAACGGGTGAGTGCATGTCTCTAAGCCTCCATTTTCTCCTCTGTAAAATGAGGAATAGGATATGACACCTGCAGGACCTGTGGTATGGTAGGGGCTGGAGAGATGAGACACCCATCTCCTTCCCTGAGTTGGAGTCAATGCTGGTGCCCTGCCAGTTGGCTGCGGGCACATTCAGGCCCGAGCATGCCCAGAGGAGGAAGCTGGTCCCTTAGCAAGAGGTAGACTAGCTGATCCACCTGCTAAGGACTGCACTTGGTCTGTGAGACACACAGAAGGCACAGAGACCTATAATCCCAGCGTTCTTTCCAGAGCCTACGTCCAGTCCCAGCAGGGAGCGGTGGACACTCAGCACCTATTCTGAAAATCTTTTTAGCGGGAGAGCTGAGTGCCACAGTCAAGCATAGAGTCTTGGATAAACACCTATGGAGCAGAGTGGCCGGATCATGGTAGATGCATGTTAACTTTAAAAAAAAAAAAATGCCAGACTGTTTTCTGCAGTCTAACATTTTATATTCCCACCAGCAATGTATGAGGAGTTAGTTCTTCCACATTCTCACCAATACTTGTTATTTTCAGTCTTTTTAATTTTAGCCAGTCTGGTGGGTGTAGAATGGCATCTCATTGTAGCTTTAATTTGCATTTATTTGATGACTAATGATGTTGAGCATGTTCTCTTGATTTATTGGCCATTCATATATCTTCTTCTTTGATTACTTTTTAATGAAAAACACACTTGCATTCAAACTGAATTATATTGTCAACAGTTAATTATCACTTGTCAAACAAGTGTGTACCCAGATTGTGGGTTTAATTTTCATGTAGGTTTGCAAATGCCTCATTCCTCTTATTTGACAAGGCCTCTCTGAGCAAAATACATTCATTGTTGGAAATGATGCTTTTTTTTTAAGGAGTTTTAAAAATAAATAGGTTTGCCTGGTGTCTGAGTCAGGGCTCTTTGCAAGTAACAGAAAAACCATTCATTCTAGCTTAGGCAAAGAAAAATTGTGTGTGGAGGGGTATTGTACTAGGCTGGAGGAGGGCAGGGAAGAGGGGAAGTTTCTAATGGAACTTACAGAAGACCAGCCTACCGGAGCCTGGAACCAGGGCCTGGAATGCCAGCTGGGACCCCAGACAGCCACTCACCTGCCCACCCCACCCTGCAGCTCATCTCCACTTCTCTCCATGCACCTGTTTTATTCTCTCTACAGCGTGTTTTTCCTGCCTCTCCGCTCTCATCGGAATGACGCTTCCTCCTCCCTTGAAATCACACATCCTTAGGTCAAGGGCAGCAGAAAATTACCTAATAGGTGGGTCATATCCTTGTTTGGCTGCTGACTCTCTGGTGCCCTGGCAAATCCTTAGCCTGACAAATCTGTACCCGTCACCAGGGCCAAGTCCTGCCTGGCACAGTTGTGCACTTGCTGCATATTGTCACATGCGTAGAGCACTTTACTCTTGGCCAAGGAGCCAGAGAGGGCAGTATCTGTGCCTGTTAGCTCAGGGCAGTCAGGGGAAGAGCAGGAGTGGGGACTCAGGGCAGGGGACTCCTCAGGGCTGAGAGAGCAGAATGCATTCCTGACTCCTGAGAGGGTGGGAATGGCAGCACTGTCCAGGTACTCAGATCCACCCCATGGGTGGGAGGGAGGGTGCTGACACTCACAGCCCCCCACTCCCCTCTGCCTGACAGGCTCACCTCTCCTGCAGATCAGGCTTCAAAATCTACCTCTGTCTCTGACCTTGGCCAAGTGGACATGTGTCTGCCTGTAATGTGAATTCATGCACATGCATTCCAGTGTGCATGTGTGTGCACGCAATGTTTGTCATTGTGTCTGCATGTGCATGGGGGATGTTTATGTGGATCTATGTGTGTGTTTTGTGTGTCTGTGTAAATCTGTGTGTGGCTGCATGTGTCTGTGTACGCACTGCATATATCTACACACCTATGTGCACATTCAGAGGGTTCTAGGTGGAGGCCCAGGGGTTCTTCAAAGCTCAGTACCCAGCAGAACCCTGACTCCAGGCCCTGGGCCCCCAGTGCAGGACTCTCTCCACTGTCCATGCTGCCTCCACTACTATGACTAAGGAAGACTCTCCACCCACAGCCTCAACCCCACCCAGACCACCTTTCTCTCCATCTCCAGCTGCAGTAGACATAAATGCTGCTCTAATTTCTCCTCACTTTCAGTAATTTACAAAACGGTTTCATTGGTTCCACAGTCAGCACTGCTGCGTTTCTCTTGGAGGATCTTTATGAAGATGATGTGGCAAACAGTGTTGTCTTGTTGTTAAGCAAAAAAGTGGTAAAAAAGACTAAAGCATTGTGGGGGTACGGGGGTGGATGGAGATAAGAAAAGTGTCCATGGAGCATGAGAGCGATTACAGGGAGATGCTGTGAACAAGTCATTTAAGCAAATTCTTCACTAGGACTTGGTTCCATCCACTTACTAATAGACCAGCCTCATCATCTCCTGTGATAGCATTTTTTTTCCCTTTTCTCCATCCAGCCCTGAGGCCTTCAGCCCCACAACCCCTGCCCAGGAAAATGGGACTGACACCAGTAGAAAACTCAGAGATCATTTAGTGTGAAGCCAGACAGGATCAGAGCTCTCCATTCAGCTGTGGGATGTGGAACTTCCATCCAGAGATGTAGGTCTTGGCCATGCAGGAGGTGGGGCCAAACTTGCCCCAAATGCCCTGGGTGGGAGACCAAGGTCAGTGACTCTGCCCACACTGACTCTTCACTGCTCACTTCCCTGCTCAGCCTCTCTTGCCCCCTAGGCACTGGCTGTTCCCACACAATCTCTCTCAGGACAGGAGACAGAGGCTTTTCTTGCTTTTATTTTCAGCCTAGCATTTTTGCACAGATAACTTTCACAACTTTCATCCTGATTTGATGGTCATCTGGGAATTTGGTGCCACCCCTTCCTCCACCCTTGAGAGGTGCCCAACTCCCTCCACATATCTCTGAGATGCCATAAGGTGCACAAAGCCACATGAGGAAGGAGAGCCTGGGCAAGACAGGGGGGTTCCACTGGCCCCGCCTCTGCTTGGCCATGTGACACCACCCACTGCCTCCCACCTGGATAAGGATGGTTCTAGCAACTGGTAACCCCGACAAGGTCTGCACTTTACCAGGCCCCTCGCAGATCCTGTTTCCTGAAGAGTGAATCGGACAGAGAGCATCATGGCCCTCATCCTACAGGGGTGGACTCAGGCTTGAGAGCCAACTGGCCCAGCTGAGTTACTGCCAGTGCATGGACAGTGAAGGTCCTGAGCCCATAGCCCAGGCGCTCCCCTCCTTGGCCAGCAGAGCTGCTGTGAGAGACCTTCCTGCTGACCCAGTGACAGTGCTGGTAAGGAGAGCAAGTGATCTGATCATTCACAACCTCCCATTTACCAGGAAGACTATTCACTCCCTAAGTCTTAGCCACGTGTAATTTCTATAAATTCATACTATTTTACCAACATCTCTTATAGGAGGCTATTCTAACAAAATAGAAATTTAGAAGGCTGAAGAATGAAAATATTTATTGCAGTGTTATGACAGTAAAAAATATAACCATCCAAATTATATACATAGGAGATTGTTAAATAAATTATAGATTACTAATCACATGGACAATTTCCAAGAATATACAATGCAATGGGAAACTGATCGGCCTGGAGTGTCAGGTAGGAAAGCCTCAGATCTGTATCTGCACATGGAAGGACACAGCTGGGTCCACCAGTATCCACTTCTTTATCTGGACCCGGAGGAGAACGGTATCTCCCGCGGCCTTCACGTCAGGGTGGCCATAAGACTTGCACTGGACAATGAAGTATGAATAGAGGCAGTGAGTGTCCCTTCCAGGTGAGAGCATTTGAGTCAGCGCTCAGCTCCCCCTGTCCTCCTTCCCTGTCACGGTGACTTTAGAAGTACATGTGGAGACGTTGACATCCTCAGACAGTGGAGCCTCCATCGGTGACAGTCCCTGCTGTCTGTGATGACCACGCCCTCCCTGCAGACCACTGAGGACATGTAGCAAGAGCAAGAAACAATCTTTGTTATTTTGGGGGGTTGCTTGTTTTTTTAATCATATCCTAGTCTATCCTGACAGCCATGCCAATGGGAAAGCAATTATGAAAATATATACTTGTATATGAAGAGACAAATAAATGAAGAAAGATATTAATCAGGAAAAACTACTATCTTTGAAAGACAAGACACAAGATGAGTTATATACTCTCTTATATAAATGCCTTCACTTGCCAAATGCTTCACAGTAAGGATGCATGGCTGTGTTAGGAGGAAACATCAATGTCATTAACAAGAACACCTGGGCCCTGGCCGAGGCCATCCTCGTTCCAGGCTGCATTTTTCTCTCCTTCATCTCAGTCTCCTGGTCCACTTAGCATCTGTCCCGCCCAATTAGCCCTTTATTACAGATCATTTTGTTCTCTAATTGTCTGCCCTGCATAATTTAGCACAGCCATATACTGTCTTATTGCCAAACGTTTAATTTAATGTCTTTTGGCCTCAGTTTCTTCATCTCAAAGCAGAGTAGTGGCTGAAAAGGAGATCTTTAGAAGCCCCTCAGTGCCAACATTCCTTTGGGGCCAGGAAGAATCAAAGCTAGCACTGGCTTGGCACTTACTGTGTGCCAGGCACTGTGCTAAGTACTTTTCATGCATTAGTTCACTTAGTTATTTCAACAACTCCATGAAGGAGGTCCTATTGTTATCCACTCCTCTCGCCTATTTTACAGATGAAGATGCTGAAGTTCAGAAAGGTTTAGAAACTTGTCCATGGCCACACAGCTCAGAAGTGGTGGAGCTAGACCTTGAACCCAGGCAGTCTGCTCCCAGGTCCCTTCTCTTCCTGCTCCGGTGAGTGTCAAGTCTTTACTATGCCCAGACCCTGTGCCAGAGGCTTGATGCAGGAAGATAAGATGGGGTGCTTGCCTGCAAACAGAGTAATAATAACAACAATAATGATGATGATGAAAGTTACAATGCCAGTTAACATGCATTGAGGGCTCTCTTAGGTCCTGGAGTCCCCACAGCATCCTATGAAGCAGAGACTCCCAGTCTCCATGTTACAGATAAGGATGCGAGGAACAGCGAGGAACAGAACAAAACTCTGTTTTGTTCAGAGTCCCACCCCCAAGTATGCCTCGAAAGTGTCGTTTGAGCCCAGGAATCTGCCTCCATCTGATGTACCTTCATGAAGTCCTCACAATAACCCTATGTGCTCAGTATTAGCTTGCCAATTTACAGAGGGAAAAACCAATGGGGCTCACAAAGGTTAAGCCACTTGCCCAAGACACACATTGAGTGAGTGCTGGAGGCTGAACCTGAACCTGAGTCTGTGGGCTCCGGGGCCCATTTTCTTCCCACTGCTCCAGTGGCGAGAAGCCTAGAGGGGCCACCTGAATGCTCTCGGGGCAGAGAAATCACCAGCTGTGACACATCAGGATAGCAACAATAACAGAATCCTCGCTGAGCTTGTTACCGGTGTTGCTACACTTAATCCACCCCACAAGGTAGATGCTATTATTATCTTCAACTCACACTGAGGAGACTGAGCTCAGAGAGGTTAAGTAACCTTCCTGAAGTCTCAGCAGGGAAGTGGAAGAGACCAGGGTTAGCCAAAGCCTGTGATCTAACCATTAGGTCACACTATGCCTGGGACTCAGGGATCATTAACGAAGACTGGGCCTCCTCCACTGGGGTTTGGAATCAGAATCTAAAATCTTGAGGAGAGGCCTGCAAAGATAAAAGGTCTGATGCTGTCCTGAGAGCAGAGAAGAGAGAGAACATGAAAGCTCTGGGTAGGAAATGGAGGGAAAGCCAGGAACCCAAACAGCCTGGGTGGGCTCCCTGCAGGGCCCAGGTGGCACAGGCCAGCACTGCTTGAGAGAGGCTGCATCCTCTGCCTGTGGGAGTGAAACCACCTTTGCAAAATTAAGACTGAGACAGTGAACGAGTTCTCACTTAATCGACTCCATCTTGCTTCTAACCTCCAAGCTGTCCTTGTTCATTCCCAGGCGTAGGCAGAACTAACTTTGGGAGAAACTTAGTTTATAGTTTATAGTTTAAAACAAAGACAATAACAGCCCTTTCCCATGGAGACCCCCTTCTTGCCTGGGGACTAGATTGCCTGTGTAGGACTAACCTTAGCCACAAGATTAGAAATTATGGTTTAGGAGTCATGCAGCTGGAAGCTACAAGATTCTGACCTTCCCTAAACTGCTCCTAAGATCAGTGCTTGAGATATTTTGCAGACCCTGCACTTGATGGATCAGCTGGCACCACCCAGATCAATAAACTGGCTCATCTGAACTTGTGGCCCCCGCCCAGGAACTGACTCAGTGCAGAAGGACAGCTTCCCCTCCCTGTGATTTCACCCCTGACCAATCAGCACTCCTGGCTCACTGGCTTCCTTCCACCCACCAAGTTATCCTTAAAAACTCCAAATGCTCAGGGGAGACTGATTTGAGTAATAACAAAACTCTGGTCTCCTGCACAGCTGGCTCTGGTTGAATTACTCTTTCTCTATTGCAATTCCCCTGCCTTGATGAATCGGCTCTGTCTATGCAGTGGGCAAGGTAAACTCCTTGGGTGTTTACAGGAGCCTGGGATGAGTCACTGCATAACTGTGGCAAGTGCTGTCCACCAAGTGGACACCTGTCAGGCACAGCCAGGGTGACCGACGGCCTACTCATTGGGCAAGGCTCTGACTCACCATCAGTACTAAATCCAGCAAAAGTTGATGACCCAGCATAGTCATTCTAATTGCCATGGTCATGACTAAGAATATTGTGTGACGGCAACAAATTCAGAAAGTCTGAAGTGGGCCCCAGAGTGGACCATGGATGGTTTACTGGACATGATTTAAAGGATAGCATTGGGGAAGTACCTGGAAGCCTCGGGGAGACTGAGGTTGGGGGAACTCAATGTCTACACCAGCAGTGGGTGAGAGTGTGCACTTCACAGGGTCACAGAAGGCTGCATTCACCAAGGGGGACTCAGAGGATGTTGAAACAAATTTGAATAACAAAATGTTATAATATTCAAAGATTCAAAATACAGGATATAAAGATACTAAAATAGCCAAAATCAAAGTGAGTTTCACAAAACAAGAATACAATTGGATGTTAGAATGGGACGATGTTGGACACTTAGAACATTTGCATCACAGACTCTTGAAAATAGGCTATGAACATCTTGCGCTCAGAGAAACCCAGGCAGTGTGAGGCCAGGGGGACTGAGGGGCTTGAGAAGAGACCAGGATCCAGGCCTGCCTGTCCTTCTGCCCTTCCATCCACCTAACTATCCATCTTACTTGGCCTGGAAAGACGACTCCAAGATCATCCAGACCAGGAGTCTGGTACAGAGGCTCTGGGAGCTGAAGAAGGAAGCATCAGAGCAAGAAGTGAACCAGGCCAATCTGGGTCCACTTACACTGCCTCCATGTCTCTCTGTTACTGCAATAGCCCCGTCGGCACCCTGACCACTGTGCAACATCATCGTGTATCTAACCCTGTCTCCCTGATGAAGCTGAGAAAACAGGGACCCTCCCTCCTTGCTTCTCTTTCCTTCCCTGGCCCTCAGCATGGGGCCCACATGTGACCAAGAGGCATAGATGTAAGTGGTTGGAAGGACATCCTCTCTGGGCAGATCAGTTCCCCTGCCAAGCCTTTGCACATATTGTCCCCAGGTGCCAGTGAGGCCCCACTCTCACTGCCTTCAGTCCTGCTCAACATCACCTGCTCAGCCAAGTTTTCTGTGATCCCCTTCAGGAGCTAATCCCCATCCATCATTTTCTCCTCCAGCCTATGTTGGGTTTCCTCACATGTTCATCACCATCCCCTGTAACTGCAGAATCAGCTCAAAGTGATTAACAATTGCTTAAGTTGTTACAGGTGTCACAGAGCTAAAATTGCCTGGGCATGCATAATGGGAAAAAGCTTTACCCTAATTGTTACCACCACCAGCCTGGCATCACCTGGGACTAGTTAAAAATGCCATCAAACTTGACCCACCCACCAGACCAGGGAGACAGGTTTGAGTGTCACTGCCTATCTCCTTGACAGTTGACATGCAATATTTTTTTCTTTTCTCAAAAGCTAGTGCCATAGTATTGGCTTCTGTGTGTGTCATGTAGTGAGCCAATTGTTCAATAACAATATTGGCGACCCAGATGGGACAAAACCTACCCAAAGCACTGTACCCTCTCGATGGGGTGCAGGCCCTCTTCACCAACCCTCAGTAGCTGTGTAGGCATTTGTCTAGAGGCTTGGCTGTGAGGTCCTTTCTTCTCTGTCATGGCACTCCAGGGTCCTTGGTGCTACTTTCACTTTTGAGAAAAGAAACAGCTTTTGGATCAGACATCTTTTGGGTAAGCAGCCTTGTTAATATGAGCTTATGTTTTACGTTGATTTGTTCTCATCATAAAGATTGTGGGCCACAGTCCCATCCTTTTGGTCCAGGATTGTGGATTAGAGTCCCACCCTTGTCAGGTTGTGGGTTAGAGTCCCACCCCAGGAAGATCTTGGTCAGGTTAGAGTCCTGGCTTTGGGTTAGAGATCCAAAGAATAAAGGCAATTCTAAAGCTCTATCCACTAAGGCACTCAGTTTGGTTTGGTTGTATTTTTGGCATAAGACTGTGCAGCTTTGGAGGTGGCTGAAATGGTTGTTGCTGCAGGGAGCTGCTTCCATATATTTAAATTGTTAGGGCCTAAAAGCTGAAAGTGCTTTGTTGGCCCTGTTCCCTGTTGGGATCTGCCCTGAGCAGCTCTGCCCTGAGCGGCTCTGCCCTGAGCTCATTAGTTCTATTGAAGAAATAGACTAAATAAAAAGCTACCTATATAAATGAAGTTGGTCTCCTTGTAAAATCCTATAGTGAGTTCCTATGATTCTGTTACTTTGGCATCTATTTTTTGGTCTTTGGTCTTCCTCTAGCACACCCAAACTCCTCCTTTAAGGTGTTTAAACTCTCTCTCTTTCTCCACTTTATGATGTGGATTGCAACTCTGTTTCCTCTGGGGCTCAGTGAGGGCTGTGCCATGTAGGACAAGTGGAGTTTGACTTGTTCCACTTTCAAAGGCATAATTTGAATCCAGCTGCCCTTTTAGAATGTTAAGTTTTGCCAGTTTTATGGCTAGAGTTTTAAAATCAAGGCTGTAGGGTCTTTGTGTCTGTCTATACATGTCTCTATATTGTCTATGGGACCAAATTGGCTTATATATAAAGGAGTATTCATAAATAAGTACAAATGCTTCTCAGATTCATATGATTTTAGATAAATAAAAATTTAAGATTCTTGACAAAATAGAAATGTCTTAAATTCAGACATTTTTGCCTGAGTCTTCTGGTCAGACAGGTTTATGTTGTCTCTGATAAATGTTTAAGTTCATAAAACTGTTGCTCATGTAGTACTTTTGATACTTCATGCCTTTATTAGGTCTTCTGATTATTTGGCAACTTGAGTCTGCTCTCTATCGAAGAGTCATTTTGAAATCTTTGACAAAATCTGTGATCCTATTTTGAGCAAGAGTTTTAAACCTTTGACATTTGTAAATTCTAAATTCAATCTTTATAACCTCAAACTAACTCTTTGTATATTAGGGCCCCTGGAAGTCCAGGAGAGACATAGTAGGCTTATTTCGTATGTTGGAATTGCGCAGGAAACATTTGGGTTATATTTGTATGACTTTGTTCTTCTTCATCTGCAATCTCCCGCAATGCCTCTACTGTATGCCAGGTGCTATTAAAGGCGATCAGAAAGAGCATAAGACTCCCTCCCCAAAGTTGGAGGCTCAGCTTTATGCCTCCCTTTACCCACCAATCAGGTAGGAGGGGTCTCCCTTCCACATACCCATCAGGTTACCCAATTTGGCATAGGGAATGCTCTCCCTCAGTTCCCCCTTAGCAGGGCAATTCCCACTAAGACCAGTCCCTGTGGGCCTCAATGAACAAGGGGATTGTTATATATGAGCATTCCCCTTTTTCAACTTCAGATTTATACAATTGGAAAAATAATATGCCTGCCTAATGGGATGATCCCCAAAAGATGAAAAGTTTATTTACATTCACCTTTGCTACTTATAACTCCACTTAGGCTGGCATTCAGGTGTTTACAAACATCCTCCTTACTCTGGAGGAACATAGGATGATACTGGAAAAGGACTGTCAGGATGCCAAGAGGCTTCATTAATTATAACCTAAGAATCCAATCAGAGCCCCAGCAATGCAGGCCAAACCTGGGGCCAAGCCAGGCTGTAACCCCAGTGACCCCAGAGACCAGACAAAGTTAAACCATTATAAAGAATGTTTAATAACTGGAACACAGAAGAAGGTCCAAAAACTGAAGGGCCTAAATAAGGTCCAGGAGGTACAAGAGGGGCCAAAGGAAAATTCCTCTGCCTTTCTTGAGTGGGTTTTTGAAGCCTACAGACAGTATGCTGACATTGAACCAGAACACCTGGAAAACATGAGACTGGTTAATATTACTTTTATCAGTCAGTGTGCTCCTGACAAAGAGTAGAGGGGGAATTAGGGATTCCACTGTCCATTGCTTCACAGGAGTATCCAAGAGAGAGAATACAGTCATGGGTTCTTTCTTTCTGTTTCTGGGTGGGCCAGTAAAACCCCTTCCTCACCTCTCTTTTCCACTTATTGCTAGAGACAGAAACTAAAAACATGGCTTCAAGCTGCTAAAAGTGTAAAATAAAACAAGACAGAACAAAACAAAATCAGGTGGGTTGGACAAGCCTGTCTCTAAAGTATCTAATAGCCATGACCAAGTCCAGGAAAAGCAGAAACAGTATGACACAAAACAAGCTGCACTGTTTGCTGTAGCTTTCACCTGTGATCAATCAAGACCCAGTAAGATGCTTGCTGGGGTAAACACAACCACAGTTAAGACCTTCCCCACCAGACCCCACCACTTAGCCAGAAGAGCCATCCATCATTAGGGTCACAACAGTGTACATATTGTAAACAAGAATATTGCAAGTGGGAATGCCCTAACCTCCCCTGATGGGAGAGGAAGGAACTTCCCACAAATTAATCTACTAGATACCACAGCTTGCTGATAGCAACCAAAGATGATGGGACCCAGGGGCTCCTATAGACTCTGTTAGCTCTATCAACACTTCGCACAAGGAACCTCTGGTAACAGTCACTGTGGGAAAGACTCATACCCTTTTTAATTGACACTGGGGCTACATATTCTGTACTAAACATCAGACAGGGACCCTTCTCCCCAAAGACTATGGCAATTACTGTTATATGTGGCAAAACCTCCCACAAGTCCTTCCTTCAACTGATCAAATGCACCCTTCAGTTCTGACTCCCAAAAACTGTTGCCTTTGAATGGGATGATCCAGAAATTAATGTAAAACAACAATATTGGACAGTACTTCTACAAGATTTCAAAAATGCCCCCACCATCTTTGGGGAAGCTTTAGCTAAGGACTTGAGAGAATATTTCTCCAATATATAGATGATATCCTGATTTCCAGTAAAACTAAAGAAACCTCAGATCAAAACACAATTCTGACCCTAAATTTTCTGGCAGACCACGAATACAAAGTTCCTAAGAAAAAGGCACAAATTACACAGTCAACATTAAAGTATCTGGTGTTTGAGCTATCTAAAGGGCAAAGAACCTTGTTACCAGATTGAAGGGAGGCCCTAGCTAGAGTGGCTTTACCCACTACCAGAAAACAATTATGAGGGTTCTTGGGAATTACTAGGTTCTGTTGTATCTGGATTCCCCACTTTTGACTTATAAGAAGTCCAAAGCCCTTATATCAAGCCCCCAAAGAAAATGATAATGAGCCATTTAATTGGACTACAGAATGTCATAGGACATTCTGAAACATAAAGGAAAGGCTCCTAACAACCCTGTCCTTTCATCTCCCAAATATAAGAAAGCCATTTGATCTTTTGGTACATGAACAGCAATGTATAAGTCTTTGAGTACTGACACAAAATTTAGATAACACCAAGAGTGCTGGTGTAAACTTTTCTAAACAACATACTAACCCAAGGGTAGCCAGTTTGTCTTCGAGCAGTAGCTGTAACCTGTGGTCTCTTACAAGAAGCTGAAAAATCTACTTTGGGCCAGCCTACCACAGAGCACACCCTGCACTATGTACTGCCCCTCTTTGAACAAAAAGCAGGATATTACCTTACATCTGCAAGAGTAAGGAAATACCAGGCTAGTCTACTAGACAACCCAAATATAAATTTTAAGGTAGTGTTCACACTAAACCTAGCCACCATACTTCCAAGTACTGTAGAAGAAACTGTTCGTGATTGTATACAAATAATTGAAGCTTATTCTAGCAGACCTCATTTGACTAATCAGCCTTTGGAAGACCTAAACCTGGAGATGTTTATAGATGGGAGCAACTTCTTGAACTGAAGACTCTAAAAAGCTGAATATGTAATTGTGACTCTCCAGGAAGTCTTAGAAACTGAGGCTCTCCCACCAGCTACCTCTGCACATAACTTGCAACCTTGGGACAAAGTAAAAGGTAACTATTTATACTGACTCCAAATATGCTTTTGTGGTAGTGCATGCACATGAAGTCACCTGGAAGGGAGAGGCTTTCTGAATTCAGGGGGAAGAAAGGAAATCATGAAACCAACTTAACCTGGGATAAAGTCTTGCCTATTGCCCTGCTTAGTGTAAGATTAGCCCCCAGAAGCAAGCCCCAATTGAGCCCTTCCTCAAAAGTGAATTTTTTTATAATTCCAAAAATAGTCATATTATAAAAGAATTAGGTACTACAAAATACGTACAGTCTCTGCATGCAACTTTATCTGTTATACATAAGTATGCTTCTAGCTGTTTAACATTTCCTGCAGATGTTTCTTTACACTGTCTAAGCCCAGGAGACTGAGTACCAATTACAGCCCAAATGAAATGGACTCAATGAAGTTCTTCTGGTGACCCATCCATCCGTAAAGTAGTTAAGCCCTGTGTTCACCATTCACAAGTAAAGATAGTACCTGTTAGTAGTCAAGACTCTCCTCACCCCCTTCATAATCTCCACACAGGCTACACTTATCACAAACAACAGGAAACAGGAAGCAGGATGGCTGAGTCATCCAAACACCATATGGCTATGACCTACAGATGGCATGGCCTACAGATGATTTCTCCAGGCAGGAATACGCTTGCGAACTCCTAACAAAGTAACTCCTAAAGTTACTTTTCAGAAAAAAAAAAAATAGGACTTAAAGAGCTCCTGGATCTCTCGATAATGAGAAGTCATTCTTGTTTCTAAAACCAGACTCCACCTGATCAGATGGGGAGGCCAGAAGCAGATGGTAACTGAAGGAGACAGCTTACCCAAGATACCAGACCAGGCCTGTATTAATGCCATCAGGAATAAGATCTATTTTTGAGAGTCTGCTTATGTTAGGAATTATAGTTCTATGTGTGCTGAGATTTCTTTTCATTCTTGTCAAGGTACAGATGGTGCAGAGCTGTCTCATATTTCGATACCCCCTGTTCATTCCTCAAACCCACACCTGTGCCCCTTGAAAGCGGGAAGTAGCTAGAATGGTCATCACCCCATTTCTCTCAAGAGTGAGGAACGTACAACAAAAAGGGAGGGGGGACTTGGAACAGCAGGACCAGCTGAAACCCATTAACCATTGTCTTGTTATAGGTGATAAAGAGCCAAAAATTGTCTGGGCATGTATAATGGGAAAAAAACTTTAATCTGATTGTTAACACCACCAGCCTGGCAGATTGGCTGCATTGGCATCATCTGGGGCTAGTTAGAAATGCCATAAAAGCTTGGCCCACCCCCAGATCAGGGAGACAAACTTGAGCATTGCCTCCTGTCTCCTTGCCAGTTGACTCACAACAAAGCTTTTTTCTTTTCTAAAAAGCCAGTGCCATAGTATTGGCTTCTGTGCTCATCAAGCAGCAAGCCCATTGCTTGGTAACACCTCCATCCATCACTCTCTCCCCCTGCTCATGCTGGGTTTCCTCACATGCTCATCATCCTCCCCCGATCCATCACTAACTCCTCCTGCCCATATTTGGTTTCCTTGGGTGTTCATCATCATCCAGCATCTATCAGTTTTTCTGTCTTTCCTCCCAGTATGCCAGCCCCATGAGGGCGAGAACTTGCTTTTGTTCATGGATGCATCCCCAGTGCCTAGAACAAAGCCTGGCACACAGTAGGCACTCAGCAATTATTGGGTGACTGATTGAGTGAGTGAATGGACCTCAGTTTCTCCATCTGTAAAATAGAGATTTTGCTCCCCATGGTCTTCAGGGTCTCTCCCAAGTCCCTCCCACAAGGTCAGATATGTAGCCCATCCCTCTGAGAAGCCAGGAGTGTCAGAAAGGCTGGGAAGGACAGTGATGGGTCAGTCAGGTCGTCATCGGTCCCACAACACCAACAGTCAAGTCCTCCTTAGCAGGTCTGGGCTGCAGGTCGTGTGTCCCACTTAGTGCCCAAGCTCACATTATGGTGCTGGTGAGGAGTCTCAAGTAGTTATTAAACTGTGTGTCTGCAGGTATACAATTTTGGAAGTGGGTTTTGCATATTTTGATAAATGTATAAATATGAAATTTATTATCCATCACTGTCATACGCTTATGTTCTATGTTAAATGTATATAATGTATACTTCCCTAAAGCATGAGAGTTGCCAATTCTTGACCAAGACACAGTGACACTATTGACCACACAGAGTATGTTTATTCCTTAACTTGGAGGAGGGCAGCCAGGATGGTGGGCAAATCTCTCCATGCCACAGGAAGGCCTGGGGCCCTGGAGCTCCAAAAGGGACAGAGAACAGGGTTGGGAGAGTGATCAGCCCAGTCACTGGCCTGGGCCCAGGTGACATCAGCAGGGCAGGAAGGGGGTCACCTGGGCACTTACCTGTGCCAGCTCCACCCAGGGCCCTGCACTGGGTCAGAGCACAGTGGCTGGAATCTGAGCACCCTGGAGCCCCACCTGCCCTCATTCCACCTGGATTCACCTCCCTGAGCCTCAGTTTCCTCTGATGTAAAATGGGGATGAAAACAGCTCCCTCCTTAGGGTGGCTGTGAGGATTAAGTGAGCAAGTGCAAGTACAGGGTGCCCAGCATGCATAGGAAGTACACGAACCTATGAACTGATATTCCTGCTGTTGTCACCCCAAGGGCTGCTACAGAGAGGGCAACTTGGGCCCACTTTACAGATGGGCCTCATCCCTGCATCCTGCAATAGCTGACAGGTGTTAACACCCCCATGAGCCGGGCACCTGCATACATGACCCATGTCACCTGCATGACCTTGCACGACCTCCCTATGCAGCAGGTGCCATCATGGTCCCTGCTCCACAAGGGAAAATGTCAAGTACCTCCCAGATCACACAGCCCACAGGGGTGGAGGCTTAGAACAGGGCTTTCTGTCCCCAGGGCCAGGCTTGACCCCCACTCCAGACTCCACACTATCAGGAACACTCGTCAGTAAACCCTGACAAGAAGGTGGGGGACAAGTGGGGTTGCCCCTAGTGACCCCACCCCTCCCTCCTTCGCTCACAGAACCCTGGGTTTGTTCTGCAGCTACAGGCTCAGGCCTGGGGGTCCTCCAGCCCTGGGGTGAAGCTGAGCCAAGCACCCCATCCCCCTTCTCCAGAGATTGTTTTAGGGGTGAGCACACGACCCAGACCTCACCATTGAGGTATGAGGGGAAATCTGTTGGTGGAGGGAGTGCTCCTGGGAAATATTTTTTCTGCCTCACCCTGCAACCTTCTCAACTTGAATGCTGTAGTGTGAGACATGATGTTTGGAGCTATAGCAGCCATCTTGCAACCATGAGGCAACAAGCTAAGGACAAAAAGTCAATATAGCCAAGGATGGTAAAGATGGAAGAGAGAAAGTGCCTGGGTCTTTGACATCCCTGAGCATCTGACAAAGCTGGAACCACCTCCCTCCAAACATCTGGGTACAGCAAAGCATTTCATTTTCCAATTGTTTGAGCCACTGTTGAGTTTTTTTTTTTTTTTACTTGCTGCTCAAAATATCTAAACTGCAGGCAGCACAGCAATCTGTATAAAACACACAGCTATTGTATTTTTCTACCAGTGAGTCCCCCTCACCAATCCTTGAACCTTTAGAGAGCAGAAGTTGTATCTTGCTAATCTCTGTACCTGCTCTGCCTCAGGAGCTAAGACAGGGCTTGGCGCGTAGTCAACCCAATTCCATTTGTTGGGTAGCATGAATAAATGATGAGCAAATACACTATTGAATAAAGTGATGGATGAGCATAAGGAAAGTGAAAGTGCTTTGTAAACTGTAAAGTGCTGAGCCCAAATGCAGGCCTCACATCCTCAGCAAGGATGACGGTGCTGTCATCCTCCTAGACATCCCTCCTGCTCACACAAACCTCAGGCCTGTAAAATCCCAGCTACCCTTTCGTGCCCCTTCTTCAATTCTTGCTGGCATTGACAATGAGCACCTCCTTCCCTTCCTCAAACAGACATTAAAAGGCAAGGCTTTGTGTGCTATCATTTCCTCCCTAAAAGGTTGTCATGAGAAGCCGAATGGTCATCATTATGCCAGCTGAAATTCTTTGCCATGTTATTTAAGAGATGGAGGACAGGGCACCAGGAGAGGGGGCAGTCAGGAGAAGTGGGAAAAAAACCTTTCAGGGTGAAAAGGCTTTAAAATCTCAGCTCTGGGTCTCACAGGAAGACTGGATTAAAGGATCATTTCAAATGAATTTTGCCATCAGAGTGAAAGATCTGTTCCCCCAAAATGCTTCACTTTGACAGTTGGCTTCATGGGGTTTGGCAGAATTCATTTTGTAAGCAGACAAGATCAAGGAATAAAACAAAACACATCCAGCCATGAGAACTCTGTTAACCACTTGACATAATTGTGTTTCATCCAAAGTTAGGTTTTTGGCAAAACTGAAAAGTCATTCTCGTTCCACTGGCATCCCACATTTGTGGTGTCTGGGAAAAGTCCTGGTGTCGGGGAGTCAACAGGCAGACAGGGGCTGGGGTGAACATGGCCGCTGCCTAGGCCCTCCCTCCGTTGCCCCCATCCTTGGAGTTGGTGAGGGAAGCTGAACGGAGACGGCTCTAGGCTGATATCTCTTCCTGGGCAGAGCTCCCCAGGGCCAGCAGCCCATTCCTCCCACCCCACACCTATCTCTGCACCAGAGGATGGATTTCGGGGCAGACATTGATTCTTCACTCTAGTCCTGGCTGCCTGGACCAACATCCCCTATGACATACACACTTTCAGCATCACTGTGGCAGGGGGTGTGTCAAGTGAGGCCACAGGTCTTGCACCAGCCTCTCCACCATGGCATCTCCAGGCCCTTTCAATGGGTGATTTACAAGCCAGATATATAGATTTGTATTTGCTGCACCAAGATCAATTTAATGCTCCCCAACTAACATTTTTGTACTTGAACAGCTAGCTCCTTGCCCTCCAAAAGATCTAACTGTTCTCTCTTGTCAATCCCCCAGCAGCTGCAATGTCCAACCTGCCTATCTACCTCCTACCCCCCACCCACCTCCACCCACCATGCCCACATCCTATCTCCCTTCCCACCTCCTATCCCCTGCCCACCTCCTATCCCCTGCCTACCTCCAACTGCCTATCCACCTCCTACCGCACTGCCCACCTCCTAACTCCTGCCCACCTCCTACCTGCGTGTCCACCAACTATCAGCCTGGCTACCTGCTGACCAACATGCAGAGTGACTGTGTATTCGTTTACTCATTCATGCAGTGATTAATTTTTATGGAACATACTGAGATGAATAAAATAAAACTCTCATGTCCTCTGAAAGTTTATAACCTGTTTCTTACACTAATGCATCCAGTCTGAAGGCCAGAGTGAAGGAATTGGGTTAGACCACATGAAGACCTTCTGGACAGGAATGAGTTGGGCCTTGGGGAAGGGACATCACAGTGCAAATATTTGGGGCACAGATTCTGCAGGCAACAGGCCCGAGACTGAATCTTAGGTTCACAGTTCACAGGCAAGTAACAACCTCACTGAGCTTCAGCTTCCCCGTCTGAAAAGCGGCAGTCACAGCATCTGCCCTAGAGGTGCTCATCAGGGTTCAATGAGATACAAAATGGGAAGAGTCGAGCTCAGCGCTTGGCTCAAGGCAAGCACTCGATTCTGAGCAGACTGTACTTTTTTGGAGACAGGAGTACTTTTGGGAAACAGCCAGGCAGGTCTGGGTTCAAATCCCAACTCTGCTACTTATTGCCTCATTCAACCTCTCTGAGCCCCAGGTTTCGTCTGTGAAATGGGAGAAAATGCAGCCTAACTCGGGATGGGCTTGGGGAGGAAATGAAGAGGGAGGGGAGGGAATCAGACCCTACGTGCCAAGCCCGGCACACCTGCCACACAAAGTAACTGCTGGGTTCTCCCTCCCCCTCCTCCACTCTGGTGTTGGGAAAGAATGGAGGGTGGGGTTGGGAAATCTGCAGAGAACAACCTCCTCCCAGTATTTGCTGCCTTAGTTCCCTGCCAAGGGTTGCCCAGACTCTGGAGGCCCCTGTAGTGATGGGGAGCTCACCACCTCCTGGACTGGGCAGCAAGAATCACAGGGCTGACCAAAGAGGATGAGACCAGGAGCCCTGAACAACTGCAGCCTCGGCCACGGTGCAACTTCCAGGCCCCAGCCCCTGCAAGGCGCACCCTGAAAGGGGCTCCAGCATCACAGGAGCAGTTTCCTCAAGGACCACTAGCTGCTATGGGAGAGAGAGTCTGTGTGTTAGAAAGCATTAAATAGCAAAATACTATTCACAAAAAGGAAAAGATCCATTTATCAACTCTTTGAACTATCTAAAAATATATATATACTGTAAAGTCAGCTCGCCCTGTAGGTGTTGATTCAGGAGGCTGGGCAGCTGTTGGCCTCTGGCTGCCCGGGCAGAACCTCGGAGAGCTGTGGCCCGGGACACTCGGCAGCCATCCCCAGGCCACACAGCGTGGGTGGGGAACCCCTTCTCCAGGAGCTCCGTCCCTCTTGCCGTATGGCCTTGGAAAGTCAAGCTCCCTCTCTGGGCCCTAAGGAGTGGGTCCAGGGAACAAAGAGTGCAGGTGGGGTCGGGGTGGGGACAGGGTGGATACAGGGGGGTATGAAAAAGACACCAGACAAAAGAGGCAAGAAGAAACCTCTCTTGCACCTGAGAGGCTGAGGCAGGGAAAGGCCTCAGTGAGTGTCACCCCCAAACCTGGCTCCCCTGGCCCTGGCTGTGCTGGAGCCTTCACCTTCTACCAGGAAACCTCTGGATTGTCCCCACCTTTTCCAACTTCCACCAAGTCCCACACATCTCCACCTGGCCCCAGGGACCACACTCAGGCCCTAAATTCCCCTCCCTTCTTCCCTCTCTCCCTCCCAGGTGCCTTTGCTCACACTGTCCCCAGGCCATGGAGCTAACCTCCTCCACATTTCCCAGAGCTCCCTCCTCAGGGAAGCCCTCTCCGCCTTCCTGACAAGGTCAGATTCCAGCCCAGGCTCCCAGAACCCTGGGAACCATGTCTCAAGGCACTGATCCCAGGGGAGGTCCCCAGTTATTTGGTGACCAGCTGTGCCCCCACAGGGATGTGAGCTCTGGGCTGGGGCTGTCATCTGTTTGTTCATGGCTGTAGCCGCTAGAATGGTGCCAAGCACATCACGGAAGCTCAGTGAACACTGGTAGGAGGAGGGCAGGGAGGGAGGAGTGAAGGGCAACTAAAGAACGAACACAGTGACATGCGATGAAAGGAGGCAGGGCCTGGGAGACTCAGAGACTTGGGGACACATCTGCAGCTATGAGCCCCTGAGGCCGCATCAGGGACACAGATGACACTCACTCTGTGAAGCCCCAGGTAGAGTCTGAGCAACAGGAGTGACAGGAGGGACACTGTCTCCCTCATGGCTCCCTCTCAAGGCTGCTGTCTGCAGAAGGACCTGACGCTCTGACCACAGCCCTCCCCTGCCCCACAACCATCCATGGCTCCCAGCATCGGCCTGACAAAGTCCAAACTCAGGTCCACTGTGGTCTTGCCGCACCTGCCTTCCCTGCCCTGCCTCCCTCCACTTGTCCCCACAGTCCCCAGGCTTCAGGCCCAGCTATACCACCCCTGGCACCTCCACCCCTACTCTTTATGCTTCCCTGACATTGCCCTGCTGTCCTCTCCTGGAACACCCCCCACCCCTGCCTATTTGGAACCCAGGCCCCATTCCAGGCTCAGCTTGAGCATCCCCTCCTCCATGAGGCTTCCTCTGATTACCCTGGGTGCTGACTTTGCTTGTCCCTTCTCTGTTTCCGCAAACACCACTATGTCCCTCTCCCAGAGCTGGTTCCAGTCTCACCACTAGACCACGAGCTACCCCAGGCAACAGGAGGTTTGATTCTTCTCTCCCTGATGCCTGGTGCATGGCCTGGGACATAGGAGGCCTCACAATGGGCTGAGTGAGAGAATGAATGAATATCACCTGCCTCCATTCACTCAGGACCCACCGTGTACCAGGCACTGTGCTGAGCATGTTACAGGCATCGTTTCATTTAATCCTCCACGTAATCCCTTGTGCTGTGACTATATATGCCCATACTATAGATGGGGAAACTGAGGCCCAGGGAGGTTGAGTCACGCACCCAAGGCCACATAGTGGGTAAGCTGAGGCAGTGACACCCTTCCTGCTCACCTCCTCCAATGCCTCTGGCTCCCCTCCTGACCTGAACTTGAGCTCACAGCCACGTCCGGGGTGTCCCTGCCAATTCACTGCCCACTGGGGACCCCGATAGCCGTTTTGGCTGCAAGTCAGCATCACAAATCTACAGTCTCAGCTCTAGAGCAACAGAAGGACCCACCAGGAGTGTGTGCCCGGAAGGGTCTCTGCACCCAGGGAAACCCCTCCCCGTCCCACTTGCGGAACCTCACCCTCCCCATCATCAGTGGGGACCCCTCCCAGGCCCACGAGGACACTGGCGGTTCCCTCCCCTCGCCCTGGGAACATGGTTTATCCATCACAGGGTCATGGGCTATACTGTTAGGATCATGTGTGTATCTCTGATGAGCAGGGGCCAGGGAGCCATTCAGTCCCAGAGGTTCTGGGGAGGGGAGGAAAACCTCAGACAAAAGGAGAAGGAAGTGAAGAGAAAATAGGGATGCAGCAGAGAGATTAATCCACTGCTCAGACATGAAGGAAATAAGTTCAATTATATTTGCTGCATTTCATTTTAATGTACACATCGTATTTAGCTGCCAGCAAGCCTCGGATTACCCAGAGAGAAAGCGCAATGAAAGACAAGAGAATTAAAACAGACAAAAAGTGCCCCGGAAATTGGAATCTCTAAGAGAGAGAAACAAAAGCCAGGTTCCAGAGGCCACTTGGCGCCAAGTCCCTCCCAGCACTGACTCCGGGTGTCCGCAGCCATGCACCCCAGCCCACGCTGCCCACCAACCCTGCTGCCCTGATCGCCTGGCATCAGGGAGGGACCTGGGCCAGAGGTAGGAGGCTCAGTTGGCCTCCTGGAGCTGCCCCCCACTTGCCCTGGGGAAAGCCTGTGCCCCAAACCCTCCCAGGTCAGGAGGTGGTGAAGGGTGGCAGGAAGGCAAACAGGGCAACAGAAACCCCACAGCATGCCCAGGTGCTGTACCCCCAGCAGGGCTCTGGTGAACCTGCGGCAAGGGTGTGGGGTGATCAGGATGGCACTCCTTCCTTCCAGAACCTTCTTACAACACCCACCCCCCTGTCCCACCCAGTGCCCTCGGGGAAGGCCCTGGAAATCCCTCTCACAGCAGCACCATTGGCTAGGCCAGGCACCTGGTCTGCCAGAGCAGCATCTCCGGTTCCCAGAGACAGGGTCTCCAACAAGGGGCTCCTGGAGCTTCCAGATCCCTGTCCACTGATTGAGCCTACCCTGGAGGCCAACCCAAAACCACGGAGGGTGCAGCAGGTGGAGCCACTGGGAGGGGACCCACTGCCCAGCACCCAGCAACTGTGTGAGAGAAACACACACCCCACACATACACACACAACAGGCCACACCACACAACAGCATATCACACACCACAGCACACAGCACATACACACAACAGGCCACACCATGCCACACCATAGCACACACCACAGAGCACAAAATATACCACATACCACACACCACACTACACGCACACAACAGACCATACCACTCCACAGCACATCAAACACCACAGCATACCACACACCACACCACACACACACAACAGGCCACACCATGCCACAGCATATCACACAGGACAGCATATCACATGCCACACCACACAGCACAGACATACCACACACCACACCACAGCATATCACACACCACACCACACATACATAACAGACCACACCATGCCACACCATATCACACACCCACAACATACCACACACCACACCACACACAACACAACACAACACACACCATACATACACAACACGACTTACCACAGCATATCACATGCCACAGTACACACACCATACCACACAACACACCCCACATCATAGACACACAACACATCATGCCACAGCATATCCCACACCACACCACACAACACACACCATACACACAACACATCATACCATATACCATGCACACACAACACACCATACCACAGCATATCACACACCACAGCACATACACCACACACAACATGCCACACCACAGCATACCACACACACAATACGACATACACCACATGGTACACCCAGGGTTCAGGCCAGACATCAGATTTCACCTGCTCCACAGGAGTCTCTGCCCCAACCAGCCCAGGTTCAAATTCTGGAGCTCACTACTGTGTAGCCTCAGACGAATTGTTCTCTGACTCCAGAGTCCTCATTGGAGAAATGGGAAATCTGCTTCAGGATGAAGTGAGATGGCACAGGCAGTGCCTGGCACAGCAAAAGCCCTCAGTAAGAGGTGGTGGTGGTGGTGGTGGTAGTGGTGGTGGTAGTGGTGATGGTGGTGGTGGTGGTAGTGGTGGTGGTGGTGACGGTGGTGGTGGTGGTGGTGGTGGTAGTGGTGG